>NC_000005.10:147578659-148203659 GCF_000001405.40 Homo sapiens | reverse complement strand
TAATTATTTGAATGTCTTTGTAATAATAACTAAGGGGAGGAAAATATTTCTTTGTTCTGGAAAGCAAAACCAATATTTAATGCAATTATCCATCCTCCAATCTAGTTTTATGGAACAAACATTAAATGTGATGGCAAGAGAATCTGATTCAAATTCCAGATTCTAACTACTAGTTGCAAGTCTTTTGCTGATTTTCTCAATTTCTCTGTTCCACAGTTTCTTATATGAAGAACAGAGATAGAAATACCTTATTATGAGTCTCAGAGACAATACATAAAATCCCTTCGTACATGCCTAGAATATAGTATATGCTCAACAAATCACAGTAATTTTAATAATTATTACCATAACCATTGTCGTCATCACAATCATTATCATCATTATGATAATCTCTCAGAATTGGTCTTTTACATCAAAATCATTAGGATTTAAAATATGATAAACAACTACTCATCATATCCAGTTCAGTATAAATATGGGATCTTAATTTTAAGAAAAAACTTACCTGTTAAAAAGCAGAAAAGAGCCAGAGAGAGGAGCAGAAACATGCCTGACAGTTTCATTGTGTCAGTTAGCTCACTCAGATCAAGGCTGCTTTGTCCAGCTGAGGTTCTCTGTCAAGACAATTCCCAGAAAGCCCTAAAATACATTCAGACCACATGAGTCCTATGCAGTTTATGCATTTAATGGGGCCTGCCAACACATTAAAAAAATGCTTCATGCTCCCCATCAATCTTAAAAATTGGGACAATTATGTGTGTCGCACCTCAGATCTTATTAATAGAGAATGTCATTTTCTACTGGTAGCCTACATTTTCCTAACAACCAATACATCCTCCCGGCTCTTCTTTCTAAAGTTTCACTACATTATAGGGATGATTCACTGGTTGACTTCCACTTGATTCTTATATTTCTTTCAGACAGGTCCTACATGTCTGTGGTCCAAGTGAGTAACCACAGGATAATGGAATCTTGGGTGTAACTTGGATTTTTAGAGTCCAGATCATCCAAGGTGTACCTAAAGGAGACAGATATTCCACACTGTAGCTAGAACTGCATTAGAAGAAGCATTTTCTGAGCAGGAATCAGCTTATTAATTTTTAAATCATTATAGCAGTCAAATGCCAGTGGTTGTCCAGTTTTGAGTCAAAATAAATAGGGAAGTCAATTATTTTCTTTAATTTGTAACAAAAATTTGTTTTTTAAAGTTACTGAATTTAATTTTCTTTTTTTTTTTTCTTTCTTTTTTTTTTTTTTTTTTGAGATGGAGTCTTTCTCTGTTGCCCAGGCTGGAGTGCAGTGGTGCAATCTTAGCTTACTGCAGTCTCTGCCTCCCGGGTTCAAGCGATTCTCCTGCCTCAGCCTCCCGAGTAGCTGGGACTACAGGTGCCTGCCACCATGCCTGGCTAATTTTTGTATTCTTAGTAGAGACGGGGTTTCACCATGTTGGCCAGGCTGGTCTCAAACTCCTGACCTCATGATCCGCCTGCCTCGGCCTTCCAAAGTGCTGGGATTATAGGCGTGAACCACTGTGCCTGGCCTGAATTGAATTTTTGAAATGAGCAATATATTTCCTTTTACTTTTCATATAAAAGTTAGATGAATCACATTATCTTTCATGGCCAATTTAATTGCAAGATAGATCAAAGAGTGCGATGCCACAACCTTCTTTCAGGAAACAGCAACAAAAAAGAATGGTTGTAGTGATAACAAGAACGTCTACCTCAAATCATAAACTGCTATTGAAAATATCATGAGGGAAATCATCTTAAAGTCCTTTACAGAAAGATGTAGGTCAGATGTTAAAAGTATTCAAAGACACTACTGAAAAACCTTAAAAACTATATTTAAAATTTTCTTGAATCCTTTATGGGAAGAGGAGTCAAAATAGCTAGAAAAACAAAATATATGGGAAATTGCTTAAGTCATGAAATTTAAAAACAACAGTTGTACAATTTACCCATTTGTGATCTTTAAGTATGTTTTCTCATTCATATGAGATAATATAAAGATCAGTTCCTAAAACTAAAGCATTGCATAGCATGGTTTTAGGTACTGCTGTGACCTTCCTCCCTCTTTCCATTCTACTTCCTATGTTTCTTCCTTCTTTGACCACCTTTTTTTCCCTCCTTCTGTGACTAGAATGTACAGAATTAGTCTAATAATAATCATGTCCAAAAGTGACAAAAGTTTGAAAGCATAAACAAATAGTAATAAAAAAAATCAACATAACAGTGGTAGTCGATCATATGCCATCATTAAATTCACGGTGATGTTTCTAAACTTCCTGTTTAAACTTCTTCCTCTCTCCCCAGAGTTTCATTTTTGGTCCTTGCTTCTCATATTCACCTCTACACTCTCAGTCACTGTTCACCTAAATATTACCATCTCCCTATCTTCCAGTCTTTCCTTCCCTGCTTTCCTCTGATCTTCAAGAGTTCTTTTTTAATAGGTGATTTTTTAATAGAATTATTCTTATTTAGAATGACTCTGTCCTCTTTTTCAGAATGTTTTCAATTCTCTATCCTCAACATTTACACTACCTACCACAAAAACGCTTAGGAACATGAAAGCACATATTAAGTATTGGCTCTGGATAGACATAGGGAAGGAAATATTATATCATAAATATATATAGTTTAAGAAAGAATCTGGTCCCTAATGATTGAATTATCCTTTTTCTTAGGTTTCTGAGGCCATATGAAAGTTTTTGGTTTTGTTTTAATACAACCTAAAGGAAAAGGTAAGAAACATTCTCTGGGAAATCACTTAATTGGCTCTTTAAATAAGAAGGTGAAATACTAGAAGTTAATAAATTAAAGGCAATTATTCACAGACTACATAAAATTATAGTCGTTTGGCTGCATAGCAAGTAAAAGACAGTAGTTTGAACTTTGTTTTAATTAATTCCCTGAAGAAAAATAGGAAAAGTTTTAAAAATCTTAACATTAAAGAATAAGTAAATGTCAATATACTGAATCAGGCAAAAGCAAAAAAGAAACAAAAAATAAAAGAAAGGGAGATGTGGGAGAATGCAGTAGAAGCAATGACTCTTATATAGACATACTAGAATGCAGTCCCAACATACGTACAGTGGTCTTCCAAAATATAGCTATGCATACATTTTTATGTAAAGACACAAACCCTGTAAGAATATATTTTCAATGTAAAATTTATTATATAAACATTATACATTTATTAAAAAATTACTATTCATGGTAGCATATAAAATCATCTGCATTTCATTTAATACACATGCAAGAGAATTTAAGGTAAATTTTAATTCTGTCATTTTTTGCTGCCAACTATATATATAATATTATTTCATTTATTGAAATGCAGCTTCATTGCTTTCAGAATGCTTAGCTCTGAATCCAAGGAGATACATATATCTGTGCCTGTGTGTTTTCACATTTTACTTGTTCATATACATTTTCCTTTTCCCACCATTGCTTATATATATTGTAAAATGTATTATTTTGAAATGTCATTTCTCAGACAGCTATGTACTCTATTTTCTCTCAAACCCCTGAACCCTTCCACCATTTAGCATAGGGCATGAAATAGAGGCTTTTTTTGTTAAATAAAAAAAGGACAGCCACCACTTTAATCCAAGAAAGCATTAATCAAGGAAGTCAGTCCTTGCCATTGAATTATAAAGTGATCTTTGTTAACATCCTTAGCTGTACAATAGACTAAAGTCAAGCATTTTTCATTTGCAACTATCCAATCTTTATTCAGAGTGAAGATTGTTTTTCTTAGAACTTCCATTGGACCACTTAGGAAAAGAGGAGAACTGTTTCCTAGGACTAAGAGGAGGGGTTCGGGAAGAGAAGAAAAAGGGGGTTTTCGAGCTTAGACTTCATCGTCCTGGTTTAGTTCAAATTCCTTGGCTGTTGGAGGCATCTAAAGCATTAGTCAGCATATCATGGGTAAAACAGAGTGGGCAGTATCGAGGAAGATATCCAAGTATTTGGACTTTATAGCAGTCTTACAGGAGTCTGTCATGTTGCAATGAAGATCAGAAAAAGCAGCTGAAATCCATAGTCCCCAAGATAGCCAAGTGCTGGGAGGGCTCAAGAACAAGAAGGGTTTTTATTTCAGAACAAGGGACTTTGAGTTAAGAGACATTACAATTGATAGCTTGATGGGGGGAATCATATAACTCAGAAGAGTATGATAACACATGAAACAGATAACAGGGAGCTGGGTAATGGAGAACCAGGCCCTCTATGATACAGTGACCATAGGAGTTTTATTACACTGCAAAAATTCCTGGAGAGATAAAAGTCAATATCTAGGGACCAACTGGTAAGAAATACCTCACCAGGTGCCAATGTCATGTAAATGTCATGAAGTTATGTAAGCTTTGTCCTGGATTCAAATGTTATATTTGGGGGGAAAAAAGGGAATAAAAAGGGAGAACCAGAGAGACACACTAAATTTGTAAAATGTGAGTGCTTAGTGGGAAAGATTTTTTTTTCATTGTGGTATCTGTTGTACTTTCAACCATGCTTAGCAATTAATAGCCATTCAGAAAATCTTTGTTGAATGACTGAGATTGAAATACCTTTAATTAATAACATATTTTCTGATATTACACTGAAATGAAGATAACAAACATAAACATTTTATTTTTGACACTTATAAATCTTACCTTATATAAAATTTGATCTATTCTACTTGATGGATTAGATTCAATTATTATTAAATGTTTTGGCAGAAAAAAACAAAACATAGATTCTTTGATTGTCATCTTAGAAAACATTTACTTCAATCTTCCACTCAATATTTAAAAATGACCTAAAGTTCTACTGAGAAATACACATTGTGGTTCTGTGATAGATTAGAATGAACACAGACTTTGAGTCCAGATAGATGTGGGGTGTCCATTCTACTTCTGCCAAATCTCTATGATATGGGGGATGTTAATTAACCTTTCTGAATTTTAGTATTCTTAACAAGAGCAGGTTTCTGGGTTATTTTCATACATCATATGCCTATTTCACTGACATTCTTTGATTATAAGCACTTTTAGTTTTTAACTAAACTTTGCATTCAGTCCCTCAAGATTGCTCAGGCTTGACAGTGTCTTCAATTTAGCAATCCTTTCCACCTTTGTATCAACTGAAAATTTAATAAGTATGTCTTCTATGTCATTGTCTTCTATGTCATTAATAAGTATATCATCTATGTCATTGCAAAAGTGCTGAACAAAGCAAGCTCAAAGATATTTCACCAACTTATTTCCAAGTTACTCTACTGAAATCAATATTCATATATTGTATGGCATGGTATCAAGCTTCTCATCCTTGTGAAATACAATGAAGGAAGTTTGGCATGACTTGCTTGTAATGAATTTATGTGGACTACCAATTATCCTCACCTTCTTTCCTAAATGCTCATATTATCATATGTCCTGCTCTTCCCCATCATAGACTCTATACCTCTTCCAAAATAAGCTCTTCCTCATTTCTCATTTATTTTCATTACATATCTATTTGCCTACCTGAACTTACAGTGTTGCCTTTGCCTGGGATGTTATTTTCTTTAATCATTATATCTCTCAATTCTATATATCAAACAATAAAAAGTCCAAATTATGTTACTCTTCACAGAGCATTTCTTTATCCTCCAAGGCAGACATTCTAAACTGGTAGCATAGAGACAAACTCAGGCTTGTTAATAAATTTTATTTAGCCTATGCTGTGGTTTTAAATGTTTTTCTAAATAATCTACAGCTTTTTAATTTGAATATTTAAGAAAAATAAGCCAGGTGCGGTGGGTCACACCTGTCATCCTAGTACTTCGGGAGGCTGAGGCGGGTGGATCACTTGAGGTCAGGAGTTTGAGACCACCCTGGCCAACATGAAAAAAATCCATCTTTACTAAAAATACAGAAGAATTAGCTGGCTATGGTGGTGCACACCTGTAATCCCAGCTACTTGGGAGGCTGAGACACAAAAATCGCTTGAACCCGGGAGGCAGAGGTTGCAATAAGCTGAGATTGTGCCACTATACTCCAGCCTGGGTAACAGAGTGAGACTGTATCTCAAAAAAACAAAAGAAAGAAAAAAGAAAAATAGAAGTAAAACAGAAGATTTTTCTGAAAATATTTGGGCACTTCATTGCCATGGCAAACGTCAGCTGGAGTTTAGTGGTACATGCCTCATTTAAATATGCTCTTATTTCACTCTTTTGCCCCTCTTATTGTTGGCCCTTGGAGGCATTTGAGTTTGAGAATCCTGCCCTTTGACACTAATAATACTTCTTAATTCTCAGAATATATGTATTTACTTTTCTTGTGAAACTGTTCTACATTATAAAATTATGCCTATATGGTATCTCCTCTATTTGTCTACATGCTCTTTATGAGCAGAATCTGTACCTTATTAATCTTTAATTTTTCAAATTTTCATCTAATATTTAGCAATTACTGCATAAATATTTATTCAAAGAATATGATTAAAAAATAATTACCACTATATGATTATCAGGGATTATTAGTAACTATTCTGACATTTTCCAAAATTTATCTTCTTACTTATTTTAAACATGTAGATATTTGCCCATCTCTAGTTTTCTGTCATTGCTTTCGTTTCTTCAATTTCTTACTGATATATTTTAACACAGTTGCAGTCTCACTTGGGAATCTCTATATTCTTATCTGTTTCCTAAGGAGATAAAAGGAAAAATTTCTAATACTCACTGGCTCTTGCACGAGAGTACATTTCACTAAGTACATAATTGGAAGTTAGTTTTTCCAATTTGTAGATTATCGAGTGACAGTTCTCTCTCTGTCCAATTCATATAAACTGTGTTATTCATCACTTCTGCTCCACAATTTATTCTCCTTTCAGATCCCTTTTCACCAGGATCAAAGCAATCTACATTTCTCTAAATTACGTTTGCTACAATGGAAATCAAACTACATCACAAAGTATAGTTTGCAATATAAAACTTTTGAAAGTTAACAGATATTATAAATATTAATAAAGCATTAAGTAGTTTATATTTCATTCAAAATCTCTTCTTAATTTGCTTTCTTTTTTATGTTTTTGGATATTTCTTCTTAAATTCATTTATTAAAGTTGGATTTTGTACATGTGTTTTGTGGTAGGTCTCCTCAAATCTCTTTGCTTTTCAGTTTTAGTGTTTTAGCTTAACGTTAATTCAGAGAATTATTCAGGAGGAGATTAGTTTAGCATAGCCTTAAGAACATGACAAAAGGATGCCATGATCCCTAGGTTTAGAAAAAACTAGGTCACAGTGACTTTGTTTTCTTCGTTGACAGTGTAACTAGACTGATGGTATAAGGTATCTGCAGATACGACGGATTTGAACATCAGCAAGGCATTAGATAAGCTCTCGTGCTGTCTTTGTAAACGGATAAAGATACATGGGTAGACTACTACACCTGACTGAACAACTGAACAAAAAAGTGCCGATAGATTAATTAATATAACCAAGAGGAATAGAATCTTGTCCCAGTCAGTATGTTTATAACTAACCTAAATGATGATATATAAAGCATGCCACAAATACAAAATCAGAGCTCTGTTTTCCTCTCTTTTTGTGGTTCATTTTCTTGACATACATAGAAAGCCATTAATCAAGTTTCATCTTGTTCATTTTGACTCATCATCATTTTTAATATATAAAGATCTTTTTGACTCTTGACATAGAATCACACCCTCACTGATTGCATCCGAATTTGGATTTTAAAAATGAATATTTAAAAAATAAGATTATTTAAAAGATCAAAGAGAGTGAGAGTTACAAGGTAATCCAAAACTGGGTGCAGTGGCTCATGCCTGTAATCCCAATACTTTGGGAGCTCGAGGCAGGCAGATTGCTTGAGGTCAGGAGTTCGAGACCAGCCTGGCCAACATGGTGAAAGCCCATCTCTACTAAAAATACAAAAAAAAAAAAAAAATTAGCCAGGCTTGGTGGCAAGCATCTGTAATCTCAGCTACTCAGAAGGCTGAGGCAGGAGACTCCCTTGAGTCCAGGAGGTGGAGGTTGCAATGAGCCAAGATCACACCACTGCACTCCAGCCTGGGCAACAGAGGAAGACACCATCTCAAAAAAAAAAAAAAAAAGAGTTTCGGTGGGATTTCTGTGTATATACCAAAAATACTTGAAAAGGAGTCTCAAAGAAATATTTGTTCATATATATTCATAGTAGCGTTATTTACAGTAGCTAAAATGTAGAAGCAACTCAAGTGTCTTTCAACAGATAAATGGATAAGCAAAATGTGAAAATAATGTGTATATATACCACATTTATATATACTTGTTATTATATATATGTTTCTATACACACACGCATATTTATGCAGAGAAAAATGCAATATTATTCAGCTCTAAAAAGGAAGGAAGTTCTTACATATTCTATAACATGGATGAATCTTGAGGACAGTATGCTAGGCGAAATAAACCAGTCACAATAAGACAAATTTTGTATTATTCCACTTTTATGAAGTACTCAGAATGGTCAAAATTAGGGAGACAGAAAGTATCATGGTAGTTTCCAGGGCCTGGGGAAAGTGGGTAATGCAGGTTATTGTTTAATAGGTATAGAGTTTCAGTTGAGGAAGACGTAGTATAATAGTTCTGGAAATGGATGGTAGTGATAGCTGCACACACAACGAACACACTTAATGCCACTGAACTGTTGAACTGGACACTTAAAAATGATTAAGATAGTGAATACTAAGTTATGTGCATTTTGTCATATTAAAAACTTTTTTTTTTTTTTGAGACAGAGTCTCGCTCTTGTCGCCCAGGCTGGCATGCAATGGCGTGATCTCAGTTCACTGCAAGCTCCGCTTCCCAGGTTCAAGCAATTCTCCTGCGTCAGCCTCCCAGAGTAGCTGGGATTACAGGCACCCGCCACCATGTCCAGCTAATTTTTTTGTATTTTTAGTTGAGACAGGGTTTCATCACGTTGGCCAGGCTGGTCTTGAACTCCTGACCTCAGGTGATCCACCCGCCTCGGCCTCCCAAAGTGCTGGGATTACAGGCATGAGCCACCATGCCCGGCCTAAAAACAAATTTTTTAAAAGGTCCAGGTTAGATAATGGGGAAAGTGTTCAAAGAATCAAGCTAAATTCTATTAATAATTCTGTGGTCATTTATCTCCCTCTTCTTAGAACTTTTATAAATTTGTTCCACAGAGGTGAATACTAAGTTGCTCTGTTACATTATTTACTGACTGATTCATGCTTAGTCTATAGCATGAGATTATAATGATCTTAAAGCAGAACATGTGCTTCTTTCATTGTTCTCTTAAATTCTACTACTGATTTTCCTGGGCTGAGTCTGAGGTTATACAATATGTCTTGAGTGAAAAAATACAAACTGTTTTAATATTTATTTAAATTTTTATTTGATCTTTTACTTTTTATAGAGACAGGGTCTTGCTATGTTGCCCAAGCTGGCCTCAAACTTCTGGCCTCGAGCAATCCTCTAGCCTTGGCCTCCCAAAGTGCTGGGATTATAGGCCTTAGCCACTATGCCTAGCCATTTTTTATTTGTTAGTCTTTTTGCTATCTTATGTGAACTGCCTTCTAATTTTCTATGCTATTCTTTGATTGTGGCAGTTTTTCAATGGTTTCTAAAGGTTTGTTTGTTTTTAATTCTTCTATGTTCTCATACCAATTTGCACATGGCTTGAATATAGTACTTACACTGTGTTATCCCTGTACTCAAGAAGCTCACGGTTTAGCAAATCAAATACATACAATGTAATTCAAACATAATGGGATAACATCCTAGAAAACAGAATGTGCCCAAAGAGCTGTGAATACATAAATAAAGAACCAATTACTTTTGCTAACACAATGTCATCAGAGAAAGCCCCATTTAAAAGATACAGTTGCACAGGTATGAATCTTGAAGGCTAAATAAGAGTTCCGAGGCAAAATAAGACTGCTTGTAGATAGAATAGTAATGTTCGCTGTTGAAGAAGAATAGGAGGACACATATCCGAAAGAAAATTAAACTACCACCCATGAAAATAGACATGAGTGTGTGAAGAATGTTGATTGCATTAACACCAAATAGTTCAGCAGGCCAGAGCACTGGATATCAGGTAAAGATGGTTGAAAAGGAGACTGAAAAGAGGCCAGTAAGTACAAAATAGGTCATGCAACACCATGCTGTTTTCAGTAAGTACGGTGGCCCAAAGTGAAATGAGAGCTAGGTCTAAATCATACAGCAGTAAAAATTCTTGCCAACATACTGACTTTCCCTACCATCTTAAATCAGAACATAATAAATGTCAATACTACCTCTGGAAAATGTAATGGAAAATAAGCAAGGTAGAATTGCATATTGGTAACAATGAGAGAAAAAAAAAAGAAATAGTTTCATCTCAGCTACATGTCTGGCTTTTCCCCCTTCCCTTTGAAGTTTAATTATAAGCATCAGAGGAAGCCTCTTAAATGTTTGCTAAGACACTGAAATATGAGAGGGAAAGTTTGCCAAAGTCTTTTAAAATCACAAGGAAGCAGTAATGCCCAGATCAGGTGATTTACTTTAAACAAATTGTTATTAGGTTTGCCCTCAACTTTGGGAATAAAAATCCTCTGTGATATTTTTATTTCTAAATTCAAAAATTCCCATTATGTCTGCTACACAAATTCTCCCCCAAGCCTATCATCTCTGGTCTGACCAAGCCACCCCAAGGAAAAATAACTGGGTGTGCCTTCCCATTGTTTAAGCTTGCTCAATAAAATTAAAGAGCTTTAGCTTGTGATTCAAAGTTCTTCTGCAATATGGCATACTTCTCTTCTTACTCCATCTCCCAGTTTCCCTTCCAGTTATCAGAGACTTGAACCACTAGTACTTTTCAGTACTTTTGCCCATTAATATTTTCTCTGCTAAAGCACATTTTGCTACCTTTACCTCTCAGAATCTAACTCAATTTTCCTGACTAATCTAAAATGAAGCCTATTCTCAAATGTGTTCTGCAGTTATCCAGTAAGGAATCAATAAATCTCTTTCTTTTCTTTTTTCTTTTTTTATTTAATAGAGACAGAGTCTCGCTCTGTCGCTCAGGCTGGACTGCAGTGGCGCGATCTTGGCTCACTGCCAACCTCCACCACTTGGGTTCAAGCGATTCTCTTGCTTTAGCCTCTCGAGTAGCTGGGACTACAGGCACGCACCACCATGTCTGGCTAATTTTTTTTTTTTTGTATTTTTATTAGAGACGGGATTTCGCCATGTTGTCCAGGCTGTTCTCAAACTCCTGACCTCAGGTGATCCACCGGCCTCAGCCTCCCAAAGTGCTGGGATTACAGGCGTGAGCCACCGCGCCCGGCCAATCTCTTTTGACTTAAAATGAAGTATAGCATTTTATCTTTCATGGCATATAGCATGTGGCATATCATGACTATATGTCTACTATTAAGTTATTTATTACTTAAAATACAATATTGCCTGTAAGGGTAGCGTTTACTTGATACATGCCAGTATCCTTTACAGCCACTAGAACAAGTAACAAAAGCAAAATAACTACTTTGAGTGGAATCATCAATGCCTGCATGATTTAATTTCTAAAGCTAGCATGACCCAATAACTCCCTTATCTCCATACCCTAATGCAGGTAAATTTTGCACTGTGCCTTTTATTACAAATGTTTTACTTAGGGTAATCCCAGCTGATACAACAAATAACCCCTTTGTGTAATAATTTGTAGAGGATAGAAGTCTGTTTCTCAATTGCATAACATCCCCATGATTGTCCCTAATTCACAGGCCGTTTGCCTTCAGGCAGTGATGGAGATACCCAGTCTCCTTTCATTTCTGGCTCTTCCATTTTCAATACATGGCTCAAATTTGCCCTGCTCATTTGCATCAAAGTGGTGAGAAGAATAAAATATTGTGATTCTTTAAAGGTGGCTTAAAAGTGGAATACAACATTTTTGTTCATTGTTGCTGAGAATTAGGCATATAGTAACACCATATGCAAAAAGGACAGAGAAATAGATTCCCTTATTAGACTTCCAATTCCCAGAAATGTTCTATATTATAGTTTTGTAGTATGAGTTTTGTAGACAATTAGGCCCCGTGACCAATAAAAAACTGTGCACACCCTTTTGTCCACATGTGGGATATACCCTGCCCCTCAAAGGAGACCAAGTAAAGTCTTATCCAGTCATTGCAACCACCAGAAAGTTCAAGGTTTCTAAAAGTAGCTCTTTATGGAGACTTATCAACTCCTCACCCCTCCCCCATGATTTTTATACAGTAGAGGAATATGAACAGGATAATCATAATTTAAACTCTCATTAAAAAAAAGTGTAATGAGATACATATAGATGTCATTGGCACATAGCACTGATAAAAATTGCTTACTTGGAAGGGTAGAGACACCCTGGGCTGGCAGTGGCATATAGCTTTTGATAAGACTCTGATTCTGTTATTGAAAATAATGCCCTTGTCAGTTGTTCTTGGTCGTTTCTGGCTGTGCCCTCTGATAGGCTCTTGCATTTCTACCAAAAACCAAACTGAGATAAAGTTAGAAAACCACATTTACTTTTTGGGGCTGTACTACCTTCAAAGGCTACTTGTTTATGGTCATTTTCTGGGTCTTGAAAATTTATTGAAGGTCATAGTTTCTTTAATCTTGGCTTATTGTTTATCTGACAATATAAATCCCTCAACATTTAGAGGGTTCCTTAACTGTTTGTTTAATTTTTTTCCATACACCAGTAACTATTTTAAAAGTGTCCTAAGTTCTTTCTAGCCACAATTCTGAAGCTTACCTTTTTTTTTCTTTATTCTTTTACCTCTGTTTCTAAATTTAATGGCAGATAGTTTGTGGCCATCTGAAACTATAAGCTTAGGTGAGAAGTCAACAGTCTTAATATGATCATGGCAACAAACCTGAAAACCTTTTTTAAACTCAGAAAATACATATGGTTTTTGTTACTAAAAGCATTTCTTACTTTTGGGTGTCTAGAAGAAAATAGCTTTTAAATTTCCTTTACGGCATCACATTTCTTAGTATTCTCTACATTTCCTTTAATTTCTAATTACAAGTCTCCAAATACCTGCCTAAGTTCTTTTTCTTATCCTATCATGTAAAATAAGAAAATAAAAGCCAAAATACACTTTCACTCTGACTCTTTCCAATCTTTTCCTCTAGAATGACAGGCTTAGGCAGCACGTGATCTGACTTTTAATTTATCACAGTGTGGCAATTTTAAAACTGTCTCAAAACTGATTATATTCCTTTCATTGAGAAGTGAGGTCTATAGTTAATGCCCCTGAATCTGGGTGGGCTTAGGATTGTGTTAGTCACTAGACTGTGTCAAAAGGGAGGGTAGATCATACAAAGCCACAGAGGATGCACCTGGCTGTCTGGGAACCCCTGCTGTCAGGATGCTCCCTCTTGGTATGCACCTTTCTGGACTGTAGCCACCATGCTATGGTGGATTATTTCCATCCATGTATATTCTTTGATGAAATGTCTACTTCAAATCTTTTATACATGATAACATTCATTTATATTTGGTTAAGTTTAAAGAGCATTATACAAATTCTTCTTTATCAAATATGTGCTTTGAAAGTACCTTCTCCACCCTGTAACTTGTTTTTTTCGATTAGAGTTTTTTTGAAAAACAGAAGTTTTCAATTTTGATGAAGTCTGATTTACAAAATATTCTTTAATGGATGATGTTTTTCGTGTCATATCTAATAATTTTACCTACTCTAAAATCATAATTTTTAAAGTTATATAGTTTTGATTTTAGTTCAGGGATCCATTTTAAATTAATGTTTTTATAATTGATGTTCATTGTTTTTGTCTATGTACATTCAATTGTTTTTGCAGCATTTGTTGAAAAGCATTTTTTTCCACTGAATTGTCTTTAGATCTTTTTATAAAATCATTTTTATATGTATATAGATCTATTTTTGGACCTTCTATTCTGATCTTTTGATCAATTTTTCTATCTTGACTCCAATGATATACTGTCTTGATATCTATAGCTTTATAATTAGTCCTGAAAAATGGTAATGTTAGTTTTAATGCTGTTCTCCATTTCAAAGTTGTTTTGACTATGCTAGGACTTTTAGATTTCCATATGAATTTTAGAATAATCTTGTCAATTTCTGCATAAAACATTGCTAGAATTTTAGTAAGAATTGCATTGAACATATAAATCAATTTGGAGGAGAAATGATATTTAGCAAAAATGATTTTTTTGACCCATGAAAAAGGCATATCTTTCTATTTATTTAAGTTTCCTTTAATTTACCTCACAATGCTTTTTTAAAAATTTTAATGTATAGGACATTTACAAGCTCAACAGATTTCATATTTTGATGCTGTTAGAATTATTTTCATTTAAATTTCTGATTGCTCTTAGTTTATAGAAATACAATTTGTTTCGAAAGTAGAATGGTGGTTACAAGAGGCTGGTGGAGGCAGTTAGGTGGGGAAAGGGAACATGATCAAAGTTTCAGTAAGAGAGGAGGAATAAGCTTTAGTGAGCTATTGCACAAAACAGTGACTATAATAACTTATAATGCATTGCATATTCCAGAATTTCTAAAAGATTAGATTTTTTGTTTCACAACAAAAAAATAAGTATGTGAGATGATGGATTTGTTAATTTGCGTGATTTAATCATTCCATAATGTAAACATCATATACCCTATAAATACATATATTGTCATTGTCGATTAAAAATAAAACTGTAAAATGAAGTACAATGTATTTTGTATTTTGTTGCCATATCCTCTAATGTATTTTGTTATTATATCTTCCAACCTGGCTAAACTCACTTGTTAGATCTAGTATCCTTTTTTGTGGATTGCATCACATTTCCTACAGAGACCATCATTTCATCTTCAAATAAAGAAAATTGCAGTATTATTTCTTACTTTCCCATCTGAAAGTTTTGTTCTGTTCTTTCTTTTTTTTTCTCTCTCTCTTGTCTTATTGTGCTGGCTAAAACCTCCAGCAAAATATTGAAAAGAAGTAGTGAGAGTGGAAATCTTCATCTTGTACTTGTTTAAAGGGGGAAAACATTTGAGTTTTCATAATTATGATGTTTGCCACAAGTTTTCTATAGCTGCCCTTTATCACGTTAATAAAATTCCCTTCCATATGTAATTTGCAGGGAGTTATTGCTGTTGTTGTTTGCTTTAACAAGAAATTGATGTTGAATTTTAGTCAAATATGTTTTTGTTTTTCACTAGTAATCACATGGTTTTTCTTTTCTAGTTTGCCAATACCTTGAGTTATATTGGTTGAATTTTAAATGTCAATCAACATTGCATTTCTGCCTGAGCCCCAATTGCTCATTATTAATTGTCCTTGTTATATATTGTTGGATTCTATTTGCTAAAATTTTGTTTAGGACATTCCTCTCTGTTCATGAGGGACATTTATCTGCAGTAGTTGCTTTTCTTATTTATTCTTTTAATGTCTTTTTTTATTTGTTAGTAGGTTAATGGCAACTTCATAGAATAATTTAGTAAGTGTTCTCTTTTCGTTAATATTATATGTGAATGTGTATAGAATCAGTATTTTTTTATTTAAATTTTTGGTAGAATTAACCAGTGATGGCACCAGAGCCAATGAGTTTCTTATCAGAGATTTTTATCTAGAAATTCAATTAATTTAAGAGATGTAGGACTATATAAATTAATTCCTTCTTGAGTGAATTTTGGTAGTTTATGTCTTTAAATGAATTCTTCCACTTCAACTAAATTAACAAAATAGTTGATATAATTTTTTTCATAATGTTTCCTTATTATTATTTTAATTTATATAAGAACTCTAGAGTTGTTACCTCTGTCATTCTTATTGGTGATTTGTGTCTTCTGTCTTTTTTTTTCTGATTGGTCACTTCACGTTTATCAGTTTTATCAATCTCAAAGAACTACCTTTTGGTTTCATTGATCTGTTTCTACTGCTTTTCTGTTTTCTATTTAATTGTTTTCCCCCTTTGTGATTTATGATTTCTTTTTTATGCTTATCTTGTTAAGATTTCCTCATTTTTTCCAGTTTCTCACAATGTAACTTGAGATTATCGATTTCAGATCTTCCTTCTTTCAATAAAAGAAAATGTTCAGGGTTAGTCTTTGGTAGGGACATGGAGACCTCTTCCACAGTAACAGAGAAGAGTACAGTATGGATGCTGATGTGCTGGTGGGAACCTGTTGTAGATCTTTTGGAATTGCTTCTATATTCTCAGTCACAAAGGAAGCTTTCTTATCTGAGAATGAGGATGCTAAAGGAAATAAATTTAATGTTCTTTGGTTTGTATTCAGCTTTACTTCCTATTAATATTGACAACTTTCACTTTTTTCATTTAATTGTTATATTTTTCACATATTTTGTATGTTTTTTTAATTTTTAAATTGGTTTTTGTAATGTGGTTTTTAATACCTTTTCATCTTCTTGTACAAGGAGACATTATAGTACGAAGTTTATTGTAATGATTGCTGTTTGAATTATGCCATTTTACTATTAAAGTTTTTAAAAAGCAGATTCAGTGCTCTACTTGTCACAGGCTAAAGATTTGAGCTTTAATATCTCAGACAAGAGTTGTAACTCAAACCTCAGATCATATTGCAGAACACAAGAATACTTGAGGAAAAGTAAGCAAAGTAGAAAAACTGATTTTTAAAATCTTTTTCTCTATAAAATAAGCTATTCCTCAACTTCTTTACATGAGTATGCCACTTTAAAAAGTGCATTTACTGTGCTATCTCATTTTGAATATCACAATTCTGTGAGGTGCTTATTAGGTACAAGCTTATTTTACCCACGAGTAAACCAATGCTTAGCAAGATTAAATGAATTCTCCCAAGTTGTACAGAAAGTGAGCTGAAGAACTGGATCAGAATGCTGATTCCTCTTATTGTGCAATATCTGGCTCATGATATTAGATATAGATAATATACCTATAGCTAATATAGATATTAGACAGTACTATTTCCTAGAATCAGTCCAAAAGCACCCAACTGACACAATATCAGCTCGCCTAGAATTTACATTCTTATGTTGAAGACAAAAGAAGTAGTCACTTAACCATATAATTATAAATGTCTTAGGTAGGAGAAGTAGAGAGTCCTGGGAAAGAGTGTAATGACTTCTCCCCTTAGTCAAGGGCCATTCTGTAAGAGTCAGTTTCACAGAAAGAAAGCCACAAACTTCTGCTTGACTGCTTAGGATGCAACTTTGCAATATGGGCATTTCCTCTCCTAACACTTAGTCATAATGCTAACAAGTCATAGTTTCCCTTGGAACACTGACGAAGGAGGAGATTGAGTAATCATAGAAGCTAAGTTATTATTATGCAAAAAAGTATACCTTTGACATATTTATATTTTCTTAATAGTCTTATGTGTCCCTTTTTCTCATTGCCAGAAAATGTTCAGCCAACTGAAGAAACTGAGCAAGGCCCCCACCACCACCACTACAACACACATATTCTTTTATTATTACTTGTAGTCATACAGGAATTTGCTCAAAAAGAAAAGTTAAGAAGGGTCATTTCATTATTCTAAGGTATATACATTTTTCGTTTTATGGTCCCAGTTTTTCCTAAAATTCATTATATCCAAAACTAAATTTCTTATGATCTCTACTGAATCTGCATCTCTTCCATGTCTCTTTACTTAATGAATGTGACATTGGAAGGGATATACTTCACCTCAGAGTTATATTAGGTTTATATGTCTATATTATCCAGTCATTAAAATGGCATAATCTTCTTTAGTACAGGTTGAGCGTGCATAATATGAAAAATCTGAAATGCAAAATGATCTAAAATCTGGAGCTTTTTGAGCCCCAACATGGAGCTCAAAAGAAAATGCTCATTGGAGCATTTCAGATCACAGATTTTTGGATTAAGGATGCTCAACCACTGGGTTTTCTGAAAATATTCCCAAATCCAAAAAACTAAACCCAAATTCCCAAACACTTCTCATCCCAAATATTTCATATAAGGTACACTGAACCAGAAATATTTTTAAGTAAGAAGAAATCATAAATCATTGTTTGCCGAAGCCTGATTTCAAAGGTCTTACACAAATAGTATGGATGTCTATTAGATCACAAAATGTGGAAAATCTTGAATATACCCATTTTTGTTTGATTTTTGTGTATGGTCTAAGATAAGGGTTCAACCTTATTCTTTTCATGAGGAAATCCGGTTTTTCCAGCCCTATCTACTAAAGAGATTATCCTTTCCCTCTCCTGACCTTTTGATTCTCAGCTTCCTATTTGGCTCCATTGAAATGTTTCTGTTTTTAAGCCTGTTCTACACACTCTTTTGATCACTATAGCCTTTTAACATAACTTTAAATAAGAAAGTGTTACACCTCTTTATTTTTCTTTCTCAGAATTACTTTGACGATTCGATGACTTTCGTGGTTCCAGACAAATTTTAGGACTTTTTTTTCTATTTCTGTGAAGAATTTCATTGGAATTTTTATAGAAACTGTGTTAATTCTGTATATTGTTTTGGGTATTACAAACATTTTAACAATATTCTAATCCATGAGCAAGGGGTATCTTTTTATTTATTTGTGTCTTCACTTTTTTTCATCAATGTTTTGTAGTTTACAGTGTATAATCTTTCACATTTTTGCTTAAATTTCTTGCTAAGTATTTTTTATGCTTTTGAAAATGGGATTGTTCTCTTCATTTATTTTTCATATAGGTTATGATTTGTGTACAGATATGCAATTAATTTTTGTATGTCAATTTTGTATCTAGTAATTTTACTAAATTCATTGATTCGTTCTAACTGCTTTTTTGTGGAGTATTTGGGGTTTTCTACATTTAGAATCTTGTCATTTGCCATTAGAAATAACTTTACTTTTTTATTTTTTGATTTGTATGCCTTTTTCTTTTTTGTTCTAGTCTGATTACTCTTTGTAGTATTTCCAGTACTGTAATATGTTTGAACCAAAGTGACGAGAGTGGGCATCCTTGCCTGGTACTGGATCCTAGAGGAAAAGCTTAGTTATTCCCCATTGATTATAACGTTAGCTGTGGTTTTCTCAAAGATGGTTTTTAGTATGTGGAGGAACTTTCCTTCTATACCTAAACTATAGAGAGCTTTGAATCAATAAATAATGTTCAACTTTGTGAAATGCTTTTGCTGCATCAATTGAGATGGTAAAGAAGTTTTTATCTTCTATTCTGTTAATGTGACGTGTTACAGTGATTGATTTGTGTATGGTAAACCAGGCTTGCTTGCCAAGGATAAATCCCACTTGGTCATAATGTACTTTTTTTTTTTTTTTTGAGACGGAGTCTCTCTCTGTCGCCAGGCGGAGTGCAGTGGCACGATCTCGGTTCACTGCAACCTCCGCCTCCTGGGTTCAGGCGATTCTCCTGCCTCAGCCTCCCAAGTAGCTGGGATTACAGGCGCCTGCCACTGCACCCTGCTACTTTTCTTAGTTTTAGTAGAGACGGCGTTTCACCATGTTGGCCACGTTGGTCTCGATCTCTTGACCTCGTGATCTGCCAGCCTCGGCCTCCCAAAGTGCTGGGATTACAGGCGTGAGCCACCACGCCATGTTGTTGAATCCCTTTTGACAATATTTTATTGAGAATTTTTGAATCAATGTTCGTCAGAGAATCGCTTGTCATTTTTTTTTATTGTGGTATCTTTGACTTTGGTATATCGAGCTGGTGATACCAGGACTCATATAATGAGTTTGGGAGTATTTCCTTAGTTCTATTTTAGGAAAAATTTAAGAAAGATTAGTATTAATTCTGCCTTAATATGTGGTAAAATTTAGCTACAAAGCCATCTTGTCCTGAGCTTTTCTTCATTGGGAGGTTTTAATTACCACTTCAGTCTCCTTATTTGTTATTGAACTTTTCAGACTTTCTACTTTTTCTGACTCAATCTTTGTAGGCTGTATTTTCTAAGAAATTATTTTCTCTATTGTCCCTTATTATCCATTCTATTTTTGAGGGATCTATTGTAATACCTTCCAAGTATAAGGCCTGAAACCCCAAAGTTCTTAGAAGAAAACATAGAGGAAAAGCTCTTTAACGTTGGCCTTGGCAATGATTTTTTGGATATCATACCAAAAGGAAAAAGAAAAAATTGATACAAGTTGGGCTACCTCAAACTAAAAAGCTTCTTCACAGCAAAGGAAACAATAAACAAAATGAATAAGAACCTACATATTCAGAGAAAGTATTTGTAAACCATATATCTGATAAAAAATTAATATCCAAAATATATAAAGGGGCCACGTGCATTGGCTCCTGCCTATAATCTTAACAGTTTTGGAGGCTGAGGCAGGCAGATCGCTTGAGCCCAGGGGTTCTAGCCAGCCTGGGCAACATGGTGAGATCCCGTCTCTACAAAATATACAAAAATTAGCAGGCTGTGGTAGCATACGCCTGTAGTCCCTACTACCTGGGAGGCTGAGGTAGGAGGATCACCTGAGCCCAAGCAGGTGGAGGCTGCAATGAGCCATGATTGTGTCACTGCACTGCACTTCAGCCTGGGAGCCTGGGTGACAGAGTGAGATCCCATCTCAAATATATATGTGTGTGTGTGTGTGTGTGTGTGTGTGTGTGTGTGTGTGTGTGTGTATATATATATATATATATATATGTATGTATTTGTGCATATATCTATATATATAGTCAAAAATACAAGAAGTAACAAGTTTTGGCAAGGGTATGGAGAAAAGGGAGCCCTGAAACATTGTTGATGGGACTGTAGATTAATAGGTCATTGTGGAAAACTGTACCGGAGTTCCAAAAGAAATTAAAAATAGAACTACCATGTAACCCAGCAGTCCCTCTTCTGAGTATATATCCAAAAAGGAAGAAATCATGACCTTGTAAAGATATCTGCACTTTCATGTTCATTGCAACCTTATTCACAATAGCCAAGATATGTGAAGAACCTAAGTGTTCATTGATGGATGACTGGATTAAAATCACTGTGGCACACGTATGAATGTATAGAATATTATTCAGCCCTTAAAACAAATGAAGTCTTGCCATTTGCCACAAAATGAATGAGTCTGGAGGACATTATGCTAAGTGAAATAAGCCAGACCCAAAAATAAAAGTATTGCCTGATCTCATTTATATGTGAAACTCAAAATAATTCAAATACACAGAAATAGAGAACAAAACAGTGTTTATCAGGGGTAAGTTTGGTGTGGAAGGGTATGAAAATACAGAGATGTAGGTCAAAATATTTTAAAAAATAGCCCATATGTAGGATAAATAAGTCTAGAGATCTAATATACAACATGAGAACTACGGGTAATAAAATTACCCATTACTACATTGGGATTCATGCTAAATTAGTAGATTTTAGCTATTATTGCCACACACACACACAAATGTTTACACATAATACACACATACACACATAAAATGAAAACAAAGTTACCATAGAACAAAAATCATTTTATTTGTTGAAATTAAATGAAAACTTTTGGAAATGAAAAACTGAAATTGTCTCTGTGTGTGGACGGTATGATCTCGTATATAGAAAACCCTAAAGATGCCACAAAGAAAACTACTAGAAAAGATAAACAAATTTAGTAGAGTGGCAGCATACAAAATCAACATATAAAAATTAGTATTTATAAACGAATAATGAACTATCCAAAAAAATTTTTTAATCCCATCCACAATAGCAACCAAAAAAGAAAACACTTAGGTGTAAATTTAATCAAGGAGGTGAAAGATTTATATACAAAAAAACTATAAAACAGTGACGAAACAAATTGAAGAAAAAATAGAGAAATATCTGTGTTCATGGATTGGAAGAATTAATATTGTGAAAATGTTTATACAACCCAGAATGATCTAAACATTCAATATAAAAATTCCAGTCTTTTTATATAGAAACAGAGAAAACAACTCTTAAACTCGTATGGAGCCACAAAAGACCGTGAAAAGCCAAAGTATACTGAGCAAAAAGAATGAAGCTGGAGGCATCATACTACCTGACTTCAAGATATATTATAAAGCTATTTTATGCCAGCACCATGCTATAAAGACAGCATGGAACTGGCATAAAAACAGATACATCAACCAATGGAACAGAATAGACAGATCAAAAATAAACCCACACATTTTTATCTAATTGATTTTTGAAATAAAATTTAAAAACATACAATGGAGAAAGGAAAAGGAGAGTCTCTTCAATAAATGGTGCTGGGAAAATGGAATATTTGCCTGATGAAAAATAAAATTGGTTTCTTATCTCATACTATATATAAAAATGAACTCAAAATGAATTAAAGATTTATATGTAAGTCTTGAAACCGTAAAACTAGAAGGAAACAGGGGAAGAGCTTTATAACATTGGTATGAGCAATGATTTTTTTTATCTGAACTCTAAACAAAGGCAACAAAAGCAAAAGTATTAATACAAACGAGATTGCATCAAATCTGAAAATTTCTGCACAGCCAAGGAAAAAATAGAGTAAAGAGACAACCCACAGAGTGGGGAAAAAAAATATTCACAAACCATGCATCTAACAAAGGTTTAGTATTCCAAAATACATAAGGAATTCAAGCAACTAAATAGCAAGAAAACAAATAATCTAATTAAAAATTGGCAAAGGACCTGAACAGACATTTCTCAAAAGAAGGCATACAAATTGCAAACATGTTTATTTTTAAATGCTCTACATCACTAATAATTAGGGAAATGCAAATTAAAACCAGAATAAGATATGACTTCACACCTGTTAGAATGGCTATTATAACAATGAAAGATAAGAAGTGCTGGCAAGGAAGTGAAGAAAACAGAACCTTTGTACACTCTTATTGGGAATGTAAATTAGTACAGTCATTATGGAAAACAGGATGGAGGTTCCTCAAAAAACTAAAAATGGAACTACTATATGATCCAGCAATCCCACTCTGGGTATATACCCAAAGGAATTCAAGTCAACACGTGGAAGAGGTATCTGCATGCTGTATTCATTACAGCATTGTCTGCAATAGAAAAAATATGTAAACAATCTATATGTCCATCAACAAATGAATGGATGAAGAAAATGTGATATATTTCCAAGTGTGATATACAATGGAATACTATTCATCTTTTAAAAAGAAAGAAACTCTGTCATTTGCAGCAATATGTACAGAATTGGAGAACATTATGTAAAGTGAAATAAGCCAGGCAAAGAAAAAAACTGTACCTAAATACAGTTAGCATAGAAGAAATGTACCTAAACACAGTTATGGCATATATGCCAAGCCCACAGCTAACATCATACTTAATGGTGAAAAGCTGAAAGCTTCTCCTCTGAGATATGGAATAGGACAGAGATGCCCACTTTCACCACATACTCACACTTAAATGCAGAATGTTAAAAGAGATCAAGTTCATAGAAGTAGAAGTAGAGAATGGTATGCTGGTTACCAGAAGCTAGAAGTGGGGGTGGGGAGGAAGGAATGAGGAGGTGTTTATCAAATTGTACGAAGTTTCAGTTACACAAAATAATAGGCTTATAAAATCTACTGCACAGAAGGATGACTATAGTTAATAAAAACATGTTGCCTATTTAAAAATAGCTAAGAAAGTAAATTTGCAATGTCACACCACAAAAAATAAGTGAAGTGATGGATATGTGAATTAGATGGATTTAATCATTCCACTTTGTATACATATAACAAAACATCACATTACACCCCGTAAGTGTACACAATTATGATTTGTTGAAAATAATAATAAAAATAAATCAATGAATTTTATATTAAAGAAAATTAACTGTGGCTTAGATTTGTCATGTTGTTTTCATTGTTATTTTAAATAACAATGACTTTCTGGAAGCCTACATAGGGCCCATATCTAACTCATTCCAAATTTTTGCTTGGAAAATACATGGAAAACAGTTTACACAAGTCTGTCTCTCTGAATTAACTTTCTCAGGGTAAAAATAAGCTAATCAGAAAGAAAAAAACTCCATAGGATTAGAAGAGTAATATTTAGTCCATTCGTTAGTTACAAATATTCCATTAGTTAGAAACATTTCCCAATACTCTCATCCAATGTGACACCTGAATAAACGTCAAGGCTGAGTATGTTAGGAGCTTTCATCTTCCTGGGGAGAAGGATATTACCATGTTAGATGATAAGAAATCTGCAGCTCATAGAGATCTAGCAATTTCCCCAAAATCATATTGTTATATGACAAGTTGGCCAAAAGTATTGTCAAAGTTGTTGGTCTAAAGAGCAATGCTTTACTGCCACCTTATGGGCAAATAGGGTTTGCTACAAGTCCTACAAGAGTTCATTATAGTTCAACTTGGGCTTCGAGAGTGTCTTTCACAGATGAAATAAAGTGTCTTGTATGTCATACTAAGATGTTTGTTTCTATTATAATTAACCAAGGATAGTGATTTTTAACAGATAATATTTAAATGGAAAATTATGGTCAGAAGAATAGAATGGAACCTGAGATAACAGTTAAGATGAATAGTAAAATAACATTAAAACAAGATGACTTGAATTAAATAAATGTTCATGAGTTTGATCAATATGTAAGCTGATATAAGGAATATATATTTATAGTATATTAAAATTGAGTTTGAGTGAAAAAGGGCTTAGAGAGAGTGATAGCATTAATTTTCATTACATCAAAACATGTGTAAAGCAAATTTAGAAAAGCATAGGATCCATATTAGATAGATTGACTTTCAAGATTCCACAAGAGCCAGTGAAATTAAGATGTCCAGTGTCTGCTTCACAAAGAAGATATTTATGAGGCCAACAAACATGAAAAATGCTCATAAGCACTGATCATTAGAGAAATGCAATTCTAAACCACAAGGAAACACCATCTCATGCCAGTCAGAATGGTGATTATTAAAAAGTCAAGAAACAATAGATGCTGGTGAAGCAGTGGAGAAATAGAAACTCTTACAATGTTGGTGGGAATGTAAATTAGTTCAACCATTGTGAAAGATGGTATGGTGATTCCTCAAGGATCTAGAACCAGAAATACCCTTTGACCCAGCAATCCCATTACTGGGTATACACCCAAAGGACTATAAATCATTCTACTATAAAGACACATGCACATGTATGTTTACTGCAGCACTATTTACAATAGCAAAGTCATGGAACGAACCCAAATGCCCATCAGTGATAGACTGGATAAAGAAAATGTGGTACATATACCATGGAATACTATGCAGCCATAAAAATGAATTCGATCATGCCATTTGAAGGGAAGTGGATGAAGCTGGAAGCCATCATCTTCAGCAAACTAACACAGAAACAGAAAGTCAAGCACCGTATGTTCTCACTCATAAGTGGGAGTTGAACAATGAGAACATATGGACATGGGGAGAGGAACAACACACACTGGGGTGGTTGTGGGATGAGAGGCAAGGGGAGGGAGAGCATTAGGACAAACACCTAATGCATGCAGGTCTTAAAATCTAGATGATGGGTTGATAGGTGCAGCAAACCACCATGACACATGTATGCCTATGTAACAAACCTGCACATTCTGCATGTGTATCCCAGAACTTAAAGTAAAACAAATAAAATAAAATAAAAATAAAATAGTCAAATTCATGGAAGCAGAGAATAAAATAATAGTTTCCAGGGACTGGGGGGAGGGAGAAATGGGGAGTTGTTGTTCATGGTTTTAAAATTTTGATTATGTAAGAATAAGTTCTGAAGATCTACTATACAACATAGTGCCCATAGTTAACAATACGGTGTTGTGCACTTCAAAATTTATTGAGGGTAGATCTCATTAATTTTTCTTACAACAACAACAACAACAGCAGCATTAACAAAAACAAAGAGTCACAGGAAAATTTTTAGAGGTGACAGATATGTCTACTGCCTTGATTGTGACGATGGTTTCAAGGTTGTATGCGCATGTCCAAAGTCATTAAATGGAATATATATGTGTATATATATATGTGTGTGTGTGTGTGTGTGTATATATATATATATATGTGTATATATAAAGATGTCCAGTGTCTGATGCTAAGAATATGGGCACAGTCTCATGATGTGGGTAAGTGAGTTATACGTATATAGGCAACAGAGTAATACAGATGTGAGTGGGTTTGTCATGCAGAGGAAGCAGGGTGGGTGGAAGATGGCAATAGCTAAAACCTGGGGCTAATCAATTACCAAAGCATAAAATATACAGGGAATCAGAGGGAGGAATTTGAAATCACCTGCCAAAGGCAGAGGGAGAGAGAGAGAGAAAGAATGAGAACACAGGCAGTGACTATCAGAGCTGGGACCGCAAAAGGGGGAAGTTCCTTTCATGTTAGCAGTCATAAGAGACCTGTGAAAATTATCCTTAGGGGTTGCACTGGAAGGAGGCCATCTTGCATTTAGATGCATGCTGATCTCCTTTACATCTTTGGGAATGCCTACTATCAAATGACAGAAAAAAAATTATTTTTACTGATCTTTTTACTGTTACCCATTGACAGTTTAAGTCAGTGCTTTCTTATCTACTAAAAAGATTTGTAGTATTATAGAGCACAAATCTTGTCCATTGGAATTCTTACAAAAAGTAGAATAATGACAACGTATTCTAGTGTAGACTTTAGGAGGTATCATAGGAAAAAGAAGTATAAAACGTAAGTACAATGGCACGATAAAAGATAAAGTCAACTTCTACTTTCAAACAATAGGATGCAAGGAAAACCAGATAAGATATATTCTCCTACCTGAAACAACAAAAATAGTCAGACAAATATGTAAACATGACACTAGGACACGAGGCACTGAAGGACAGATTCCTGATAGATGGAAAATAAATAAATTAAAGTCTGTAGTTGACCTTGGTTTTTGCATTGTAAGAGATTCTAGGAATAGGAAAGAGGAATCTCAATGAAGCAATTACGAGTTGAGGATACAGAGCTGAAAGGAAATAGAGACTAAACTGGCTGGTGTCTGCAGGACTACTGCACAGGAGAGCTGGATAAAGGGATCAGAAGATTAACAATTGGTGCTCGTGTGTGAAGAAACTACCCAAAGCAAAGAAAGAGTCATTAGAGAGGATTAGAGATAACAGAGCTCAGATCTCATGCAAGGCTATTAATAGTGCCTATTTAAGATTTTTAAGAATTCACTTGATGACATTAATGGCAAATTAATTATTGCAGAAGAAAAGATTTGTCAACAAAGATACAGCAATAATGTTAAAAAACAATCCTCCCAGGATCCCTGAAGTTCTTGATGTTCTTGCATAGCCCAGGACTTGGAGCAATGGAAATTGGCATGCTATAAAGCTAGAGAATATCTAGTTTTTCCCAGAGATATTAATTCTAAAGATGATACATGAAAAGTGATTGTTTTCTTCTCACTGGAGCCATGTATTCACCATGTGATCAGCACAGGAGGTAAGATCAAAGATGTAACAGAACATGTACACACTCTGACCACAGCCTTGCAAGGTAGTAAGAGGCAGAATAGATGCTCTTTCCCAAGCCAGTAGGAAGCAAAGTTCTGAAAGGAAGAGAGCATATTAGTGCATATTATTAGTCTGCTGTACATATAGAAGTAAAAAATACATATGAAGTATAAGAGAGAAAAAGGTGTCCCTATACGTTTTAGGGGTTAAAATTTGTCCAGAGAATTTAAGAAAAAGGCTAATGACCAATGGGACATTAATGGATACCAACAATGTAGGTGTTCTTCTAGGCAAAATAGATCTGCTGAGAATGTGGGGCCCTGCTGATCAAAGCTGCACATGTGTAAATACCTCTGTCTCGAGGCTGAATCCAAAAGGGAGGATGTTTAATGATAAGTTTGCAGAAGTTAGGCAACAGGAATCCTACAAGCAGAGTACAATGTCCTATAGTTCCATTACTTTTTTTTTTAATGCCAAAGGAATATGGAAGAAATTTCTGTCATGTTCTTCGGAAGACAATCTGGAGGCTTGACATAGATTAATTCAGTGTTATTAGCATTAGAGAGCTGGTTAATCCCAATAGTTGCCTTTGACCCATGACTGAAATTCTGAATTTCTTCTGCTTCTGAGATTTTTAGACACAGATCTGAGACCCAAGTCAAATCAGACTTTCATAAAAGTGTATTTATTAGGGAGACTATGGAAGGCAATCAGTCAGTGAGGGGAGAGGTCCATGGAAGGAACTTTGAACAATCTGCTACAAGCTCAGTAGTGATAGCTCTTTGTCATGAAGAACAAATGCAAGGAGATGTAAAAAGCGCAAGAGGGAGATTGGAGACATGGAGGAAAAAAAAAAGAAGATATCTTCCACATTCAAGTCCACTCAGCTAACATTTTCCATCATGGTAAAACCTGATTCTTCCATGAGATTTCCTAAAGGAAGAATCAGAATAAACATTTCATTTAGTAATACAATGTCAGAACTAAACAAATACTTTTAAAATTATCTATCTAAAACCTGGTTTTATATTTGGAAAAACTAAGATCCAGAGTGTAAAGGGAATTGACTAATGACAAAAGACAAAATTATTGGATTTCTTACCTAGTTATCATTCCTTGATTCTAAGATGCCACTGGAGATATTATGAGACATGCTACAGTCTTTTTGAAATTAAGCTGTGTAATCAGGTCCGAGTTTGTGATGTGTGAGGCATGTCAATCCTCAACTATTCTGTTAATACTCTCACACTTTGGCTGAATTACTTATTAGTGGGGATGACCTGAGCTTTGCACATTCCTGTCATTGCTCCTTGCACAAAATTTACAAAATGATTGGGCTAAGAGCTCCAATCTGATGCCATGGGGAAAATTTTTCTCTCTGTGAAATGCACTCACTCATATAGGAATCAAAGCTGAAAGCATTGCGTTATAAGATTTCAGTATCTAATCACTGATTTATGTCACATAAATCCAAAAATCTAAACACTGTCTCAGCTAGAAGATCCAAACTTTGCAATTACATCATCATTGTAGTTCAGAGTTTCAAACACATAAGGGGGTGAAGATATTTAAGAGAAAGCAAAACTACAATTTTTCTTAAAATAAAAAATAATTCAGGGCCTGAAGGGATATTTGAGAGCTTCTCGAGTGGAAGTCAATCAATTGGCATATGGGAATGTAAGGGCTCAGATACCAGAACGGACCTGAGGAATGTCATTCGGTACAATGAGTCTACTTTCTAGTCCAGTGGACTTTCAATTACTATGTGCTTTTCTGAGTGGGTGCTGATTATTATCTGTGTGAACTGGAGCAAATTCCTGGCTTCAAGGTTGATGTACTTGATAGGAAGGGTAGATGGTAATTGCTGTGGATAACCATACTTACAGTTCCCCTCTTTTCCCCAAATAGTACTCACAAGCTCTCAACACACAGAATGCAGGGATTATCATAGGTTATAAAATTGGTGCCGCAGATGGGTTGATATAAGCCAGGGCAGGGGTTGACCGTTCCATTGTACCAGCTCAAGTTTACTTTCTCATATGGACATTTCACCTGAAATTGAGTTGAAAAGATTTATCCAGTTAGAATCCCACTTAGACAGGTAGGTCACCTTTGAACTTTATTAGGAAAAATCTAAGCATAGTCTAGGCGTGGTGGCTCATGCCTGTCATTCCAACATTTTGGGAGGCTGAGGTGGGAGGATTGCTTGAGCCCAGGAGTTCAAGATCAGCCTAGGCAACAGAGCGATACCCTGTCTCTCCAGTTTTTTTTTTTTTAATTAGCCTGGCATGGTGGTGCACGCCTGCAGTCCCAGCTTCTCAGAAGGATGGGGCAGGAGGATCACTTGACTGCAGTGAGCAATGATGGTGCCATTCCACTCCAGCCTAGGCAACACAGTAAGACCCCACCTAAAAAAAAAAAAAAAAAAAATCTAAGCATAGTCAAGACAATATTCCACTCTCACAAAAGCTCTCTTTCCCATCTCCACAAAGCCATGGAACTAGAACCTATATATATCCCATTTGGTGACAATATGATGCCCTGGTTGTCAGGACCTTCTCAATAAAGGAGAACAATGGCCAACTATGCTATGGTTAAAAAAAAGAATAAGAAGAGTAGATAAATAGATTATTTATCTGGGGCTTCTCTCTCAGTCTTCTTTATGCCCCAATTATTAGATCTGGAAAGATTCTTAGAGACTTTCTATGACAGCTCAGCAAAGAAAACTGAAGATCAATAATGGAAGAATCCACATGCCTTGATTTCAAATATTTATCACTTTTTTTTCACTCTCTAAATCCTCAAGCCATTTCCTATTTCAAAGTTGTAAAGTGCAAGATCACTAAGACTAATGCCCTGACACTGTAGAAAAAAATCGAAAACAAAGGAAGGGACATGTCTCCTCAGGGACCCGGACTCAGGGATGTTTGTTTTCAGGGGGAAGTTCTCCTCTGGACAATGCTGGTGCTGGTGATGAATTGAAGTAGTGACTCTGGGATTATGAAGCTTGAGGCTAGTGTTCTCAGGGACTCCATAAGTGTCATGAGATTGGTACAGATAAAATACCTCACGCACAAAGTAGGAGAAAGTTTTGGCTAGGAATTTGGAAAGAAGGGGGTCATGTTTTAACTTAGAAATTCCTCTTCCCTCTTTTTTTATTCAACACCACCATCATGGCCAGGCCACCATCGTTACCCAACTAATCCCTCCATTTCCTTTATTCCTTATTTCCTGAAGTTTCATATTTTAAACTTCTATTGAATCATTTTATTTCCTTGATTAAGGTCCTTTCGTCGAACCTCATTGCACATTATAAAAAAGTATTTCTTAATATGGGCTAAAAGTCCCTATGTGACCTGGAACCTCCCAAATCTTCCGCCCTTACCTGATACTACCTTGCTTTCTGCCCTTTTAGTAAGTTCGTTAGTTTGCTTTTCTTTTTTATAAATTCTTTATCTTTCCCTCACCTCAAGGTCTTCTGACGTGTCATAACCACCCCACCAAATATATTTTTTCTCAACCTAAACTCATTCTAACTTTAGAGCTCAGGTTATAACCCACTTTCTGAGAACTATTTATTAAAATACGGTCACAACTCTCTGTTATTTATTTTTATACTTTTAATCAGTTTGTAACAACGCATTTGTTTAATTATTTAACTAATCCCACACCCCCAAAGGAGTATAAGCCCAGAAGGGAAAGATTTGTGTCTGATTAGGCTAGTCATTATGTGCCCAGCACATATATTGGCATTAGTCATTGCTATATAAACATTTGCCAAATGAATAAATGAGATATAAAATAGTTGAATCTGAAAGAATATACAGTTATCAAAGACAAGAGTAAGAACAGTTTATATTGTTGTCTATAAATATAGCTTCTTTTCTCTCTCTCTCTCTTTGGAGGAAGTTATGCATTCTTCAGGTGAGAATCCCACCTGCTGCTCTCACTGTAGCATCCGCCACTTTTCTTCCCTGTCTGTGCTCCAGTCACACAGGGCTTCAATTAGTGACCCAGGTAGGTAAGGTCTTTCTCCCCCCTCTTCACCTGGGTGGCTACTTTTTATCCTTCAAGTCTCACCTTAGATATCCCCATGACAGACAAACCTTGCCTGAACCCATTGTTTATAGTAGTTATCTCTACACTCAACAGATATTCTCTATCATACCATTTTATTTCTTGTATTTATAAAATTTACCATAAATCATAGTTGGTTTCTTCCTTTTTTGGTTATCTGCAAGGTTCATGAGGAAAAGGAATATAACTGCTTTCCTCAATAGTGTATCTTAGGGCACAGCATAGGTGATTAATAAATATTTTTTAAAGAAAATAAGTAAAAGTGAGCGCATTTATTATTGTTTATGGATTTATGGGCATGAGGCAGACTTATCCTGCAGGTAAATTTCTGCAGAAGAAAATTCCAGAACTCAGCTTTATGAGACCAGGGTATAAATCCTGGACAAATTCTGCAGATATTTTCTGGGGCAGTAGCCTCTGACAAGCTTCACATTCTGGTCCCCGGGTCTCTTGAAGGTAGAGCTGCCCTCAAAATATCTTTCTCAGCAGTCAACTCATGACAGACTTTTTTACAAAGAAGAAATAAAATTTAAAATTTATGAATTAGACAAAAGCTTAAGGTGCTAATACTTCTAAAGGGAAGGAATACAGTGATGCAAATGTGAATCAAAATGAAAAGTTTAATCCCTCATTCATCTTTTCCCTCACTTATCAAATATCGATTGACCTCACATTATATGCAGTGCTCATTAAGGTAGACGAAAATGAAAAAGATGTCTCCATTTTGCCCTCATCCAAGTTGCAAACATAGTTTGAGGCTCTGTTCAGGTATCTACTGTTCTTCACATTTTCTTCCATCCATATCCAGAAGTTGCCTTCTGCATTCACAACTTACATAGGCATTCTCTGTACATCTCAAGACATTTAGGAGCATTCTTTTAAGTCATTGTTTCCATCAGACTGTGAGCTCCTTGAGAGCCAGGACCATGTTATGCCCAAGTCCATAGGCTCTTAAGAACCTGTCATGCTCCTGGCAATTGTCAATACTCTTCAATATTTCTCAGGCACTAAAGAGGGTTCTCTGGTGTATGTATGAGTGAATGTTGTCTGGGTTCCAAGTTTGGATCTCTACTCTGGGGTACTGTTTCAGCAGTGTATCCACCACCCTCGTACAAATAGGCCTTGAAGACTATTACGGGTGACCTTGAGGCATTAAGTTTCCACAGTAACAATTCCAAAAAAAAAGAACTCATATTATAATGTAAGTCCTGGGGGGAAATTTAATGGAACATTACCTTAATAATTCCACGTGGTGGCCACCAGTGTCTAGGGCCTGAAACTAGAGAATACATGAAAATAGTTACAGAATTTAATTCCTGTTAAATCATAGCTTAATCTGTTGGCAGAATAAACGAGTTCTAATTTATTATCAAGGAAGTTTTCAGCAATGGAAAACATTATTTCATTTATACATGTATTCATTCATTTTTTTAAATGTGAAATAAATCTTTTACTCCTAATTGATATCAGCAGGGGACTATATAGATGCATCACTGTTTCATAAAGGCTGGCAGTCCAGTGTACTAAATAATTTTCCTAATTAGCTTGGACTTGAGAGGACTTAGAGCTGGTAATCTATGTATGAAAGAAATAAGCAATGCTGTAACTTTAAAGTGATCTTTTGGCCCAATCATCATATTTTTTTAGGCATGAAAGACACCTGGGTAATACTCAGGAATTCTTGGTAGATATGTGAAAAAGCAAGCTCTGCAGCCCTTGAGGCTAGGCCTCTTTATGACTCCCTACATGATTTCTTCTCTAGAAGAGGGCACAAAAGATAATGGTCCAGTCAAATACACAGCAAATCAAACACTCTAAATTTTCCAGATGTGATCTCATGTATGCATATTATATTGCTAGTCACTTTTACATGTTACCTCAGTGAGTCACCCAAGCCTCCTTGCCCTCATGAGTTAAATCTCATAATCGGCATGCAAAAGATGGCAAAACAAAGGTCTCTGCCCATTGAATCAGTCTTTTAGACTCTCTCTCTCTATATATATATATATGTATGTGTGTGTGTGTGTGTGTGTGTATATATATATATATACTCTGAGTATGTGTATACATATATATACTCTGAGTATACTCAGAGTATATATATACATGTGTGTGTATATATATGTATATGTATATGTGTGTATATACAAATATAGAGACAGAGAGAGTCTAAAATACTGATTCAATGGGCAGAGACCTTCATTTTGTCATATACTCTGAGTATATATATAAATATATATATACATATATACACTCTGCAACACGTCAATGGATAATTTATATATATATACACATATATATATATTCATCCCAGTTAAAGAACAATTTCAAAGCATTCTCTCTCAGATTATGATGTAAAAGCCCACAAATCAATTTCAACTGCTGGCCAAGACCAGCTAAATTACTCACCAGAAGATAACACCAAATGTATCAAGATAAAGGACAAAAGTGAGAATACTGGGAAAGATTTGGCCATTTTTCCTCCTGGTGTGTCCTTGGAATGATGCTCTGAAATATTGTCTCAGGTTGTTGCCCTCTAATACAATCACTAAAGTAGAGACAATCAGGATTTAAGATGACTTTTACAATGAAGAGCCATCTCTACTCCACCCATTGTATCCTCAGTACTATGTATTTGGAAAGCCTATTCCATTCTTCTTCAGAAACAAATGTTTAAAAAGTTAAACCTTGAATAACTATCTTGATTAAAAGTATAGAGCTCAGTAACAGATCTTTGAATACTCAGAAGTAAATCATAGGTTACTCTGTGGGCATAAGTGTATTATTTTAGTGGGAAAACATTTTACATGTCATGAAAAAGCAACTCCTTACCTGAAGCTTCACCTAAATTTATCTTTTGAGGGGATGCAAAAAAAAAGATGGGGCTATTGAGGTCCCTAGACAACATGAACTTCTCAATAAGTGGAGTGGATCTGTACTTGCTCGTCAAGCAAAGAATACCTCTTTGGATTAAGACAAAGATTTCTGATGATTCAGGCATGCTTGTCTATACCAAGGATCTTCTGATGTTGAATCCCAGACTCTTTGAGGACATTCACAGGGAGAAAAATCATTATCTGCCATCTCACTGGGGTCCCACAGCTATTTTAATCCAGACACAGAAAGGGAAAAGTCAGAGAGCAAATCCTCCCTCGGGATGGACTTTCCTTGTAGCAACATTTCTGACCCCAGAGAATGGAAACTGCAGTTTCCAGGGCCTGACCAAGGACCACATTTAACTGTTCCTCCATTCCTAATTCTAGAAAAGTAGCCTGGTCTTCCATATGTTCTCTAGGCTTTTATCTCTGTCTGCAACACATGTCAATGGATAATTTATATAAACTCTGCTGATGTGCTCTGATGTGGCAGGTGTTACTTAAGACATTAAAATGTAGCCAGAGTATTCTACTCTCAGGATGATTGCAAGTTCTTTGTACACTATGAAAGGTTGCCTACCATGCCTACTCCTGGCACAATCTGGGACACCATGTTTTGCTAAACACACCCCCATCTCATCCTGATATTTTCCCTGGCTTCCTCCAGAAATGGAACAGGAACAGTACAAGTTCAGCTGCAGCCAGAAAACTAGAGCAAAACACAGAGGCCCACTCTCTCCATCCCTCATGTCACAGCTGACCCACCTCAGAAAGAAGAGAAAAGGAAGAGGAATATAATGTGCTCCTTCTAAGAAGCATGTATTAGGGCCCCAGGAGGAAATAGAGTAACTGCTGCGTAGGACAGAAAAGTCACTGAGGCATTGTGTGCTGGACTGAGCAGGCCCTGGAGATCCATCATTCAGATTGCATCAAACCTCAGCAGGGGAAGACCTGAGGAGGGTAAGAAGAGATCACTGGAAAGGGCAGCCATTAGCAGGCAATTCAAGAGAGGCAATAGCATGAGAAAACATCCCACAGTAGGAAAGAGCAAGCAGAAAGAATATAACATGTTCCACAACAATAATTAGTATCAAGACCAGGACCAGTATTAGGACCAGAATGAAAACATGTGTGGAAACATCTAATAAAGAAAAGGCTGGTACAGGAGGTTGCAGTGACAGATGAGATCCTTGGATACCATTTGCAGTAGATCCAGCCTTGTGCCTGTAGTAACCCAGAGCCTTTGCCATTTTAACAGGGAAGATATATTATTATAGCTTAAGGTCCTCCTATTATCTGAACTTCTGGCCTCTACCATTCCTTCTGTAAAAAGCTATTTTTCTTATACAAAGAAAATATATGCTCACTTAGAAAATTTATAAAATAGAAATATACAAAAAAGAGAGGGAGGCGGAGCAAGTAGAAACATACAAATAGAAATGGCCAAATAGAAATATGAAAAAAAAGAAACATACAAAATGAAATAAAATATATAAAACAAAAAATATACAAATGAAATAAAAAGGTGTGAAATCTTACAACTCAGAGGTACCTATTAAATATATATAAAATTATATTCTTCCAGTTTAAATATATATACATAATCACACAGGTACATATGTTTTATTACAATATTCAACTTTTATAATATATATTGTTTTTTCACTTAGAAATGCACTATTACATTTTCTTGATCTCTAAATATATTGAACATGAATTTAGATGCCTGGTGTCATATTCCATCACATATGTGGATTTTAATTATACTAATATTCTTTAATTGTTGCTCAATTAGGGTGATGCCAATTTTTTATTGTTATTAATAGTGCTAGCATAGGCAGATTTTTATTTACCTCAGTTAACTTGTCTTTTAATATTTTATTTTAATAAATGCCTGTAAATAAACCCATTGAAAACTTCCAGAAAGAACTTAGGTCACCTAGAATATGAGAGAGGTGGTGGTTTTCATCACATTTCTGGGCTCCATACTTGTAATTCTGGGCTCCATACTTACAAGAAATATTTTGAAAACAACCTGCTATCTTCCTGAGTAGATCATTTGTTCCCCAGTTTGGAAAGGTAGATGCATCCTGTTGTTTAGAAAGGATTCTGAACGCAGAATCAGAACATCAATTTATAATGTTTTGTCAACTTGGAAAGTAATTTATTCTATCTGGACCACAGAATTTTCCATTTTGCGCTATTGGGTAATCACACATTCCATCAAGTGCTCTTTGGAGGTTTAATTGAACAAACACTTAAACAGCTTTGAAAACTGAGCCAGATAAGCCACCAATAAATGCTATTTTAATTTGGCTTCTTCTCAGCCACTATATGGATGTGAGTGTTGTAAATTCAGAGCCACGGACTCATTTTATGGCATTCAAAAATAATAAGTGTGAAATTACTTCCCATCTGAGAATAAATAATTTACATTTTTTTTAACTTTGTTTTGCTGCAAATTTTATTAGCAGAGCATCACTCATAAGGTGAGTTTCCATAGGTCTTCTACAGTCTGGGATTCTGATTTGTCAGGAATTGTGAGGGGCCCTGAAAGTACAGCTGTGAAAACTATTGGCATCATCCTTACCCTAATGGAGCTTAGACACACTACAGGAAAAGTCATTAAACAAATAATTACTCAAGGAAAGCAGACTTGAGGAGGAAATTTCCAATATTTGTGTTTTCTGAATCTTGTGACATTTAGGTATTAATCATGACCCCTGTGTTTCTCATTTATATTAGCATTGAGGAATCAAACAATAAAATGCCACAAATCCGATATTTTAACTATGTAAAACTGAAGCAAAATATTCTAAGATAAAGAGAATTGCATGTTATGGCCACATGGCTCTATTTAATAGATGCAAAAACAAGATAACAGAGGGAGGTCTATAAACATCGCTTAATCCTGAAGCACACAGAGGAAAACCAAGTGCTACAGGAAATAATTAAGGCTAGAACATCTTTACTTCTTCCAAACTCCCCCAAATTTCAGTTGAACTAATATTGGGAGAAGACAATAAGTAAGATTAAAGGATCATATCTCCCTCAGAGAATCCTTAGTCTATGATTTTGTCATCATCTATTACACCCAGTCTAATTCCAAAAGCTACAGCTTAGGGCTTTCTCACCGAATTCCAGCCTCCCTAGCTGTGAAGTAATTCAATTTATGTGTTCCAATTTCACCTCAAACCCACATCTTCAAAACCCAGTGCCTCCTCCTGTTGTCCAAAGCAGATTCTTATCACCTTTCATGGGTGCAAAATCTTCTAGTGTCACAGGATTGATCTAAGGCTCTACCACTGTCCTCCTGCAGAAAGTCTCAGCTCCACTGCCCAATGGTTAGAAATTTCATAGTCCACCTCATTCTGATGACCAATTATATTTCCACCACAGTACTGATAAGTGGCAACAATGCTTTATCCCTCAGAGAAAAACCACCAGATACCACGCAAATAATTGGTACCATCCAGGCTGTAGGATTAAGCCTTCCCCTTCTCAAGGATTTTAGGGAAGCCCTAGGACAGCATTAACCAGACTTGTACATTCTTTTGCACTGGTCTTGACTATGGGTTTGGATAACCAGTTATTTGGACTGACCAAGATGGTTTTATGGCTTTAACCTTCCCCTTGGCTCAACTGAACTGTAGATAAGCTTCTTAACTCTAAGCCACTGACCTCCTTTTTTTGTGAAGCATTTACTTTATAATGTGTAACTCTAATTTCTTTATATATCCATTTGACTTGTAAATCCTTTTAGAAGCCTCTTGCCAGTTTAACAACCCAACCCAGGACTGTCTTTCTCAGTGGCCTGAGGGACATCCCTTTGAAATGTAATCATTAAGGCAAATAGTGCCCGTATCTACTAGTTTCTGTGGAATAGTACAGAGCTACCTTTGAGGGTGGTAAGCACCTTGCTCCAATTTGCAAAAACACCTCCTATCATAAAGATATGAGCTTTTTTTTAGTTTGGATTAAGCCAATTAGCAAACACAGATGGCCTATGGTTTCTCCCTAATATCCTCCAGTACTTGGCATTAGCTCACCCCAGCCCTTAAAAACCCTCCCATTTCCTTTGTTTCAGTGACTTGGGTTCAGGCTGAGTTCTGGCCTCTCTTCCTGACTGCAATAACCTTAAATAAAATCATTCTTGCCTGTTTAACTTTGTCATGTACAATGTTTGCTTCAGAAGAACCACCTTACATTCCAAATAACAGATCTTCTTATCTTTTCTCTTTGCATAACATGAATAACAAAACAAAAAACCAAAACATTTTTTGTTTTGTTTTATTTTTACTTTCCCTCTAACTCCTTTAGAGGGTGTGTTGGTTCATTTTCACGCTACTGATAAAGATATACTCGAGACTGGGCAATTTACAAAGAAAAGAGGTTTAATGGAGAACTCACAGTTCCACGTAGCTGGAGAAGCCTCACAATCATGGTGGAAGGCAAGGAGGAACAAGTCATATCTTATGTGGATGGTGGCAGGCAGAAAGAGAGAGCTTGTGCAGAGAACTCTCATTGTGCAGAGAAAACCATCAGATCTCATGAGACCCATTCACTATCACGGGAACAACATGGGAAAGACTCGCCCCCATGATTCAATCATCTCCCACTGGGTCCCTCCCACAACACGTGGGAATTATGGGTGCTACAAGATGAGATTTGAGTGGGGACAGAGAGCCAAACCGTATCAGAGGGCCAATATTTAGCCTTGTATAATCCAAGTGTCAGCTCCTCTACCTTGCAGATATGCAATTCTTATAGCATAAAATAAAAATGCTATTTCTTAACCTTACTTCCTGTCCTAAATTATCTGTTTATGTACCCCTTTGTGTCATTCCGAGATCCTCTGTCAACTACCCAGTCACTGCCCTGCTGGTTCCAGCTGGCCAGCTCCCCGGTCCCAACCACCACCATGGGCTGCTACTCCCTGTCCATTGGGATTAACCAAGAGGTGGAGCAGAGAAAGCCACCCTAACCCTTCATTCTCCCTAAAACTCCTGCCCCTGGATGTACAAGGGTACATATTTTCTTTATAAAAAAGGTAAGGACAGGGAAATGCATACATATATACTAAACTTAAAAGTATAAACATAATATAATAGCATCTAATTATATCTCATAAAATAATAATAATATGATAAAATTATTTAAAGAGAATTATCAAGAAGGGGGAAAGTTAAAAAGCTGTAACCTAGAGATAAGTTTCCTCAGAAATGAGAAGGAAAATAAGAAATCCTCAAAGTAGGCCTTGATGGAAAACTCATCTGGGTCTTAACTGATTTGTCTTTCTTCCCATTTATGATCCCTTCCAAAGAGTTACTTGCTTCTCTCCACTTCACTTTGGGACAACAAATTCTGCCCACAGTATCTTATAGGATGTCTAAGGGGCAGAGCTTTGGCCATCTAAAGCTGTGGAAGCAGCTTTGGGACTGGGTAATGGGAAGAGGTTGGAACAATTTTGGAGGGCTCAAAAGAAGACAGGAAGTTGAGGGAGAGTTTGAAACTCCCTAGAGACTTGTTGAATGGCTTTGACCAGGCAGAAGTCTGCTGCAGAGAGCCCATATGAAGAACCCCTACTAGGGCAGTAAAGAGGGGAAATGTGGGATTGGATCACCTACACAGGGTCTCCACTGGATCACTGCCTAGTGGAGCTGTGAGAAAAGGGATACCATCCTCCAGACCCCAGAATTGTAGATCCACCAACAGCTTGCACTGTGATCCTGCAAAAGCTGCAGGCACTCAACACCGGCCTGTGAAAGCAGCCAAGGGTGCTGTACCCTGCAAAGCCACAGGGGTAGAGATCCCCAAGGCCTTATGAGCCCATCCCTTGCATTGGTGTGGCCTGGATATGAGACATGGAGTCAAACAAGATTATTTTGGAGCTTTAAGACTTAATGACTGCACTGATGGGTTTAAGACTTGCATGGGGCCTGTAGCCCCTTTATTTTGGTTGATTTCTCCCTTTTGGAATGGGTATGTTTACCCAATTCCTGTATCCCCATTGTATCTTGAAAGTAACTAACTTGTTATTTATTTCACAGTTTCACAGGTGAAAGGAACTTGCCTTGTCTCAGATAAGACTTTAGACTGTGGACTTTTGAGTTAATGCTGAAATGAGTTAAGAATTGGGGGACTGTTGAGAAGGGATGATTGTATTTTGCAATGTGAGAAGGACATAAAATTTGGGAGGGGCCAGGGGTGAAATGATATGATTTGGATTTGCCCAAGTCTTGTGTTGAATTATAATCCTCAATGTTGGACGAGAGACCTGGTGAGAGGTGATTGGGTCATAGGGGCAGATTTCCTCCCTGCTGTTCTTATGATAGTGAGTGAGTTCTCATGAGATCTGGTTGTTTAAAAGTGTGTGGCACCTTCCACAATCTCTTCCTCCTTTTCCAGCCATGTAAGATGTGCTTGCTTCCCCTGCTTTCTTTTCCCAACTTTTGCCATGATTCTAAGTTTCCTGAAGCCTCCTGAGCCATGCTTCCTGTACAGCCTGCGAAACTGTGAGCCAATTAACTTCTTTTCTTTATGTATTGCTCAGTTTCAGGTAGTTTTTTGTGGCAGTGCAAGAACAGGCTGATACCACAATCAAGAAAGTTCAAAAGCCTCAAACACAAGCAAGGAAACAAAAATGTGCTATCTGTAATCTATACACCTCTTCCTAGGAGAAAACACATTTATTTTTACCCTAGATTTAACCTTCAAGGAAGAAGACAATAATTCACCATCTGCAAACTGTCCACCTCTTCTAAGGAGAAAATAAGTTTATATTCTTTCAACTTTCAGAAGGAGCCCTTTCAGGCCTGCCAGAATAAGAAAGGAGCTAAATATCGCTACAGTGAATATTCTATCAGTTTCATTTTTAATGTTTTTGAAAGACCATTTTAATGAGGACTTAAATTCTGAGATAAAAATCTTTCATTTCCCCAGGTTCTAAACTGAAGAATAAGGGCGATATTCTATTCCCTTATTTTCTTGTTTTATTTCCATCTCCTGCTATTGACAGCACTACTCTCTTAAATCTATTTCTGAATGTCCTTATCTCCTGGCAGTCTCCCTGTCTGTTTCTGTGTCTCTATGTTACTCACCCCTAAGAAGGCTATCCACAAAGGCAGAAATTGTCCTGGACATCACTGTATCCATAGAACCTGGTACAAGATCTGACAACAGTGGTGGCAAATACTAATAACTCAAACTGAATTTCAGCCTTTCTTTTCATTACTTCCTTGGGCACCAGTCTCCTAACATATCTTTTTTTTTTTTTTTTTTTTGAGATGGAGTCTCACTCTGTAACTCAGGCTGTAGTGCAGTGGCACAATCTTGGCTCAATGCAACCTCTGCCTCTTGGGTTCAAGTGATTCTTCTGCCTCAGTCTCCTAAGTAGCTGGGACTACAGGTGTATGCCACCACACCCAACTATTTTTTTTTTTTTATTGTTAGTAGAGACGGGGTTTCGCCATGTTGGCCAGACTCTCATACTCCTGACCTCAGGTGACTCACCTGCCTCGGCCCCCCAAAGTGCTAGAATTAAAGGTGTGAGCCACCGCACCTGGCTACTCTTAACATATCTTAATAAGACTATCGACTGGTTTAGAATTCCAACCTTGCAAAGTAATAGCTGATGCATATACATCCACAAGAGGTGTATGAATCATTGAAGTGTATAAAAGGTTGCAGCACCCTGAGAGAGAATGCTGTTGACCTTCCGCAGTGCTAGAATGAGAATGGCAACACCTACCTCCCCTACTTTTTTTTATTTTCTTTCCATCTAGCTATATACTTCTTCCCAATAAATTATTTAATTACATATATTAAAATCTTCTGTCATATCTGATTTTGGGGTTTTTATTTTTGGTAAGAAAATTTATCTCCATACATTTCAATATGTCTGCATGAGTGCCTGATTGTCCCTAAATGTTAAGAGGTTTTATATATTTATATATAATCTATAATTTATAGATTGAGCTTACTTAACACATTTAAAACATTTATAATTCATAAGTATATAATTATTTACCTTTAAATGGAAAAAGTTAGTATATTTACATAAGCTCTGATTTTCTCTTAACAAATTGCTCCCAGTATTTTTTTTTTAAAGATTTTTCTAAAAACGTAGAAACCATTGTCTTCGTTTACTGGTACAACATCTTTCTTATTATTTTATCAACATATAATTCCCATCTTTATTTTGCTTGTTTTATTATTTTTGACTTAGAAAGTATTTGTTATTAACTTTAAGATCCCTACTTTCCTTTTTTTTTTTTTGAGACGGAGTTTCGCTCTTGTTACCAAGGCTGGAGTGCAATGGTGCGATCTTGGCTCACTGCAACCTCTGCCTCCCGGGTTCAAGCAATTCTCCTGCCTCAGCCTCCTGAGTAGCTACGATTACAGGCATGCACCACTACATCCGGCTAATTTTGTATTTTTAGTAGAGACGGGGTTCCTCCACATTGGTCAGGCTGGTCTGAAACTCCTGACCTCAGGTGATCCGCCAGACTTGGCCTCCTAAAGTGCTGGGATTACAGGCGTGGGCCACTGCACCCAGCCAAGATCCCTACTTTCTTAATGAAGCTCACAAAAGAGTATTCTGCAATTAGGAATTATTTCACTTATACCATACGCTTGCAATAAAATCAAACAGCATGAATATCAAGGCTTATTTGATTAAATAGGAAAAATATAATTACAAGTTATGATTGACATTTTTGTCTAATATCAGCTTCAGGTTTCACTTTACATCTCAATTTTGTTTTGAACAGAATTATATAACCCTTAAATTCATGTGTTATGATCCTGATATCCAGTATATCAGAATGTGGCAGTATTTGGAGATAGGGTATTTAAAGAAGTAATTAAGGTTAAATTAGGTCATTGGGGTGGGCTCTGATTCAGTATGACTGGTGTTCTTATGAGAAGAAAAAATTGGGATAAAGACAAGCAAAGAAGAAAAATCATGAGAAGGCTCACAAAGAATATCGCCATCTATAAGCCAGAGATAAGTCAACCCTGCTGACACCTTCATCTCAGACTTCTAGCTTCCAGAGCTGTGAGCAAATTTCTGTTGCTTATGCCATGTAGTCTGTAGTACTTTATTATGACAGCCCTGGCAAATTAATACAGTTGCATGTTTAGAACACTTAGATTCACAAAGACCAACAGTTGAACATGTTTTTAAATAACTCCTTTGACTTTTCTGAAGCACTTTTAAATTATATTGACCATAAGTTTGATAGGGAAATGATAGATTTGTTTTTAAATTTCAAAATTAAATTATTTATATGGTAAAACACGTACAGCAAAATATTAATGGCAAAATTTTGGAGGTGGGTATATGAGTTTTGCCATAAAATTCTTTCAACTTTTTTGTATTTTCTGATATTTAATAATAAACTATTGAAAAAAATTTCACAACTGTGAATATCACTCACTTTCATTTATTGATCGGTAATGGATTTGGAGAAAGTTAATGAGTGCATTCTTTTTTTTTTTTTTTTTTTTTTTTTTGAGACGGAGTCTCGCTCTGTCGCCCAGGCTGGAGTGCAGTGGCGCGATCTCGGCTCACTGCAAGCTCTGCCTCCCGGGTTCACGCCATTCACCTGCCTCAGCCTCCCGAGTAGCTGGGACTACAGGCGCCCGCCACCACGCCCGGCTAATTTTTTGTATTTTTAGTAGAGACGGGGTTTCACCGTGTTAGCCAGGATGGTCTCGATCTCCTGACCTCGTGATCCGCCCGCCTCGGCCTCCCAAAGTGCTGGGATTACAGGCGTGAGCCACCGCGCCCGGCCATGAGTGCATTCTTGACCAACTGAGATCTTAATGATTTAGAGAAAAATGCAATACTTTTCAAAAATATTTTAGAACTTGAAATTTTTAAAAATCTTAAAAGCAGTTATTAGCTATCCCTAGTAAATACTCATTCAGCCAATTGAAGAAGTCAAATCAAATTTCCCTTGGGTGTCTAATTTAAATTGTAAATTTATTGCTAGAAATATATCAAAAGTTTGTAATATTGTGACTAGCGTTGAGCTCATTGAGCTTAACAAAATTATCAACAAGATATAGAAGGTAAAACAAATTTTATTTGAACATTTTTAATTTTAAATAATAATACCTTGAAATGTCTTCCTCAGGTTAGTCAACTACAGATCTCTGTTGACATTTTTTCATAGGGCATTTAAGTTGGAGGCTGGACAAGGCAAAATACTCGCAGGGCTAGGAATAAATGAAATCACTCATATTGACAGGCAGGAAGGCTGGCGTAGGCAAAATAAGCTATCACCATAAGCAGAAGATACTGATAAAAAGAAGGAGAAAACAGAAAAGAATTCACATCCTAGAAGAGAGAAAACCATAAATTAAGAGAATAACAATTCGAGGTCAGAGGGTACTATGTCAGAGAGGAGACACTATGTAGGCTGAATGTGCTTATTTGGGGCCAGGGCTAGGAGAAGCTGACAAGGGGATTGTTTTCTTGATACACAATCCCAAAGACAGAGGAAGGAATATCACTGATACTCTGAGCAGTGAAAGGTCTTAATGTTTGAAAGAGTATGTTCAAATTTACAAGAAAAAAACAAACAACTCCATTAAAAAGCGGCCAAAGGGGCTGGGTGTGGTGGTTCACGCCTGTAATCCCAGCACTTTGGGAGGCTGACGGGGGGGGGATCACGAGGTCAGTAGTTTGAGACCAGCCTGGCCAACATAGTGAAACCTTGTCTCTACTAAAAATACAAAAAATTAGCTGAGTGTGATGGTGGGTGCCTGTAATCCCAGCTACTTGGGAGGCTGAGGCAGGAGAATTGCTTAAACCCAGAGGCAGAGGTTGCAGTGAGCCAATATTGCACCACTGCACTCTAGCCTGGGCAACAGTGCGAGACTACATCTCAAAAAAAAAAAAGTGGGCAAAGGACATGAACAAACATTTTTCAAGAGAAGACATTTATGCAGCCAAAAACATGAACAAAAGCTCAACGTCACTGATTATTAGAGAAATGCAAATCAAAACCACAATGAGATACCATCTCATGCCAGTCAGAATGTTGATAATTAAAAAGTCAAGAAACAACAGATGCTGGCAAGGCTGTGGAGAAAAAGGAATGCTTTTACACTGTTGGTGGGAATGTAAATTAATTCAACCATTGTGGAAGACAGTGTGGCAATTTCTTAAAGACCTAGAACCAGAAGTGCCATTTGACCCAGCAGTCCATTACTGAGTACATACCCAAAGAATATAAATCATTCTATTATAAAGATACATGTATGTGTATTTTCATTGCAGCACTATTTACAATAGCAAAGACATGGAATCAACCCAAATGCCTATTGATAATAGGCTGGATAAAGAAAGTGTGGTATGTAGACATCATAGAATACTATGCAGCAAATGAAGGGAATGAGATCATGTCATTTCCAGCTTTTTCACATCCAGTATGATGTTGGCTATGGGTTTGTCATAGATGGCTCATTATTTTGAAGTATGTTTATTTAATACTAAGTCTATTGAGAGTTTTTAATATGAATGTGTGTGGAATTCTATTAAAAGACTTTTCTGCATCTATTTAGATAATCATGTATTTTTCTTTAGTGTCATTTATGTGATAAATCACATTTATTGATTTGCATATGTTAAGCCAGTCTTGCCTCCCAAGGATAAGGCCTACTTGATCATTTTGGATACATTTTTTGATGTGCTGCTGAATTCTATTTGCCCATATTTTGTTGAGGATTTTTGCACTGGTTATCTAAATTTTTGTGGGGTCAGTGGTAATACCCCTTCATTGTTTCTAATTGTGTTTATTTGGATGTTTTCTCTTTTCTTCTTTATTATTCTAGCTAGTGGTCTATGTATTTTACTAATTTTTGTTAAAAAGCCAAATCTTAGATTCATTTATCTTTTAAATGATTTTTTTGTGTCTCAATCTCTTTCAGTTCAACTCTGATTTTGGTTATTTCTTGTCTTCTGCTAGGTTTGGGGTTGTTTTCTTCTTGGTTCTGTAGTTTTTTTTAATTTTAATGTTAGGTTGTTAAACTGAGACCTTTCTAACTTTTTGATGTGAACATTTACTGCTATGAATTTCCCTCAACACTGACTTAGCTGTGTCACAGAGGTTCTCATATGTTGTATCTTTGTTCTCATTAGTTTCAAAGAATGTCTTGATCTCTACCTTAATTTCTTTATTTACCCAATAATCATTCTGGAGTAGGTTGCTTAATTTCCATGTAATTGTGTGGTTTTGTGTAATTTTCTTAGTCTTGATTTCTAATTTTATTGCGCTGTGGTCCAAGAGAGTGGTTGTTATGATATCAGTTATTTTGCATTTGCTAAGGATTGTTTTATGTCTGACTTTGTGGTCAGTTTTAGAGTATATGCCAGGTAATGATGAGAAGAATGTATATTCTGTTGTTTTGTGTTGAGAGCTTTATATAGGTCTATCAGTTCCATTTGGTCTAGGGTTAAGTTCAGTTTCTGAATATCTTTGCTAATTTTCAGCCTCGATGATCTAATACTCTCAGTGGGGTGTTGAAGACTTTCATTATTATGTGGAGGTCTGAGACTCTTTTAAGGTCTCTAAGAATATGCTTTATGAATCATGGTGCTCCTGTGTTGGGTGCATATATATTTAGGATAGTTTGGTCTTCTTGTTTAATTGAACTGTTTACCATTATGTGATGCCCTTCTTTGTCTTTTTTGATCATTGTTGGTTTAAAGTCTATTTTGTCTGAAATTAGGATGGCAACCTCTGCTTTTTTCTGTTTTCTATTTGCTTGGTAGATTTATTTTGAGCCAACAGGTGTCGTTGCAAGTGAAATGGGTCTCTTGATGAAAGCATATCATTGTGTCTTGGTTCTTTATCCGGCTTGCTGTGTTTTTAATTGGGGCATTTAGCTCATTTAAATTCAATGTTAGTATTGACATGTGTGGATTTTATCCTGTTGTCATGATGTTAGCTGGTTATTATGCAGACCTGTTTCTGTGGTTGTTTTATAGTGTCATTGGTCTGTGTACTTAAGTGTGTTTTTGTTGTAACTGGTAATGGTCTTTCCTTTCCATATTTAGTGCTTCCTTCAGAAGCTCTTATAAGGCAGGTCTGGTGATAACAAATTCCCTCATCATTTGCTTGTGTGAAAAGGATCTCATTTCTTCTTTGCTTATGAAGCTTAGTTTGGCCAAATACAAAACTCTTGGTTGGAATTTCCTTTCTTTAAGAATGCTGAATATTGGCCCACAATCTCTTCTGTCTTACAGGGTTTCTGCTAAAAGGTCTGCTGTTAGTCTGATAGGCTTTCCTTTGTAAGTGATCTGCCCTTTCTCTCTAGCTTCCTTTAATATTTTTTCTTCTATTTTGAACTTGGAAAATTTGTTGATTATCTGTCTTGAGGATGATATTCTTGAAAAGTATCTTACTGATGTTCTCTGCATTTCTTGAATTTAAATATTGGCCTCTCTAGCCAGGTTGGGGAAGTTCTCATGGATGATATCCTGAAATATGTTTTCCAAGTTGTTTCCGTTCTCTCCATTTATTTCAGGGACACCAATGTGTTGTAGATTTGGTCTCTTCATAATCCCATATTTCTCAGAGGCTTTTTTTATTCCTTTTTATTCTCGTTTCTCTATTCTTGTCTGACTGTCTTATTTCAGAAAGCCAGTCTCGAAGCTCTGAGATTTTTTTCCTCAGCTTGGTCTATTCTGCTATTAATACTCATGATTGCATTGTGAAATTCTTGTAGTATATTTTTTCAACTCTATGAGGTTGGTTATGTTCTTTTCTATACTGGATATTTTGTCTGTCAGCTGCTGCACTGTTTTATTGTGATTCTTAGCTTTCTTGGATTGAGTTTCAACGTACTCCTGTATCTCAGTGATCTCCCTTCTTATCCATATTCTGAATTTTATTTCTGTCATTTCAACCATCTCCGCCTGGGTAAGAACTTTTGCTATAGAACTGGTTCAGTCATTTGTAGGAAAGAAAGCAGCCTGGCTTTCTGAGTTGTCAGAGTTCTTGTGCTGATTCTTTCTTTTTTTTTTTTTTTTTTTTTTTTTTAATTGAGACAGTCTCACTCTGTCACCCAGGCTGGAGTGCAGTGGTGCAATCGCGGCTCACTGCAAGCTCCGCCTCCCAGGTTCACGCCATTCTCCTGCCTCAGCCTCTCCAAGTAGCTGGAACTACAGGTGCCCACCACCACGCCCGGCTAATTTTTTGTATTTTTAGTAGAGACGGGGTTTCACCATGGTCTTGATCTCCTGACCTCGTGATCCACCCGCCTCGGCCTCCCAAAGTGCTGGGATTACAAGCGTGAGCCACCGCGCCCAGCTGCTGTTCTTATCTTGTGGGCTGATGTTTCTTTAATCTTTGAAGCTGCTGTCCCTTGGAATTTTTTTTTTCTTGTATTCTATTTTATGACCTTGAGGGTTTGATTGTATGTAAAAATTGGATTCTGTCTCATGGCTTCATTATTGGAAGATTTTAGGGGGCAAAGGCTCAGCTACCAACTGCTGGATTTTCTGCTTTAACTCTGGGGGACTGCTATCAGGCCCCAACTTTGTTCTCTGGCTCCTTGAAGTTAGAAATCCATTATGATGGGGATGGGGGTCATGGTGCTTCCAGACCACTGGTCACCAAACCCTGATGGGTGGTGATAGCCAAAGCAATTTGTAAGGTAAAGGTGGCAGGATCTGTCATTGTTCTCACGTGCCAGCAGTAGTGGCAGCAACAACAGGGCAGGGTGCATGCTCATCAGCTGCAGAATGGTGCTAGGGGATACGAATAAGGCAATGTGGGGTATGGCTGTGGACCCTGGGGAAACTGCAGTGGCAGAAGGGATCAGGCAGGCTGGTGCATGTCTACAGAGACTGCTCTGCTGGTCAGGTGCAGTCTGCCAGTGCAAGAGCTATGATGAGGGTCGCCAGGGCACCAAAGCCTGCACTGCAAACAGATACAGCAAGGCTGGGACCCCAAGAGAGGCCAGCAGACTAATAGGTGCTCAGGTCAGACTGGCCCTGTCTGATGAGCAAGACCTCCCTGCAGAGTTTAGGTCTGGCAGTTCCCCCAGGGCTAAAGTCTCCTACAGAAGAAAGTTGAGCCTAGGGGGATGGGCATCCCTGGACAAGCTCCACTACAGATGCTCCCACACCAAACCCTCTGGGCTCTACACCAAATGGAGTGCTTCTCCTAATACTTCACTAAGCAGCTCTTCCTGCCAACTCAAGTGTCCATAGTGGTTGAGGGGTCTTGTCCTGCCAGGATTCCAGAAGTCCATCATGAGAACAGGTTGCTCCTTGCCAGTTTAACTCAACCATTCCCCCAGAGTGGTTGGGGGCCAGGAATGAATCTCAGTGTGCTCTACGGTAGCCCTGTGCATGGTTCCCAATAATTTTTTTCTTTATAAATTACCTAGTTTCAGGTATTCTGTTATAAGCAACAGTAAATGGACTAATTACAGCCCTCAAAGAAGAGGAAATTCTGCTTCCAGGACACCTTCAGATTTGAGCAGCAATGTCAATACACCTCTGGGTTTCCAGCCTGCTCCTCTGTCTTGCAGATTTTGGACTCTCCAGCCCTATAATTGTGTGAGCCAGGGACTTAAATCTCCTACTGTCTTGCTCTCTCTCTCTCCACACACACACACACACACACACACACACACACACACACTTTATCAGTCTGTTTCTCTAGAGAACCCTGACTAATACAGACTAATACAGTTGTATTAATTCTAACATCCTGCCACTTGTTTTCCATTAGTCCAACCTATTTTTCTTCGTTTTGCTTCCTTTTTATTCTCTTTTCCTTCTTTGGGCTGAAGTTTCTTTTTTAGTTTTTTTTAAAAATTATTATTCCATTTTATTTCCCTTATTGGCTATTTAATGTTGTTATAGGGTTTAAAAATATACAACCTTAGTTTCTCACCAAGACCCCAAAATATATGTATTCTCACTGGGTAAGTCTAAATGGTATGATATCACTTTACTTATAGTATAAGAAATTCATAATAGAATACTTTCATTTCTCCTGTCCAAGTACCATCCTTTATGCATATAAAAAAATATAAAAATAAAACTCTAGTAACCTAGCTGCAATAAACTGAAATATGTTCCCCAAAATTCACATATTGAAATTCTAACCCCTAATGTGACTGTATTTGGAGATAAGGTTTTTAGGAGTTTATTAAGGTTAAATGAGGTCATAATGGTGGGGTCTCAATCTAATAGGATTGATGGCCTTATATAAGAAAAAAAAGAAAACTCTCCCTTTCTTGCCTTTTTCCCACCATCACCCACATCATGTGAGGACACAGTGAGAAGGAAGCCATCTGCAAGCCAGGAAGACAGGTTTCACAAGGAACTGAATTAACCAGCACCTTGATCTTGGACTTTTCAACCTTCAGAACTTTGAGAAGATAAATTTACATTGTTTAAGCCATGCAGTCTGTGGTATTTTGTAATAACTGAGAAACAAGTAGACAGATTGATATAGTATGTCATTAACACCTCATATCTTTCTTTTTGTCTTGATTAAACTTCTAATAGTATGGTCCTTGTGACATTGTATAGTAATTAACTCCTTAAAAGTATGTCTCTCTCACTAGTCTGAAAATTTCTTTATGAAACGGATTCTTCTTTTGCCCATTAGTATTGCTTTTCCCCACACGAAACATTGCCTTACCCTTCATTACTTTTCTATACATGTTGCTAGGAAAACACACACACACACACATACACACATCTCTACTGCATATTTGGCATGTATTTAACCAACCTGTGTTTAAAAACCATGTGCTCTCCACAGTTAAATTTATAGGGCATTACTGTGTTCTAAACTTACTACTAGAAAATTCTTTTCTCCTTCAAGATGAAATATCTATCTCAGCAAGTTGAATTAATTCTCTGGGTGCTTTCTATGGCATGCTAGATGAGAAAATTCTGGAGTTTCTCTCTCAGGATGGTTTTGAATATACCCTCATCATTCCCACCTCCATCATATTTTCCTGAGGCCTTTTAGTGACTTCAACATTTAATCAATCAGATCTTGTTTTTAATGTCTCTCTCCCTTCAACATAATGCCTTTTTTGCATGTGCCCATACGTGACTGAGTCCTCTTTAAATGATGACACCTAAAATATACGTTATGACTGGTCTGTTCTGATTAGTGTATAGTATTTTGGATTCTCACTTTCTCCAAATCTAAATTTTTCACTTCATTAGTGTGCCAAAGATAATATGAGACCAATGGACAGATCCATCCTCTGACTCATGTTTACTTAAAACAATTGAGTCTTTTAAACATGATATAAGCATATTCTCTTCTCACCATTGTGTGTATAATATCTAGTTCCCAATTTGTATAGAAATAGAGAAAATCTTTCTATATGATTTTTAGCTTAGGAAAATGACCATAGATATTCTCCTTAAGAGAAGAATCACATCCACAGATAGGACTGATAGTCAGTTCCTTGCTGAGAATACTTTGTTGAAGACTCAAATCCATGTTTGTACCAGATTATTGCTTGCCTCCTCAGCCGTCCAAGACAAACTGGTTATCTAAGTGGAATCTGCCAAAGGAGACTTGATATCCTTAAGCATCAGGGAGATTCAGCACAATCCATAATTTTTCAACCAAATTGCACCTTGGCTCTTCCTACAAGAAAAGTTATTATTATTATTTTTTAAAAGGATGGCTTTGGAAATATTAAATGAGAAGTTTCATATTTTTAGATTAAGCCAGCTAGATGAGTACATGGCATTAAAAAACTGAGTAATTAATCAATAAGCTTTAACATGGTAGAAAAGAGACGTTTCATGGTAATAAGAGCCAGAGTCAGAAACCAAAGAGTCTGTAAATTTTTCTCTTAGCAGCCACTTAGCGATATTGATCAAATTTTTTATTTTCTTAGCATCAATTTTTTCCTTATGTATTTTCTTCCTCTTTTCCTCTCTCTTTTCTTCTTTTCTTTTCTTTTTTTTGGTAAAATATTATGATAATAATCATAGTCTTATGCTTCATAGTAACATCTAGCCTGTTAGGTACTAAGATTGTTTCCGGCTATTTCTGAGAGAGGCTAGTTCTGCAAATAATACATTAAATTCAGCACTTACACAACGGTATTGCAAAAGGTACATCTGTTGGAATATACATTTCCATCAGATCCACAGTGAAGTGTGTAGTCCATGGTACATGCCTCAGAATACCTGGTACACTGAATCTGCTCCATCAGAAACAAACAAACAAACATGTTTTATCTTTCAAATAATTAAATCATAGAAAACAAACTTTTAAAATATCTTAAAAGATCATTCATTCCAAAATTCCATATGCAAAAAATATAGCTGCTGCACTTTACATACTCTGTCTCAACAAGGCTGGGAGTCTTGTCACAGCTAGGGACAGCTCAGTCCAGTTTAGGCCCTCCCTCTCACTAATTCCCTATATCTAAGTGATGAATACACCTTGTGGATTCTATCTGGTACTTCATTTCTGAGTCAGTCCTCTCCTCATCATACTGTCATCCACTTTATTCAAGCCCTCAATATGTCCTGTTCAAACGACCCCAGTTTTCTGCTAATTCTCTGCCCATTCTCTATGCTTATCTGAGGTTTCAATCACTCTCCACACTGATGCCAGACTGATCTTTTAAAAAGCAAAATAGATATTGCTCTTCAAATACTTAACTGATTCTCCATTAGGAGATAATCCTCTCCTGACTCATGCTTATCTCTTCAGGTTTGTCTGCAATGTCTTCTGCATCTTACTCTAATTAAACCTCAGGACTGAGTTCCCAAGTATTTCCTGCCCCTGGATATGTTTGTGCTTTTGCTCTTGCTGTTTTCCTATCTTGCCTAACTTTTACCAACTGTATCTATCAGGACAATTCCCACTCCTTCTTAAATGTCATTTTAACTACTTATAGAACAGTTTCACGATGATACTTCTCTTTCTCACCCATCAAATTTGGTTAGGTGCCCGTCCTAAAAATGAACTGTCTTTATTGTCACAACCCCATGTTTATAATTATCTTATATCACATTTTAAACTCTATTAGAATTATTGACACTCCACCCACCTAGCTTTTTACCCCTGAATTAATTGTGTCTACGCTTGTTTTTAAATTTTTTCATACTTTATTTATAACTTTTTTATTGTTATAAAAGCGTCTTAAGTTCCTAATTTTCCTTGAAATCCTCACCTTAACCTTCTAGTTAATTGCAATGTTAGAAAATAACTATATGGATAGCAATATATTCCAATTAAGGGCTATAAATAAGGTTTGTGAACTCTTCCTCTGCTATATTTCAGATCTGCTTAGGTTGGCCAGATGCCTTATCTATGAATATAAATAGTCATAGGTAATTTTTAGAATATGTATTTTTAAATGGTTGTTTTCTACGAAAATGAGGCATATTTTACATCAAGAATTAAGAATTAAGAATTAATAAAATTTCTGCATATACTTACACATTTACCTTCATGAAGTTTTCTGAGTTGAAATTCTTGATCTCTGGAAGAGAAGATTTTATTGAATGCATAATGTGATAATTTGAGATTTCATAGTCTATAGAGTAAAATAGTCATATGTTATTTCTTTGTTGTCTGACCTAGACTGAGAATGAGAAGCTCTTCTTGAATAACTATCCCAGTTGGTTAATACTGATAGTAAACATCTTTAATATATGAACATTTTTGAATCAAGTAAGAATATAAAAACATAAAATCAACACTAAAAGTAGATTGAGCATTTTTTAAAATCCTGTGAATATTCAGTGAGAATCTAAGACATAATATAGTGTGAAAACATTCTTAACTTTGCAATTAAGAAAAAGAAAATACACCCAAATCTTTCCCTGCCACTTAAAGTCTGTACAATTTTGGTATAGTCACTTCTTTCTAAATATTAGATTTCTGCTCTCTAAAAACAGGATATGAGATAATATAATTTTAATCTCTTCTGGTTGCATTAGTGTGTGAGCTAACATATACTGAGAGACCTTATTCTGGATAACACTTGCTGTGACACTTGACTTTAAATTTTCAAAAGGACTAGAAAATAGGAGAAAAGAAGGAAGAAAAAGATAAGAAAAAAGGAGCTTACTTCTATAAAGCACTCTGTGTTGGCTACTTAGCTAAGATTTGGCATGCTTTATCACAGTGAATCCTAAATTCTATTATAATTTCTGTCTTAGAGATAAGAACACTGAAGCTTGTAGTAACTTGGGTATTTGCATAATCTACAAAGTGGAGTCTGGATTCTAATCCGAATGTTTGACACCAAAGCCCATGATTTTAACCATGAATCATAAAGTATTGAATTCATACTACTGGAAGGCTGGTAATAATCATTGTTTCATTCTTCTAAAGTCTCAGATCTTGTTAAAAGTAAAGACTTAATATTAAACTTGTAGTGCTAGTAGTGGTGGGGATATGCTAATTCCAACTATTCATTTGTACTATCATTCTCTTCCCTCAACTTTTCTAGACGATCATGAGAGGAAACACAAATTCTAAAGGATAGATCAAAGTCATATATTTCCATATAAGTTCACAAGGTTTTATGTGTCTATGGCTAACAGCCTAAATAGAAATAGCTATCCTCAAAATTATCCTGTGGAGGAAGAAAAGTATAGGAGATTCATGAAAATGTGACCAATATATATTTCCTGCTTGAGACTGTTTCCTTAAATGCAATGTGGGTATCAAATGCATATAGGTAACAGCTAATACCCAAAAGATAGTGTATAATGTGAATGAGAATTTGGTTGAATAACCAATATATTTTATATATGTATATATATGTACAAAAGTAATTGCAGTTTTTGCCATTACTTCCAACAAGTACACAAACATACACATATATATATTTACATATGTAAATCCACATATACACATATATGTATATTTCTTTAGACATATAGCTAAGCTTTTCTTTTTCACAACTTTAACAGAGCATTGTGCATGGGGTATTGAGGAAGCACACAAAAAGTGGCATTTGTCAAGCCATGTTTTAAAAGACCAAGATTTTGGCCAGTGTGGGCTTTATAATCATAAAAAAAGACGAATTGGGGCTTCAAATTGAGTATAACACTTCCTGGTTTTGCATGCAAAACATGCATTCATTACTGTAAGTTTTCTGATCTGTGCCACATATTGGTCTCCAGTCTCTTGGGCATGCAGTCTTTAAGCCTTTAATGTATCTGGAACAGTTCACCTATAGTTGGAACAAAAAATAATGCCCTGTATTCCCATTATTAAATTCTATTCTTATATGAAGATGTTGAAGGGGAAGGAAGTGGAAAGAAAACTAGCCTCTTCAGCTTTTCAACAAACACATCTGAAGAACTTCTATGGACCAGGTGTTGTGCTACAGAAATAAACAGACCAGAACATGCGCTAAATAATAAGGGAATTTTCTGTTTAACAAGGAAATATCAATCTCTCCTTTAAGGATTCTAATGAAAGTCTAAAAGAATAAGGAATGTGAAAAATGCTCAGAAAATTTAAAATACTATACAAAGATAAAAGTTTACTTTATCTGCGGTTCTTTTGAGAAGAGGTTCCTTGTGCAAGCTTTAGAGAAGGAAATACCACCAGGAAGGCGCAGAGCAGACATGTTTTTACCTCCAGAGGAGTTACGTGAATCCACTGTGAGCCAGTTTAGCTACTTTCACAGCTCTATTTACACATTCACTATGACTTCATTTTTACAAATACCACACAGAGAAGGTTGCACTCACCTTTGTCCCTTTTGTTTGATCACCAGAAGAGAGCGAAGCAAGAATCAGTTGAAGAGGAGCAGTTGGAGAAAGAACAAATTGCACAGTTAGAAGTGCAAAGCTAAATCCCCATTGTTCATGGTAACCAAAACCCATTTCCCAGCAATAGTCCTTGCCCAGCCCAGCCCTAAAAGAGGCCATTTCTTCATGCAAGTCCAAACTCAGGATGAAGATAGACATGCATGTGGCTCTGATTTAAAAAAAAAAAAAAATCCAGTGGGGAAAGCTCTGTTTATTGAGAAAGGACTGTCACAGATGTCCAGGAGTTCCTGTGGGCATCCTCTGAGTAGGATGGCATGGGTTATGGTCCCAAAGCTTTATAGGTTGTTTCTGAAAGGGCAAGTCATAAACCTGAGGGATCCTGCTCAGGAATGGAACATACAGCCACAATCCTTTTATCCCTCTCCTCAGTCTCTCTTCCTCACACTAAAGATCTGACTCAACTCACTTTTGTTAATCAGGCCAATTCAAACAGATGCCTTCTAAATTTTCTTTAGACATTAACATTTATAATTTAATGAAGGCTGAATATATTACAGTTAACATAAACGCGTGACTATTGGAAAGAAACCCTGACTTGCCATATGGCGAGGTAGCCCAAGCAGTGACTGCTAGACCAAGGATGGCAAAAGCAGTGAAGCCCTTCATAGTGATGGTGAATGCCAATGATGGAGATATGCTGCTCTGAGCCAAGGAGTCCAGAGAGAGAAGAGTGGTCTATCCCATACAGGTATAAATACACAAACAAGGCAGGGTCCCTCCCACATCCAAGATTGACCTTTTCCATGATGATTGTCTGTTAACTCAAGATAGGGTATTTGCTTCATTTGTCAAGGAAAAGCACATGCCAAACCACATGGCATTTAAACATGCCAAAGGTCATGTTGCAATTTGATCTCCGATGTGTAAATGTTGGGAGGTGAGGCCTAGTGGAAGGTGTTTGAGCCTTGGAGAACCCCAAAATATATGTATTTCTCATGAATAGATTAATGTCCTCCCTTGGTAGTGAGTGGGTTCTCACTATTGAAGGACTGGATTAGTTACCAGAAAGCAGGTGTTATAAAATTGAGTTCAGCTTCCTAGATTCTCTCTCTTCCTTACTCTCTTGCCATGAGATCTCTTTGAACATGCCACTCACTTTAATGCTTCTCCACCATGTTTTGACCCAGAATGTCGCCTCACCAGAAGCCAGCCAGATGTGGTGCTATGCTCTTGAACTTAGCTTGTAGAACAATGAGCTAAAAAAAAAAAAAAAAAAAAAACTCTTTCCTTTATAATTTACCTAGCCTCAAATATTCTGTATAGCAAAACAAAATGAACTAAGACAGCTAATCTGAGGGTGAGCATCCCTACCAGAAGTTCCTGAGTAAACCCTTACAGCTGGAGCTCATCCAGCTGCTGCTTCTGAGTGTATAGGAATAGCTCCTGGCTAAAGAATGTGACATTTCCTGTTCAACTCCTCAATGCCTGTTCTACAAACAAAGGCTAGAACATAAGCAAATATGTTTAAGAGCTCACTTTTAGAGATCTTAGCAGTAGAATTTCTGCCAACTCTTTTTACTTAAAACTACAGGAACAAAGTTGATTCCAAAGTAAGAATATAATAGCTGACAGCCTTTCATTGTATAACTGACCCTGTGGATTTCTTTCATGTAAGTCAAGGCATTGGAATTCACTTTTTATCACTAACCCCATTGCTATATGCGGATTAAATCTACAAGTGTACTTTTTCTACCTCATGTCCTGTAGATATAAAATTGAAATATTCTACAAATAAGCAGAAGTGACCATTTCTGCAGATAACTAACAATTTTCTAAGATCACTGAATACAAATTCCATTCCTTTTGCCTGAAAACACAATCAGATAGACAATATTATTTATACAGAGAACACAAGACTAGGATTCATGAGGCTAAAGGATGTGGTGTAAAGAACATGAGATTACAAGCCATTCACTTAAATTTTTATTTCTGATTTATACTCACTTAGGTTTGCTCAGAAAATCACTGTTCCTCTCAGCTTCAGGATCTCCATGTATTAAGGATATTGGATAAATTATCTCTAAGTCTCTTCCAGTTCTGTCAATCCAGGATCTTATCAACCTTAAAGAAATACCTTTTCCTGATTGAGATCTTTGTCAACTACACATTATGTATTTAGCTAATAAAAAACAATTAATTAGTTGAAAGTACAATGTTAATTACAAAAAAAAAAATACACTTAACAGGATATTTTTTTCTGGGGTCATGCTACTCTTTGCCCTCCTTTTTAGCTGCAGCTTATCTAGTATTTCTGAGAACCACCTCATGATTATAGCCTTCTTCAGAGGGAGATGGGTACATTTCATAAGTTCATATTTCATGGAGCTAGCTTATTTCCAACAATGCCAGCTGTTTCCATCAGTGCTAACAATTTTTAATCTGTACCTGGAAGAGAATGCAGAATCCCTAAGTTCTTTGAAAAATAAGTTCCCTTCTCTATCCTTGTAGAGGCTTTATGTTACTGATCAGAACTGAGAGTGTCTGCCCTAAATATTACTTCCTTTTAAAATTCTTATCTTAAAGGTCTAAGTTTACTCAACAACTTTTAATGAGCAATTGCTTCATGCCCAGCATCGCATTCAGCAGTAGGGATAAAAACAATAATAAACTGTCTCTTTTTAAAGAAGTCACATTCCAGTGAGACAGACCAACTTGTAAATAAGTAGCTAGTAAACAGTGACAGTGGGTAATATAGGTGTAAGAACAGGGTGTTATAGGAGCATAACAAATGAATAAATAATTCACATTCATATGGGGAAGTAGGTCATGGAAGGCTTTTAGAATAAAGCAGCATCTTTACCGAGATGAAAAAAAATAGTATAGAGTTTGGGGAGGCAAAATTTCTAAAGTGGAAAGAAAAAGGGGAAGAGAAGGAGCAGGGATGGATAGAGTGGTTATGTTAGGAAGAGGGGACATGTGGAAACAATTTCAAGAAAATCATTCAAGTGTAGACAGGAAGGAGAGAAACACAAGTGTTGAGGCTGAAGAGGTAAACAGAGCATTCATGTGTCAGAAGAAGCCACTTCAAGGTTTTAAGCACAATACCATCAAATCCTAACTTTAGATAATTACCACAGGGGAGAAGGGAATGAAGGAGAAAGGAGTACAGCACTGAGATCTGTTATAAAGCTGTTGTGTCTGTTCATGTCCTTCACCCACTTTTTGATGGGGTTGTTTGTTTTTTTCTTGTAAATTTGTTGGAGTTCATTGTAGATTCTGGATATTAGCCCTTTGTCAGATGAGTAGGTTGCGAAAATTTTCTCCCATTTTGTAGGTTGCCTGTTCACTCTGATGGTAGTTTCTTTTGCTGTGAAGAAGCTCTTTAGTTTAATTAGATCCCATTTGTCAATTTTGTCTTTTGTTGCCATTGCTTTTGGTGTTTTAGACATGAAGTCCTTGCCCATGCCTATGTCCTGAATGGTAATGCCTAGGTTTTCTTCTAGGGTTTTTATGGTTTTAGGTCTAATGTTTAAGTCTTTAATCCATCTTGAATTGATTTTTGTATAAGGTGTAAGGAAGGGATCCAGTTTCAGCTTTCTACATATGGCTAGCCAGTTTTCCCAGCACCATTTATTAAATAGGGAATCCTTTCCCCATTGTTTGTTTTTCTCAGGTTTGTCAAAGATCAGATAGTTGTAGATATGCGGCATTATTTCTGAGGGCTCTGTTTAGAAGACATTTATGCAGCCAAAAAACACATGAAAAAATGCTCACCATCACTGGCCATCAGAGAAATGCAAATCAAAACCACAATGAGATACCATCTCACACCAGTTAGAATGGCAATCATTAAAAAGTCAGGAAACAACAGGTGCTGGAGAGGATGTGGGGAAATAGGAACACTTTTACAATGTTGGTGGGACTGTAAACTAGTTCAACCATTGTGGAAGTCAGTGTGGCGATTCCTCAGGGATCTAGAACTGGAAATACCATTTGACCCAGCCATCCCATTACTGGGTATATACCCAAAGGACTATAAATCTTGCTGCTATAAAGACACATGCACACGTATGTTTATTGCGGCATTATTCACAATAGCAAAGACTTGGAACCAACCCAAATGTCCAACAATGATAGACTGGATTAAGAAAATGTGGCACATATACACCATGGAATACTATGCAGCCATAAAAAATGACGAGTTCATGTCCTTTGTAGGGACATGGATGAAATTGGAAATCATCATTCTCAGTAAACTATCGCAAGAACAAAAAAACCAAACACCGCATATTCTCACTCATAGGTGGGAATTGAACAATGAGATCACATGGACACAGGAAGGGGAATATCACACTCTGGGGACTGTTGTGGGGTGGGGGGAGGGGGGAGGGATAGCATTGGGAGATATACCTAAAGCTAGATGACGAGTTAGTGGGTGCAGTGCACCAGCATGGCACATATATACATATGTAACTAACCTGCACAATGTGCACATGTACCGTAAAACTTAAAGTATAATAATAAAAAAAAAAGCTGTTGTAGTCAATCAGGAAGGAAGGATGATAGCTGGAACCAAATGTTTATCAAATTTTGTGATTACATGAAGGATAAAACTGAAAGAGGAAGACAAGGAGAATGCATAGATTTCAGGTTTGCCTAGTTTTGCTTTGTTCTAATGAAGTTTGGCTGCTGAGTAGGATTTTTCAACCAATTTGAGTTGGGAAATTGAACAGATCTGTGTTTTGAAGAGGTCATTTGAAAACAAACAAATTGTAAAAGATACAGCCCTTGTGTTGCTCTCCTTCCCTTCTACACTTGCCCCCTCTTCCTAGCACAACCACTTTATCCATTCTTGGTCCTTCTCTTCCCCTTTTTCCTTCCATTTTAGAATTTTTGTCTCTCCAAACTCTATACTAATTTTTCTCATCTCAGTAAAGATGCAGCTTTATTCTGAAAGTCTTCCATGACCTCCTTCCCCTATGAATGTGAATTATTCGTATTACAAACAAGTGTATTGCAGAAGGCTATCGCAAAAGTCTGCTGAAGTGAGAAAGAGGGTAGAAAATACATGTTAAAAAATAAGGTAGAGGCCACATGCGGTGGCTCATGCCTGTAATCCCAGCACTTTGGGAGGCCGAGGCAGGTGGATCTCCTAAGGTCAGGAGTTTGAGACCAGCCTGGCCAACATGGTGAAACTCTGTCTCTACTAAAAATACAAAAAATTAGCCAGGCGTGGTTGCCCGCGCCTGTAATCTCAGCTACTCAGGAGGCTGAAAGGAGAATCGCTTGAACCCAGGAGGCAGAGGTTGCAGTGAACCAAGATTGTGCCACTGCACTCCAGCCTGGGCAACCAGACCGAAACTCCATCTCAAAATAATAATAATAATAATGTAGAATGCAAGATGTCCATAGACTTGAGAAATAGTTAAAAGCACTATAGCAAATTAAAATAAAGTACCTAGAATGACTTGCAGCAAGACAGCGCATCATCCCTCAAAATAATCCAAGAAAAACTTTTACATGGTCAAATGAAAATTCTATCAAGAAAGAAAAATATTTTAATTGATGTTTTTTCCAGGCACCTATCAAAAAGTGACAATCTTTCTCTCTGTTCTCTCTTCATGCTTGAAGAATGATTTATTGTCATATGTTATTTACTTAAAAGATTAATTTCAGTACTGGAAAGAAAAGGGGATCTCTGTGCCAGGATGGTGCCCAGGAAAGAACAGGATGTCCTATTCTGCTTCTTTCTATGAAAAGAGCAGTTTGGGACATCATCATTAGTAAGGTCCTCAGCGAGTGTCATTTGAGGACTCATTCATAATCTAACTGGGTTAGATATTGGAGTAACCTTGGTCAAAGTCAATCAGGAAGGCCACAACTACACTAGTTAGCTCTGCTGCTATAACGAAGTACCACAGGCTGGGTGGTTTAAACAACAAAAATGTATTTTCTCACACTCTGGAGACGAAAAGTCCAAGACCTAGGTGCCAGAAAATCCCGTTTCTGGTGAAGGCTCTCATCCTGGTTTACAGGTGGTTGCCTTTTTGCTATGTCCTCAAATGACCCTTCCTTGTGCACATTCAGAGAGAGATCTCTGGTGTTTCTTCCTCTTTTTATAAGGACACCAATCCTGTTAGATTAGGGTCTTTCCCTTATAATTCCATTTAACCTTAATTACCTCCCTAATAGCTCTATCTCTAAATACAGTTACTGTGGGGGCTAGGGTTTAACCTGCAAATTTTGGGGGAATGATATTCAATCCATAAAATAGCACATAGATTTGGGGTACAAATGTGAGCTTCTCTATGTGTTTTTCTTGATTTCAAGCACATATTAAGTTTTTTATAAAAGTGAACTTTTAAAAATTATTACTGTTATTATCGTAAAATGAAGAATGTTGTTGGTGTTTGAAGGTGTGGAAAGGCACAAAGCGTAGACAAGTTGCAAATAAGGACAAGAGCCAGACATTCATCCATTACTGAGTTAGTTGGTCTGCACCAGGGAAACTACAGCCCCAGGGTCAGATCCAACCCATCATGTACCTTTGTAAATAGAGTTTTATTGGTACATAGCTGTGGGAACATGTTTACATAATATAAATTTATTTGCATTTGTTTATACAATAGCAGCAACAAAAGAGAATATATATTACACAAAACCAAAAATAGTTACAATTTGGCTCTTTACAGGAAAGGTTTGGAGATCCATAGTCTAGATAAGCGCTCTCCTTAGTTTCTTTCTTTTTTTTTCTTTAATACTGTGCTATAGTATCCAATCCATTTTATTAGAGTGAAAATTAGGTACAAATAAACAACAGCAAATCCTGATCCAAGATATCCACAGGACATGAGTGCTTACTTAAAAGATTAAAAACTGGTGAAGAAAATGGTATGTTTCAAGAAAATTAGAAACCATGCATACTTTTGTATTTTCTAAAATTATAATTTTTTAAAATTTATGTTGTCAAAAATATTTTGGAGGTTAAAACAGAAAAAAAATCACAGGGAAATTAATTGAATTAGAGAGCTTATTGAATAGGGAAAATTCTGACACCTTACTGTTTTTATATTAAATAATGATAACAAGCATTTATTGAGCTCTTAATGTATATGAGATCTTCAGTTTACGGCATTCATAAACTATATAATATAATCCTCATTGTAACCTGTAAGGTAGAAATTATTAGCCCCCCTTTTATAGAAGAAATGAAGACCCAGAGAGATAAAGTAGCATTTTCATTGTCATAGAGTTAGTGAGTGACAAAGTCAGGATTTGAGCTTAGATCTGCTCAGTTCCTAAGTTCCTGCCCTATTGTGGGATGGCAAATACCTGATGTTCCTGCCTTTTTTACTTCTCCCTGTGCCTATGGCAGGAATTACTAATCAACTACAGAATTATTTGCTGTTGGTTCCAGAGGTAACTTGAAGTTTTGTCTCATTTCTAATTTTAGATTCAATGAGTAAATGTGCATATTATTATATGGGTATATTGTATAATGGTAGACTTCTAGTGTACCTATCACCCAAATAGTGAACATTATATCGAATAGGTAATTTTTCGACCCTCATCCCTCTCCCATCGCTCCTTTTGGAGTCCTCAGAGTTTATTTTCTGTCTTTATGTCTATGAGTGCCACTTATAACTGAGAATATGCAATCTTTGATTTTCTGTTTCTGAGTTAGTTCACTTAGGATGATGGCCTCCAACTCCATCCATGTTGCTGCAAAGGACATGACTTCCTTCCTTTTCATGGCTGCATTGAATTCTGTGGTGCATATAAAACACATTTTTAATCCAATCAACTGTTGATGGATACTTAGGTTGGTTCCATGATGTTGCTACTGTGAATTGTGCTGTGATAAACATCCTAGTGCAGGTGTCTTTTTAATATAATGATTTATTTTCCTCTAGGTAGATGCTTAGTAGTGGAATTGCTGGGTCAAATGGTAGTTCTATTTTTAGTTTTTTGAGATGTCTACGTACTGTTTTCCACAGAGTTTAAAATAATTTATATTTTCATCTAAAGTATGTAAACGTGCTCTTTTCTCCACATCCTTAGGCATTTCTGAAGCCTGAAAGAAATGGGAAGGCTTCAGGAGGACTTCTAATATGAGAAAATAAGAGTTTCAAAGGGATAGATCTCTGAACACCCTTAATGCAAAATGAAATCTGAAGATCAAATTATACAGAGAAATGCATAACTATTTGGTAGTAGTGGATAGATGGGGCTGACAGAAGTATTTTGGCTTTCTTTAGTCCCATCTCAGCATCACCTTCTGGTTTAGAATTTTAGATCTAGTTTTGAAGCCTCAGTGAGATAGGTCTGGTTTTCATTTACCTCCTGTCCATCAGGATATAACTTAAGTAACCCAAAGATTAGTTTACTTGATATTTAGTGAAGCTATTTGTTACCATTTTGACATAGATTCCATTTTATATACACTCCTAATTTGTATACACCCCAAAATAAATCAACTTTTAGCTTTTTAAATCACAAGCAATGTGTTCTACACATTCACTCTCTTAACCCTAATCCTTGAGCCTCACAGTATTTTCTACTTTATTTTCCTTGGTCATGTTCTATTCCTGACCTCTGCACCCACCCTGCCCTCCACCTTTGATTCTTACTCCTGAGGTCACTGCGCTTCTCCTCATTTCCTTGTCTCATCCCATTCCAGACTATTATATCCTCTACCCCACTCTATCCCTAAGCCAAACTCTTTCTCTGTACTCGGAGTGATTACCAAAAATTGGTTAAGTCTTAAGGACAGGATAAGAATGTCTTTTGAGTATATTAATAATAATAAAATAAATATAAAGGGTTTGTGTTTATATTCTAATCAAATATTCAAAATGACATAACAAAACACCTTCTCAGAAAAACATATGTTTTAGCCAGAAAAAGAGTTTTTCTGGATTTCCTATAAGTGAACATGAAGAAGATAAAATCTCATATGTCATGGGCACTCTGAACCCATCCTATACATCCTGAAATTGCCAAATAATAATAATAATTCAACAGGAATTACTCCGAATTTCTCATGCTTGAAAAAATTACTTATTGGCCCTTCTTCTTTTTTTCTTAATGTAACATAGAAAAGAATGCAGCATAAGGGATAATTTATTTTCACTCAGTTACAAAGGAAAAATAGGGTTTGGTGATATTTTTCAACAATCTTCCTGTCATTCATCCTAGAAGAGAAGATGGGTAGGTTAGATGCTAGAACCCAGAGATATTTTAATTGAGCTAGTAGAGACTTAAAAAAAAGAGGAGAAAAATAACAAATTAACTTCCCAAATCCAAGTAAGTCCGTCCCATCAGGCTAGTTCTTCTGGAGCTGAGAACATCTTGCAGCAAAATGGATTTTCCATATAATTTCTCCCTATGGAGTGTTTTCAGAACTAGCCCAGAATTTTCAAGTGAACAAAGCGACTAGGTAGAGTAGGGATTTACAGAGTTTCAGCATAGAGGAAGGTGCTTACAAGCATTTCATCCACCCCTACCTAGTGTCTGCATTCCTCCTCTGATTTCCCACGTCCATTAGCTCATGGCAGCACTGCGTTGCCTAATACGGTGACCTCTATCCACATGTATCTCTTGAGTACTTGAAATGTGGCTGGTCCACATTGAGATGTGCTGTAAGTGTAAAATATACACCAAAATCAAAGACTTAGTAAATTTAAAAGTTTATATTGATTACATTAATAGTTTTGATATCTTAAGCTAAATGAAATGTATTATTAAAATTAATATTTTTATAATTATTAATTATTTGTAGCCTCTAGAAAATTTAAAATTGCATATATGGCTTAAATTACATTTCTATTGGAGAGTGCCACTTTAGAGGCTTACACAAATTGGTAATTAATTTTCTTAGTTCTTCCCAGATTATGGGTACAAGGAAATTGTCAGGAGGTAACTTAATGAATAGACATGAAAACTTACTGGTTTATGTGTTTGGATGGGACCTAAATAACCGAGAGGCAGTTATCCCATTCATGAAAATGTAGAAAGGGGAGCTGGTATGGTAATGAATAGTTAAGATGAAGCTGATTTATAGCTAGTTTAACTTTGTATAGCTGTTGGCTGATGGGAACCCATATCTCCCCACCTCTCTTCTAGACAGTCCTTCTCAGCTATGACAGCAACTTAAGCAGGAAAAAAGTGAACATTCTCTGTCCACCAATGGGTTTAGCAACACAAAAAGACAAAAGGGTAGAGTTTATTCAGTTTCTTTAAAAGCAAATATCTATTATCCAGATAGTGACAAAGAAATCCCAGAAAGGGTGTTCTGCTGAGTTTACTTTTATTGAACAGGCAGTTGGACAGACAGCATTGTAATCAGGACATTTTGAGGGCTCAGACTTGGTGGAGATGTCTTTATACCCTCAGATCACAGAGTCTAGGAGGAAAGAGATGGAAAAGACTGAAAATCAGTGAGTCCATTCCCAAAAGCTCTGTATTGTTTTCTATAGCAAATAAGACAAGCTCCGAAGAATTCTTTGTATATACAGATGGTGAAGGTAGGTGATTCAGAACTGGGGTTTATTTTTTCCCTCATGGCTTTCAACAATCTTCCTGTCATTCGTCCTAGAAGAGAAGATGGGTAGGTTAGATGCTAGAACCCAGAGATATTGCAGAAATGTGGGCTGTATATTTATAGCTGCATCTTAATCAAAGAAATCCATAGATCCTGCATTCTGCAAAGAAGTAGCAATTTAAAATCACTTTCACATTTTATCCAGTTTGATACAACAAATATTGAGCACCTAGTATGTACTACGTGTTGAGGTGGACACAAATATGAACATGGCTTAATTCTGCCTTTGATTACATGCAGCCTTCATGCTGATAAAAAAGAAGTAGGTGTCATTAGCACCATTTTGCAGATGAGGAAATTGAGCTTCAGAGAAGTTTAGTAACTTGCCACTGTCATGTTACGTCATAACTTGAATTCACTTCCTGTAATACGAATGTTTTTCTACTATAGTTTGTTGTAGACCACTAGAATGTAATCAGCTGTCTTCCTTTGCCTGACTCATCCATATATTTGAAATCAGCCTTTAAAACATTAAATGAATATTTAAAAATAATCTTAAAGGGGGCGAGGGCCTCAGGAAGTTTTCTTTCACATAACTGCACATCTTCAACTAGTACCACCTGGGGCACGAGCAGCACTGTCATTCCAAACTCAAATCTCCACTTCATTGCCTATATCAACTCCAGGAGGTTTTCTTTGGTTTGAAAGTAGCAAGCTTCGGTTTTCCTGAATCCTTGAAAATCTGTCATGAAATTGACAGATATAGATAAGAATAGTCATTTATCTCACAAAATAATATTTGTATTTTTCTTAATATAGAAATTTCCTTCCAATATAGCAAATCATCTTTTAATTGAGATAATGCCTTCTCAACAGCACTTAGTTTTCAGAATCTCCTGACAACTAAGGAATGGTAGTAGAGCACTGGAATTGAAGTCAGGATATCTACATTGAACCCAAGATATTATACTAAGGGACTTTAATAAGTGACAGTTTCCCCCAGGATGATTTTCTGTAAAATGGGAAAGACAGTGATCCCTGCCCTAATCAAATGACTATTGTAAGAGTACAAACAGAAAATGTACATAAAACTCTAAAGACCTATGTAAATCTTAGTAGTTACTGTATAATAGTTATTGCATAATAGAAAGTATTATGTACTTAGTAACAAAAGAGTGGGTTCCAAGATACTCAACCTACTTTTCCAAGAAACTTGTGACTGCCTGGACTCTTATTCTATTCTTGAGATTCCAGACTTTCTTAGAGAAACTTCCACCCAGAAATAAAGTTCAAACAACAGGCTTCCACCCCAATATATACATCCTTACTAGTCATCAGAACAATGCTAGGCCATGACCAGTCTGTACCAACTGTACCCGAGATCACACACTTGAATCTTACACAGGGACTGAAGTTCCACCTGTGTCCAGGACACGTTAATTTTTGTTTCATTAACTAACAGCATAATAATTTCTGTCATTATTAATGCCTGCTATGCAACTCCAGTGGAAAGCATACACTCAGAAATGGAAGAACGGCACTCTTTTACAACACCCTGTGTGATAAGCCCCGGCAACATTCTTCATTATTTAAAGAAATACATCTTATCAGTATAAACCTATGGCAAGTTCTTTATAAAGTAGTTTTTCCAAGTTGCCTACACAGGATGAGAGTTACAGGGAAGTGTGGTCTAAGGTGTGGTCTATTGGACTGGCATAAAGCTATTTTGACCTTTCTCTCCTGAGATATATGTAAAGGTGAGTTTGTGAGGACGGGGAACAGTATATTCTGTCAATAAAATGGGAGCCAACTACTAAGAATTTCTATATAATAAGACAGCAAACACAATATAGGGACTAGAGTTAAAGTTTAAACTCCCTTTTTATGGATCCTGGTAAAGAACCAGAGTAGAGGTCTTTAAATGGGTGGTAAATAACTTTGTCAAGCCCACATGAGAAAGATAAGGTCTTCTGATTTCATTCCAGTCCTCGGCTTCCTCTACATTGCTTTCAGCTGCTAATGTGAAACTAGGAAGACTCTAGCTTATGATTCTTGTTTTCACAATTTCCCTTAACAAAGATTGTTGGGCAGACGTTTTTAATATGGCCTTATCTAGTATTGCTTGACTAAGATTTTCAAATCTGGCTGAATAGTTTCTGATTCCATTATTGCCAAAGCTTTTTGTGGCAGTGGAATGGAGCAAAGAGAATGTGAATAATAATAAATAGCTTTATTAAATATAATGCATTAAAATATTGTTTATTACACATAATTTTATCAAACTACAATTGACAATAATTTATTAAAAATAAATAAGCACTATACCATGGTCTGTTAGAAAAAGTTCATACTTTCGACTCTTTTTCTAAATTCATACTTTGGTCTTAGGCATAATAATAATAGTGACATTAATTTTTCAGACACTGTGCCAAATGCATAAAAGTCAGTATTTATTGAATATTTTCATAGGTCATTGGGATATTTGGTTTAGAGTATTTATGTGATTTGCCAAGAGTCTCGTATAAGCACAGCAAAAACTGAAATTTGCACTCACATTTATCCCATAACAAAACATTTTTCTCTTATTTGAAAATTCCTATTTTTTCATGTTACATACCATCTCCCTGAGGATGACTATTCAAATAGCCACCAGGGAGAATGTTAAATTCAGTAACGTACGTTGAAACATCCTTTCAGGAGTTTAAATGAAATTGGTCAACTTTTAATGCTGGGAAATAATTTAATACAATGTAAAGTTCAAGAATATGGGCATTATATAGAAATTGTTTAAATCCAACTCTGTCACTCTCTGACCTCTCTTGGTCTCTGTCTCATCTTTTTATTATAGATCACAGAAAACAAAACCTATCCTGAAATAAGTAACGTTATGTTGGAGACATTGCTCATAAACAATCTATTAATGGACCCATTAAATATTTTAAAATATTAACTGCTACATTATTTCCACTTATTTCAGTAATTACTTAATTATCCTTATAGTGAAAATGTGACCAATTCTGGGTCACCTGACCTAGTGTCACCTCTCTGGCCAGATAAATGTCCATTACTCAGTGGAAGAGAACAAAACCAGAACCCAGTGCTCCTCACAACGTAACCATGGAGGCCAGTCTACTTATGTACTTACAGACGGGGGCATGCTGGCTGCGGTGGTTCCTGGGGTGCTGCTCTCCTCACACTTCCCTGTACTGCGGATGTGTGTATTTGTTTGGCGTATCCTAAAACAGATCAGAGGATGCTTCAACAACGAGGAAGTTCTCAGTTATAATAAGAAAATAAATAAGGACCAACATGCAGGACACTTGGGTATCAAACCAAACTGTATTTAGAGGGAGGATCTGGGATCTGCATTCAACTACTTTCATTTTCAGTAGGTATCATCCAGGCTGTCTCTCTTCTGCTCCAGATTCATCCCCTAGCCCTGGACCTATCCTGTCACATTTCATTCACTGATATATTCATAGAGAATGTTGGAAATAAACTTGGAGATCATCTGGTCTAAAGGTGATCTCGCATTTATAGATGCGAGAATCAGATCCCAGAGAGATGTTTGACTATATTGAGTACCAATAATACGACCTGGGGAAAAATATAACAAGACACAAATGATACAGTCTGAGTTTTGTAGTTGGAATGAATCTTAAGGAGTACGAATTTTAATGCCTCTCACTGGAGAAATATTATGAATCAGACATGTACTTGTTTGCCTCTGGTAATGGGAAACTCATTATCTATCAAGGCAGTGCAATTTGTCTTTTAGCATTGCTTAAATTGAAATTGCTCTCATATAACTTTCTCTAAAACCTTAGAAATGAATATTGTTTCCTTTTGCCTCAGATAACCTGATCCTTCTTTATAATATCTACTCCCAGCTCCCTTAGCTAAACAAACTATCCTGAGGTATGCTTTCTTAATATTTTCATCATTTCAGTTTCTTATGCTAAATTTCCCTTAAAAAGATCACTTGTTATGGGTCTATAAAGTTGATGAAAATGTTGAAGAAAATTATATGGATAATTTAGGCCCTGACATTTATAAGAAAGAGGAATTAAAGGATTTCTGGGCTGGAGATAAGGTATATATAGTAATGGAATTCCTGGACAGTTATATTTATTCCTTAAACGGGAATTTCTTAATTCTTAAAAACCTATAAGGTCTACAGATGAATTTCAAGTACTCCACGAGCCTATGAATATTATGTGTGTGGATTGTTCATATCACATTTTTTTAAATTTTCTTGAAAGGAGTAACTTTCTTCATATTATCTAAGGAATCTTTGGTCTTTGACAATTTAAGGAACTACTGTCTTAGAAATAACAGTAGTTTAGTGGAGAAAAAAGAAAACTGTATTTAGATCCAAATCAATAAGGTCAAAATCCTGTCTGATTTACTCCCTAGCTTTGTAACTTTAAACAAATTACCTGGACTCTCTGAGCCTCAGATTAACCTTCTGAACAATAAAGATAATAACATTCCATAGCAGGTTGCAGGGATTCAGTGACTGAAATCTGAAAGTGCCTTATCTACCATACCTTACCTATAGATGAAGTATACCTACCATACCATACCTACCATACCTTACCTATATCTACCATACCTTACCTAAAAGATGAATTCTTTTAAATATTTTTCCAGGATTAAAAAGCAGGATATCAGGGAGTCCTATCCTCATGTTCTGGGCCTTGCTTATAGTGTCCTAAGAAGGATAAAGTAGTACTACAATGTAGGTCTGGGGTCAGGTGAGATGGGAAAACCAAGGTTTGTCACCATTCTCTCCTTGAAAGCTGGCCAAATGGTGGCCAGGAGAAGGGAAGGGATGCATATAGAGACAAGGGGAAATTATTTAAAAATTATTTTAAAATTCAGACAGCATTTGAGCAGAGTAGCAACAACAAAACTAAAGCCAATAATAAGAGTATTAAAATGAATCCCTTGTATTTAACTTAAGATAAAAATATTTTCATATCTAGCAGTTCTTTTCAATCATCTGTGAAGTCAGCAGCTCAGAGAACTGTCTCCATTTCTCCAATGAAGGGAGTGAGATTCAGAATCATGAAATAATATGCCTCCAGATACCCAGATAGTCATAAATATGAGAGCAGACATCAGATCAGCTATTTATTTATTGGGCTTTCTTTTGTACAGTGCACTTTCCTTTTGCAAGGTACTACTTCTTTCAAGAGGCAGGGTTAAAGAAATGGGGAATATGTAGCTATATTATAGTCACAGGACCTTTTAGATATAATACACTGGGCTGGGTTATATAGCAGTAGTTCTCTACTGTTTTTCTCCACTACACACAGAATGAATGATGTTCACACTCCCATGACTGTACACAGGATTATACCAATATTCTGCAATTGTAACTCCACTATTTTTTTTCTTTCTCTTCTTCTCAGTAGAGCATATAACAATGTAGGTAAGCAATTTACCAAAGGAATAGCCTTAAATCTTTTCTATTTTACATATAAGAAAGATAATTCACAAATTTTGAATTTTTAACTTCTATGATGAATAAATTACTTGCAACACATTTCGAATTTATATCAGTGCATTACTATGGGTTAACACTCTAGCTGAGAAATTCTAAACTGGAAGATATGATGGGGCAACTTGAATACTTACAGGTTTTCATGACAGAGCATGCAAGGATTGTTGTAGGTTTGGCCATCGTCACCACAGACAGGCTTTAAATCCTTTGGACAAAGATAACCTATCCTGGGCAATACTCGGTAGTCTTTGCACATCTCAGAATCCTGAAGAAGCAAAAAATAAAGCAGACGTACTTTATGGCATTCAAGAAGAGGGGTGGGCTTAAGAAAACCTCTTGAGTTCCTTAATCCAACTTGAATAAATGGTTGTAAAAGGAGTGTGATATATGTTATTCAAACTCAAAGATTGATTTTGCACCATATGAGGTGGATTTAACTTCCTGTATTTGGCAATTTTTAACTTGACAAGGTAAGTAAACAAAGAAACAAGGAGTAGCAAAGCAATAAGAAAGCAAATATCCTTTATAATATGTGACACAATTACCTGCCCATAAGAAGAAATCTAGAATGATAGGCATGCCAGAAATAATATTCGCCTTTTTAAGTGAAGGTATTGGTTATATACAGCCTAGAAAGGAAAGACTCAGAGGTAAATACTCATAAATTGCATGAGTTTTTGAGTCCTAGCTCTACCACTAACTAGAGAAGTAACTTATCTAACTTTTCTCAGCCTTAATTTTCTCACCAGAAAATCATAAATAATAGTAGTCCTTACTTTATATTACTGCTTGAAGGGATTAAAACAGATAATGCATGTAAGTTCATGCTTAACGCAGTATCTGTCACATACTAAGTGTTCAGTAAATTTTAGTTGTTAGTATGTTTTCCACGGTAAAAAACATATGTATATTTTCCATGTAAAAGAAGAAACATATTTGCTCTTCGTAGTGTTTTGGAAGTATGAGTTTAATAATTAATGATAATTCCAAGACCTTGATTAGTTTTTTAAAAAGGCAAAAAGTAGAGCCAAAATATAAAAAAAGTATTCAAAAGCAAATAGGATGATGGAAGACTTAAATCCAATGGTATCAGTAATTACATAGAATATTAAGAAGTAAGTACTCCAGTTAAAAGACAGAAATTATCCAACTGGAAGAACAAAAAGAATCAACTATATAATATTTATAAGAAATATATTTATAAGTAAAAGGATGAGTTCTAAATAACTCATGACTCAAAGTAATCATAGAATTTAGAAATGAAATGAATCACAAAGAAAATACAACCTATCAAATCCCAGCAGCCAAAGCAGTAATTTGGGGGAAAATTATAACTTTAATACATATATTAGAAAAGAAAGAGGTTCTAAAATGGATGATCTAAACTTTCATCTGAAGGAGCTAGCCAATGATGAGCATAGAAAATTTTTTAAAATAAGTAATAAAGAGGAGAAATTGATGAAATAGAAAATAGAACAAAGCCAAAAGTTAGCTGCTTGAAAAGAATAAGTTGATAAGCTATTTGCAAAATTGACCAGAGTCAAGAAAACATATATTACCAATATTAGAGATAACAGGTCATCACTATATGAGCTGTAGATACTAAAAGAATAATTTAGAAATGTTATAAATAACTACATGCCAAAAAATTTGACAACATAGATGAAATTAATAAATTCCTTGAAAACTACTTACTGAAAACAGATACAAAGACGACATAGAAAATTTAATAGTATTATATCTGCTAATACTCATTTTGGAGGAGTCAAGCAGTATTTGTGTACTTGTTCCTTTGTTTTGATAAATGATTCAAACACCTAAATGAATTGCTTTAGATTGTGGTGAGTTCCATATTGGTACAAATATTCACAGAGAATTTAGATAAGTAACTTATATGAAACCCTGGCAAAGGTTAGACTCAACCAGGTATATCAATTGTATTTTTTCAGGTAACTGGTGCTATAATGTTCAAAAGGTACTACAATGTTCCTTACTCTCTCTCTCTCTTCATTTTTTTAACATAGTACATCAACTCAAAAAATTCTGTTGACTCCACCTTCAAAACAGACCCAGTATCTTACCACCTCTCAAGAGCTCCACCACTACTAACATGGTATAAACCAGCATCATCTCTTCTGTAGACAACTGCAATAGCTAACTAGCTGTCCAGCCCTTGCCTCCCTGCAGTGTTTTCAATAGGTATCAGGCAAAGTTATTCCTTTAAAACATAAATCAAATCATATTAGTCTTCTCAGAACCTTCATTCAGAATATTAGGCAAAGTCTTTAAAATTGTCTACAAAACCCTTTATAACATGGCCTCCCATTAGCTTCCTGACTTCCTCTTCTACAGCTGAGGTAGCTCTATTTCAACAACACTAAACGCTTTGCTATGTTTTCTCTCTGGAATATGTTCTCCTCAGATATACCTACAGAATCAATACCCTTAGGTCTTGATGTAAATGTCACCTTCTGAGAGAGTTATTCTCTGTATATGTCACTTAAAATTGTATCCCCTCCCCTCCCCATCTCAGAATTTACTGTACCATTTTTTTCTGCCTTATTTCCTCCTTGGCATTATTTTTTCATTTATTCATATTATTTATTGTATCTGCTTTTCCAATATACTATGAACTTCATGTAGTGAGCGCTATCTGTTTTGTTTATGGCTATTAACCTAGCATACGTAAATAATGCCTGGAGGCCGGGCGCGGTGGCTCACGCCTATAATCCCAGCACTTTGGGAGGCCGAGGCGGGCGGATCACGAGGTCAGGAGATCGAGACCATCCTGGCTAACACAGTGAAACCCCGTCTCTACTAAAAATACAAAAAATTAGCGTGGTGGCGGGCACCTGTAGTCCCAGCTACTCGGGAGGCTGAGGCAGGAGAATGGCGTGAACTGCGGAGGCGGAGCTTGCAGTGAGCCGAGATCGCGCCACTGCACTCCGGCCTGGGCGAAAGAGCAAGACTCCCTCTCAGAAAATAAATAAATAAATAAATAAGTAAATAAATAATGCCTGGAAAAATAGCAGGTGCTCAGTAAGTATTTGTAGACTGACAAAAGGACTGCCGGCTTGATGAAAAAAATGAATAATGAAAGATTTATTTCTCCAAAAGAAATAGCTCCAAAGCAGACTGTAGCTTATGAGGGAGAATGAGGGGGCTACTGGTCTGCTGATGATATCTTATTTCTTGCTGCTATCACAGGTATGATCACTTTGTGATATTTCATTTAGCTATTTACTTGCATATGTACATTTCTTCTATGTAACTATTATACTTTAGTATTTAAAAAAAAAAACATATTTTGTTAATAGCTCTTCTCCATGCCTTCGGATCCCTGATGTGGAGCTCAATTTACCAGAAATATGTAATTAATGCATATTTCATGTATGTAACTCATCTATTACCCTAGTTGAATTGGGTGAATAATGAAGTAAAATTCATGTTTGATACCTTTCTTTCTCCTTTTCTGGGTCATCAGCCTAGGTGCTAAAATCTTCCTTTTAGGGCCCAATCTGAGAATCTGCTTGATGTTCTCATATCCTCTTTGCTCCTTTCTACTCCTCATCTTGTGAAGGCTCTACAAAGTAAATCTTATCATGCTAATGTAGACTAATACTTACATTACTGGTGACCATCAGCTACGAGAGAGAGGAAGAGAGAAGGGTGGGGTCCTGTTCTGTCACCCAGGCTGGAGTGCAGTGGCACTATCACGGCTCATGGTAGCCTCGACCACCTGGGCTCAAGCCATCCTTCCACCTCAGCCTCCCAAGTAGCTGGAACTACAGGCACAAGGCACCATGCCCAGCTAATTTTTTTTTTTGTAAGTTTTCTAGAGACAGAGTTTCACCATGTTGCCCACAGTGGTCTCAAACTCCTGGGGCCAAGGGATCTGCCCGCTTGGCCTCCCACAGTGCTGGGGTTATAGTCATGAGCCACCGCACCCAGCTCAGCCTATATTTTAAACAAGAAGCTTTAGCTACTGCGAATTGCTAATTGGCGGAAATTTATACCTGTGAGCATGCTTGGCATAGAGTTCCAGGATGTAGAAACAGATTTGGTTGGAGGAGGGAAATAAGCGGAAGCTAGGTGAGGAAGCTAAGAATACCAAGAGGTATGCTAAAATTACAGAATTGAGGCACCTGACTATGTATTTTACCATATGTGAAATTAGTCACAATTATTCCACACACACATTGTAAATTTCAAAATGTACTAAATTGAAGCAGGGCAAATAATCTCAAAGGGCACAGGATAAGGCACTAATGAGAAATCCCAGAACTCTCACCAAGCATAAACTGCATATAGTCCTCAAAGGACTTCAGGCTGCACTGAATCAGCAAACCTCAGACCCTTCTATGAAAATAGCAAATAGCAACAGGTCAAAAAAAATCAAGAAAATTAAATTGATAAGTAGCTTTTCAGAAATAGTCCTCCTTACCAGAGAACTGAAAGAGTCTGGGCTGTCTTCCTCTTGAGAAGCTCTAACATGGGATGGCTTTTCTTGAAGCTTTGCCCTTTCCAAAGCTTCTGTTAGACTAGAGAAGAAAATAAAAAATAATTTAAAATAAGAAACAGTTCCTATAACTTCCAGTGAGAAGTTAAGCAATCCTCATAAAATGTGACAGAGGCCAGGCATGGTAGTTCACGCCTGTAACCCCAGCATTTTGGAAGGCCCAGGCTGGCGAATCACCTGAGGTCAGGAGTTGGAGACCAGCCTGGCCAACATGGTGAAACTCCATCTCTACTAAAAATACAAAAATTAGCTGGGCATGGTGGTGCACACCTATCATCCCAGCTACTCGAAAGGCTGAGGCAGGAGAATCTCTTGAACCCAGGAGGCAGAGGTTGCAGTGAACTGAGATCGCACCATTGCACTCCAACCTGGGCAACAGAGTGAGACTCTGTCTCAATAAATAAATAAATAAATAAATAAATAAATAAATAAAACAGAATCACAGAACATTGAGATAGTGACCAGGATGACATATTAAGAAAAGTACACAATTAGGAGCTGGTTTAGAACTTTCATCACTTAACAGATGACAAGTGGGTTAATGTTCTGAAGTTTTGATTTTCTAGAACATAAAATGGGAGTAGTATTTGGTAATTCCCCCTCAAAGAACACTCACTATGAAAAGCTAAAGAAATTTGATTATTGTTGTGTTCACAGTGTGCTTTACAACCATCATCATCATCATCATCATCATCATTTATAATGTCCATTGGTCTCCATTTCTATTTGCTTTTTAGAATAACCTAGAAACTCTTTCTAAAAAACAAATTCCATAGCCCCAAGATTCTGATATAATATATTTTGGGGTGTAAAAATTTGTATTTATTTTTAAAGGCATCTCAATTGAGTCTGATCTAGTTGTGGAATAAAGATCTTGAAGAATTTCTTCTAATTATGATGCTGAAAGTTGAAAACAAATTGTTTAATGACACAGCTAGTATACATCTTGGTTAGAACTTACATACGGAATTTTTGTCTCCAAGTCTCAGTGTTCTTTCTACTATATCAGGTGTTCTCAATTTGAGGGCTTTAATTCTAAAGACTTATTTTTAAAATCCCATGGGGTTCATAAATATACAAACTTATTCAAGCAGCAGTTTCTAAAAATGCAGTTCCCCTGCTAGCTACAGGGGGAGCAGAATCCTCTTACTCACAAGACAGCTCTGCACATGTAGCACTTGTTTGTATAGAACTTTCCATCAGCACCGTGCACTGGGTCATTCTCTCTAGGGCAGATGAGTTCATTGTTCCTTATATAGTTTCGAAATTCACTGCACTCATCCTAGAAAATGAGAAAGGGAAAGTGAACATGGCTTTGTCCCTTTTTGGCTTAGTGATTTCTTCAAACTTGGTTTTAGGAAGTCCTCTCTTAGCTCTGGGCTCAGACTCACTGTACTCATCCTGGCAACAGAGGCCAAGGAACGCCCAGGTTGTCTAAATTTTGCATCCTCCGCTTCATTCTGAACCTGTCTGCACTGGTCCTGAAAAATGTAGGGAAACATAAAACAACACTTGATAGACCTTCCTGTTTTTTTCTCCCGTTCATCCATCCTTCCTTTCCCCATTTTCCCCATGAAGCATGCTTTTGACAAAAGGACAATTGCTCAGGGATCTAACTCTACAAATGTGATTGTTACTGTTAAAGAATTGAATAAAGATGTCTTCTTTGTAGTCTTGAAAAATAAATAGAAAAGAAAGCATCACGCATGCACACTGCTGATTCTTTAATGCTGATAGAATCATCTGGTGAAAACAGAAGGGAAGCTAAAAGGGAGACTTAGATTGGTTTATATTGCCTGAATTATTAAAATAAACATCAGCAAGCTACCCAAAGCCTTGTTTCACACTTAAAGTGTCAAAGATAAGCATGCAGTTGAGTTGGTAAAGAATGTTACCCTCTACTTTTCAATCCATATTTCTCCCAAGGAGGAAAGACTAAAACAATAATAGACACACACTCTCAGAGAATTTTCTACAAAATCAAAAAAGGTATCAAACCCCCAAACCCCCAAAAATCTTGTTATGATACAAAGTGACAAGACAAGAAAAATCAATTTTCTTTGAAGTTAAGATATTAATATATTTATTATTCCCAAAGCTGGAGAAGAATGCAAAATTCTGAAGGTGAAAAGTAAAATGGTTATTTTGGTATCCTTTAATAAATAACCTTTGCATTATTTGAGGGCTTGCTACTTGATTTCTCTTCATCTTTCTTTTTTCTTTCATTAGCTTCTCGATCACTGCAGAATAATTAAAAAAAAAGATAGGGTAATTTTTCAAGGGTTGTTACTGAATTGTCTTTAACCAAGTATTTCTGCGATTCTAAACATTAGCAAATCTAACACTGTTTTCTTATACCTAAAAAAAAATCTAAGAATATTTTTATAAGCTAATCAGTTCTGATTGTTGGAATTTTCATGATAATATATTTGTGGCAATGCTATCAACTTTCATAGATGCTGTTACTATACTCTTATCCAGAAAAATATGATCCTAAAAGGTCTTTATTTTTCCTTAATATAATAGACTTAAGACTCTCATCTAGAAAGTTGCTATAATTCTCATTTTTACTTTTCCAATTAAATTATAACCAAACTCACAATATTGATTGTTATTTACATAGGTATAATGCTTTGAAGTTCATAAACATTTTTAAAATGTCCTTGAATGTTATTTACGTAGGTATAATGCTTTGAAGTTCATAAACATTTTTAAAATGTCCTTGAATCTCCACAAAACTATATTGTTCAGTCATTTTTCCCTCAGGAGGAACTGAGGCTCTGCACAATGAACTGGCCTGTCCCAGGTTACCTAGCTGATAAGCTACCTCTTCCTACCCCAGAGGTTCTGGGTATGATTATGCTTTTCAACATCAAAATAAAAAAATTATTGTGAAAGTGCTTTGGAAATTGTCTCTTCAAAAGAGAGGAGGTATCATATCATTAATGTGTGATGCCAAGTATCTTAGGTTTTAAAAGTAACAAAAACTAATTTCTAGCAAACAGGCACAACTATCAAATTTATTGATAAACCTTTTTACGTACAAGATGCTCTGACACATAGCACATTTATTGATGTGCATCTTGCCATATGGGCCTCGAACAGGGTTATTTTCTCTGGTGCAGATAAGCTTTCCATTTCTCTGCATGCTTCGAAATTCACGACACAGATCCTACCAACAGTAGCAGAAAAAGTTGTTACTGTCATGGTATAATCTTTCAAACCTGATAACATGATTGACCGATTAGATATAAACTCATAACACAGGAAAAAAACAGAGAAGTGAAATTTCAGAGAAGAAATATGTTTTAAAGGCACTTTATTCAATCTCTACCTAAGAAGTTTGAATCTTCTCCATTGCATCTCTATCAAATGATTGTCTTGCCCTAATGGAATTTCACTAAAGCAGCCCATTCCTTTAAAAACTATATATATATATATTGCAAGCAAGATTATATATATATATATATATATATATATATACACATATATTGCACCACTGCACTCCAGGCTGGACAACAGAACAAGATTACATATATATAACAAGATTATATATATAGATAGATAGATAATATATATCTATATATATAATATATTATATCTATCTATATATATATATAATCTTGTTATGTATATAATATAATCTTGTTATATATATATAATCTTGTTCTGTTGTCCAGCCTGGAGTGCAGTGGTGCAATCATAGCTCATTGCAGCCTCCAACTCCTGGGCTCAAGCAACACTCCCACCTCAGTCTGCTAAGTAGCTAGAACTACAGGCATGTGCCACCATGCCTGGCTAATATTTTAAAATTTTTTGTAGAGACGGGAGTCTCTCTGTGTTGCCTGGGCTGATCTTAAACTCTTGGCCTCAAGTGATCCTCTCGCATTGGCCTCCCAAAGCACTGAGATTACAGGCATGAGCCCCCAGTGCCCTGTCCCATCTCATTTTAATACCATTTTCTATGAGGCAGAGCCCCAAACCTGTCTCCCTATGAGTGCACTCAGTATTCCACACATAAGTCTACTTCAAAAGCCCTGGAATGAACTAAACGACACTCTTCTGGCAAAACATAAAAACACGTAAACTTTCAGCTTCATTTCTCAACCACAATTTACCAAAAAAAAAAAAAAAAAAATTATTGTGCGAGGTGCTTTATCGTGTGGTTTAATAGATTTCCTTTAGTGGTTGTAAAAATCTTATAAGATAAATACGCATCATCCCCATTCTACAGATGAGAAAAATAAATCTCAGAGCTATTAAATAAAGTCAGTGTTGAATTTGTGATCAGAAACCTGCTAACCACCAGGTTATACCTTTTTACTTATTTGCTTTTACAAGTCAGAGAATAAAACTCCTATGTGTGGATAAGTATATGGAGCTGCCTTTTGTGTTCATTGAAACATAATGATCATAAAAAGAAGCCAATAGAACCGAGTCTACAGATAGGATCTAGAATGTACTAAAATCTTCAGAGAGCTACAGAAGTCTCTGGAACTTCCTGTAAGCCCAAAGAGCCAAAGTGGTGATATGGAAACATTACCTTAAAAAATAACACAGTAACCTAGATTGTACTTACCCTTCTTTCTTTAAATTGTGATGTCCGTAAACAAACAATTCCAGGCCTTACTTTTAATTGCAGCATTTTAAAAAATTCTCTGGAATTAAATACCTATCAACATATTAAATGTCTCACAACCACCATTTTCACAAATTACTGGAAGTATTTTCTTTTCCAGGTGCTCACAATACCACATATTTTTATAATAGCACTCCTCTGACTGTATTGCAACCCTCCAATTCAGTCTTTGGCTCTTCTATTCATTAATTATGTGTAGTTCACTTCTCTTAAGTTTTCCTGAATTCTAAAAAATTGGAACAATATCACCACTGAATAGATTTTGGGGAGGTTTAAATATAATTATTGGTAAACCTTATTTAACGTTGCATGTGTAGATAAAACGGTAGTTCTCTATTTGACACACACACACACACACACACACTCACACACAATCTCAATATTTTTATTTTTTTTTTAAGACAAGTTCTTACTCTGTTGCCCAGGCTGGAGTGCAATAATGCTATCATAGCTCACTGCTGCCTTGAATTCATGGGCTCAAGTGATCCTCTCACCTTAACCTCCCAAGTAGCTAGAGTTACAGGTGTGCACCATCATGCCTGGCTATTTTTTTTTTAATTATTATTATTTTGTAGAGACAGGGTCTCACTATGTTGCCCAGGCTGGTTTTGAACTCCTGGGCTCAAGCAATTCTCTTGCTCTGGTCTCCCAAAACACTGGGATTAAAAGAGTGAGTTACCACACCCTGCCTCCATATTTTCTTTATTTTTTTTTTACTCAGTATTTTCTATATATAAATATATATAGCATTTTTCTGTTCAAAATTTTTTAAATAAGGATCATAAAATTAAAAATTTACCAAGATTTTAAATAGATGTCCTTTAGAGATCATGTGAAGTTGTGCAATAAGGTTATTTTCTCAAAGCCATTTCATCTACCGTAACACACAACAGATATTCCCAAAATATTTTTAAATAATGATAATTACTAATAAGGTTTCATTTTCTTTAGCCACTACAGGCTTAATGAAAAGTTGCCCTACTAATAGGAAAAATCTTCCCAGGGAAATTTCGCTATTTATCTTTTCTAATTGGAGTCCGTCGGTGCATTAAAAGATTGTGCTGTGTAATATTCTACGTGTTGGTGTTGTAGTGTTGAATACTATTTATAAGGACCAAAACTGAACACTAGGTGGCAATGAAATGCCAGATCAAGAATTTATTATCTCAAACTCCAACTTTTCTTCTTTTTCTTTTCCTTTTTTTTTTTTTTTTTTTTTTTTGAGACAGAGTCTTGCTCTGTCGCCCAGGCTGGTGTGCAGTGGCGCTATCTCAGCTCACTGCAAGCTCGCCTCCCAGGTTCACGCCATTCTCCTGCCTCAGCCTCCTAAGTAGCTGGGACTATAGGCGCCCGCCATCGTGCCCGGCTAATTTTTTTGTACTTTTAGTAGAGACGGGGTTTCACCGTGCTAGCCAGGATGGTCTCGATTTCCTGACCTCGTGATCTGCCCGCCTCAGCTTCTCAAAGTGCTGGGATTATAGGCCTGAGCCACCGTGCCTGGCCTCAAACTCCAAATTTTTGATACTGATTTTCTTTGTAATTTTTGGCATCTGATTGCTTGATATTTATTTGTTTAAAAAATTCAGAAACAGCAGAGTGCGATGGCTCATGTAATCCCAGCACTTTGGGAGGCTGAGACTTGAGCTCCGGCAAATTGCTTGAGCTCAGGAGTTCGAGACCATCCTGAGCAACAGCAAGACCCTGTCTCAAAGGAAAGAAAAAATTCAAAAATGAAATTCACTGGCTAACTACAATAATTTGACAGTTGTCACTGGTTCTACAATTGCATCAGAGTCACTCCTGGGGAACTGAAGAGCATGCTATTTATTTTCAAGATCTGGCCATGACTTCATTGTTTACCGTTATATCACCAATGATTGGGACAGAGTCAGCATTTCACAAATATTTGTTGAATAAATATACCATACAATGAACTAACTGAATTCAGGTATTAGCGTGTCTAACATCTATTACCTCTTTGTCATTGCTCCTTTCTCCTGTATTGCTCCTTTCTCCTGTATTGCTCCTGTCTTCATCCTCTTTCTTTTTTTTTTCAGCTGCTTCCCTTTCCCTGGGGGGAAAACAATGAAACATTTCAATCAAAGTGAACAAACGCCTCATTAATTACCAGATCTGCTTCTAAAACAATTGTCATTTTCCCAAACTGGTAAGAAATGATTATTGTACTTTAAGACTCACAGTCAAAAGCTCATTTTGAAACATACTCACAGTTTTTCCTTACACATAGTACACTTATTGCCATGTGTCTTGCCATCTGGACCCCGGACAGGGTCACTTTCTCGAGTGCAGATGAGTTTTCCATTTTTCATTTGGCTTCTAAACTCATCACATGTATCCTGAAAAGATGGGAAGATTATATTGGAAGTGCTGTTTTTACATAATATTTGATTGGATTTGAGAATCAGAGGATTTCTTTCCAAGAGTCAGGCAGCCATGTAACCTTGCTGTGATAGGCAAAATAATGTCCCACAGAGAGAGACGTCTATGTTCTAATTCCTGGAACCTCCAAATATGTTGCTTTACGTGGCAAGGAGGAATTATGGTTGAATATGGAATTAAGATTGCTAATCAGTTGAATTTAAAATGGGGAAGTTACCCTGGATTATCCAAGTGGGGCCCATGTAATCACAAAGGTTCTTACTCATTAAAGAGAGAGGCAGCGGCAGGACAGTCAGTGTGAGAATGATAAAGCATAAGAAGGACTTGACTGGCCATCACTGGCTTAAGGGTGGCCACAAGCCAAGGAATACAGGTAGCTTCTAGAAGTTAGAGAAAGCAAAGAAACAGATCCTCACCTAGAGCCTCCACAAAGGAATGCGGCATTACCAACATCTTGGTTTTATCACAATCAGACCATTTAAAACTTATGGAATCCAGAAATATAAGATAATAAATGTGTGTTATTTTACGCATCTGCTTATAGTAACTTACACTAGCAGCAAAATAATGCAAAAACAAAAATAAATCCCAGTATACTTGCAAAACCTCATTTTCCCTATCTACGAAATAAGGTTAAAAGGCCAAATTTGACCAGGCTGTTGAAATAATTAAATAAACTGTAATTTATAAAAATGCCTTGTAAAGTGTCAGACTTAAAGATGTCCACTTGGCATTAGGTTTCTTCACTGAACAAGTTATCAGTGAGAGTCACTGATAACTTGGTAACTCCTGACCTTCTAAGGGCAAGCTCTAGCTTGATCATGTTGACACCTTCTTCTATAGTTTTGATCGCCAACTGCTGACTCACAGAAAGACGATTCTTGCCAAAACCCAAAAAATAACTCACCTTCCCTGATTCTGATCCAGTCCCATTTGATCTGGAGCGAGAATACTCATTTTTTCTCTCTGCTTCTCTTTCCCTGGAGGAGAAAAAAGTGAATATTCATCTTGTTAACAAATATTGACCCTGGATTATGCACTAAGTGTGTCCCGTGCAAATGACAAGAAGTCAGCTTTCTTCAACTGTGCTGGTCAATGATTCCAAATGGCCGTGACAAAGTCTTCCTAGGATTCTGGCACAATAAAGAACAAGGGTCTATCATGATAGCACTTAGAGTTCACAGAATTGTAATAGAAAATACAATAGAAATCAGCCACTTGGTTAGCTGCCCTTGCTAAGGCTCATTGTTCCTTAGAGAACGCAAGAGAAAAAAATAGAATATTTGGAAATTAGCAAAAAGAATAATTTGCATGGAAGGAGCCATAGCAAATGAGAAATAGCCATTCATTCAAGAGGAATGTGACTATATTTTAGACATGCCTGTTGAGAGAAATACTTACAATTTTGCTTTACACATGGTACACTGATTGTTGTACGATTTGCCATCAGCATCACGTACAGGATCACTCTCCCGAGTACAGCTGAGTCTTCCATTTTTCATTTGTTCCCGATACTCAGCACATTCGTCCTGAAAACAGAGAAGAACGAAGAGCCCCTGGATTACTTAGTCTACTGTATTCTTAGTAAATTGTTTTAACAGTCTGAGTAAGAGAAGTTCTTTCACCTCTCTTTATAAGAAACATAACATTGCCGGGTACGGTGGCTCATGCCTGTAATCCCAGCACTTTGGGAGGCCAAGATGGGTGGATCATGAGGTCAGGAGTTCAAGACCAGCCTGGACAGCATGGTGAAACACTGTCTCTACTAAAAATACAAAAATTAGCTGGGCATGGTGGCGGGTGCCTGTAATCCCAGCTACTTGGGAGGCTGAGGCAGGAGAATCGTTTGAACCCAGGAGGCAGAAGTTGCGGTGAGCCAAGATTGCTCCATTGCACTCCAGCCTGGGTGACAGGGTGAGACTCCATCTCAAACAAACAAACAAACAAAAAAACCCCTAACATCTAGGTCTGGCATCTGCAGAGAAAAGGGGACCAGAATCACCCATGTTGTAATTATAAGAGATGAGTTGTCATGGCTACTAATGTTGCTTTTAAGGATCTACACAAGGAAATTATAAATATGACTGAATTTAATAGCATATATTAAATGTCAGCAAACTACAGTTTCCCCTTGGTACACTTGGGGGATTGGTTCCAGGATCAAAATCCATGTATACTGAAGTCTGTCAGTTGGCCCTGTACAACTCACCTATACAAAAAGTTAGCCCTCCATATATGCAGGTTTCACATCCCACAAATCCTGTATTTTTTATCTAAGTTTGGTTGAAAAAAAATTAAGTACAAGTGGACCTGGGAAATTCAAACCCATGTTGTTCAAGGTTCAATTGTATAGCCCACAGGGAAGATCTTTCCTGCTTCCTGTTCTTACACATAAAGTTTTACTGAAACACATCCTCACTCATTTATTCAGATATTATTTTTTTGCTTCTTTCCCACAACAATGGCAGAGTAAAATAGTTGCAGCAGACATCATATGACCCACAAAGCCCACATTGCTTAAAATATTTAGCTGGCCTTATACAGAAAAAAATGTGCAGGTCTCTAGTGCAGATAGAAGAGAGAGAAAAATGCTGGAGGAAAACCCAAAGTTATGCAAAATGTCAAGGAAGGTAGGTTTGACCAAGTTATGAACAAGACACACAAAATGTCTATCAGACAATTCTAATCAACAGGGCTATTCCTTAAAAGGGAGAACTCAGCCTCCTAAAGCAAAAAAGATGGGAAAAAAACAGAATAGCCAGAGTTTATCAAAGGTAAATATTGGGCCTTTGTCAGATCTGGAAGTGAAGACATGGTTTTGATATTCCAAGGTTGTAAAAAGATAAATAAGGCGACTGCAATTTTATGAAACTGTGTTCAGAGACCCAAGGAGTGACCTTATGTGCAACATTGCCATGCTGACACTTAAAAATGCCTCAAGAAACATGCTAAACCTTTGCCTAAATTATTTTCTTTTATCCCTGGAAGAGTACTGCTAAATCAGGGAAAGTAGAATTCAGTGAGAGGAAGTAATTTACTCAATGTCTCACAAGTCCAGGTAGTAGGAGCAGAATCATAACCCAATCTGACTCCAAAGCCTGTGCTCTTTTGTCCTATCATGCTGCCTTGGATCAACAGAAAAGACACCTAAAAAAAGTGGCTCTGTCCAAGGCAAGAAAGAATAATGAAAGAAAATGAAGAGCATGTGATACTGATGAGAACGATTATTGATATGAGGTCTAGATTACCATAAAGAGGGCTCAGGAGACTGGGATAAGGTCATTACATATTGTTAATTATTTCAAGGTGTAAAGAAATCCAAATGAACCCCAGAGCAGTGAAAATGTGCTGATATCTTACCCTGCAACCTTAAGGAGAAACTTCTCTGTTCTCTCAAGGACTTAGCACTGCCTTTACCATAGACTATATACGCTATTCACAGTCCTATTGTCAAGGAGTTGAGCCCGCCCCAGTTACTGAAATTAGAGGTTGCTCTCACCTGAGTGTTTCCTCCTCCACCACCACTGGAACCATGTCCTGCAGCATTTCTCTGATCTTCCTCTTCTTTCCTCTTTCTTTCCTCATTTTCTTTCTGGCTGGAAATTAGAAAGTGGGAGGTAGGGAACAATAGATTACAGAGAGTGGTGTGCATTTCTTTGAGTTTCTCATTATATGAACAAATCACATATGTACAGAATTATCGAGCATTGAGTTAACATCTACTATGCTGCAGGCCTTCTCTAAAAATAAAAATATAAATTATATGGAGTCCTTTGCCAGGAAGGGTCTCATTAAAATAAAAGAACACCACATATATATCACCATAAACAAGACAAGGTGAGTAAAGCTGGGTGTGTTGGTTTGCACCTGTAATCTCAGCACTTTGGAAGGCTGAGGTGAGTGGATCCCTGAGGTCAGGAGTTCGAGACCAGTCTGGCCAACATGGCAAAACACTGTCTCTACTAAAAATACAAGAATTAGCCAGGCGTGGTGGTACATGCCTGTAACCCCAGCTACTAGGGAGGCTGGGGCAGGAGAATCACTTGAACCCAGGAGGCAGAAGTTACAGTGAGCTGAGATCACACCACTGCACTTCAGTGTGGACGACAGAGTGGGACTCCATAAGAAAAAAAAAAAAAAAAGACAAGGTGAGCAATTAACTAACACTTCATAAATGTTCACTGGGGATCTCCAGCTGTGTTTATCGCCAATACCTAATGTTCAAGAGGCCCCAAAATCATTATCTTCTCTACCAAATGTATTCTTTCTCCTGGATTTTCTACCTTTCACAAAAAAACAAACACAAAACAGTGGAATCATCTCTAATTGCTTACTGTCCTTCAGCTTGCATAGCTGTCACCACATGACATTGACTTCACCTTCACAGCATCCCCCACCTTGATCCACTCGCCTTCTAGCCTACCTCCTTGCTCTGCGTAGCTGCCTCTTCCTGGGTTATTTATTGCAGCTCCTCCCTCTACATGAGTAGCAATTCTTAAGTTTAGTACTTTCTTTCTCTTTTTCTCCTGTTTACTGCTAACAAATGAATCTTCCTAAAGGAACAATATTTATGCCACTTACTGTCCTATCTGAACAACTTTTGCAGCTTCCCATTACATGTAGAATTGACCTCGAAATCTCTGGTGTGCATTCAAGGTTGATAAAGTTGGTAAGTTCTGACTAAACTAAATGACTTGTTTTTTTCCTAATTTTAGATCCTTACTCTTGCTGTTCCCTTCTTCTCCTCTCATTACTTTCTGTCATGTCCACATTTTATCCAAATTATAAGGTCTAGTTTTATCCCACCATAAAACTTTCTATTAATTATCCCTTTCTTGAAGTACTGTAACATACCACAGACAAATTTTTCATTCAACAGTCCCTCCTTTGTATTATATTACCTTACGTCTGTGACTAATATCAGTGGACTATATGATTTCTGAGAAGATTATCTATTTCATTCACCTTTGTATAATCATTATACACATTATACACATTGTACATTGTAGATGTTTGGTAAATGCTATTGAAGGACTTAAATATTCTAGGTGTACTTCCAAACTTTGTGTAAAGACCTACTTTTCATTTTCTGAAAATGTGTTATTTTCAACAATGTAGGTAAGGACTTTGACATTAAAATCTGTGTGTTTTCTTTCCAACATGAGTTGCGAGATAATCCAGAGAAAGGATCCACTTGATAGCAAATAACTTAAGAATTTTATCAAGGAAGTGTGATCTACTGGCAGGGTCTACCCCAGAACTAACAGAGAATGTAATAGCTTAGTTGTATTTATTTTATTTCTAGAACTGTGAATCTTGGCCATTATAAAGAAAAGATTTATTTCAAATGCTTTACAGATAACCTTCTGTTTCTATTACATGTAAGGAAAGGACAAACACAATACATATTATTTGCCTGGCTCATTGCTTCCCCAATTCCACCATCCCACAGTAGTGGTTTTCTTTGTGCACTCACAAGACTGCCTTACACATGGCACACTTGTTGCCATGGGTCTTGCCATCTGGGCCACGCACAGGATCATTTTCTCTTGTGCAGAAAAGTTTTCCATTTTGCAAAAGTCTCCGAAATTCATCGCATGTCTCCTAAAAGGAAAAGAAAAGGAGAAAGCTTGAGTATCTTCTGGGAAATTAGTTTACTGGGTTCCTACTAAGTGCTTTATAGAAAAAAAAAAAAGAGAGAGAAAATGACCTGAGAATTTTTTTTCTGGCAGTTATAGTGTTCAATTTATATTAAACACAAAGGACTTAAGAAGGTGGCTGTATTTCTTTTTCCTTGATAGCCCCAAAATCCAGACTAAACCTGCAACCATACACAAGACTCTCAATAAACTTAGTTCTCTGATGACTGGGCACACTCCTTGTTTAGGGTTACGTGAGAAATTGAGACAGAATAAGCAATCACTGAAGTTCAAAGAGTTAATTACAAATGGCAATTACAATTGATTTTGTATTTTATTCTGAATTCTTTAGTTCAAGTTGAAATTCAATGAGGATGAAAGAGGGAATTTTTCTCCTAGCTCTGCTTAAAGGTTCATTGCCAGATCCCCTAACTAGTTATATTTAGCAAAAGAAAAAATAATGAGAGGAGAGTTTGTCTGTAGTAGTAATGTGAAATCAGAAATTAGCTCATACTGAAGAATTTTCTCTTGTAGATGTTGAAGAGTGAATCTATTTTTCATATGAACTGCTATTATTTTTAAATTTAGAATTATTACAACTGTGCAATACAACTGTAAACAAGCCAAACATACAGAGTTCCAGGGCGATACTTCTTTAGAGGTTATTTTTAATCTCAATAGTCTTTGATGGGGGCAGGGAAATGACCACAACTTGGAATAAACTACTTGGAGCCAGCCTTTTTGAATCCAAGAAAATATTATTTGGGGATGCTACTTTTTAATCTTTTTCCTAAATGCTGGCACCAAAATATAACCACAGGTAAAGCAAGGAACACATGTGTTGACCAAATGTGGTAATCCAAAAACAAATAGTGTACTAGAAAGAAGGCTGGCTGTGGTATCAGGAAGTCTAGGATTGAATTCTATTGTTCCAGAACTTTGAAATATGAAGCTATTGGTACTGATACTCATACTCCCATTAACTTTACATGCAAGTTCTTCTTTTTCTCTGAATTTTAAATCTTAATATTAATATATGGGAACAGAATAAATCAGGGGTTTGCAAACTGTGACCTGTGAGCAACATCTGGCCAGCCGTTTGTTTTTATAAATAAAATTGTATTGGAGTCAGCCATGCCCATATGTTTGTATACAGTCTAGGGCTGTTTTACAGTCACAACAGCCAAGTGGAGTAGTTGTGACAGAGATTCTATGGCCACAAAAACAGAAATATCTGCTATCTGTTCTGTTAAGAAAAAGTTTCTCAACCCCTGGACTAAATGAACCCCTAGTTCCCTCACAACTGGGGTTTCAGTAATTCCATAGTTATTTTTACAGAGATACTGCAAAATCTCATCCTTTCATTGCAGTATAAACATTCAGGATTACTACCTTTTCAGCTTCTCTTTTGACTTTTGCTCTGGGTTCAGCTCTTTCTTTTTCTTTTGCTTCTTGCTGGCTATAAGAAAAGGGAGGACAAAACAATCATTCCTAGCACCCAATACATACTACCCTAAAGGAGAAATGTCTCTACATAAAAATGGTCCATTACTTCTATACCTCCACCAACTTAGCTTTGGAGTGGAAAGGTAAACACACATCTCTCTACATCATTGTTCTTGTCCTTTTGTTTGTTTGTTTTTTGGTTTTTTTTTGAGATGGAGTCTCACTCTGTTGCCAGGCTGGAGTGCAGTGGCGCGATCTTGGCTCACTGAAACCTCCTTCTCCTGGGTTCAAGCAATTCTCCTGCCTCAGCCTCCCAAGTAGCTGGGACTACATGCGTGCACCACCATGCCCAGTTAATTTTTATATTTTTAGTAAAGGTGGGGTTTCACCATGTTGGCCAGGGTGGTCTTGATCTCTTGACCTCGTCATCTGCCCGCCTCGGCCTCCCAAAGTGCTAGAATTACAGGCATGAGCCACCACACCCAGCCGTTCTTGTTCTTAAGGTTGTTTAAAGAATAAGACGCACATGCCATAGCAAACCAGTGAAGAAACTTTTATGACTATATCTCTTTTGAAAAATAAAGATATTGTTCTTCTCCCCAGAAATAAACTAAGATATCAATTAGATGTTAACTCATTTTCAATTTATTAGCACCTAATGATTACACCTTTGGATTATTTGACAGTGACCTATGCTTGCAGAGAACAGAAGTCCTAATCCTTTTATGCCATTAACTCCAGTGTAATTTTGCTCTTAGCACATGGTCCTTTCTTGATGGTGATTCAAGTACCTCTCAGACTATTGAAGAACACCAGAAATAAATGGGCTGAATATATGGCTTTATAATAGTAAATTTCCAAACTCAGTGCAAAGACAGCCTTTATTATCTATCTCCTGGAGAAAACTTCCAATGTCACCCCTCTTGCCCACCCGATGCTGATCTTCTCCCACACTCAGTAGCAGCAGTGGCTGCCGCCCACTCACAAGAAGGCTTCACACATGGAGCAGGTGTTGCCGTGGATTTTCCCATCTAGACCCTCAATAGGATCATTCTCTCTGGTACAGGGGAGTCGTCCATTCCTCACATAATGACGATATTCACTGCACAGCTCCTGCCAAATGAAGCAGAAGCAGGTTTTAAGAGTCCAATAACTAAACACTAGAAATCTTCCTCCACAATACTGCTTTAAAAACTAAAACATAATGATTGCATGGAAAAGGTGATGCTGAAGGTTGATAGTAACCAAAATGCTTTTCAGAGAACTAGGTCACACATTTGGAACATGGATTGCTGTTATTTATCTCATTAGAAAACCTTCAGGTCAAATATTATTCTGCACTAGGCACTGTGAAAGATACAGAGAAGAAAAATGTATGGCCTCTTAAATTGGTAAAGGAATCTGTGGTATACAGAATAATACCGTTCCACCAAATACGTCTAAGTCTTAATACTTGAGACCTGAGAATATGCTGCCTTACATGGCAAAAAGGGCTTTTCAGATATAATTAAGTTAATAACCTTGAAATGAAGAGATTATCCTGTATTGCCATAATGGGCTCAGTGTAAGGCTCAATCACAAGGATCAGTCCTTAAAACTGCAAGAGCGAGATGGAAGACAGAGTGAGAGGGAGATGTAACCACAGAAGAACAGTCAGAGAGATATAACATTGCTGGCTTTGTAGACAGAGAAGGGGGGTCCAAGAACCAAGGAACATGGACGGCCTCTAGATTTGGAGAAAAAGAGATGGATTGTCGCCTGCAAACTCCAGAAAAGGAATACAGCTCTGCCAACCCTTTGATTTTAGCCCAGTGAGATCCTTTTTAGCCTTCTAACCTATGAAATAAGATAAGAAGTTTATGTTATTGTTGTTGTTTTCATTGTTTTTTATTTTATTTTATTTTGTTTTATTTTACTTTAAGTTCTGGGATACATGTTCAGAGCATGCAGGTTTGTTACATAGGTATACATGTGCCATGGTGGTTTGCTGCACCTATCAACCCGTCACCTAGGTTTTTAGCCCCCTCATGCATTAGATATTTGCATGAGGGGGCTAATAATATTAGATATTTGCATGCATTAGATATTTGCATGAGGGGGCTAATATTAGATATTTGCATGCTCTCCCTCCCCTTTCCCCCAGTCCCCAAACAGGCCCCGGTGTGTGATGTTCCCCTCCCTGTGTCCATGTGTTCTCATAAGTGGGAGTTGAACAATGAGAAGTTTATGTTGTTTTAAGCCACTAAAGTGTGCTAATTTGTTATCGCAACCATAGAAAACTAGCACAGAGTTTTTAATTTCTTTGAAGAAAACACATAGAGGCAACTATAAGTTATAATACAATGAATAATATAACTAAAATACTTTTTAAATTGTTGGCATAACAAGTGATAGAGTTATTAAGTATATTGCACACATGGGAAAATATTTAGGGAGCAGTTAACACACAGTCTGAGCCATGAAAAGTGGCCAGAATTTTGGTAGACAAGAGGGATATTCTGACTGTGAGTAATGGCATATAGAAGGTAAAGTTCATTGTATGTTGAAGAATTGGTGAACTCTCCAGTATGGAACACCCCACTGGACAATGAGATTAGACCAATAATGACATTAACAGCAATAAATATAATATTAAAGAGTGACTACTTAAGATATGTGTGACACTGTGCTGTTATACATTAATAAGTTTCTTGGGACTTCATAAAAATAATATACGTAATAATAATGTCCTTATCTTATAAGTGAGAAAGCTAATATATGAAGATGTTAACTGTAGGACCTTACTGGTAGGGAAATGAAGCAAGGATTTGAACCCTGACAGTCTGAGCCTAGAGTCCAGTTTTTTAACCACATTGTTTTTGTGACCACGTGATAGAAAGCCATGAATCAATGCTTGGGATGTCCCAGAAACCAAAAGGTGGCCAGTATAATTGGTGCATGGAGAACAATGTAGAATAATAGGAAATGTGACCTATGAAAAGTGGCAGGGATCAGACCATGTATGGCACTTCCAGACACTACAAGGACCTTGATTTTTACTTTGAGTGAGGTGAGAAGCCACTGGGTAGCACGACCTGCCTTATGGTTTTAAATAATTACTTTGGCTTAAGAGTTGAGAGTAGATTGTAGAGAGCAAAGGTAAGAGCAGTAGAAATGAGCTCTTCTAAATCACAGAAGGACAAAAGAAAAGAATAATGAGGACCTAAGGCATAGTCTGCAGGAATAATACAAATGGCAGAAGCGTGTAAAATCTAAAGTGCATCATGGGCCTTAAAGCCAGAACTTTTGGTTCAATTCTTGGTTCTCAAGTTACTAACTACATATAATTATAATTATATATGATATTATTTGTATCATATAATATTTATGTTAATATATAGTAAATAATATATCAGTATATAATTGTATTATATGTAACTAATTAAATATATTTCTTAACTTCTTATGTCAGCTTCCAAGTCCTCTTCTATAAAACACAGATAATAATATGTCCCTTCAATGGCTACTACAAATATCAGTCATAAAACTTTATGCCATGATGCATACAGTAGCAACGAATGTACAATTATCATTGTTATCACCATCATGTGAGATGTTAAAGAATGCAAACTCAAGACTCAGAGATGCTTTTATCTCCTCAAAATCTCACAGATAATTAAGTGGGATCCCTAGTTGTTGCTGTTTTTAAGGTAAATATTCATATTCAAAAATGTACTTGAGAAAAATCTGAACATCTGTCTCTATTAGTCTGCATTCAGACAGTAAGATAACAATCTATATATACTTCTTTCTTAGGTAATATAATTGACACAATCAGGGGAGAAAATGGTGATTGATCTCTCTCCTGCACGAGCAATTAATAGATTTAATGTGAATAAATTGAATAAGGAAAGGGGAGTACTCTTGTATATGGGGATCCAAACACATTTTCCCAGTTTGCAAAGAAACTAAGAATACTGGAATGAGGAGGAGGGAATAGGAGCCCTCCCTAGGGAGAGTGATCGTTGAATATTTATGTGGCTCTGATGATCTCAAACAACTACCTGAACTGCTTCTCTCTTAACTTTTTCAGCCTCGACTTTCCCTTTTTCTTCTTTATCATTTTTCTTCTCTTCTTCTTCAAGTTTGCTGTAATAGAAAAAGAAGATATAGGCTGAATATGATTCCCTACTCTTTTTGGTAGTACATTTTTAAAAGGAATGAGGATCTTCCAAACCAACAGTCAGATTCAGTCTTCAATACAAATTTATCTAGTCTGAGAGGTGCTTTTGCTTTAACCAATAGTACAGATAAACTTAGCTGTTTACATTCCCCCTCTAAAGAAGAATAATTACAAAACAAGCATGCATCTTTATCAGTCTGTGGCCCTCAGGTGATCTTATTTTTTGTACGTCGCTAATTTTAATTAACATTCCGAATAAAGCTACAATTGTCTTGATTTTATTTCACTGCTTAAACCTTTCCTCTCCAAGTAACTACCATATCCGTGATAAAGGCAAAGGGTGATGCTAAGTCAGATGATGGGCTCAAAATCATAATAAACCATGTTTTACTTTAAACTAAAAATTTTAAATATTATTTCAATGGAGCTAATATTGAAGTTGAAATTCAAGGTTTAGATTGCAGTAGTGATTTAAGTCCAGTTAGATTCAACTGCTAATCTTTGGGGGTTGAACACAAGCCTAATATTCTGGTATTCTTGCCATTTTCTACTGACATATAGCATGTTAATGCTGGAAAATCCTTAGCATTTACTACATTTAGTCATTACCACAACACCAGCAAATTGAACGGGTGAGAGAAAAACCCTGGCTTCTTGAATTTCAGGCCACTTTTCTTCTAGTGCTCTACTCTGTCAACCTCTCCTTTTAGGGAATTGTATGCATCCACTTAAGGTTGGATCAAGACATGTGAAAGTTAGGAGACATTAACTTTGCACCTCAGCAGGTATTATTTAAATAAGCGTTTTTCTCGGCATTTATTTTAGGGTTAAGTTCAGGAGCAGATTAAGAGCCTAAAAAGGAGAATTAGAAGTGATAATAATTAACCTCTATATTGTCCCACACGATGGAGCTGTAGTCACAGGCTTACCTACACCACTCAGCAAAACAAAGACCTTAGAAGGCCATGAACCTGGCTTAACAAGGAGACATTTTAGTAAACATTTAGGGTATGAGCCTGTTTCCTAAAGGTTTTACTCCACACTAAACCACTTATGAATGTTTGCATTATATAGTAATGTCCTTGAAAGGATAAATAACAATCCTTCCTATTCCATTTATTGTTCAGGCTATTTTAATAGTCTTTATGTACTGACCCCACAGACCTCCATCCAGCTGGCTTCTCCTTAGCTCCTATCTGAATAGACTAACAAATCATAAAATGTCAGGAGTGGGAAAGACATCAAAAAGATCATCCAATCCAAATCATGAAATTTCTGCTCTCTCTTTTTCACAAATGAAGATTATCAAGTGTTAAAAAAAAACCATTAAATTGAGCTTTTTCCCTTGACTTAATTGGAAAATAGAAGGATAATTGAATAAATAATAGTATTGTCACTATATGATTCAATATTACTTAATGTCTTATCCATCTGCTTGTAAACCTTTCTAATATATAACTCACGGTCTATACTCTACACATGCATGAAGGATCTGAGACTCAGGGGCGATCATGGATGAAGAAATTCAGTGGGAGAGATGGGGTGGACACTCACAACACACTGGCACACATGGCACACTTGTTTCCATGCATTTTGCCATCTGGGCCACGGACAGGATTATGCTCCCTGGTGCATATAAGTGTTCCATTCCTCACTTGGTCCCGAAATTCACTGCAGATTTCCTGGGAAATGAAGAAAATATTTTCTCAGAGTAGTTTTCTATCCTTCCTGCATCTTTTCCTATTATGAGGAATATGTAACGTAGAGTAAAAAGTAAAAACAAAAGTGATAACACATAGTAGTAAATCAGTAAGTATTTACAAAGCTTCCGTCATCAATCAGAATTGTCCCATCATTATAGCAGATCTGAAAATATTTATCATCAAAAACATACGTGTGTGTTGTGTTGCATAGCATGGTCTGTAAAAGCTAGGAAAGATCAGAGGTGGGAAGATTCCATAGGCAGGCTTAGATGAGAAGCCTTCCTGGAGGAAATGAGAATATTGCTTACCTGTGATTTGTCTTTAGGGGTCTGAGAAAGAAGAGAAAAAACATGCTTAACCTAAGAAATAAATATATATTTTGTCCAAGTATGGTGGCTCACACCTGTAATTCCAACACTTTAGGAGGCCACTGCAAGAGTGCTTGAGCCCAGGAGTTCAAGACAAGCCTGGACACAATAGCAAAACTCTGTGTCTACAGAAAAATTCAAAATAAAAAAATAAAATAAATTGCCAGGCATGGTGGTGTGTGCCTGTAGTCCCAGCTACTTGGGAGGCTTAGGTGGGAGGATCACTTGAGCCCAGGAGTTCGAAGTTGTAGTGAGCTTTGATCGCACCACTACACTACAGCCTGGGCAACAAAGTAAGACCTGACTCAAAAATAAATAAATAAATAAATTTAAAAAGACATATCTTTATACATAGAGAAGAGAATAAGTCTGATCCCTGGAGAAACTAACATATTTCTGGGAGTAAATTGATTTAAAAAAATTAAAAACCAGGAATGGGAGATGTGGATTTGAAGCAAGAGGGTAAGAATAGGAGTGGAGAGAAGGAGGAATATGTTAATACCACTGGAAATATCTAAGAGGATTTGGCAGCTGATCAAACATAATGGATGAAAACACATTTTCAATTCTAAATGATCAATGAAAAGATAGTTTCACCTAGTAGAAACACTTATTTAAAAAAAAAAGAGTCAGTAAGAAGGCAAATTTTAAACTGTGTCAACTTTTCCCCAAGTAATGATGAGGTTTGTACTGTTGTGGCTATTGTTAAGAAATAGAATAAACAGGCCGGGTGCAGTGGCTCACACCTGTAATCCCAGGACTTTGGGAGGCCAAGGTGAGTGAATCACTTGAGGTCAGGAGTTTGAGACCAGCCTGGTCAACATGGTGAAACCCCATTTCTACTAAAAAAAAAAAAAAAAAAAATTAGCTGGGCATTGTGGCACGTGCCTGTAATCCCAGCTATTAGAGAGGCTGAGGCAGGAGAATCACTTGAACCCGGGCGGCAGAGGTTACAGTGAGCCCAGATCTGCGCCACTGCACTCTAGCCTGGGCAACAGAGCGAGACTCCATCTCAAAAAAAACAGAAAAAAAGAAAGAAAGATAAATCTTGTATGTAGCTATTATATGAGAATAATTCAACATCTCCACACAGATAAATTTGACTCTGCTATGTATAAAATTATAAAAGCATGGAGAGTGGAATAAAAATAACTGGAAAGTCAGAGGCCCAACTTAATAATCTTAATTGGGTGCAAGAAAACCACCACTTGCTCCATAGCTGGGTGGTGACAAAGCTCAAATATGATAATATATGTGCTTTCGTTTTGTAAATTGGAATGATTGAGATCTTATACTCTCTATTTGAAATAACAGAGATATGAATAATGTAAATTGAAATTAGTAAATGGCATAAGTTAATACTCTAACAACAGAAATCTAATAAAAGCCAAATATGGGGAAAATTCCTTACAAAAAGTTAACATTCCACTTTTTATGAAATAAACCTCAAAATTTGAATAATTGTGAAATAAAATTGGTACTCTGGACACTTCTTATCAGGACCCTTTTTGTTCAGGTTAAAAATGTTCTTCATTTATTTCAGGCATGAAAATTAAACAGAAAACATTTATTCTAATAGGATAAGTAAAGAATTATAAAGAAATGAAAAATGTCAGGGCACAGCATCAGCATTCCTGAGAATATTACCTTTGCAGCTTCTCTTTTAGCCTTTGCTCTTGCTCTTTCTTCTTGTTGACTTTAAGAAACCGAAAAGAAAAAGAGAGAAGAAATGGATTTTTTTTTTTCTTTTTTGAGACGGAGTCTCTCTCTGTCACCCAGGCTGGAGTGCAGTGGCGCGATCTCGGCTCACTGCAACCTCCACCTCCCGGGTTCAAGCAATTCTCCTGCCTCAGCCTCCCAAGTAGCTAGGATTACAGGCACATGCCACCACACTCGGCTAAGTTTTCTGTATTTTTAGTAGAGACGGGGTTTCACCATGCTGGCCAGGCTGGTCTCGAACTCCTGACCTCATGATCCACCCGCTTCAGCCTCCAAAAGTGCTGGGATTACAGGTGTGAGCCACCGTGCCTGGCCAGAAATGGATCTTAATATAGTAGACTAGATCCTTAACTTTCATAGCTTGATCATTTATTGTTTTGACTATTCTCAAACACTGCCAAATATCCACCCATAGTAGTTTATACTTTTATTAGACAATAAACAATTATGATTCACTCTACCTCAAGAGAATGGTGTGCAAGAGAAAGCCCCTGAATTAGGGAGTAAACCTGTTTAACTTCCCAGTATATGTACTGCAATAGTACTTTCTTATTTGCTGATTCTTTTGCATGTGTGATTACTCTTTATGGAGAGGTAATATTTATCTTCTGAGAGGCAGTATAGCATGGTGGTTAAGAGGAAAGACTCTGGAGCCAAATTCTGCAAGGAAGACAAGAAGTACCTTAACCTCTCTGTGCCTTCCTCATCTTTAAGTGTGTGTTTAGGAGGAATAGAAGAGGTAATAAAAGTACCTTTCTTATTGGAATGTTAAGAGCATTAAATGAGTTGCTACATGTAAAGCAATTAGAACAGTACCTGGTACAAAATAAAATAATTGATATAATTGTTATAAGAGATTGACATAATCATTATTGTCATTATTGAAAGGAAACTTTCCTTCCAAAACTAGGCATATGATGGAAATGAAGTGAAAGTGATAGCTGTTACATTTTGGATAACTAACAGTGTTGCAAATTGAGCTTGGTGGATTGGATCTACAGCATAATTGGATATATAACACAAATAGTTCAAAATGTAGAAAAAAATTACATAATTTGTGAAAATGTTTTAATGTGTCCCAATCAACAAAATACTTGCACATAGATCAAACTAAAACTTTTTTAAAAATTGAAAAGACTGTTTTCACATGGTATGAAAGTGTGCAAAAACTAACTATGGAGGGTAGAATAATTCTCAAAAAAAATCAATCACCTTTGTTAACATATCTATAAAACATGAGGTGATAAAGGTTATTTCTTTTCAATAAAGAATTTATATACTTATGAAATAAACTGACTAAAATAGATCTAAAATTATGGGATTGTTCATACATCTTTATATGAAAACCGATCTAACCTTTATCACGAGTCTAAGTTGACTAAAACATTTAAGCAGCATTTTCTTTCCCCAATGGAAAATTGTCAGAGGAGGCAGCAAAGATGACCACTAAGTGGCAGAATTAGTTTCTTGCTACTGAAAAATTAATGTAAGGGAGAACAAAAAACAGGCTGAAAGACTTCACTAAGTGATTATACCCCACAACAAGAAATACATTAACTTTTCCTTCATCTGTAAGTCCCATATCCTGTCCTGACTTTTCCGTCATTCTCAACTGTTCTGGGCCTTAGTTTTGTTTTTTGTTCTTGCTTTTTATCTGGTTTCATCTATTTCATATGGTTGTTGTGAAGATGAAATGAGATTAGGCAACAAATCTCTGAGCAAGTGTCACATAATTATATGCGTTCAACAAACGTTTGTTGTGATAATTATATGGTCATGATCTCAACTTTCCTTCTAATAGATTTTTAGTGCTCCAAGCCTCAAATGCTATGGGAAAATATGCTGGATTATATTGCTTTCTATATGGGAAGACTAAATAAATTAAGTCCTTTCTAAGATTCTTGGCACATGGGAAATAAAATGGGGGTTTTTTTAGTCAAAAATCAAGAGTTTAAGAAAAGCCTAGTCACGTTTTTGAAGGGCCGGCCATACCATGACATTCATCCTAAAGACCTATTTTAGGCACCCTATCAATAGGCTCCCAACTCCTACATAATAAAATCTCCATTCTTGTCTTTTTCTGCTTTATTACAAAGTTAATCTTCATCATGAGCCCAAATCTTTCTTCCTATAGCTCTTTTCCATTTTAATTATATTCCTTAAAATCACATAGAATAAGTAGGAAGAAAGATAGTGAACAAAAAAATCCCATAAATTTTCCATGCATTGTAATATTTTATGTGTAATCATATGTATTTCCTATTTCATCTGATAATGTTTTCATAAAACTAAAAGCAATTAGTATAATTATCATGAAGTATTCTCTTCTCTGGGTGAATGATTCTAGGTTACTTTTTAAATGTCATAGAAGAAATTATTCTGCACCTCACTTTTTTAAATTGTGTTCTTACTTGACATATAATAATTGTACATATTAATTGAATTCAGTGTGATGTTTGGTATATGTATACATTGTGATGATTAAATCAAGCAATTTACATAGTTGTCTCATGATACTTATCTTTTTTGGGAAGGTGTAAGGACATTTACGATTTACTTTTTTAATGTTTTTGAAATATATGATACATTATTATTAACTGTAGTCACCATGCTGTCCAATACATCCCATAAACTTATTCCTCCTGCTTAACTAAAACTTTGCACCCTTTGATTAACATTTCCTCATTCCCAACCCTCACCCTTCCCTACTCCCATTCTCTTGTAAGCACCATCCTACTCTCTACTATGAGTTAGCTTTTTTTAGATCCCACATATAAGAGACATCACACATTATATGTTTTTCTGTGTCTGGCTTATTCTGCATCTCTTTATATCATAATAGAAAGCCCTCCACTTGTTTTATTGTTGCTGTTGTTTGTTTTTAGTCCATTTAAATATGACACCCAAGACTGAATGCTACACTGAAGAAGAAAATGCATTATTCACAATGGTTTGAAAACTTCCCATGGAAATTCCCACTGCTCAATCCTCAGACGCTATGGGGCTACTGCTCTACTCACAAGAAGGCCTCACACATGGAGCAGGTGTTGCCATGCATTTTTCCATCTGGGCCCTGGATGGGGTCATTCTCTCTGGTGCAAAAAAGCCGTCCGTTTTTCCTGGATTTGCGGTATTCACTACACAACTCCTGTGAAATTGAGGCAGGAAGTTGAAAGTGTTGAACATAGGCTGAATCAGATTGCAAAAATAGCTAAAGCTTGTACTTTTTTTCTTAAACGAGGATTAGCAATTGGCTTATTTTAGAATGATTAACTTTGAAGGCATGGATTTTTTAAGTGATAAAAACAATGAACCCAACAACCAAGAAATAGTCACATATGCACATGTATAACTGCACACATGAAAACACATATGAAAACACAAACTGTACAATTGTTTCATACAGTTTTAAGGAATGCACGTGTTCCCTGAACATGATCTGTGGATCCTCAGGGCCATATCCCTCTGAGTTGCTGGAGGATATAAACTCACCTCAAAGGAAGCTGTACTCTTAGATTGTCTTTTGTTTCTTGATTTACCTTCCTTCTTTTTCTTTTCTTCTTCTTCTGCTTGGCTAAAAAAGGATGGTTAAGAAGAGATAAGTAAAAATCATAGAATCGCCACATTAGAAGTGATCTCAAATATAATTTAATTTTACACTTAACAACGATTAAATTCTTTGAATGTGATGTGCCTAACCCTGTGCTTACACTGTGAAATCCTCACAATTGCATTACAAAACTATTATTATAACCCCAACATACAAATAAACTGACAGACGGAATGCATAACTCACCTGAAGATATAGAAATAATAAGTACAGACTTGGGATTTAAACCCTAGTCCAGAGGTGGTTTTCTAAATTTCCAATGCTCATTACTGTATCTCTAATGACTCCCAAGCCTTTGCTTTAATCTGCCTGTAAAGTCTGTACTGATATCATCCTTGGAATTCCATGGTAAATCATCCATCTTTGAAATCCGCAAACTGTTAGGAAGTTCTTCCTGGCATCCACTTGGAACCTGTCTTCCAGACCTTTCATTCTTTGGCCCACTGGCCTCACTTTTATTCACGGAGATAAGCTAGAACTTGTCCTGTTTCCACACTTAAAAGACAAAACTACTTGAATATTTCAAGATTATGACTTTCTCCTTGCTTAAGTGTGAAGTCTTGACAATCTTCAAAGGACATGGATTTTCAAATACATGTCTCCAATCAGACAGTTTCTCTAAATATGCCTTAATTCTTTCATTTTTATGTTGAAGTGGCCCTCCCATAATTGAACATGGAAATGAAATAGAAAGAACAAAATCATTCCTCCATGTTCCCAGCTGCAGGGCTACTCACAAGAAGACCTCACACATGGAGCAGGTGTTGCCATGCACTTTCCCATCTGGGCCCTGGATAGGATCGTTCTCTCTGGTGCAAGCAAGTTTTCCGTTCCTCACAAGCTTTCGATATTCACTGCAAAGCTCCTGCCGAGATAGAAGAAGTAAGTTGGCCATATATTTCATTTCTACTTAAAGCAGAAGGTTCAAACATCTACATTGGCAGAAACTAATGTTACATCTCTTTGAGCTGAGGATTTTAATTGTGTTTTTCTCAAATGTAAAATTCAATTTGACAACAAGAAAAACATCATATGCCAAGAGATAGGAAAAAATAAAACATAGCACAATGTCCCCATATAATACAAGCAATATATAAGCAAATTCCACTATAATCTAAACAGAATAAAATAGGTACGAACATACAGGGTACAATAAAATCTGAGAACTCAAAGGAAACCAGGGAAGGTGTCAGGGAGCAAGAACAATTTAGGTGAGACTGTGGAAGTGTAAATAGGATTTGACTGGGCAAAAAAAAGTGAATTGGGAAATACGCACACAGGTTTATGAAAATAAAACTAGCTGAAAAACACAGGTAGGAAAAGACATGGCACATAGCAGAGCATGATTTTCTGAATGGAGATAAGGATACAAATAAGAGGAGAGATAACAGGATTAAAGCATATCCTGTATATGATGATGAGCTGCTTGTGGGTTTTAAGAGCAATATTATGATCTTATTTACATTTTGAAACATTACTCCAACTATGTTAGGGAGACTGGTTGGGCAAGGGAAAGGATAAAATCCAGAGTGAAAATTAGGAGACTTTTATCATCAAAACCATTGGTGATGATAACTGAGCTAAGGCTTTGGAAACTAATATTGTAATATTTCAGGGATAAAAATCATGCGTTGGTGGGGGAATCAAGGTATTTTTTATCTCAAATTAGATGTGAAATATCAGAAACTCATATGTAGAAAGCATACATGTAGAATTTCTCTGGAAAGTAGTTAGCAAAAGCTAACAGTCTATAAGTGATAAAACTAGAAGTAGAACTCAGTTTTTCAGCTTTTAAACAATTTTTTTTTTTTTTTTTTGCAGAGTTAGTTTTTAATCAGCAAGAATGGATCAATCTTCCCATATAATTCATCTCAATACCATCCCCAGATTGAAGAGTTAAGATATTCTGGGGATTTCTGCAGGGCAAAATCTCACCCTTTAGGCTCTTAAAATTTGTTCAAATTATAGCACCAAATAGGATTTATTGGATGGATTCCACTCACTGCATATGAGGTTGCTTTTCCAGATTCTCTTTTGTTTCTAGCTCGTGCTTCAGCCTTTTTCTTTTCTTCATTTTCTGCTTGGCTGAATAAGAGGGAAAAAGAAGCAGATCCATTAGGAACAAACACATGCCATGATTTCTCCACATCCTTGCACTGTTAACTGTTCTCCCTCCTTAGAGTGGAACAATTTTGTCCCTTTATCACTGCATATCAATGAGAAGCAACAAAATATCCTCCAGGATAGTATGGTGCTATGATTTCTTCATAATGTCTGTTTAATGTTGAAAGAAAGACGGCAATAGTGGATCTGGGATACTTGCTTTCTGTAAATTAGTTTTCTTGCCCATAGTAAGAAAAGGAGCATGATCAATGTTCATAACAGAGGCACCAAAACTAAAATCATGGTGGCATAACCTGAAGGCTGAAAGTGGCCTTAACAAAGCACATCTACTCATCCCCTTGTTAATCAGAGAAGATGAGAGGTAGAGGGGGTCTTTGCTACATCTCAGGATATGACTACAACCAAGGTCTCCTCCCTCAAGACCATGGTCTATCTATCACACCATGTGTACCCTAGCTTTGCTTTAAACTTAAATATTTTGCTTACTCATAGCTGTTTCATCTAAAGGACAAGATGTGAAAAAAAAAACCACAATAATTTCCATATACTGATAAAACAAATAAGCCTAAATTTGCTTTGTACAATGGAATTGCACAGTATGTACAGTTAACTGATGATATTTCAACCATATGTAGTTGTCAATCAAAACAAAGAAAGCCATAGATTCTAAATATAAGTTAAATACTTAATTTGAGCTCAGCCAAATAAAGAGCTATCGTAAATCTTGAAAGAAAACTGTCCATTCTAACTTATTGAGAAATATTGCATTACATAAAATAATACCCATTGTAATTTTATAGGAGTTTAGTGTTGTTTCATGGGAATTTTGACTTTATTCCATTTCTACATTAAGCATCACCTTTGGACTCTTAACTCCCATGGAAGATGAGATACCTATAAATTGCTAAAACAGGCTAACGTGTGAAGTTTCAGGAGTAAGGGGGCATCTACTATTTGTACAAGTTCATGTTTGTCAGGACATTCCAGTGCTAAAAGAGGGAGTGTCAGAGGAACAAGGCGTCTTAAAACAAATAACTCTAGGTACTTACTCCCAGCTCTATCACTGATATTTTCCATGTAATGTTTTCAACTCACTTCCCTGTCTTGAGCCACAGTCTCCCCATCTATGAAAGAAGCTGTTTCTATTAAATTACCTGCAAGATCCCTTCTTTCTTTGACATTCTAAAACTCTATACTCACAAGTAGGCTTGACACATGGAACACAAGTTGCCATGCATTTTCCCATCTGGACCACGAATAGGGTCATTTTCTCTGGTACAGAAAAGTATTCCATTCTTTGCCTGATTTTGATATTGACTGCAGAGTTTCTGAATAATGAATAAGAAAAAGTTGAGATATAGTTCTGTTTTCTATGTATGAATGTTAAATGTTATTTTACAAAGAAAAAAGAGAAATTAAGGATGAAAAATAAAACTTTTAAGATTTAGGACCATCCAAAAATTGTGATATTTCTCTCCTTGTAATATCCATTTACATTTTCAACGAATGCTTAAGTTAGGAATATATAAATAGAAATATGATTTATTTATATTTATGTTCTTTATCAGTCAAATGGAAAAGATAAGTAATTGCAATATAAAAAGCTAAGAAATATAACACTAGTCTGAATTAAGTGTGTACAAGTACAATGAAAAGAATAATTCATGGAAGTTCAGGGAACTTATGTCTAAGTTCTATCTTGAGAATATATTCAGGAACATAATGTGGAAAAAGGCCATCCAAGAGGAATTAAATGGACAAACACACAGGGGTGTGAAAGAACATGCTATTTTGAGGTAATCTAACATATTTATGAATATAGTGGCTAAATAATTAGTTGGATAAAGAGAATAATATTTGGGAAATGGTCAAAAGGAGACCTTGAAAATCAAAGACCACTAAACTTTGAAAGGAATTTGGATATTACTTTTAGGCAATGGGAAAATTATAAATGTTTATAGCAGAAAATGGCAAAATCAAATCTTTGTTTTACAAAGGTTATCAACCAGATGTGTGGAGGATTTGATTAACTAGGGACTGAAGTTAGAACAGTAATTATATTATTAAAAAAGAGAGAAAGAGAGGGAGGAAAAGAGAAAAAAGAATAGAGAGAAGAAAAAGAAAAAGGAGAAAGGAAAGGAAGAAAGGGAAGGAAGGAGAAAAATTGGAAATAAATGATAAAATAGTAGTTGACAGATATTTGAATATCAAAATTAAAAGGACTTGGTAACCTAGGACTGAGGGGAAGAAAGCAGTTCAAAATGAGGCTTAAGCTATGTGTAGTGGCTCATGCCTGTAATCTTAGCACTTTGGAAAGCTGAGGTGTGAGGATAGCTTGAGAGTGGGAAGTCAAGGCTGCAGTGAGCCATGATCCCACCACTACACTCCAGCCTGGGTGACAGAGAAAAAAAAGAAAGAAAGAAATTGTCTTAAAAAAAAAAAGAAAAGAAAAGAAAAAGAAAAAGAAAAAAAGAAAGAAAGAAAGAAAATGGAGTTATACTGGCAGAGGGTGGCCTGATGGAGTGGCTTACTTAGGAGAACTGTTGACTGCACATCATAGAAGTCTGGAAAACTGTCTGTAAGAAATAAGTTAGGGTTTCTATAAGAAGTGAAATGGTCTGAATATACTCTAGAATATCTTCAAACATTGGAATTTTATAGCATCGCTGACTCGTGGAACCATAGTTTTTGTTCTCATATTCTATGACATATGAAAACAACATGGAGGATGAATTAAATCTTGAAGATTGAGAAAGATGGAGACCAACAGTGTACAAACCAGGTACAATGCCAATACGTCAATGCAAAAGAAAACTATTAAGTGTCTGAGCTAAGAGGGTAGCAGTAGAAAAACAGACAGGTGACTAGTTAAAAGATACTTAGAAAGCAGAGAACAGTATAATTTAAAAGGAAGCACATTAAAATTCAACATTGATATTGTTTTTGAAGTAAATACCTTCACAATAGCTACCACACATCGAAGACTACATATCACACTTTGAATTCAGACAATGTTTTGATATTTCACCTTCATTTAGGAGTGCAAAACTACATTATTAATGTGACTTGATTAATTGCCTCCATATACAGCTAGAAATTGTAATGCCATAATTTTTTAATCTAAGTTTCACAAAATAATAACTAGAAATTAGTTTCCAGCAAACCTACTAGTAGTGTGGAAAATATTAAACAATATTGAAAGTGCATACTATGTAATATGCACTCTCTCACACACGCACCCCCCCACACACACACAAGTTGTAACTAGATTGATCAAACTGATTCTCACCACAATTTCTCTTTTAACTTTAGTTTTTTCTTCAGCTTTTCCCAAATTTTGATCTGTTTTACTGTTTTCCTCTGAAAAACGCTGCTTGCTGGAAAAAGTAAAATAAATGAGTAGAGATGCTTCCGATCTTCATGTTACAAAACAGTCATTAGGTATAGATGGAAAAATATCTAAGTTGTCCTGAGTTTTAGTACAAACACTTTAAAAACACCTCAAATCCCCAAAAAGACCCTTTAATTTCACCTTTATACCATTTACTTCCACTAAAATGATCTTTTTTCTCATCTCCCTTTCTTAAAAGAAATTTAAAACTCTGCAGCTTAAATTCTACCTTTTTGAAGAAGACATTCCAGTTCCCAAATACAAATGAGCGCTATGTCTATTGCTGTGTTTTTGTATCGAATAGTCTTCTCTTATACAGCAGTTTTTATTCTATTTTGCAATATATAAATATGTGCACATGTCCATGGCTTATTTCTGCTACTGAACTTAAGCTTCTTGAGAGTGGGAGATCTTCATTCATATCTTCATTCATTCATTTAGTGAGTAATTATGGTTTTTTGGGCAAGTGTTGGCTGGGCCCTGGGCATGCAGGAGTATATAATACAAACACATACCCTGCCCTCTTGTAGTTCTTGAGGCTGGTAGAAAAGACTGAAAGTCAACAAAAACTTGGAGAAATAATTGTATAATTGCCAACTGTGATGGTGGTTAGAAAAGACAATTACTAAGGATTATGAGAATTTAATTTCAATTAGGGAAGGACTTTAGGAGTTCTTGTCCAAGGAAAGATAATCTGAAATGTAATCTACAAGAGGAGGGGACATCATCTGGCCAAGACCGGGAGGAACTGGCATAGGACAGGACACAGGAAAGGGCTTGTAGAGCTAGAGAAGCCGAAAGTGTCATGAGATGTCATCTAAGACATTTTCATAAATGTGATAATTTGTATGTTGTGAGATTTGCCCTTCTCCCAAGGTCATATGTCCCAGATAAAAAGATAAGAGTAATCCAATTAATGTATAAACCTGAAGTATCTGAGAGTGTTGCATCAACACTGTTACCATGGGATAATTACTGAAGAAAAACAATCGAAGTCGTGGTACCTGCTTTTACCCCCATTCTATACTAGAATTAGTTCACAAACAGTTTCACATAGGTCACAGTCACAGGGGAATGTTAAGAAGTGTGCTATGCTGTAAGTCAATATTTCAACTGGAAAATGGAATCCATTTCTCTTCAGAAATAGACAAACATCAGTAGTGCCTGCTCACTAGGTGGCATTATGATTTGTGGAGGGCATAAAACTGCTCAGATGGTTCTCAACAACAAAGCTTCCTTTCAAAGTTATTTTTACTCATCAATCCAATCAATCTCCACTCCCACCCTTTGAATCACTCTGAAAAAACCACTTCTATACTCACAAAATTTCAGCACACAGGGCACATTTGTTGCCATGCATCCTGCCGTCAGGGCCACGGACTGGATCACTCTCCCGTGTACAAAAAAGCCTTCCATTTCTCACTTGTTTTTCATATTCCTTGCAAAAATCCTTTGAAAAGACAATTATATTTATTTTACTTCATTTCATTTCAGGATATTTTATTTTTTGAGACAGGATTTTGCTGCATTGCGCAGGGTGGATTGCAGGGGAATGATCATAGCTCAGTGAAGCCTCTAACCTCTAGGCTCAGAGATCCTTCCACCTCAGCTTCCTAACTAAATGGGACTACAGACATGCACCACCACACCCGGCTAAATTTTTTCCTTTTTGGTAGAGACTGGATCTCATCATGTTGCCCGGGCTGGTCTTGAATTCCTTGGCTCAAGTAATCTTCCTGCCTTGGCCTCCCAAAGTGTTGAAATTATAGGCATGAACCAACACATCCAGCCAACAAGTAATTTTATTTACCATTTTTCTACGTTTTAATCTGGAAACTTTATAATAGATTTATTACCACAAAACATCAGGTCTAGAAGTTGGCAAATACATACAACATATTAATGAGGATTACTAAGAAACAGTAATTATATTGTCAACTACTTGGCACTTGTATCTGTTATGTGGTAGGTTTATTAAAAGATAAAAAACAGCCTCGGAAAAAATAAGGCTGACCAAGAGTTTTCTTGGATTAAAACTAGGTATTTCTTTTTAACTTTCAGATCAATAGGGGTCAGGGGATATCTTTCATGAGGTTCCAGCACAAACACAACAAAATGCAGCAGCCAAATCACAAAAAAAAAAAGAAAAAAAAGTTGTGAGAAGATGAGATGTCTAAAAGTGACTTAATATGGATCAAGTCAAGAATAATCCAGCTAAGTTTGTAAGTATAAAGAAACAAGATGTTATCCAACAGTGTTATGCTTACTTTAGTTGATTTTCTCTATGGATCTGTGGATAATTTTTGTGTATTCTGCCTTCTTTATCCATAATAATTTCTGACATTGTAGAGAGAGAGTAGATCTAATTTCCTTTCACCCTCACCTTAGACAGATAGATCATCAAGACTGATACTCATTTAGAAAAGCTAAAAAGGAGTGACTTCCCCCCACCAAAAAAAATCCAAGAAAGATTTGTTTTCAGATTTCCTGATGCTTTGGTTCAATACTTTCAGGCTACTTTCTGTGTTTTGAAAACTCTACTATGTGAGGAGGGCTAAACTTTACCAAAAAAATGATACTCTAAGCTACTCTAGGCTTGGGGATCTCTATGTCATTAAACATTTTGTGGTGAGATATAGTACTATAATATGACCTACAAAAAATCCTGGTCTATAACTTTCTTTTCAACTGTGTGACCTTCGTCATTCAATTTCAGGCAAGAAAACATGGGCATAAAGAGCATGGCTAGGAGTCAAATGACCTGGGCCACTAGATTGTCCCTCTCACCCAAATGGGAGACCACAGCAAAGTCCCTTCTCCTTTGGAACCACAGTTACTACTTCTACAATGAGGTTTTTGGAACAGATGCTCTGTAGGACCTTTTCTAGATCTAGCATTCTTTGGTTTTTTAAAAAATAATTCAAATTCCATTGGGATGCTTTAACAGAGAATCCTAACTGCTTCCTATTAAGAAGATATTTATTTTTGGAGGAGCAATGGATGTGCTCCAAACCTCATGGTTGTAACAACCTAGAAATAGAGAAGCAGAAGACAGTCACCTGATAATCATAGCATGGTATAAAAAATTAATGCTCAATGATTCTCGTAAAAGAAACAATGATAATTTCAGTTTATAAGTTGTGATTCAGCCAAGGAGATTCTGAAGAAACACTGTGTTTGCAACCTAGTGACAAGTTAATTATAGGGAACATATTGAGCCATCACAATAAAGCAGTCCTATTCACACCATCATGCCCGGTGACCCCACCAAAACAATGACCCTAGCCACAGAGAGGAAGAGGGAAGTACAGAGACCTAATGAAAAACAAAGGAAAATAACTCTCTGTGTTTATGAAGTAATAAAATGTTAACTATCACAGGATGACCCAAAGTTTTAGACTGAAATTTAACAACCACCACAAAAGAATTCCTTTTCAATCCTTGGCAAGTGTTGCATAAACTGTAGATGGTTCTGAATACTTAGTTTTCCTAAATGTAAACCTTCAATACCCTATTTAGGTTGAGAGCTTTGCTTCATTAAATAAGCATTACGAACTGAAGGGCTAGCTCTTGACTACCAAAAGGTGGGCTTGTTTCTTCCTTTAGGAAAACATAAGCCCTACGATCTGCAAAAAGGAGTGCACTTGTATTAGTACAAAAGTGTGCAGGATGTAGAATCACAGTCCAACAGGAAGGTAAAATTCAGGTCATTATCCAACCTCTTTACTTTGCTGACAAGAAAATTAAGGCCCAGGATGATTATTTACTTAGTCTCCCACACCCAGAGCATGGCAAAACCAAGGCTAAAACTCAGGCGTTCTGACTTCTCAACAAAAGGTTAGCCATTTAGCAAAGAAACTGCTATCCCTCTCATTGAAAGTAGGTGATTTAAGAAATCCAGGCTGCATTACCTAAAGTGCTTATTCAAAACTTTTTATACTAGATTGAATAATTAAATTATCAAGTAATTTCAAAAAAATAATTTTAAGGATTTTTTTAAAACACATTCTAAAAATTTGTCTTTTTTTTTTTTTAAAGCAGAATCAAGACCTTTATAAATGCAGGTTTTTCTGAACAGAATAATCACAATGGCAAAGTGAATAACTTCAACTTGTGTCAATTTAATTGCACATAAAATGCACTAGTGGATATAGTGTTTAAAACACTCTCACTATTTTAAAATTATTCCTGTTTAATTTATATTTCATTGCCAATTTTAAACAATTTATACAGAGTAAAATGGGTTTACACTAAACCAAAAAGAAGGCTGCTAGAAATTAAGCAGAATTTGGTTTATACAAACTTTCTATCTTATATCTTCTTTTGGGGGCTAGAGGACTGGAGAAACACAGGTGGAAACTGCACATTTTGGGCCTTAGGTAGGAAATGCTGTTTTAAATCTGAATCTAATGATTAATATTCTAGGAATAGTCAATTTGGGGAATTTTGATATTAAGAAAAATATCTATATAATAATAAAAGACAATGACTTTATTTCATTACTCAAAGGTTTAGGCATACATTTGTTAATAAATATGGCCACAAGAACAAAATTGCGTTGGTGAGTCATTTTACCTTTTCAGCATTTCGTCGAATTCTAGTTTCACCCTCTCGCTTGGCATTTTCAGCTTCTTTTAAACTGTTAAGAAAAGTAAACAGTTGGTCAGTTTATGACTCAATCATATTTTCAGTATCCTCAGTCCTGTGCTAAACACTTTCATATCCTCTGCTACGAATTGCTGAAAATGATCCTCTTACAAGAGACAAGCATTTCCGTCTTCAATGCCTGAGCCAGAGAAATTGCCAAAGATAAGGAAAGAAAGAAAGACGGCAATAGCTTATCTGGGAAACTTGCTTTCTGTAAATTAGCTTTCTTGCCTATAGTAAGAAAGGGTGTGAAACTGACTCACTGACAGTCAATTAGAAGCTTTGTTCTGTAAAACTGAATGGGTGTGACACCTTGATTGACAAACAGAAGATTGTCAGGAAAATTCCCTTTAACAGGCAGAACCAAGAGCTTTAAAATAATGCTGTGACAAGGGTGAAACCAAACTGAGCATTTGAGACATTGCCATCCACACCCTTAAGTATAACTTTGTATACCTTGTAAAGTATTTGTTTGCTTTCATGTAAAAGTACTAAGTTGTTAATGAAAGCTACATTTGAATTGAGCTTTAAGCCCTTTCACATCTATCATTTGATTAGCGTCTCATTCCGGAGATAGGTGTGGCTATCTCAGTTCCACAGAGTAAGAAACCAGGAGTTAGAGAGGTCAAATTCCCCTTTTCACATAATGCATAAAAAGAAAAAAAAACCCTACAGAATTAGGGCAGATTTGAACATTGAGAGAACATGTCTCCTAGATAAGAAAGTGGAAATCAGGCTGATTTCCTGTCTGGAAACCAGTTATCATCACTGTTTTGTAAACCTGATTGGACATGTCCTTGAATTCTACAAGGACTAACTGTAATTTTCAAAGGCAGGTGTGACGTTTGTTTGCTAATCAGTTAAATCTCTGTCCTGATTTTAAAGTTCCAGTGATGTAAATATAGCAATTTAAGGTTTGCTGGCACGTGAATTAGAGAGTCTAAACCTTGTTTAACAGCCAGAATATGAAAGACTAATTAGATCTTATCCACATCTGCGTCTTTAATGCCCAAGCACTGCCAGGCACTCAGATAAAGATTAACCCAATAGCCCTTCCTTTTGTAATGATCCGCGTTCCACTTTTTAAGCTAATAAATAGATTCAGACACATGGCATTATTACTATTATTATTTTAATTAGCCTCACATTACTCAGGAAGGGTCTCTACATATGCCCAAATGAAGCAATGGATGTCAGACGACTGACCTAGATCATTCCATATGAAAGTGCTTTCTAAATTTTAAAATATTGTGCCTTATAAAACACTATACATTTTCAAATTACTGTAATTTAAAAGAAATGAGAGTCTTGAATTTAATAACTAACATGACCACCTTATTCTCTTCTTTTAAGAAACTTCAATCAATGATAAGAAGAAAAAGAAAAGAAGCCTTTCTGTGAGAAAGGCTATTTCACAGTGTAAAGACAAAGAATTGCATGCTTCATGAAAAGGATTTTATCTCTCTGCTGAGTGATTCTCGGGACAGCAACCAAGTGCATCATCATCAAGTCCACCTGGGGATGATGCTACTTACAACAGCTCAGCACACATTGCACACTTATTGCCATGCGTCTTCCCATCAGGACCAAGAACAGGATCATTTTCCCTTGTGCATCCAAGTCTTCCATCTCTAACAAAGGGCCGAAAAGCACTGCATACATCCTGAAGAACAGGGAAAAGAACTTGAAACTTACCAAGATTGTAATGCTGACAACACTGTTTTCAGAAATTTTATTGAACTCAGTCCCTCTGACATTGCTATGGGCCACTTAGAGCAGTACCAGCTGTGTAGATGTAGCTCAGTAAGTACTCTATAATTCATGTGGTTAAATATAAAACTTTTTTACTTGTTTATTCATTTATTTAGTAAACAGATAACCTACTATGTGCCAGAACTCAGACAGAGCACAGTCCTTGCCATCAACTTGCTCCCAATCTCCTAGGTGATAAAAAGAGACATTTAAAATTGCATGATGCTAAATGACTTGGTGCAAGTCACCTCAGGTGCTCTGGAAGCTTATAAAAAGGGCATCAGACCTTGAAAATTAGGAAAATCATTCACCTGGAAAAAGACAAGTGTGACATGTATGAGATCCTTTCTTCCTTCCCCTTCCCCTACCATCACAGGCTCACAAAACTGTATCATAGAAAAAAAATCTATTTAGTTCAAATCTCATTTTAGGTTAAGTAATTTGTCCAAGGTCTCCAAACAGCAAGTGACACTGCTGGGGTTTTAACGCAGGCTAAGTGACTGAAGTGTTGTGCCCTTTCTACTACACATGTAGTTTCCTTTTTATTTCTTCTTCTTCTTTTTTTTTTTATACAAAGCAGCAATAGATTGAAAGATCTAACCACCAAAGTAATCTGATCCAGTTTCAGAGACTATAATTAGCTTTTTCATATTAGTGGGCAGTACTGGGTATTCCATTTCACATAAAGCAAGAATTAATTCCTTCCAAGGCTCCCACCTAAGAAGGAAGAGGAGAGCACCTACTTACTATTTGAAGTTAGCCTCCCAGTATTTCCCATCAGGCTGACAATTGACCTCACCTGCTCTGGATTACTGCTCTTACATTCCCCTTCACTTTTTACACCAATTTGGGACCCGGTTTTCCTAGAATCAAAAGTTAGTAGACACAGCAGTTTAATATCACAGAACTTCCCACCATTCAAACCTAACTGCTCTACATTGCATTGTCATTCTCCTTTACTCCCGAAAACAGCTGCCACATAGTATTATTTTATTACTTTTTCTAATAAAAGTCACTGTTTATAACTTCAAGTCAAAGAAATGTAGTTAACATGGAAGAGATGGTAAAGATTCAGACTTGTAAATGTTATTTATAGAAATCTTTTTTTAACCTTTGTTTAGAGGAGGGATCCACATCAGAAGATGGGGAAAAGTAAAGCTTGTAACTGGATAATAGATAACACTCAGCACCCAAGGAACTTTGTTGTTTTAAATAAACAAAGTCAAATTTGTATTATCTAACATCCCACTATACTACTCTTTATTTGGGTTATGAAGACTAGTATTTTATTTTTCATAGAAAGTACATAAAGTCTTGATAATTAATTTTGTTCAGTCTCGTAGACCTTTAAAGTATATCTGAAAACACAGAACCGCAAATGTAAGACATATTTCCTAATTTGTAAAAAGTTAAAGCAGATTACAATGATAACATCTGTAAAACAATAAAAATTTAGTAAAAACAATATAAAGAAAAAAACTAAATATTTAAAAGTGATAAGAAAAAAGTTATTTCAAAGGATATCAGCTGAGGGGCACTATAAAAATAAAATTTTCAATTTTATTGTAGAGCCTCCTAGCAGCTAGAGCTGCAAGGGAAACAACACAAGGAGAAGTATGATTCTCATCGCATAGTACAAAGTACATAGTACAAAGAAATATACCAGAAATTAGGGGAGAGAAACTTTCACCTGGACCAGAGATTTAAAGATTTATAATGGGATTCCCCACATAAGACACAGTAAGAATTAAATATATAGCATGCTCATACTTGTGCTACACAATATATATCTGATAAAAATCTGTGTGTTCTTCATATATCTACGTTTGTTTTCGGTTTCTCTATGTTGACCCTTGGTGAGAGTTGAGGACATAATTTTAAAGTGAATTTCTGAAAATACCATCCTGCAAAAGATGAGAGTGTTTTAATGCAGTTTTATTTTGCTGAAAATATTTATTGCAAGGAGAGCTAAAGCTTGCAGGATCTCAAAAAGTGAATAATTATAATACCCCTCATTAGCCTGTACACACCTTGGTTTTCATATTTGCAAAACCTTAAGACCAGACAATTCAAGATTGAGATCACAAGCCAGAACCCGCCAAGCAGGTATGTCATCTTGTTGGTGAAGACAATTGATAACCAAATCTAGCATTGAAGGTAGAGAAAGAACAAAACAGGGACAAGATATAGGACAGTAAGATGCCTTAGCTATTTGGTAAATGTTGAGAGATGGGAAGAAATTTAATATTGAAAGTCTCAATTATCTACTCTAATATTACAAATTATTAAGCACTTAATAAACATAATTTGATGATGAAATAATTCTCTGTGAAAAAGGGTATACACATAGATAAACAAATAGATAATAGATGATGGATAGATAGAAGATAGATGTGTGTATGTATATATATGTATATATGTATGTATGTGTGTAAATATATTATATAATCTGTTATATATGATAATCATATAATCTATAACTTATAGATTATAAAATCATAAGTCTATATTTTATTAAAATATTAAATCTGTTTTATTATATTAAAGCTATATTTTATTATACATTTTAAATATAAAATCTATAACATTTTATAGATTATGAACATATAATCTATAATCTCCCTATTCTGTCTACTTCATAAAGTGATAACCATCTGATAAATCATACATAAAAGTGCTTTGTAAAATATAAAGTGTTATGCTATACACCTTTATTTGTCTTAAGAGTAGTAAAAGAAGTGGTACTAATAATTTAGGAATGGCTAACTCCCACATAATGAATCGTTAGCTTAAAGACTGTAGGGAAAATTGTGTCATGTAATTATAGAGAGAACACGTTTTAGGGAGAAAGCCTACTTCAGAGAATACTCACGCATTCTCAGCACACAGTGCACATCTGTTGTCATATGTTTTCCCATCTGTGCCACAAACAGCTTCATAATAATCAGGACAGATAAAATCCCCATCTCTTTCTCCTTTTTTAAAATCATCACAATTCAGCTGCAAAAGACATGATCAAGGAACGTCAAAATGTAAGAAACAAAATAGTCCTTAGATGTATAAATAGATTAACATTTTAAGCCCACAATAATGTAAATTGCTGGAGAAGAAAAACATATCATGAAGGCTACATTGAGCTAATAAATTTATGGGCAATAAAACATGATCCAAGAACAGATAAAATTAGATTTCAAAAGAAAGAATTTCAGTATTACTTCAGCCACTTGCTGTCTGGGTGAAGTAGGCCACGTCACCACTCTGAAACTTGGCATGTTGTTCGTCTGTCCAATCCTGCCTGCCTTCTCCACAGAGTAGTAGTGAGGCCCAGTAGATTACGGATATGAAAGCTCTAAGTAAACTATAAACTACAGCAAAGTTTCTATTATTATAGATTAGAATAGTAATTAAGAGCAGGATTGCTTGTTTCATATTTCTAAGTCTGCCACTTAAGCTATGGGACTTGGACAAGTTATTTAACACCTCTATGCTTTAGTGTCCTCATGTGCAAAATGGTTATAATTTTGTCAAACTCTCAGGACTATATAGGGATTTACATATGTTAATTCATGTATAGCACTTGGAACAGTGCCTGACACAGAACCATTTATTGTTGTTGTTGTTGTTATTTTCAATGTTTTCTCTACTGACAAGCCAAGTAAACTAAACATCTTTTAGGTACGGCAGGAGAAAGCCCAAATCTCTATTCTAATAATGTGACATACACTTAGGAACAAACCTGATGGTAAAGAAAAACAAATGTACAAAGTAATAACTGAAGACTAGTGTTCAAGTCTCAGACCTGCCACCCACTCACTTCACCTCTTTGCACCTCACTTTCCTCATCAGAAAAATGGAAATTCACACCCTACCTACATTCCAGATTTGCAATAAGGATCAAGTGAATTCTTATGAAACATTATTTGGCAACTTATTATTGTGACATAACCTAGCTAAAAAAGATATAGAGTTAACTTGACTTTAACTTTTACCTAAAACCAAATAATAAAACTGGATAATTTTTCTTTAGAATATCACATTGCAAAATACAACTTCATGTTATCATTGTCAAAATAAAGACATTTTAATGATAAATATGAAACACTTAGAATGTAGACCTATGATGTATCAGTATGTCACATAATATAAAGAATAAAAGTAGGATACAGAAGATCAGGTTGAGAAACTCTTATCTAGAAGGAAAAGAACTGAAAATAGAAAAGAAAAGCTAAAGAACATACTCCACTATTCATATGTTTAGAAAGAAGTTAAAAATACATTGAAAATAAGATAAGCAGTGGCCATATAAGTTATTTCATTCATTCATTTGTTCATTTATTCCACAAAATTTATTACATATTAACTACATTTTAGCACTCTTCTGGACTGTGAAGCTGCCACAGAAAATATAAAATAAAAAAGAGAGAGAGAGAAAAAAATGGAATACATATTCTAAGGAGCTTACATTCTGATAGAAAGAGACAGATATGCACAACAACTATAAATTATAGTAAGTGCTCTCACAAATAAACAGAAAAATACAATAGTGACCAGAATGGGGACTATTTTAGATATAGTGGCAAAAACATTTGAGGGAAGAACATTCTGGGCATAGAGAACGGCAATTGCAAAGGATTTGTGGTGGAAACTAGACTGTCCTTTTTAAGGAATGGACAGAAAGAAGGGAAATGTGACCGAAGCATAAAGAAAAAGCAGGATGGCTCTTGGTTTTCTCTCAAAAATCATTCCTGAAGATACTACAGAAGCATAGGGAAATTACAGATCAAAGTAATTAACTCAAAACAATCACTACTATCCCCCTTCCCCAGAAAATCAACAGCAACGTACTAACTAGGTCACAGGTGTAGAGAGGGGAATGACAGAGCAAGTCAAAAGGCCAGCTGGGGGATGATGAAAACAGGCGCAAGGATATATGACTCCATCTCCTTCCCCTCCAAACCCCTAGGTGGTGGATCACAACCTACAGAAAACACCTCTTCCTAATGTTGACAATGCCTGAGACCTTACAGATAGATTCCTGACCTGGTGAAGTGGCAGCAAGCTGGAGTGGAAAAGAGGGGATTCAGAACCTCCAGCACTGGGTCTTATCTCTTTTTCTATCCTTATACTCACCAGAAGGGCTACAGACTGAAGCTTGACATTGAACACTACCTAACTGAATTTAGCAGAAAAAATAAATACAGCCATTATGGAATATTACAATAAGAATATCTGTATATCTGACAAGTAAAAAATAGAATATACTAAACAACATGTATTAATTGAAGTAGAAATATTGGAATGGGTAGAAAAATATTTTATCAAGTCTAATTATGTTATGGAGAGATAAGAGAAGATATCTGCATAAACAAATGTAAAACAATAACAAGAAAGAAGTTATAAAGGAAGAACAAAGTGGAAATTTTGTATATGGAAAATATTCAAATGATAATAAATCTAGCAATATAAAGAATAAAGATGGGATAGGTACAAATAAATAATGAACTTGTGAACCAGATGATCAGATCAAGGAATTCTCCTAGAAGGCAATGGAAATAAGAAACAATTTTTCTAAAAAAGGAAAAGCTAAAGAACATTTAAAATAGAATTAGAAGTCTCCAAAAGAAGGAAATAAATATAGAAAGAAATATCTGAAGAAAGGAACAATTTCTATAATTAACAAAAAAAGAATAAAAGAGAAAAGCAATAAGAATTTTAAGCTAAAATCAAGTTAATAACAAAATTATATTTACAGAAAATATATGGAGAGTGGATTAACATACATTTGGAGAGAAGACAAAGAAATTGACAATAGACACAGATATTAGCAATAGAATAAATAATCAAAAGTATGGCTATTTGTTTAGGGATAGTCATAATAAGAACAAAAATAAATCACCACCCAAAAAAAGCTAGAAAGAAGAAACTACTAAATATAGTAACCGAAAATATTTTAAAAATGAAAGAACCAAGTCTCACTATAACAGAAATAACAATAAATATAAATGTGCTAAACCTACAAATTAAGAGACAATTGGTAATTTGATGTTTAAAAAAGAACCCATGTATTGAGAAAAATTAAAATGAAAAGGCATGCAAATATCAAACCAGTAAGATAATAAAAATATACAAGACAAAAATGAAGAGGAAGAGAGCATATGCAGCAATATTAACACTTAAAAATTAGAATTGAGTCCAAAAATGTATCATAAGTGACAAAGAAGGACAATATATGAAGTAAAAAATGACAAGAACAAGAACAAGAAAGTATAACAATCATGAGCATATATTCACCTAATAATATAGACTTTAAATATGTCAAACAATAACAAACAGAATGTAATAGACTTAAATAAATCAATAACTGGAGTTAGAGATTTAAGCAAACACTTCTCAGAAATTTATATATTAAGTAAAAAAAAAAGAATATTAAGCCATTAGATTTTTATAGACAACTACAACCAAGAAACAGAAAATAAACATTTTTTAAGAATATATAGGCCGGGCGCGGTGGCTCACGCCTGTAATCCCAGCACTTTGGGAGGCCGAGGCGGGCGGATCACGAGGTCAGGAGATCGAGACCATCCTGGCTAACACGGTGAAACCCTGTCTCTACTAAAAATACAAAAAATTAGCCGGGCGAGGTGGCGGGCGCCTGTAGTCCCAGCTACTCGGGAGGCTGAGGCAGGAGAATGGCGTGAACCCCAGGGGGCGGAGCCTGCAGTGAGCCGAGATTGCGCCACTGCACTCCAGCCTGGGCGACAGCGAGACTCCGTCTCAAAAAAAAAAAAAAAAAAAAAAAAAAAGAATATATAAAACATTCATAAAAGCAGAATATTTGTGAGGTCACAAAGTCTTAAGAAATAACAAATAATCAATACTACATCATTTATATTCTCTGACCAAAATTTAATAAAATTAAAAGCTAATATAAAATATTTAAAAGTTCCACATATTTGAAAATTAGATAATCTATTACTAAATAACATTAGGGGTAGAGAAATTAAGAAGTGTTTGGAAAATAATGATAAATAGAAATACTTAAAGTATAAATCCTGAGATGTATAATTATTAATATCTTCAAAAATATTTGTCATAAATTTTTTAAAAATTAAATTTAAAGAATAAAGTATTCCTCAACCCCATTGTAAAATGAACAGGAACAAACATAAAGAAACAGGAATTAACACCATAGAAAACAGAAACAACAGAGTATATTATCAAACAACCTGATATAAAAGATTTCTAGTAGGACTGACCAAAGAGACAAGTAATATGAAAAGTAAAAATATATGGAATGATAATTAAAAACTACCATATAAATATTGAGACATTAATACGATGAAAGCATTTCATCAGTATCAGTATGCTAATACATTACAAAAACCAAATTGCATATATGACTATGAAAAAGTATAAGATAACTACATTTGTTACACAGGTCAATAAACATTAATCCAATTGATATATTGGTCTGAGATATTCCCACCCCAAAATAACTCAGTCCCAATAGCTTTATAATCTATTTTTCTGAAGGTCTAGGAAATTTTGTATTAAATAATAGTAATGTACAAATCATTCCAAAGCAGTTACAATCATATGAACTGAAAAATAAAATTCTAAACAGCTTTATTGAGGTATTAGTTATATACTATAAAATTCACCCATTGAAAGTGATTCAGTGATTTTTAGTAAATGGAAAGAGTTGTACAGCCATCGCCAGAATCTGGTCTTAAAATATTTTCATCACCCTACGAGATTCCCCTGTGCTTGTGTACAGTATATCCAGCCCCCACCTCCAGCTTCAAGCAATCATTAAACATTTTTCTGACTCTGTAAATTTGCCCTTTTTGGACATTTCATATAAATGGAATTATAAATATGTAATTGTTTAATTCTAGCTTCTTTCACTTTGCATAGTGTTTTTGAAGTTCATCCATATTGCAAAATTGTCAGTAGCACATCCCTTCTAATTGTTGAATAATATTTCACTGTATAAATATATTCCTTTTGTTTATCAATTCACCAGTGGACATTTGGACATTTGGATTGTTTTTAGTTTAGAACTATTAAAAACATTGTTGCTATAAATATTCACATGCCTGACTTTCTATGGACCTGTATTTTCACTTCACTGAATTCCTAGGACTGAATTTTCTGGATCACATGGTCAATCTGTTTAAAATTTTAAGAAGTTCTCAAACTGTGTTCCAATATGGCTGTAACCTTGTATATTACCCCGATCTGACTATATGTGTTCCAGTTTCTCCACACCCTTAACATTTTGCATTTTCTGTCTTTGTGATTATAATCATTCTAGTGGGTACGTGTAGTGATACACCATTGTGGTTTTAATTAGCATTTGCCTAAATAATAACGGTGTTGCGCATCTTGTTGTGTGCTTATTAGCCATTCATATATCTTTGGTGTAATATCTATACTTAATTGAATTGTCTCCTTATAATAAGGTTGTAAGAGGTTTTTATGTTTTGTGGATTTAAGTCCTTACCTGCTATATAGGTTGTGACTATTTTTCTCCCAGTCTATAACTTGCTTTTTCATTGACTTCTTGTTGTCATTTGAAGCACACAAATTTGCAATTTTTATAAATTTCAGTTTATTAATTTTGTATTCATGGATTACGCTTTTAGTTTTATGTCTAAAGTCACTCTACCTACCCAAGTTCATGAATTTTTTTCCTCCTATATTTTACATGAGAAGTTTCATATATTTAGCTTTTACATTTAGTGCCAAAATAAAATTTAAGTTAACTTTTGTGTATGGTATAAGATAAAACTGTTTTTTAAAATTAATTATATTCAATTTTCTCAGCATTACCTTGACATGTTGGTTAAACATTAACTGACCATAAAAGTAAGTAATCCCTATTCTATTCCCCTGATCTTTATGCCTATCTTGAAATAACGGCACGCTGTTATGATCACTATTGCATTATAACAAAATTTAAATTCAGTTACTGTTAAATGTCTCAATATTTTTTATATAACTAGTAGGATCAACTGCTCTATTTCTACCAAAAAGAAAGACTGACAAGATTTTGATTGGGAATATGTTTAATTTATTGATTAATATTGGGAAAATTGCCATCTCAACAATATTGAGTTTTCTCATCTATGAACATGGACTATTTATCTCACTAGTTATTTGGATCTTTCATTTTTCTCAGTACCATTTTATAGTTTTTAGTGTATAAGTCTTGTACTCATTTTGTTAAATTCATTTCCACATTTTTTATGCTATCGTGAATGAAATATTTTAATTTTCAAATTGTTCATTGCTAGTATATAGAAATACAATTTTGTATTATTAATCTTGCACACCGAAATCTTACTAAACTCATTTATTAGTTCTAGTAATTTTTCTTTTTGTGGATCCCTAGAACTTTTCATATATGGTATCATGTTTTGGAATTAAAGACAGTTGCTTCATTTCCAATAAAAAGTGTCTTTAATTAATTAATTAATTAATTTTGCCTTATACTGGCTAAGAACCTCCAGTACAATGTTGAATAGGAGTGGTGACAGTAAACCACCCTTTGCTTTCTTCTCAATCCTAAGGGCAAAGCATTCATTCTCTAACCATTAATTATAATGTTAGTTGTAGGTTTTTCACAGACGTTCTTTATCAGACTGAAAAAGCTTACTTCTATTGATAATATTTTGTGTGAGTTTTCATCTTGAATGAGTGCTGGATTTTAATAAGTGATTTTTCAACATCTATTAAGATAATCATGTGGTTTTGCCCTTTATTCTGTTAATATTGTGTATTAGACTAATAGATTTTCTGTTCCCAAACCAACATTGCTTTCTTGGGATAATTCTTATTTGGTAATGATTTATTTTTTTCATATTGCAGATTCATTTGCCAGCCAGTGTCTTGTTAAGGATTTTTCTGTCTATGTTTATGAGGAATATTTGTCAGTAGTTTTCTGCTTTTGTGATGTCTTCTACATTTTGTATCAGAATAATGCTGGACTGATATAATGAGCTGTAAAGTGTCTCTTCTTCCTGAATGAATCTGTAAAGAATTCATATTATTTCTCCTTTCAGTATATAATGGAAATTGCCAATAAAGTCATCTGCTCTTGGGCATTTTTTTAAATTTAATTACTGATTCAATGTCTTTACTTATGCTGTAAGTCTATTATGATTTTCCATTTCTTCTTGGGTCAATTTTCAATAATTTGGTTATTTCTAGGAATTTTTCTATTTCATCTAAGTTATTTAATGTGGTGGCATAATATTTTTCATAATATTCATCATAAGCCTTGTAGTTTCTCCAGGGCACATACTGATGTCTCCTATTTCACTCTTGATTTTGGTAATGTTTGTCTTCTGTTCTTTTCTTGAAGGGAAAATAAAACTAAGGGTTTGTCAGGTTTGTTGATCTTTTCAAAGAACCAACATTGGTTTTATTAATTTTTTCTATTATTTGTATGTTTTGTGTTTTACTAATTTCTGCTCCAATCCTTATATGTTTCTTCTTCTGCTTGCTTTGGGTTTAGTTTGCTAAACTTTGTTTTCTAATATTCTCAAGGTAGAGGATTAAATTATTGAATCCTATCTCTTATTTCTGATTAAGCCATTTAAATCTCTAGAAAGTGCTTTAGACAAGTCCAGTAAGTCTTAAATTGTTGTCTTTTTGTTTTCATTCAATTCAAATTATTTTCCAATTTCTCTCAAGATTGTTTCTTTAACCCACCAATTATCCAGAAGTGTGTTGCCTAATTTCTAAAGATTTGGGGATTTTCACGATTCATTTTCCTTGCTGGGTTTGAATTCAACTCTGTTGTGGTTAAAAAAAAATACTATATATGATTTTAATATATTAAAATTTATTATGTTTGTACCTTAGTATATAGTGTATCCTGAAAATGTTCCTCTGTTGCTTTAAAATAATACATATTCTACAATCAACGGAGAAGCACTGTCTATATTTCAGTTTAGGTTGAATTAGTTGATAGTATTCTTCAAGTATTCTATTTGGTCATATTTAGTCTAGCTGTTCTATCAGTATTTTAAGTGGAGTATTGAAATTCCTAACGATTATTTTTGAATTCTTCATTTCTTTTCATTTCTTTTAATTATAGCATTTTTTGTTATATAAATTTGGAGCCTCTATTAGGTGTGTATACATTTATCATTGTTATATTGCTTAACGTATTGACACTTTTAAAGTTACAAAATATCCCTATTTGTCTCTAATAATGTCTTAATGTCTATTTTATCACATATTAATATAGCCAATCCTGCTCTCTTACGGTTAAACTTAGCATGGTACCGATCTGTTATCATTTCAACTATTTGTGTCTTTGAATCTAAGGAGCACCTACTGGAGATAGCTTATAGTTCCTTTGTTATCATTTGACAATTTCTGCATTTTGATTGGGATGTTTAAACCATTTATGTTTAATATAATCACTTTTATGGTTGTATTTACATTTCTACTTTTCTATTTGTTTTCAATATGCTTTTGTCTTTTTTTGCTTCTCTGTTCTACTACCATCTTGTTTTGGGTTAAATATTTCTAGTACACCTTTATAATTCCTTTGTTGATGTTATATATTTATTATATATGCTATTTTCTTAGTAGCTACTCTAGTAATTACAATATGCACCTTAATTTATTACAAACCACTTCAGAATAATACTTAATCCTGGTAAAATAGAGAAACTTTGCCTTAATAAAGCTTTATTTTCTCTATCACCCTTTATGCTATTGTTGTCATATATATATATATATATATATACCTGATAAAACAGCATTATAATTGTTGCCTTATATATTAAGATTATTTCTTTTAAAAAGGCTAAGAGATTAACTCAATTTTCACTATTTCTGGTGCTTTTCATTTCTGTCTGTAGGTCCAAGCTACCATCTGGTAGTTATTTCCTTTCAGCTAAATGACCTCCTTCATTATTATTTTTAAGGTAGTTGTGTTAACAACAAAGTCTCTCAGATTTCTTTAGTACAGTAATATCTTTATTTTGTTTTAATTTTTGTAGGATAGCTTTTGAGAATATAGAATATTGCTTAATCTTTTTTTTCTTTCAGCATTCTGAACATGTCATTTTACTGCCTTCCGGCCTTCATTATTTTAGATGAGGGGCCAGCTTTTAATTGTATACAGCCTGTATATAGGATGTGTCATTTTTCTCTTGCCACTTTCTAAATTTTCTCTTTGTTTTTTTTTTTTATTTCAACATTTTAATCATGATGAGCCATATGTGGATCTCTTCATATTTATCCTATTTGGGGTGTATTGAGTTTCTTAAATGTTAAAATTAATTTTTTTCCATCAAATTTAAGGCATCTTAGGCCATTGTTTCTTCAAATAATTTTTGTATTCCTTTTTCTCTCACCTCTATTTGTGGTATTCCCATTATGCATATGTTGGCTTTCTTGCTGCTGTCTCAAAAAGTGTATAATTTTGTTCATTTTTCTTCTCTATTGTCTGTCTCTGTATTTCCATTGTTAGTTTTTATTAAGCTTTCCTCAAGTTTGGTAATTCCCTTTTTTAAGGATTCACAAATCTGCTTCTGAGCCTCTCTACTGAACTTTTCATTTCAGTTATTGTGCCCTTCAACTCCAGAATTTTCATTGGGTCTTTTTAAAAATTATTCTGTCTTTTCATTGAAAGTTTTTATCGGCTTATTCATTGTTATTATACTTTCTTGTGAACCCTCAAACATGATTTTTTTTAGTATCCTGAATACATTTTTAATAGTTGCTTCAAGTCTTTGTCTGCCACATCTAACATCTGTACACAGTTAAAGACAAACTCCATTAATTATTTTTCTTGAGTATGGGTTGTATATTCTTGTTACTTTGAAAATTTTATAACTTTTGGTGAAAACTGACATTTTTTTAACCTCACTAACGTGGATTATAAAAACTGAACATTTTGATTATAAAAACAACATTTTAGATAATATAGGTACTCAGGTTTACAATTTTTTCTTTAAAGATTATTTTCACTGCTTTTTTATTCTTTTTTTGCTTCTGTGGCTGGATTAAATCTTTGAAATCTTCCTCTCTCATAATTGCAGCTGCTGATGTGCAGCTAAGAAAATGATAGTTTCTATCATGGTTATTTTTTAAGCCTGGCTTCCTATGTTTTTCCCCTATGTTTTTGTAGTTTAATGGTCAGCTAAGGATTTAACACAGTTTGTGTTCAAATACTTCAAGCTAACAATGCTTTCACCCTCTCAGATAGACCTTTGTGTACAGGGGAGGGCATGCAAAGTTCAGGCCACTTTTGCATCTACTCCAGCATTTGCTTCTCACTGGGACATTTTGTGTTTATTAAGCGGATATGCGCAGCTTTATAGTCAGTTAGGAGTTTGCGAATCTCTTGACCCTCTTTGGGCTCTTTCAACTACGTGTGAAGGCTCAGCCAGGAATACACTTGCTTCAATTATGACTGCAACCTCAGACCATTTTCCTTACCCTTGGTGAAGATTATCACTTACACTGAAAACACCTCTGGGTATGACTTTTGCTCGTTACTCCAAATTAGGTTAGCCTTCTTCAACAATGGCAATGCCTTTGCTGACCTTTGTACCCTGTATAGAACCTCCATGCCAACCAAGCCAGGGGATGAAATGGGAATATCCCTGAGCAAGAACATCACAGACCTCTCGTTTTATTCCTAAAGTCAGCAGTTTTTCAAGATAAATGCTTCTCAGATTGGTATAGACTGCTGATCAATTTTCAGATTGCTAAAATGGTTTTTGGTCAATTTTGTCTAGCTTTATAGTTGCTTTCTGAGGAGAGGATCTGCTGACCACCTGATTTAGTCAGAGTCTAAAGTGTCACACCTTAGGATAATTTTATGTAAATTCCCAAGCCAGATAAGAATTATTTAAAAGATAAAAGTGGAGATTCACCTTACTTAAGAACATAATTGCAAATTTTCTAATTAAGATATTAGTATCCAAATTCATAAATTTATTTAAAATATATTATAAAGTATGATTTACTCTAAGAAAATAATAATAGTTTAATATTAAGAAATATATCCAGAAATTTATTTATATTAATAGACTAAAAAATCAAATTATTTTAATAGTTGCAAAGAAGACTTTTAATAATAAGCAACACATATTCAGCAAACTAAAAATAGAAAGGAATTTTCCAAACTTGCTGAAGTGTAGAGGTAAAAACCGCTATGATAAATATTACATTCAATGGAGAAACTTTAGAGGTATTCCCTTTAATATGAAGAGACAAGGGGATTATTTGATGTTCATTACCATCACTAGTGTTTAACTATTGAAGTCTGGATCCTTTACCAATTATATAAGAAAAGAAAGAAAGATGTGCTAAGATTGAAAGGAATATTATAAAACTCTTGTTATATGTAGGTAATATGATCAACTACCAAGAACAAAAACAAAAGTTGTCTGACATAAGATTAACCTGAAGAAATCAATAGAATTTGTCTATATCAACAATAAACAGATAAAACACAATAAAAAACAAAATATATTCAAAATAGTAATAAATTTACACATTTTAAAAATATTAACAAAAATTATAAAAATCTGAATATTTTGTAAATTTTATAAAGTAGATCAAAATTATATGACTTATTCATAAACTATTCTATGCTCATGAGTTTAGAAAATTAATACTGTAAAAAGTCAATTTTACCCCAATTAATTTACAAATTCTTTGTATCCATAAACACACTGGGTTACCAAATTCAAGATGAAGTTTTTATAAACTCAGTTATTTTTATCTCTAACATGTATATGGAAACCATATATCTATGCATAGGTCCCATCAACCTTTAACAACATGAACTAAGAAGGGGGACTTACCATACTAGTTATTAAAGCAATAAATGAATCTGAAAAAAGAGGGACCTCAGAAACACACAGACTCGTGTGAACTTAATATTCTATAAAGTTGGCAACCTAAATCATGATAAACATTGAATGAATGAATTCATCAATTAAAAAAACAAGTCTTTACATGTACCAAAACACCAGAGATCAGAAATTATGGATGACTGGATTGAGATGGTAGGGATGGAAATGGAGAAAAGGAGTTAGACTTTGGAGGCAGTACCAACAAGACTTGTTAATGGAGGGAATACTAGAGTCGGGAAATGAAAGGATGACATACTAGTGAAAAGAAAATTAGTGATGAAAGAGAGAGTGAGAGGATGTCTGTAGGAGGAAACTCCTTGAAATGCAGAGCACCTTATTCTGAGAGGGAGTAGCAGGGTTGATTTCTGATGGGCGGAGTCTAAGCAGAAAAAATCAGCACATTGTTCTGTTTTATAGTGGAGAGAAAAACAACAACAACAAAAAACACATGGTATAATTGGATGAATCCTTTTAAATACAGAGACAAGGAAAAATTTAGACAGAACTTATTTGAAAGGCACACAGCCAAATGTTAACTGCCTTAACTTAATGTAAGTTACTACTTGGTTATGTAAGTAGTTTCCTAAGTAGTGAACCACATCGCTATTAAGAGTTTTATCTAGAGGGTTTTTTTTTTTTTTACAGTTTTGTGTGTGTGTGTGTGTGTGTGTGTGTGTGTGTGTGTGTGTGTGTGTGACTCAGGCATAATATATTAACAAAAAGTAATTTTATTTCTTAAGACTGTAATTTTATTTTTTAAAACTCCTACTTTATTAAACTTCAATAAATTTGTGTCTACATATGGAAACATCTAACTAGCTATATTTTTTAGATAGGTTTGTTAAAATTGGTATGTTTGTGTGTATTTTGCTTTTTTGTCATTTCCTCATATTTTATATTTTTAAACACTATAGATATATCATTTTTTTATGATGAAGACAGAGGAGGAAGAGGAGAATGGATGTTAGAAAGTGAGCCACTCTTTGAATGTGACAAATAAGACACATATAAAGTTGCCACTAAACCTTTCTGGCCCCCACAGATTTTGTAGAATATAAAAGTAGCTCTCTTTTGCTACAGATAAAGAGTTTTCAATTATGGATCAATTTTGTGGTGTCTGTTATTGTTTTAAAAGTGAGACTGGTTGAGCCCAGGCAAATAATTTAGTAGACTATGTTTACTGTGGAGGCTGAGGTTCTCAGATGTTCTTGGCTAACACTGCCAAGGAAGATGTCAGCGTTGTTAGACCATGGATGTTATAAGTAATTAAGGTGTACTAACCTTGACTGATTATTTTAATTACGTGTTGGGGCCAGCAGAGAAGGAAAAGAAAGTGGAAATTAGTGAAGAAACTGCATAGGAGACCTGGGGTGATGTGAGTAGTGGTTAGAATAGCTGGTGGTAGTCCCAGCTTTGTCAGTAACCCATTTGTGAGATATTGTAGGCTAGATATATATTTCCACCAATCTGGACCCCAAATTTTTATTTTTTAAATTTTATTTTTATAATTTTGTAAAGATTTTAAAAATGTTTCTAAGTGAAAAAAATTATCAAGTGAAATGGTTTATATAGTAGGATAAATTTGCAGTTTCTTTCCTTCCTTCTATCTTACTTCTTAATGTTTTATGACCTTTTTTTTTTTTTACCAGAGAACACTTTTCTTAAACAAAATATTAGCCTGAGTCCCTGTCTGCAAAATAGATATAAACAAGCAACTATAGTTGAATTAGGAGGACCCTCCAGGTACTGGAACATATACAGTAAAAAGCAAAAGAGTAAAAGAAAAAGGAAACAGAATGAGTCAAATGCCTGCTAGAACATGTTAAACCCTGAGACCGGCTTTTAAAACTTAGTTTCTATTCGGTCTAAAACTCATTTTACAGATGAAAACATTGAGATCCAGAGATACATAAATTTTCTAAGTTACACAAGCAATAAGAATTCTAAGATTTGAACTTAGTTCTACAGTCCCAGGAAAGCTCTTCTTTGGGCTAAGACAGGACAAGAGGAATGAGAAATGATGGCCTTGGAAGGCAGACATCACACTGGCTCACTCCACCTCTTAGTTTCCGTCAGTGCCTAAAATGTTTTTAGAGTCGGATCATGGGTTGGGCCTATGGACAAGATGTACCAGATATTTAGCCCACCCCTGGACTAACCCATGTTCCCTCCCTCCTAAGTTGTTGGCTTCAAAACAGGTATGACCTAGTAATTAAGGAATAAACAGATAGCTCTAAATAGAGTCAAACATCCTCTCAAAAGTAAACAGGTTGGCTCCAAATAGTCTCACCTCTGTTGGGGCAGTAGCCTTGGGAGCTCTTGCTAAATGCCTGGCCCTCTTCTGTGATTTTGCTTCTTTTTCCCTGGAAAAGGACAAGAAATAGCATAGTTTAAACATTGTTTGCTCAACTTTTAACAATAACAGCTAACATGGTAAACTTAATTTTAACTGCTCTCCTCAGCCTAGCCTGGCATGTCAAAATTGGTAGCATGTTCAGAAGTGGACACAGAACCCCAGATCTCCCTTCAACATTGAAAAATATCTCGAACATGGTATTATAGGAAGAATCTCTAACTTTAACTGCATAACAGACTACCTTCCTGGAATACTTCCAACAGCCAGGTGGTCACCAACTCTCAAAGCTATCTGCACCATTTTTTGAATGCAGTTTTTGAAAGAGAATATTCACATTGAACCTGCTTATATTGGTTCTAATTCCAACATCTAGGGACCCACAGAGCAAATCAATTTTCTTTTCCATAAGCCAGTTCTTTAGGAATCTGATGACAGCTTTTATGCTTTGCACAGCCTCCTTCTTTCCAGGTAAAAAAAAAAATTTTATTCTAACATAATTTACGTAAGTCATAAAAATAATAATTGAATAACTTCAAAATGATAAACTGTCTTTAGACTCTTAAGGCATTTCATTTTTGTTTTACATTATTTTTCAGTAAATTTATTATATTCATACTTTCAGTCTCATATTAAAACATCTTATGAAACAAGAAGAAAATTTTATAATAAATAATATACCTGCTGGTTTACATTCAGCTTTCAAAAAAAGAAAGAATTATTCAACCTGCCCTAGGCCTCCCATCCTCTATTAAATCTTGTCCTGGCTTCTTTATAGTCTCACAGTCTCTTCACTAGAAGCAGTGCATGATCAAACGATCTGAGCTTCATTATCCCAATATGATTGACTACGTCAATCCCCAAATTAAATCCTGTGACACACACCAACCTGACATTTAAAAAGCCAATTGTAATATAATTATCCTAAGTGGGTAAGCTCAGTATTGGCTTGCTACCACTGTTGAAGTTTTGACAGTGGTCAGAAATTGAGGCTAACCTTCCTTTTCAAAAACAAATTAGGACATTCTGGTTTGAGGATTTGCAATTGATAACCCAAGCCTTCTTTTACCTTTGGGGTGACAATGGAGAGAAGGAAACCAAGTTAAGAAGCATTGAATAGAGATTGGTAAACTTCCAGGATACTAATTCTTTCTGAGCTGCAAGGAGTTGGAAACTATAATCTACCCTTTAGTTCATCTCATCCTAGAATAATGCTAGGTGTCTAAAGACACTGGCAGCTCACAGAATCAGGGTATACCTTGCTTAAGTCCTTCTGCTGGTTGGCTGTCACGGGAGAGTCTGGCATTATGCTTAAGCCAATCTTCTCAGTCCCTAGGCTGCAACAGAATCAGGTCTTAACAGGCCCAAGGAATCTGACTTTCTTTGTCAAATTCATTTTTTTCCAAAACCAGGAAGTTCAAAGTGGAACTACATCCTCAAAAGACTATAGAGTGCTACAGAAGGTATTGACACTGGGCCCTCTGGAATGCTTTCAGAATCTTGTTTGAGTGATTATTAAAATCTTTCCAGGTGGGTGGTAATTATCCAACTTTATCTGATGGGAAATGTCAGAGTGATCTGCTCAGCACTTTTATTTAACCATTTCGGTTTAGAAAAATGCACTTGAAAGAAAAAGAATACATTTACCAGTTCAGAGACTAGCTGTTAACTCAAACATTGGAAAGAAAGAAAGAAACCTTTACTCACAGTATCATTTTGCACGTGGCACATTTATTGATGAACATTATTCCATCAAGACTTTGAAAAAATTTCTTATCCTGGGGACAGAACAGTTTTCCATTTTTCATAAATGCCTGAAATTCATGGCACATTTCCTAAGATAATGCCAAAAAAGTTGTGTTAGCTAAAAGTACATCAAAACAAGCTTTATTTTGATATATATATGTAGATATATGTATATGTCTGCATATATATACACACACAATTCCAAGGTTTTTTGAAGATTAAGTATGTAAAGCCCTCAAAGAATGCCTGATACATAGTAGATATTCAATTAATAAATTATCCTCCTTCCTTCTTCCTCCTTTTTTATTATTATTGTTTTGATGTTGCTGGTGATTGTCAGTATTATTACTGGAATATGCTAAGATGACACATATAAAATACCTAGTACACAGTAGGCCAATAGTAATTGCTGTGAAAGGAATATGAAAATGTTGCTGAAGGACTGAGGCAAGGTGTTTGAGCATTGAACATTATAAAATGTCTGCCTACATTTCCCCATGGCTGTACTGCAACATATCAGTTCCTAGAAATTTTAACAGTGTTAAATGAAAAAAGGATTTCTTGGTTATATTTATCTGGAAAACAAGTTTCTAGACTGGTTTATTTTCTGAAAAGAACTTCATGTCCCTTGATAAATCATTTGACTTATGAGCACAGGCAGACTTACCTTAAAGCTAATAAAGCTTAAGATTCAGGGCCCTTCACTGTCACATCCCCCTTCCGAGGTTCTGGGAGAGGCCTAACCATTTTGCATTTTCAAATTTGTATTATATTTTTTAGAAAGTACCCATACTTCCACCCCCACCACCATCCCCACAAATGTCATCAGCACTACTATCACTACCATCAGAATCAAACCTTGTGAATCTATGGAAGTACTGAGGAAATTTCTCAATAATTGCATAAGGCTTTCTCTCTCTTTCTCTCTCTTTCTCTCTCTCTCTGGTAATTTTTTTTTTGGCACATCCCTTGGAACTAAAATCCTACTATGTTTGTTTTGGGCTTTTGGTTTTGTAAATACCAATAACTCCGTTATACAAAGTTTAAGGAGGACAGGGGAAACATTTTAAATAATAGAATTGGTGGGGAAAAGGAAAGTAGAATGATCTTCAAAAGTGGTAATTCTTTGATTCATTCAATATTAAATATTAATAAATAATATTAAATATTATTATTAAAGTCCTGCTATACATCACTCATTCTTTTTTAGGAGCTTAAAATATGGTGCATTTCTGCTACCTAGTAAAGTATGATTTTAAAATGTTATATTCCCTTTTAATTTAGAAAATTCACTAGGTATTTATTTATCTTTAGATGGAGTCTTGCTCTATCGCCCAGGCTGGAGTGCAGTGGCATGATCTTGGCTCACTGCAACCTCTACCTCCCAGGTTCAAGAGGTTGTCCTGCCTGAGCCCCCTGAGTAGCTGGGATTACAGGTGCATGCTACCACATCTAGGTAATTTTTGTATTTTTAGCAGAGATGGGATTTCACCATGTTGGGCAGGCTGATCTCGAACTCCTGACCTCAAATGATACACCTGCCTCAGCCTCCCAAAGTGCTGGAATTACAAGCATGAGCCACTGTACCCAGTGAAAATTCACTAGGTCTTTAGAATAGGCCTTTGGAATCTAAGGGGATTTTTGTTGTTTTTTGTTTTGATTTTTTTTAATCTGCTTCAAGTTGCTTGTATCAGGAAACAAATAAACAAAGCTTTTGCTTCAACTCTGACAAACACAACCTGTTCCAAAAAATTTATTAAAGGTTTCTATTTAGGCTCCTATATCTATATCTGGTGTTTTGTGCTTGTTTTTTCTTTCTTTCTTTCTTTCTTTTTTTTTTTTTTTTTTTTTTTTTTTGGAGAGGCAGGGTCTCACTACATCGCCCAGGCTGGTCTTGAACTCCAGTAGTCTCCTATATCTTTATGATCATCATTGAATGAGCCAGCAATCACTTATTATTGGATTACTATACTTTGCTAGGTGACATAGATACAGCATTAGGTAGAACAGAAGTATACTTGCCTGGATGAATAATGATGTACTTAATCTAGCCTCTTAAAAATGGTAGGCAGTTGGTAGCACTTGCAAAATGATTAATGGTGAAGGAGAATAACTAAACGATATCACAGACCAGCCCTGGGAAATTTAGCTAAGGATGGCATGCTTAAATATCTCTAAGATTATTATAGCTACACAGTGACTCCATCAGAGTAGCAGAGTAGTAATTTCTGGACACAGATTAATAACTGGGCATCTTGAGACCTGTCTGATCTCTGATTCTACAGTATCAAATGCCAACTTTGCAAGTTATGCTTACCTTGATGAATATAATTGATCCTAAAATCCATATAGTAGAATCAGAGAAGAGCCTGGGGTCTTTGTAATGAAAATATATCCCTTATTAAGTAAGTCTTATAGAAAGTATATAGACGACTCATGATAATCCTGGAATAAAGCTCTAAATAATTTTGAAAGCTTATCATAAAAGAGTAGCATCAGGCCAGGTGCAGTGGCTCATGGCTGTAACTCAGCAATTTTGGATGCAAAGGGAGGAGGATTGCTTGAAGCCAGAAGTTCAAGATCCTCCTGGGAAATATAATGAGACCTTGTCTCTACTTATAAGAAAAATTAAAGAGTTGCATCAATAAGAATAATCCCTAAATTGGACTTCTCCAATATCACTGTTAGATGAGAACTTAATTCCTAGAAAGACTCCCTTTCTTACAAACTGAGCATCAGAGGCCCAAATAATAGGTTAAGAAATTTGTTCACAGTGATTAATTAGTTAAGATGAGATTCAATGCTATTTTTCTGAGTTATGAAATTATCCAATGTATTCTCTTGGGAAACAGGAAAAGACCATAAAAATGGAAAGCAGCAGTTGAGTTTTTCTCTGAGCAAAATGGAATACCCTTTCAATGACCATAATAGAGAGGGTTGAAACAGAAGCATATTTAGACCAAAAGTCATCCTGAGTTGAGTAGATGACTTTTCAGCACCTGTTTACTTGCAGGGTAACTTCCAGTCCCTGGCCTGTTTTTGTTTTGTTTTGTTACTGTTGCTGTTATTCTCTTTTTCTCAGCATGTCCCAGGAAAACTGGAGCCCTCTAGGGCCAAGTTCTTCCTGTTTCCCTCACTGGCTGAGGCCTAATTTGTTGTCTTCTATTGTCCATCTCCAGATATTATAATAAAACCCTCCAGGAGCTGCCATTGCCCTATCTCAGTGTTAGAGCACTGACCAGCTTGCTTTTGCCTGAAGAATGACTCTTAGGTGATGACAAATTTAAGCATGCTTAAGATCCTTGCAGATTGCTGCAGTGCTTTTCCCTGCTGTTTAGGTTCATGTTTATGACATTTAACATGCTTTTATCATGCTGAAAGGAACCCAAGCTACTAAACTTGGAAAATAACCAAAATCACAGCATCGTAAAAAAGACTACATCAATAGTTTTCATTTCTGACACAGTATCCAAAAACTCTGATTAGAAAGGCTTCCAAATAAATAATTACTTCTTTGTGTTCTTGCCTTTAATACCAAATATAAGAAGTCACTAAATTTGTTTTTAAAATATTTTTCAGTGAAATAGAGGTTAATGCTATGAAAAATAGCAGTGTAAAATTCACAGTATCTGCCATAAATCACCAACCATCATCACGGACTCTGAAAAAGAAAATGATGGTTTTATACACAATGATATTTATATAATATCCTTCTTTTTTCCCAGTATAAAACTTCCAAGTGAGCATGCTCTCTGATTCCCAAATGTCTAGCTTATTTTCTACTCTACTGAACTTTCTGGACCTCTCCCTATCAGTAAACTTAGATGAAATAGTAGAGAACATGATAAAATTCTCTAGAACACTCATGTAAGAAGTTTCTTTAAAAAAAATCATTGCAACAAAATACGGCAAGAGAGTATTTTAACCATGGTTCTCAGAGTTTCAACGTAAAGAATAGCTGTTTCACATTTTTATTCCTTTAATGTTCGTGGCCAGAGATAAAACAAATTTTGCCACATATTCAGCAAAACATTTAAGATTGTGCTTTAAGTGCTGAATTAATAGCATGCATAGCAGTGTGTGTGTATATAAATATATAAAATGTGTGTGTGTGAGTAATTGGTCATCCTATCTTTCAAATAGATTAAAAAATTTAACTTCTAGTAGAAAATGATTTTTTAATTTATCAAACAAAAGAGGTTTAAGAGTTGGTAAAGCACCTTCTTGCGTCAGGGCCTCTGCGCTCACAGGTGCTTCTGTCTGGCCTGCTGTAAACTGCAAATACCTTCGTGGTTCATTCCCTTATGACCTTCAGATTCCTATTCTAATACTGTCTGTCCAGAGAGAACTTCCCTGATTATCCTTATGAGAATGGATACCACCTCCATTCTCAGGGATCCTATTATGCCTCCTGATTTATTTTTCTCCTAGCATTTATCATTATTTAACGTACCATATGTTTTGCTAAGCTACTTATTAATTTGTCTGTTTTCCTACACTAAAACGTAATTTTCAGGGCAGGAATTTCATCTATTTTGTTTACTTAAAAATAACCCCAGCATCTCAAACAGGGTCTGACATCTAAGAGATGCTCAATAAATATTCATTACATGAACTATATACACCGACTATATACAAGATACAGACCACCCTCTTTTGCATAATGATTACTAGAAAATTTATTTCAGCTTCCTATGTGGTGTATCATGGCTTGTTGAGATGTTAAATGGAACAATAGTAGTTTTCCAGTTGATTTATTTTTTGTTTATGAAATTTTAAAATGCTCCTTTAACATGATAAATTGCCTCTTGCAGACATCCATCATCATTAATATGTTGAGTGTGTGTGTGTGTGTGTGTGTGTGTGAGAGAGAGGCTCATGTCCTGATTCATAAAAATCTGTTTCTGTGTTTTTAACAAAAGCTATTAGTACCTACCAGTATAATATGTTTGTATTATTAACATGAAGGTGTTGGCCACAAACCACTTTTCTTTGGGAATCTTGGAATGAATTCAATGAACAGAAAAAGCAGGACTAACCTGATCTTCATTCTTACTGGCAGCATCTGGGATGAAAATATAGAAACCAAAGTTAAGGAAATGTAAAATATTTAATAAACAAAACAAATAATCCATTTAATGCAGCATCTTGATTGCTTTAATGACAATATGTTGTAAAACCGCAAATGGTTTTTGAACACATTAAGATTTATCATGGCAAATAAAAGAAGGGCACTGGACCAGGAGATTAGTATATATACTCACAAAGGTCTAATCACTCAGAAAGTTACAATTACTTTGGAAAATAATACTCATGTGAATTCTAACCCCATCAAAATAGCTTATCTTCAAAAGGTCCTTTCGGAGTAATAAATGCCAGCCTCCCTTTTAAAATTACAATATAACATACACACAAAATACTATACCAATTATAATTTTGAAACTATATTATAGTTGAAACTATAATATAGCATTACATTTATAGGATATATACATAAAATTTAATTTTCTGAATTCTGGCAGCTCTACCTCCTTATTACAGCTGCAAAAGTTAGAGATCTGACAGAAGGTAAGATTAAGGTCACAGGCTATTATACTCTCTCATTAACATAGGCTCTTTTGTACCTACACACCTATTTTAGGAAAATGGGCATTATTTGTATATGATTTCAGACTATCTATGAGTTTCTCTTTTTAAAAATTTTAATGTTTCAGAGCAACGTAAGTCTAGGCAATTTGTGTTCTCTTAGGGTTAAATAGCAAATATAAAAATCTACCTTCCAGCTCCCACAAAAGTCCCTCACTCTTTGGGAGAAATGCTTTCAACCCATTTAGCATTTGAAAACACAAGACTAAAATAAGCTAGAAGATACCACTGCTTTAAAATAAGAACAGATGATTGAATTTTAAAAAATATTTCATTTATACCTATAACATTAAAATACATATATTATTTACAATTAAGTTTTAAATGTCTATTACATATATAAGAATATGCATTATGAATTGATACATTTAGCAAGAGGAAGATGAAGAAGAATCTATTCAGTTTTCTGAATTAATAAAGAATTAATGGAAGAATTTCTCATGGTTAGAAAATTCAGATTATCTCAAACTACTTGCCATTTCTAAAGATAACAACATAATTATAAAGCCACATATATAAATCTTCAGAACTCTGTGTCTGGCAAGACATTTCAGGATTATACATGCATACGTAAACATTTTTTGGCAGGAGTAGGGGGAGAAAAGTCCCTTCCCCAGGGCTTTGAGATGTGTGGCAAGAGGCTTAGATTACACACAAATTGCTCACCTTGTATGAGGCAAAGAGCCAAGGGCAGAAGCACTGACACTGTGGCTATCTTCATGTTGAAGACGATGCAAGTCGCCTACAGGTCCACTCCATGCATTGCTCAGCTGGTGCAGTATGACTGAACTCGGGGCGATGCAGTTTACTTTTATAAAGCACTGGTGACACCCACATAAAACCAGTTGTTCAAGGTCATGGGACTTATATACCACACCACTTTAGCTTCCATCCTTTAGGATCCTGTCAGGGTGTCAGGTTTGAACAGAGAATATCTATTTCTAAAGTAGGAATGTTCTTTCATGGTACCTCCCCCAGAACGCAATTGATGGAGTCCACAGACCCTACTCAAAGTTGAATATTCTATAATCCTATATAATAACCGAATTCCTCAGAAATACCAGATATACTACCTCGTAGACAAACATGTTTCTGACTGGACTCCCTTCATAAGTGGGAGAGGAGAGGAAAGGAAGACAGATTGGTTGTCCTACCAGTCAGGTATAGATTTAAAGATTTCCACATCCAGAGAAATCCAGGGTTCCTGTTCTGAAGTGTCTGAGTTCAGTGTCACAGACTCATATATATGTTAGAGTTGAACGACCCTAAAAGATAACCTGGCAAAATTCTAATGTTGAATATATAGGGAGGCAGGAACTCAGAGGAGCAATGACTTTCTCATAAGCAGACAGTTTAGTTGGAGCAGGCAGAGGAGGCATCCAGCACTTGCAAGCAGACCACACATATAACATTCTTTCCTCTCTGTACACTGCTTCATCCTTAGACATTAGAAAAGGCAGGAACGTTGGAAAAATAAAACTTGTATGTAACTACTTTTAAAACTTCTCAATCTGCAGGATATTTTATATTCTGAAGCCTTATTTTATATCCTAGCCAAACATCATAATCATAAACATTGGAGACTCAGTTTAACTTTCCATAGCCTATGATTACCCATATTACCGTTTGAAAAATTTGGCTCAATCAGTTTTCTCTAAATCATATTTCTTCCTGTATCATCCCATTATTTAGTCTCCCAAAAAGAAAAGAAGAAAAAAGTTGTTAACAATTATAAATGTGTAAATGTAACATTTTTCTAGAGAAAGTTTCTTCTCTTTAGTTGCTTCTTTCATCCTACAAGTAACACCTTTTTTCTACCAGCTTATTTTGCCCTAATAGCTTAAGAAAGCACCTGAAGAAACATGTGAAGATGACTGAAACCAGAGCCAAATTGTTTCATTCCAGTACTTCTCAAGATATTCACATCCACAGAAGAAAAGTTCGAGACTTTATCCAATTAAAGGCCTTTTTATGATGGTTCCAGAAAACTGATCAAAGTTGCCCAACTTAGGGAGTATGCCAATATTATGAGATTTATCACAGTGAGATAATACGTCCTTTCTTTTTTCTCTCATGAAATAATTTATTTCCTATAAAAATATAATCACTGGGCCAGGCACAGTGTATCACGCCTGTAATCCCAGCACTTTGGGAGGCCAAGGCTGGCGGATCATGAGGTCAGGAGATCGAGACCATCCTGGCCAAGATGGTGAAACCCCATCTCTATTAAAATACAAAAATTAGATGGGCTTGGTGGTACGCACCTGTAGTCCCAGCTACTCTGGAGGCTGAGGCAGGGGAATTGCTTGAACCCGGGAGGCGGAGGGTGTGTGAGTTGAGATGGCGCCACTGCACTCCAGCCTCAGCGACAGAGCAAAACTCCATCAAAAAAAAAAAAGATATACACACACACACACACACACACACACACACACACATACATATATATACACACACATATATATATATATATAAAATCATTGGTTTCAAGGTCTGCACTATTGTTGTAGCTTGGCTCCTTTCCAATGGAATAGTAAAATTAGTGACCACGGAAAGCAAGTTCAAATTCCATTATTGTTACAGGTTAGAAAATCAAAGTCCATCATAGCTTAATGGAAAGAGAATGAGACAGGGTTTCAGAAATCTGTTTCTATTCTATGTAGTCTTTTCAACTATGTAGGGATAGAAATGAACCCAGCTTTGAAGCAAGCTAGAAATGGGTCCAAATCTTGAATTGTTAGCCATGTTGCCTTGGACAAGTCACTTATTTTCTCTAAGCCTCAGTTTCCTAATATGTAAAATAAAAATAATAACACGTACATTGTACTAGTGCTAAGAGGTTTAGAGATAAATCATATATATAATGCGTGTGTGTTTGTGTGTGTGTGAGAGAGAGAGGTGCTTAGAACAATTATCAAGTTTATGTGATAAGCTTGATAGTTAATGATAGCTGGTCTTGCATTTTTACATAATTATAATAACGTGGTTGTACTAGATAATTTCTAAGATACCAAGAAAAGTAAACATCTGTTGACTGTGGATTTCACCAATAGATTTATATTTACTCAGCATAGAAAAACTACCCCAACACAATTTGAGGTGAAATTAAACTATAACGATATATGTTCTCTTTTTCCCTTTTAATTGTATTTTAAACCATAATGCCTAAACAAATCGAAACATCACCTGTTAAAACTTAACGAAAACCATTGCTCTGTTTCAATCAGCATTGATTTCTTGTCTCTTTCTCTAAAAGCCTCTTCTAAATATTCACATATCAATACTAATTTTTTATCTTTCATCTGCCCTGTCAGACCATACGAAATGTGTCCCAACCATATATTCTGTTATTGACGGTAAAAGAGTTTGATGCCTTAAAATGGAATCAATGACTGTGTATTATGCTCTAGTGACCCCTAGCCTAGCCCAAATGGAGAATATTCCCAGGAGTGGAAGTGGTGCTAGGGTGGAACAGAAGAACCAAAAGATGATTGCCTGTCTTAGGAATCTCTACTATGAGGAAACATTGAAGACATTGGTTTCCTTCTTACTGGAAAAGAGCTCCTCAGAGATGCCAGCCTTTTCTGAAATGATGAATAAAAAGTTTGAAACTGATATCTTTTCCAAATGGAGAAAGTAGTAAAAAGAAGATTCAGTGAGCACCCCCAAAATTGGAAGTACTCATCAGCTGGCTCATTTCATTAGGGCTTCTTCTCCATTTCATTTTAGGAATGTTGTAAAGCCAGAGGTGATTCATCACATGCTCTGTTAATTACTCCTCATTCCTGAAAATCACCATGAATATTACATTTAAATGAATGGGATTGAAGGTTTGGAGAACTCAGGTTTGGGTCAGAGTTAGGTTATCAAGGTATTCTTCTAACTCAAAATATCATCCTTGTTTTTAACTCTTTCAATTATTCATCAAACATGTAGAAACTTTTTTCCTCTCATTAGAAATGAGTGGGCTTAGATAATAAAAACTATGAATTTTACAACCTTACGCATTTATGAGGTTGGCAGAATCTGAAGGATACTGATACAGGGGGAGGAAATGAGAAAATTATAAAGATTGTTGTAGATCAGTAATGTTACTACAAACAAAGGTTATTTCCAAAATATAAAGTTACCATATCATTCCTAAAGTCTTCTGTTTTTCTACACAGAGGGAGCCTTGATGACGATAATAGTTAATAAATAACTATAGTCTTTTATGATTAGATCACCTTCCACAGCTTTCAAAACAACCTGCCATTCATTAGCTCTTTTGATTTGTTTATGCAGTGTTGTGAGGCAGCCAATTAGGTGTTATTATCTTTTCTTTACCAGCCAAAATTGGTGTCATAAAAGAAACCTGCAGTAGGAACTAGCTGGGATGGTCATCTCAGCCTTGACACTTTCTTACATTTTATACCTTTAATTTCTCTGAGTTTCCCCACGGCCATCTCACAGACTTTTATACCGTTCAAAGAGAATCCAGATCGAGACCATCCTGGCTAACATGGTGAAACCCCGTCTCCACTAAAAATCCGAAAACATAAAAATTAGCCGGGCGTGGCAGAGGGCGCCTGTAGTCCCAGCTACTCCGGAGGCTGAGGCAGGAGAATGGCGTGAACCCGGGAGGCGGAGCTTGCAGTGAGCCGAGATCGCGCCACTTCACTCCAGCCTGGGAGACAGCGAGACTCCATCTCAAAAAAAAAAAGAGAATCCAGACGTTACAGTGCTTTAAACTAGATACAGCCCTATGCATGCACACACACACAGACACACATACACAATCACTTGGGCAAAAAGAGGTATGTTGTGACCATGAGTAAAATTTATATATTCTAATATATCTTAAAAGATGAAATAATTTCTTTTTTATTTTTTTATTTTCTTTTCTATAATTCTAATATTTTCCCCCATCAATCTAACATGTCTATATTCTCCTGTTTGTTTGTTTGTTTTGAGGCGGAATCTCACTCTGTCCCCCAGGCTGGAGTGTAGTGGTGCAATTTCGGCTTACTGCAAGCTCCGCCTCCAGCGTTCATGCCATTCTCCTGCCTCAGCCTCCCGGAATAGCTGGGACTACAGGCGCCCACCACCGTGCCTGGCTAATTTTTTTTTTTTTTTTTTTTTTTTTGTATTTTTAGGAGAGACAGGGTTTCACCGTGTTAGCCAGGATGGTCTCGTATCTCCTGAACTCGTGATCCACCCGCCTTGGCCTTCCAAACTGCTGGGATTACAGGCATGAGCCACCGCGCCCGGCCTATATTCTCCTTTGTAAAAGACACTAACTGGAAAACAGCCTTTACTCATCTTCTTATCTGGTAATGTTGCATTACCAACTAACTTCACTCTCTCTGTAGGAATTCCTTTCTGTTTGTCTGGAAAGACTAAGAAACTAGAGATAAGCCTCTCATTTTATCTAATAATAGAATGGGATGGGCATTGTTTGTTTACTGAGTATATAGACCCTGCTATTTACAGACATAATTACTGCTTTTATTAGATTAGGATTAAGAAGACAGGAATTTCAATGTCTAATTTTTAATTGTATTAATATTTTCATATGGGTTATATTTTATTTTAGAAACAACAATCAGCTTCTCCCTATAGCTGATATTACTTGAACCCCTGACCCATGGCCCCACACTGTTTATCACTCAAAAATTTAGTGCATTTTAAAGTCTCCTAGGATTTATCCTGACAATAGAAAACAGAGGTTTGAGGAGCTACAGTCTTTCAATAAATCATAACAAATTAATCCTGAAGTACCTAAGAGTCTACCGGCCGGATGTGGTGGCTCACGCCTGTAATCCCAGCACTTTGGGAGGCCGAGATGGGCGGATCACGAGGTCAGGAGATTGAGACCACCCTGGCTAACACGGTGAAACCCCGTCTCTACTAAAAATACAAAAAAATTAGCCAGGCACGGTGGCGGGTGTCTTTAGCCCCAGCTACACGGGAGGCTGAGGCAGGAGAATGGCGTGAACCTGGGAGGCGGAGCTTGCAGTCAGCTGAGATCACTTCACTGCACTCCCGCCTGGGCGACAGAGCAAGACTCTTTCTCAAAAAAAAAAAAAAAAGTCTACCTAATTTTAGCAAAAAAGCATTGCAAATTTTATATGTGTAATATGTGTGTGTGTGTGTGTGTGTGTTTACAGTAGGGAAGAATGAAACTGTTAGATTTATAGCAAAGTTAGAAAAAGATTATCTTTACAAAATAATTTGTAGGCCGGGCACCGTGGCTCACTCCTGTAATCCCAGCACTTTGGGAGGCCGAGGCAGGCAGATCACGAGGTCAGGAGATCGAGACCATCCTGCCTAACATGGTGAAACCCCGTCTCTACTAAAAGAAAAACCCGTCTCTACTAACAATAATAAAATTAGCCAGGCGTGGTGGCGGGCACCTGTAGTCCCAGCTACTCAGGAGGCTGAGGCAGGAGAATGGCATGAACCCAGGAGGCGGAGCTTGCAGTGAGCCAAGATCACGCCACTGCACTCCAGCCTGGGTGACAGAGAAAGACTCCAACTCAAAAAAAAAAAAAATTGTAAAGAAATAAAATTTGCTAACACATTTCATGCACTTAGGTACAACAATAAATATAAAGATTAAGTATCATTTTATTCTTACAGGTAAAGCAACTGAGGTTTGGTGAGATTCTATAACTTTTCCAAGGTCATACAGCTTGTAAGCAGTGATCTTGCAAATGATCACAGTCAATGTAATAAAGGCATTCAAACTCCAGAGCCCAGCTTCTTAAACACTACACACCGTAGTAACCACATTGCCTACAACTGTAACTAATGTGTCTCAGGTACTCAATGTTAAGAGCTAAACTCTGTCTGCCCAAAATTTATATGTTGAAGCCTTAAACCCCACTACTTCAGGGTGTGCCTATATTTGGAGATAAGTAAAAGTGGTGGTTAAGTTAAAATGAGGTTATAAGGTTAGGCCTTAGACCAAACTGATTGATGTCCTTACTAGAAGAGGAAATTTGGACACACAAAAGAGACACTAGTGATGCACACACAGAGGAAAAACCACATGAGGACACAGTGGGAACTTGCCCATTACAAACCAAGAAGGAAGCTTCAGAGGAAACCAAACTTGCTGTCACTTTGATCTTGAAATTCTAGCCTCCAGAAATGTGAAAATATAATAAATTTATGTTGTTTAAGTCACCCAGTCTGTGGTATTTTGTGGCGGCAGCCATAGCAAACAATACACTCACCGTATGTATTGACCCAGTCACATGCAAACTGTGTAAAAATGTATAGACACAGTTATACGGTTGAAAATACAGTCTTATGTAGGCTCCTTTCTCTTTAAGTAACCAGTACATTAAACTTATGATCCTGTAGAATAGTGTTAAAGAGAAACAGAGCTGAATATTTATTAAAAGTGGCAAGACTCACTTTATCTGGGCTATTCCAATAGAGAAAAGAAACTCCAGTAGAAACCAAGCTCAATTCTGCTAAAACCAGAGGCAGGATGCTTTTTTAATGCTGAGGTGTGCTGTATTAGTTCATTTTCATGCTGCTGATAAAGACATACCCGACACTGGGAAATTTACAAAAGAAAGAGGTGTATTGGATTCATAGTTCCACGTGGCTGGGGAGGCCTCACAATCATGGTGGAAGGCAAGGAGGAGCAAGTCACATCTTTGTAGCAGTCAAAGAGAGATTGTGCAGAGAAACTCCCATTTTTAAAACAATCAGATCTCAAGAGACTCATTCATTATCATGAGAACAGCACAGAAAAGACCCACCTCCATGATTCAGTCATCTCCCACTAGGTCTCTCCCACAACACATGAGAATTATGGGAGCTACAAGATGAGATTTGTGTGGGAACACAGAGCCAAACTACATCATTCTACCCCTGGCTCCTCCCAAATCTCATATCTTCACATTTCAAACCTGATCATGCCTTCCCAACAGTGCCTCAAAGTCTCAACTCATTTCAGCATTAACTTAAAAGTCCACACTCTGAGACAAGGCAAGTCTCTTCCACCTATGATCCTGTAAAATCAAAAGCAAGTTAGTTACTTTCTAGATACAATGGGGGTACAGCCATTGGGTCAATACAGCTGTTCCAAATGGGAGATATTGGCCAAAACAAAGGGGCTACAGATGCCATGCAAGTCGAAAATTCAGGAAGGCAGTCAAATCTTAAAGTTCCAAAATGATATATTTTGAATCTATGTCTCATATCCAGGTCATGCTGATGCAAGAGGTGGGTTCCCATGGTCTTGGGCAACTCCACCTCTGTGGCTTTGCAGGGTACCGCCTCCCTCCCAGCTGCCTTCACAGGCTGGCACTGAGTGTTTGTGGCTTTCTCAGGCATATGGTGCAAGCTACCTGTGGATCTGCTATTCTGGGTTCTGGAGGATGAAGGCTCTCTTCTAACAGCTCCACCAAGTGGTGCCCAGTAGGGACTCTGTGTGGGGGCTCCTACTCCACATTTCTCTTCTGTACTGCCCTAGCAGAGGTTCTCCATGAGGACCTCACCCCTACAGAAAACTTCTGCCTGGACATCCAGGCATTTCCATATATCTGAGATCTAGGCTGAGGTTTTCAAACCTCAGTTCTTGACTTCTGTGCACTCACAGGCTCAACACCATGTGGAAGCTGTCAAGGCTTCAGGCTTGCACCCTCGGAAGCCATAGCCCAAGCCATGGCCCCCTTCAGCCACTGGAGTGTCTTCAACGCAGGGCTGCACACAGCAGAGGGACCCTAAGCCTGGCCTAGAGAACCATTTTTTCCTCCTAAACCTCTGGGCATGTAATGGGAGGGGCTGCCACAAAGGTCTCTGATATCTCTTGGAGACATTTTCCCATTGTCTTGGGGATTAACATCAGGCTCCTTGCTACTTATGCAAATTTATGCAACTGGCTTGAATTTCTCCTCAGAAAATGGATTTTCTTTTTTTTTATCACACTGTCAGGCTGCAAATTTTCCAAACTTTTATGTTCTGCTTCCCTTAAAAAGCTGAATGCCTTTAAGAGCACCCAAGTTATCTCTTGAATGCTCTGCTGCTTAGAAATTTCTTCTGCCAGATACCCTAAATCATCTCTCTGAAGTTTAAAGTTCCACAAATCTCTAGGGCAGGGGCAAAATGCCACCAGTCTCTTTGTTAAAACATAAGAAGAGTCATCTTTGCCCCAGTTCCCAACAAGTTCCTCATCTCCATCTGAGACCACCTCAGCCTGAACCTTATCATTCACATCACTATTAGCATTTTTGTCAAGGCCATTTAACAAGTCTCTAGGGAATTCCAAACTTTCCCACATTTTCTTGTCTTCTTCTGGACCATCCAAACTGTTCCAACCTCTGTCTGTTACCAAGTTCCAAAACTGCTTCCACGGTTTTGGGTATCTTTTCAGAAACACCCCACTCCTGGTACCAATTTACTGTATTAGTCCGTTTTCATGCTGCTGATAAAGACATACCCAAGACTGGGCATTTACAAAAGAAAGATGTTTATTGGATTTACAGTTCCACATGCCTGGGGAGGCTTCACAATCATGGTGGAAGGCAAGAAGGAGCAACTCACATCTTACATGGATGGCAGCAGGCAAAGAGAGCTTGTGCAGGGAAACTCCTACTTCTATAACCATCAGATCCTGTGAGACTTATTCACTATCACAAGAACAGCACTGGAAAGACTCGCCCCCATGATTCAGTCATCTCCCACCAGGTCCCTCCCACAATACATGGGAATTATCGGAGCTACATGAGATGTGGTGGTGACACAGACCCAAACCATATCATGTGCTAAAGGAAAAGTACTAAAGGAGATGTCAGGGAAGGTTGGTCATTGTGGTTAGGCCATTTGTGTTTGCTAATTTATAGATGCAAGTTTTCTAAAGTAAATGCTCTAAGAAATGGGAGGTCATGGGTCTACAGTCAGGTAAATAGTAAATTATTTAGGTAGCATTGAGCTTTTCAGATAGGAACTTAAGCAGGGGCTGGGTCATCAGGAACATGTTCTTGAGGTATTAGAAACTGTGGTAACATTTGTTCAAGCCTCTTAGTACAAAGGGAGGTAGACATCATCATTTGGGCTAAGAATTTGCAGTTCTCATAGGCCAAGGTTAAGGCCCAGTCAAAAAGAGGGTTCAGAGGAATTTGATTAAAGTTTGGTCGAAGAAATAATCTTTGCCATTAGATAAAGTAGAAAGCCAACTGGTTAACAAACTTTCAGGTTGGAGTTCACATATTGCATTTGTTATCAGTCTTTTGGCTCCTTTGTATAGATTTTATCTTTTGTACTCTCAAGGGCTTTAATGCACACATTTTGATGTCCTCCAGCAATGTGTGTAACAGAGCTAGACAGACTTCCAGACTTCTCTTGCTTTAACCCAAATACCGTTCACCAAAAATGTTTACTTGATAACGTTTCCCATTACTAAAGCATTCACATATTGCTTCTTTGTTTTGTAGGATGATCTTTTCCTTTACTTCTATATCTTTGCTTGTAGGATTCCGCTTAGACTGTGTGTTCCCAGAGGCTCCCTTCCTGACCCTTAATAGAGTGTTCTTACTCTTTGCCCCTCAGTACCCGGTGCCATTACTACTTCCACACCTTGCACTCATGACACAGTCTTGAAATTGTCAGTTGACTTGTCTATCTCTCCAATTAGATAAATGATATTTTTAGTGAAATCAATAAATGAATGAGTAAAAAAACCCAAAAAGATGAATTCCGCTTTATAATCTACAACAAATTTCCACAATTACTGTTTTATTTCATCTCAGTTGCTTTAAGAAAGAAGGCTGGTTTAAAAGGAAGGTAACAAAAACGTAGAGAGGCTCAGTGACTCACAGCAGGCCACATGGCATGTAAGCGGTCAAGCTGAGACTCAAATCCATGTTGTAAGGTTTAAAAATTAAGAATGTACCAAGTTAAACAGCACTAACCATTGTGTCACACCACAACCTTGATTCAATAGACAGAAAAAAAAAGGAAGAAGCGAATGAGTAATAACTCTAAAATCAGGGAATTCTCAGGCGTGGGACCAACTCACTAAAATGTGATTTAAAAATTTAAAAATCTAAACCCAAGGTTAAGAAATTATTATGGTATTCCAGATGAGCTCCATAATACTCTCCAGGTGAATATGACAAATATTAACTAAATGCCTGCATTTGCCTAGCACTGTGTTAGAGCCCAATGTTAAACTTCTAAAAAAAACAGATAGAATCTCTGACCTCTGAGAGGTCAAATTTTAATTTTCATATTTCTGAGCAAGAAACTATACATAGTGGACATTTATTTGCCATCCACATAAACAACCCTGGAAAAAGTAATAACTGTCTTTTGTCTACAGTACAGGGACTATTTTTTCTGTCTCTTCTAGATAAAAAATACTTGTTATGCTGCTGGGAAAAGTACTTAAAAACTGTATAGAAAATTATTTAAGTACTTCTTACAGTTATTAGCATTACTAAAGGCATTTGTTTGTTATATTATTATAGAGCAATTTTATGTATAATTTATTGCCTAATAGTGCATAGTTATAGAATAACTTGTATAATACCAGTTTGCACACAATATGTGTGTATTAATATTTAAATATTTACATTCTGTTTATTTTATATAGCTGATCCTCACCTTTAAATTAAGGAGAGAGAAGGTGTTATTTCCATTTCATGGATGAGAAGTTTAAAGATCTGCATGATTGACTAATTTGTCTCAAATCTATTAGCCATAAATGGAAGAGCTGAGACAGGAACTCAGGCCTCGTGACTCATGTTCTGATATATTTTTTTCATATTCAACAGAGTTTTAAACACCAACTCAGTGACACTAGGATATGAAAGAAAAGGAAAATATGGAATGAGTCCAAAGGAGAGGTATATCTTTAGAAAAATAAAGAGAATTGAAAGACATCAATGGATTGAAAGCAAAAAATGAACTTAAACTAGTCTTGGTGATGAAGGTAAATACTAACACTTGTAAAATGCTTACAAATTATCCGTGTTTTTCTGTATGCATTCTCATTTGTCCTCATGATCAGCCTGTAGAATAGGCTGGACATGTATCATTGTTATCATTCTCAATTTACTGAAACTTAGAGAGATATAGGAGCTTCCCCATAGACACAAATAATAAGTGGTGATAATCAGAATCAGATAGAAGTCTATTAAATCAAGATTCTGTCTTTTCCTTATGTCCTTCACCTTTCTTAACAATGTTAAAGCTGCTTGAAGACATAGCTTTTATAATTTTATTAGGAATCAAATAATGTGAAGGCTTTAATTGGGGAAATGAGAATATTAATATGCCGGCTTTACATCCTGAAAATAGAAACACAAATTGAGGTGTGGGTTAAGGAATACATCAGTTTATTTTTAAATTATAAATATGATTTCTGCTTCTGGCATAAATGGAATAACAGAAACTATTTTATTCTTTCACCTGAAACAATGAGAAAAAAATAAAAGCAAAAGCAATTGTTTTTGACACTGGACATGATATAATACAGTGCAGTGATTCTTGGGAGGGGGGAAACAAACCAAGTTATCCCTACATTACCACAGTTCACAGCCTGTAGAAAGTTGCCAGGCTGTAGCACGGAGAGGGAGAACACAGGTAGCTAATAGAAGCTTCCCTGAGATGATCATACAAACCTGAGGGTCTGTGAGACCAAAGGAGGTAAAATTTCCGTGGCATGTTAACAAGAAGAGAAAGATTCAAAGAGAAACATTTGGAGATTTGTGGCACATAGTTTATTTAGAATCTTCAGTTGAGTACTGACAGGTAAATGTACATGAGAAAACTACTCCAGGCTGCAGAAAGAATCACTCTAAGGATTAGAAGGAATGATTTCCAGAACTTACATATGGGAGGAGATAACTTGTGTTCCTGTAAGTCAGAAAGAAAAACCTTGCCATTCATTTACAGATTAGAGAGATGTGTTGCCCCAGTAGTGGGGCAAAATTAACCTCAAAGCCTATTCTGGTTCCACCTAACAAAGCTTAAAAACAAGCTTAAAATGGGCAAACTATTTCCAAGTAACTTAATTGTGTCCCAGGACAAAGTTCAAAGATATTTACAGGAATACAAAAAATATCCATCACCTAACAAAGTAAATCACAATGTCTAGCAGAAAATTAAAAAATACCAGACATACAAAGAAACAGGAAAATAATCCCATAATAAGAGGCAAAATCAATAGGAAAAAACTGTCTGGATGTCTTCTTCTTCTAGCCAAAATAAAGTAACAGGGACTGGGGTTACACTCCTGCCTGCAGCAAACAAACAACAACAACAAATACAAATACACAATATATTAAACAATGATCTTCAAGGTTGTGGACATCAGTCTTTTGAAATGAAGAAAAGTCATACACGAGATAGTAAACAAACAAGCTAAACCCTAAAATTGCTCCAGTTTACTGGCCTGAGAAAATGTCTAAGCCATAGAGCACGGAGAAGAAGCTCAGGCACAGGCACACAGCTCTGATTCCCAGAAGACCAGGCTGCGGCTCAGTAGTAGGGGATAATTAGCCATAGGTTCTACTTTAAAACATTTAACAGCAAGACCCAAAAAGATTATATGGTTTCCAAGTAACTTATCTGTGTCCCAGGGCAAAACTTTATATTTACAGAAATACAAAAAGCATTCACTACTCAATAATGTAAAATTAGCAATGTCTGGCACTCAGTCTAAAATTACTAGGCATACCAAGAAGCAAGGACATATGATTCACAAGTAGGATAAATGACTCAAAACTGTTACGGATGTTAGAATTATACTTAAGAACATTAAAACAGTTATTATAACTGTTTCATAAATTCAAAAATGTAAAGCAGAGACAAGGAATAAAAACAAAACATAATCTGAATCTGAGATTAAAAATATACTAAATGTAATTAACAATAATTTGACCTTGTTGAAGAAAAGATTAATAAACTTGAAGGTGTACAATAGTAACTGTCCAAAATAAAACAGAAAAAAAAAGATAAGACCAACAGCAAGCTGTGGGATAATTGTAAGCAGACTAATATAATTATAGTCCCTGAAAGTGGGTCTTGGGAAGTAAAAAAAAAATATTAGAAGTAATAACAGCCAAAATTTGTTTCAAACTATAAACTAAGAGGTCCAAGAAACTATAAACTAAGAGGTCCAAGAAACTATAAACTAAGAGGTCCAAGAATTTAAAAGAATCCTAAGCACAATGTGTGTGTGTGTGTGTGTGTGTGTGTGTGTGTGTGTGTGTAAACTATATCAAGGCACACCATTATCAAATTGTTCAAAAATATTGAGACAAGAAGTCTTAAAATCAGCTGGTAGATGGGTGAGAGAGGTGAGGGAGAAATCCCATTACATACAAAGGAGTAAAGAATAAGATAATACCAGATTAAAAAAAATAAACAATGTTAGGTGAAGAGGAAATGAAACTATATCTTTAAGTGACTGAAGGAAAAAACTACCAGCTAGAATTCTATGTCCCATGAAATCAACTTTTGAAAATGAGGGTGAAATAAAGACGATTTTACATAAAAGAGTTAAAAGAATTCAGCACTTACTGCAGACCTGCACTAGAAGAAATGTTAAAGGAAGATTTTTCAGGCAGGCAGAAGACAAAATATATTAGATAGAAATATGAATCTATGCAAAGGAAAGGAAATCACTAAAAAGAGTAGCTACATGGATAAATATATTTTTTTATTATTTAAATCTCTTTTGAAAATAACCAACTGTTTAAACAATAACAACAACAACCAAAGATTTATAGTTAGTAAATTAACAAAAGAAGATACAATGATATCATAATACTTGATTCATCCAAGAGAAAGCAGAAAAGAAGAAAAGGGGAATTAAAACACAGGTGGTAGCAGCCTGGGCATCATGGTGAAATCCCATCTGTACAAAAGATAGAAAAATTAGCCAGGAATGGTGGTGCATGCCTACAGCCCCAGTAACTTGGGAGGCTGAGGTGGGAGGATCACCTGAGCCTAGAGAGGTCGAGGCTACAGTGAGCCAGGATCATGCCACTACACTACAGCTTGGGCAAAAGAGCGAGATCCTGTCTCAGAAAAAAAAGGTAGTAAAAATAGAAAGCAGGTGATAAAAATAGAAAACAATTGGTAAAGATAATAAGATGGTAGATGCAAATCTGACCATGCGGATTATGAAATATGTAAATCTGTTTTATGTAAATTATGTATATATTAAATGTAAGAATATACTTTATGTAAATGTATTATACATAGATATAGGTTATATATGTAAATTAAAAGATAGAGATTGACAGATTAGATTTTTTAAAAAGGAAGCCCAAACTATTTGCTGCCTAAAGAGACATACTTTAAATATAAATACAAAAATAGTTCAAAAGTAAAAGAATGGGATAAAATATATGATACCTACACAAATAAAAAAAAAAGCTTGAGTGCCTATGTTAATATCAGACAAAGTAGATTCCAGAGCAAAGAATATCACCAGGGATAAAGAATCATTTCGTGACGACAAAGAATCATTTCACGGAGAGGACATTCCAATTCTAAGTGGTTTGTGCCTAATAAATGAGAGATAGCCACGAATTACAAAAATTGGATGAGAGAATGTTTTCCTTGATGAAAATAAAGTATTCACATAATATATAGAGAATTCATAGAATCTGTTTATAATCAACTTTAATCCAGAACTGTTACCCATTGGCACTTTGAACACTTAGGAAAGGCTTGAAATTCTTTAGGATCAGGCAGAAAACAACAACAACAACAGTTAGTTCTACTTCATATAACCCAAGAATGCACAGGTAGAACCTGATTGAAATTAGAGACAGGTATGACTCCATTGAAAGGGACAGCTCTCTAACAGTAAAATCTGACTGGAAATCAAGGAAGTGTTCATCTGGAGATGGCAGAAAAATTACAGCTTATATTTACAGATCCTTTAAATGAGCTGCTACTATCTGGTTCTATGATAGAATAAGTGGATTTTAAACTACACAATTTTTTTTTGAGACAGGGTCTCATTCTGTTGCCCAAGCTGGAGTGCAGTGGCATGTTCTTGGCTCACTGCAACCTCTGCCTCCCAGGTTCAAGTGATTCTCGTGTCTCAGCCTCCTGAGTAGCTGGGATCACAGGGGTGCACCACCACGCCCAGCTAATTTTTGTATTTTTAAAAAAAATTTTATTAAACTTTAAGTTCTGTGATACATGTGCAGAACGTGCGGGTTTGTTACATAGGTATACGTGTGCCATGGTGGTTTGCTGCACCCATCAACCCGTCATCTAGGTTTTAAGCCCCGCATGCAGTAGGTATTTGTACTAATGCTCTCCCTCCCCTTGCCCCCAACACCCCCAACCTGACAAGCCCCAATGTGTGTTGTTCCCCTCCCTGAGTTCATGCGTTCTCATTGTTCAGCTCCCACTTATGAGTGAGAACGTGTGATGTTTGGTTTTCTGTTCCTGTGTTCTCATTGTTCAACTCCCACTTATAAGTGAGAACATGCAGTGTTTGGTTTTCTGTTCCTGTGCTAGTTTGCTGAGAATGATGGTTTCCAGCTTCATCCATGTCCCTGGGAAGGACATGAACTCATCCTCTTTTATGGCTGCATAGCATTCCATGGTGTATATTTGCCACATCCTATTTCTCCAGATCCTCTCCAGCATCTGTTGTTTCCTGACTTTTTAATGATTGCCATTCTAACTGGCACGAGATAGTATCTCATTGTGGTTTTGATTTGCATTTCTCTAATGACCAGTAATGATGAACTTTTTTTCATATGTTTGTTGGCCACATAAATGTCTTATTTTGAGAAGTGTTTGTTCATATTCTTTACCCACTGTTGGTGGGAGGGTACTTTAGTTCAACCATTGTGGAAAATGCAGTGTTTGGTTTTCTGTTCCTGTGTTAGTTTACTGAGAATAATGGTTTCCAGCTTCATCCATGTACCTGCAAAGGACATGAACTCATCCTTTCTTGTGGCTGCATAGTATTCCACGGTGTATATGTGCCACATTTTCTTTATCCAATCTGTCATTGATGGGCATTTGGGTTGGTTCCAAGTCTTTCCTATTGTGAATAGCACTGCAATAAACATACATGTGCATGTGTCTTTATAGTAGAATGATTTATAATCCTTTGGTATATACCCAGTAATGGGGTTGCTGCGTCAAATGATATTTCTGGTTCTAGATCCTTGAGGAATCACCACACTGTCTTCCACAATGGTTGAACTAATTTACACTCCCACCAACAGTGTAAAAGCATTCCTGTTTCTCTACATCCTCACCAGCATCTGTTGTTTCCTGACTTTTTAATGATCGCCATTCTAACTGGCATGAGATGGCATCTCATTGTGGTTTTGATTTGAATTTCTCTAATGACCGGTGATGATGAGCTTTTTTTCATGTTTGCTTGTCACATAAATGTCTTCTTTTGAGAAGTGTCTGTTCATATCCTTCACCCACTTTTTGATGGAGTTGTTTGTTTTTTTTTCCTTGTAAATTTGTTTAAGTTCCTTGTAGATTCTGGATATTATACCTTTGTCAGATGGATAGATTGGAAAAATTTTCTCATATTCTGTAGGTTGCCTGTTCACACTGATGATAGTTTCTTTTGCTGTGCAGAAGCTTTTTAGATTAATTAATCACAAATGGGTGTTGGATTGGTCAAACACTCTTTTGTGTCTATTGAAGAGATCTTTTTGTTGTTTTTGATGTTTTTGTTGTTGTTCTTTATCCTATTAGTTATGTGTATTGCATTGATTGGTTTTTGGAGGCTAAGTCAACATTGCATTCATAAAATAATCCTTTTTGGTCATGGTGTACAGTCATTTTTATATGTTGCTAGACTCATTTCACTAGCATTTTTAAGCATTTCTGGGTGTGTGTTTATCAGGGATATTTATTCATACTTGTCTACTTGTGATGCTTTTGTGTGGCTTTAGTATTAGGGTAATACTAGCCTCACAGAATCAATTGGTAGGTGTTCCCAATAGTATTCCTCTATTTTTTGGAAGGGTTTGTGACGAGTTGACATTAATTCTTCACTAAATATTTAATAGAATTTGTCAGTTAAGCCATGTGGCTGTGGGCTTCTCTTTGTGGAAGATTTTTAATTAATTGACTCTCTATAAATCTTGGTTTTACTTCGGTCATTCATGCCTACCAAGGTATTCATCTTTAATTTGTAGTATTCTACATTTTTAGTATTTTAGGCAGTTGGTACAGAAGATTCTGGAAGTTCAATGTAGGTGAATGAGGTTTTGATGTTATCAATTAATGACCCAAGGTTTCTTCTGTGTAGTGTGAATAATATCACTATAACTGCTGTAGTTAGCACCCATTTATTTTGTGAGTCAAATGAATTAGAAACAAAGAAAATCTAAAGAAAAAAAGACTTAACTATTGGAGGAAACTGGGTAAAGTGTACACAGAACATTGTTGTACCATCTTCCAAATTCCTGTAAATCTTTTTTAAAACAAATATTTTTTTAAATTATGAAACAAAATATTTTTTAAAACAAGTTTTTACAAAAGAGGATTTTAAAATCCTACCTACACTTACTATATGACCTAGCAATCTAACACTACTTATTTATTCAAGAGAAATTAAAACATATGTCTATACAAAACCCATAAGAGAATATTTATAATGACCTGATTCAGAATCACTAAACACTGTAAACAAGCCAAATGTACAACAACTGATGAATAGGTCAACCAACTGGCACATCTACATGATGAATTTCTACTCAAGAATTTTAAAAAAGAAATACTATACCTGCTACAACATGGATGAACTTCAAAAGAATTATTCTTAGTGAAAGAAGCCTGAAACAAAATGTTACATACTTTAGGATTCCATTTATAGGACATTTGTAAATGGACAAATTTTAGGGGCAGAAATCAGAACAGTGATTGCCATTTGCTGGAGATCAGGGGAGGGGACTGACTACATAGGTACACATGGGAGATTTGGGGGTGACGAAAATACTCTATATCTTCATTCTGCTGGTGGTTGCATAAGTGATTTTGTCTACCAAAAGTCATGTAACTGCACACCCAAACTGTGAATTTTGCTTTTATAAAATGTATCTCAGTAAACCTAATTTTAGAAAAAAAAATCATATTCATTTCATACTATTTTTAAAGCATTATATATGTCTGTGTTAAGGGAGACAGAAATGGGTTTTCAAAAAAATCTTAACATTTGTTATCTCTGATGGGTGGAATTACTTATGACTTTTTAATGTTTCTCTTCCTACTTTTCTTGCCTGATAAATTTTCTGCACAAATTAGGTATTATTTTTAAGAACAAAAATGAATTTTTTTTAACTAAGTGAATATATATCTTTTGGGCTGGATAGAATACTGAAATTCATCTAGCACACCTCCTTCCTTTAATTTACAGACGAAGATAGGAGGGCTAAGACAAATAGAGTGCATTTCCTAGTTATTTCAAGTTTAAAAATAAGCAGCCTACACCCTCAATGACACCTTTCCCTGATATGATTCAACTACAAACGTCATGATTTATTTTGATGGAGAGGAAGCGTGATCGTTATCCTTTTAAAACACCCACACCGTAATTCCAAAGTAAAGTACAGTTGACTTGTGAACAACCTAGGTTTGAACTGCGCAGGTCCATTTATACACAGAGTTTTTTCACCGAAAGGCATATCCGAAAATACAGTATTTGAAGGATGCAAAACCGCCTATACCAAGGACTCACTTATCACATCAAATTGAGTAGGGTAGCTACAGGACTTAAGAACCTGCAGATTTTGGTATGTGCGGGGGTCCTGGAAATCAATCCTGGTCTATTCTGAGGTATGACTGTATTTCGGGATTTTCCTGGACTGTCTTCTCCAGACTGACCCAGACAGTGCGTCAACAGAGATCACTTCTCCAGTCTGCACCATACAGAGACCAGTGACATTTTGGAAATGTGTGACAAGCTAACACTTTGACCTCAGGCAAATCACCATGAGTATCATCCCCTTGATAAGACCATTGAGCAGATCGGGATGATTACATTACAGAGCTGAAGCATCTATTATTGGTAACAGTCAAGCTATACATAGCCAAGCCTTCTTGAGAAGGAAGCATAATTCAGAAATTCAGTGTTTGGCTTTGGAGCAATGCTACAGGGGTCAAATTCTGCCTTCTTTGCTGTATGAGGATGGGCAATTTGCCTAAACCCTCTATCTCAATTTCTTCACCACTAAACTGAGAGGTGGTAATCATGATTGTCACAAGGATTAAGTTAATTCATTCATGTTGTAAAGCCTTTAGATGATACTTGGCACATGGGGAATGCTCAATGTTAGCTATCATTAGAAGTCTTTTAATTGTTAGCCTGTTGATTACATCAAACAAGAGATCATAGTGGGGCAATTCACCTCTAAGTTTCTTGAAGTGCTGAATATTTTGTGGGAAGTGCCAAAAAACGTGCCTAATTTTAAGGGTACAAATTAGTAACCTCCAGGGTAGAGAAATCATTTACTTGTTAGTGCCCCTTCCTTTGAACAGTTTATTGTATTACAAATGGTGACGTCTTTGGAAGGAATTGGTTCACCTTCAATGAACAATAGCCACACGTGGCTGGAAGGATTGACAGGTCACTTGAGTCATGAAAAAATGACAACTTTTCAAATAGTTCAGAAAACCAAACAGCTCATTTAAAGCTCTTAAATGTTCAAACATCTTCTCTTCTTTAAAGAGAAGAAATGTCTTATTGAAAAAAAAAATGTCCTTTCATGCTGTTATCAATCCCTCTTATTTCTCTAACTTTCTAGCAAGGTCATGATTGTATTCAAAATGATATTTGTTATGGAGTTAGGAAGTCTGTGTTTTAATTCCAGCCCTCACATTTAGCTGAAGCAAGACTGTGAGCACAGATTACATTCCTAAATTACTCATGAGGTGAGGCACACTGGGAAATGAAACAAGAAGACAAAAAGAAGGCAGACCAATTAAACCGTACTTGTCGAGTATATCAGCCAATGTAATAAAAATATTGCCTCTGCAGGTAGCAGTACCTGGAACATAATAGCACTCAATATATACAGAATTAATTGATGACATCTTAGACCAGAACATTCCACCATTAAGTTACATAGAAAATAGCTATGAAAAGAGTGACAAAAGAATGAGATTTGGGGTCAAAACTGGGCCCCTCAACTTGTGTGTGATTTTTGACACGTTTATTTATATCTGAGCCCATTTTTCTTATTTATAAAATATAAATAATACCACCTATATATCAGTTTTGTCATGAAAATATAATTAAACTGTAAATGAACGTACTCCACAAGCTCTAAGGCGCCAAGCAAAAGCTAGCCCGTGTTCCTGATATGCCAAAAGCCTGGGTTAGTCCAAATTGGCATTGTGTGGGTCAAGCCGCCTCAACTCCTGCCTTCACCACGTATACTCACCTACATGGCTAGCTCATTGTATCTGTAAATTTCAAAAAAGGTAGAGGATGAGAAAAGGGAAGAAAGAGCTGACACTTTTCTTTTTTGCCTACAGATTAATCAATAATATACAATTTTTCATTAACATGAATCTTTAAAAAATACAATTTGTTGGTGTCTGGGTGTGGTTGCATTTTAAGATGCCACTGCTCTGAGGGTGGCTGGCAGCGGCACCAGGCCAAATCCACTGTGGGTGTGGAAACATCCAGAATACAAGTATCGCTCCACCCTGTTGTCATGTTGCCTAATTAGCTGGTATGCATGAAGCTGAACTGGAAAACAAAGCTTGGGAGTCAAAGTAATCTCTCATCTTAAAGCTGTGATGCAATGGGAAAATGGCAGCCTACTTATGGAGGAAACAGTGAATATCCTCTGACGTCCGTTTTCTAAGAGAGGCGTATGTAGAGACCTGGGCTCTACAATTCCCATGGAAGTTTACTCTTGATTCCTTGCCCGTTTAGGTTATATTTCTGAGCTCAAAAAAATAGTGCTTACTCCAGAGAAACTGTTTAGCCTAAGGCCTCTTTTCCAAGGGGAAAAATGACTATCATTTTAGGGCAAAAGAGCTGACTTTGCCAGATCACACTTTCTACCTCCATTTCTCTTTAAGTAGTGAGGATGGATATAGAAATGAACCTTGTGAGACAAGGAAAAAAGAAAGACAGAAAACCTGTTAGTTGGGCTCTGACAAGAAAACACACTCAGCCTTCTTGAGAGTCTAGTTCTAGAGAGAGTTCAGTACCCAAAGAACCAAGTATAGATTTATGAAGAGTCACAAACTTACCATAGCCTTTGACCTAGAATGGGCTGCAGTATATTCTAGTAGAGCATATTTAAATCCTTTCATTTTATTAAGAAGCTCTGGCAAGGGGAAGTCATTGATTCAAGAATAGCTAGAAAGTGGAAGAACTTGAACTCATTCATATTCTCCTGACTCCCGGTCCTAGGTGGTTTTCCCAAACCACAGCTTCTTTTTCAATCTTCCACCATGTCCGATTTTGGGGATTGACTCGTTTCATCACCCTGAATTCCAGGGGACAAACACACTCATCTCATATACAGCATTTTATATCATGGGTTTAACCTCCAGTTTGCATTTTTCTTAGCTTTGCTCCATTTTATTGCCTCTCAGCTAGCGGCAATTTTGCCCTTCAGGGGACATCTGGCAACGTCTAGAGACATTTTTGGTTGTCACAACTGTGAAGGTGCTATGGGATCTGGTGGATAGTGGCCAGGGATGCTGCTAAACACCCTACAATATTCAGGACAAACCCTTATCCCCGAAAAAAAAAAATCATCCCATTTGAAATGTTAATAGAGAAGTGAAGAAAGAAACTCTTTTCTCTGCTTAATAACCAGAATTAGCTTCAAAGCTTTGTTCATTATCTTGGTGATCAGACAGTCAATTCTGAAAGAAGGGACTCTGATATGTTACTTAGAGGGGATATAGGTACTGATAGAAAAAGCCAAGTAACAATTTTTTTTTTTTTTTGAGACGGTGTCTCGCTCTGCAGCCCAGGCTAGAGTGCAGTGGCACCATCTTGGCTCACTGCAACCTCTGCCTCCCGGATTCAAGTGATTCTCCCACCTCAGATTCCTGAGTAGCTGGGACTACAGGCGCTTGCCACCATGACTGGCTAATTTTTGTATTTTCAGTAGACACAGGGTTTCACTATGTTGGCCAGGCTGGTCACAAACTCCTGACCTCATGATTCGCCCGCCTTGGCCTTCCAAAGTGCTGGGATTTACAGACATGAGCCACTGGGCCCAGCCAACACTTATTTTTGAATAATCTACTAGATTGGCCAGTTTCTCATCTCTGATTTTAAAAATCAAATCCTTACTCTAGTGAGTGCAGAATGCCCCTCAAAAAACATTGAATCCATCAATTACCCATTTCAGCCAGAGATAGGACCATTTCAAATGATGTACAGCACTGGATTTTTCACCTTGGTCTTTCTACCTGTCTCCTCTAAGTTTTCCGATCATTATTATGTCTTCTAGCATCTCTACAGCTGAACTTCTCTGAGATCTAATTTCTAAACCCTTTCTTTTCTTCTTTGAGTGGCTTCCCACCTATGCTAAAACTTTAACAAGCTACTCAGAGACCCATAGTTTGTCACATTTTACAGCTTTATTTGTATTTCTAACTCTTTAGTCTTACAACCATGGTCTATCTCAAACTTGGGTTCCAAGGCTTACATTCCTAACTTGCTCTCTGCTTGCTCATTTAGAACCTTTCTAGTAGTCTTCCGGTCTTTCTCTGAGACTTACAATGTTTCTGCCTTTAATATATCTAACTTACTGTTTAAGCAATAAAATGTGCTCAAATAACACCTTGAATATAACCATAATATACATAATAAATAGAAGTGTTATGTGTTTAAGCAGAGATGAGAACAGGGTGCTTCAGCCAGCCTTCTCCTTTATTGAAAGTTCAAAGAGCATAACTTTTTAAATCATCAGTTTTTATCCAGGATCTAGCACACTAAGGACATGCAAAGAGGTATGTACATATTTATTGATATATTGATTAACTGGTGAAAAGGAAAAAGGCATATATAAAGAGTTTGAAAATCACAGTAATGACAATTGTGAACACTTTCTCCCTGCCATGTTTTCTCCTGTATTCAATTGCTCTGAGGTATGTCATATATCAGCTGAATGTTTCTCACGTTATGAAGAATTGTATGTTTCCGCACTGAACATGTTATTCAGACCTGCCATCCCTTTCTTCATTTTTAAAATCCACTTCTCATTTTTCATTTCCTCTATCAAAAACCTTTACTCATTCATTGATTCAGTAGTTTTTTAGTATCAGTTTCAAAGTTCTGTGGGTGTTACTGGCAATGAATCAGATACAAACCTTGCCCTAAAGGAGCTTATAATATAATAAGATGGAGAAGGCATATCCCTAGTGTAACCTACTTTGAAATGAAAAGTTATAACTGCCAAAAAATAAAGTCCCATGGGAATTTGGAATGGGGGAATTTACTCCTAGCTGAAAGATAAAAAAAAAAAAAAAGTATAGGACAAATAAAATTTGACAAAAACCTTAAGAGATGGATGATCTGGACACAGATATGTGGGTAAGTCTCAAAGGAGAATAGTTGGGGGGAAAGTGATATTGCAGAGTTTAATTAGACTGTAACAAAGGTGAATAAAAATAATGATAGACATGCTTAGAAAAAAATTTGAGTCCAAAATGCAAAGGAAACAATACACGGATCATAAGGGCTCATCCTGCTTTATTTCTCATGGCTTTCCTATCTGATATTTTCTGTTAGCAAATCTCCTCTTTATAGGAAGTTAATATACTCGGCTAATGTTATATTGAAGCAAACATCTTGGCTAACTATTCTGCTTTGAATATTTACTGAGTGTGGCCAAATCCTTGCATGCCAAATTGAGGAGTAAACTCTTCATAACTTACCTCCATAAATTAGAAAATATAATCAGTGGAAAGAGTTGTCAATTGTGCATCATCGATATGGATATATCTTTATTAAAAGTTTGGTAAAAGTTAACACAAACTACATTTTAAAATGCAACTGCAGTAAACAATTTTACTGGAAATTAGTCCAGCTGTACAAATAATAATTTGGAAAAAAAGTAAAATGAAAAATTATCAAAGTTGCTTTAAAAGAATACTGCAAGCTTGTGCTTTTTAAACATATCTATAAATCTATATATCTATTTATATCCATCTATACTTATCTTTTTTTATCTACCTACTCAAACATTCATTGATGATAACAGTTGCTATGACAAATGTAATAATAGACTGGTTAAAGTGGTGAGGCACAATGATTTGGAAGTCAGATATATTTAGAATTGAGTACTGATTTTATCATCAAAAAAAGTTACGCTATATGAAAATTGCACTCTCTGAGCCTCAGTTTCCCTATCTGTAGAATGAGGGAGAAAGACTAGTTGATCCATCATTTTCTTCCCAATTTTATGATGCAATGTTATTACAAGAGCACAGTATCAGTTGAGGAATCTGCCTACTCCCTTAACGTTGAAGTAGAGCAGTTTCACCTGCTACAAGGAAAGTTCTCTGTCCACCTGGCTTCAGGAACCATTCTCTCCTCAAACCTCCTCTAGGACACATGTGTCAACTAGATCACCCATTTAATACAATATTTTAATTACTAAATTATGAACTGCTTTTTCTTTTCATAGCTATGTATCTAACAGTGCAGACTCAATGTCTTATACATGTCTGTAACCACAATACCTAAAAGAGTATCCAAAGATGACAAATTTTTGTTGACAAGGAATTTTTTTTATTTTCTTGTCTTCCTAACATTTAAAAATTTAAATACCTAGAATGTATTCAAAATTGTGGATGTTGCCTGTTCCAAAAAAATTTTGTCATTAATATTAGTCCCAGATACTATAAAATTATTTTCAACTTAATTATTCATAACTCCAACAGCTCTGTGAAATATTTTTACTGGAATTTCGTGGCTGAGAAAAGATGGCTCCAAAGAATTAATTTCAGGACATAATTTCTAGGAAGTGTCATAGTCGAGGCTAAACCACATATATTCTAACTCTTGCCCTAGATTTCTTTCCCCTTCTAAATATCCATATGTGCTAATTAATTACTTTTAAGTCATCAATTTTCTCATCACATCTCATTTAAATGTCTCCTATCTCTCAAGACCCAATTGAAGCTTTAACACCTCTCAATTTTGATGTAATTTCTTCCCCCAAACACTTAAAAACCATATTTCTTGATCATATGCCAAGCTTACACTGAAAAAAAAAGAAAGATGGGTTCAAGCATTCCAACATACTGCTAGAAAATTCAGGGAATTTCAGAATATACTACCTATAGCCTTTTCAAGGAAAATAAAGAAAAAGCCAACCAGAAAAACTATGAGTTTCTATATGTCCCCTCATGTGAAATGAAATTGATATTGGCTGTTGCTGCCAGCTGCTGTCACATTGCCCAGCCTCCATCACTCTCAAATCTGGCAGTGTTGTCTGATCTATATCCCTATAACATTTATTAGCAAGGAAGGCAAGAACATCAGCTTTCCAATTAGATCAGAATCTTAAGTTCTGAATCCACTCTTTACCAACCATGAAAGCATTAGCAAATTACTTAAAATTTCTGAGCCTCAAGTGAGATTAAATTATTTCATAAAGTTATTATATTAAATATTTGAAAATTCTTAGGCTTTCATAGGTATTCAGTAAGTGGTAACTATTAATAGTTCCTTCCAAACACGAATCCTACTTTGTGACTTCTATCCACAAAAATCCTCCAGTGACTCCTTCCCGCCTTAGAATCAAGATCTTTCTATTCATCTCTGCTTTTCAAAGTCCAGATAATTTTGCTATTGCTTACTGTCTAAATATTTGTAAACCTATGTGATTCTTTGTCTTTGACACCATCTTGGCTTATGAATCTGTCTTCTTATTCCTTCATTTACCACTTTGGGAAGAGTAAAGATTTTAAAGTTAGACAGAGACAAACTGTGTTTGAATACAGACTCTACCACTTCATACCAATGGGATCTTTTCACTTAATCTAGTCCCCCTTTTAAAAGTGATTGTAATTCCAGGATTGCCATAATATCTCCAGTGCTTATAGCTAAGGGCCCAGAATATAGTAGGCACTCAGGAGTTGGTAGTGATGGTGATAATGAGGATGATGGTTTTTCTGGCTAAGCCACACATATTCTGATAATGAAGACACCTGAACAGAAACACAGAGAGTAGAGAAAGTTTTTCCCTTTCAGTATTTCAATCAAATCCTAACTAAATCAATACTGACTTATTCAGCTTGTGTGTATTTTTTCCTAACTACTAGAGTTTCTAATACCTGAACCACATAAACTATCTTACACTGTTTTCTTTGTGTAAATGAAACATTCACCAACCAGATGTCTTGTAGGTTGTCAGTAGCAGATAATGATTAAAAGCACAGATTCTGCAGGTAAATGACTAGCTTTGCATCTGTCACTGACTGTGTAAACTTGAACAAGTTATTTTACCTCTCCTTACCTCAGTTTACAGATACATAAATTCTGGATATTAATGATAGCTATGTCATAATTAAATAATTAAAGTTAAGTATATATACACATATGTATGTATAAATAAGTATACTTATTGAGAGTTTATGATTGCCAGGAACCATTCTAAGTATTATATACATATATATACACATGTATATAAGTATATATAAGTATATACATGTGTATATATATGTATACATGTATATACTTATATATACATGTATACATATAAGTATATACATGTACATATATAAGTATATACATGTGTATATATGTATACATGTATATACATATATACTTATATACATGTGTATATATATGTATACATGTGTGTATATGCATGTATATATGTATATAGTGCTTAGAATGGTTCCTGGCAATTATAAACTCTCAATATTATTATTGTTATTATTATTATTATTTCATTTCTTGTTCTCTCTGATAATCCTCTTCCCGACTCCCTCCCAAAAGATTCAAAATTAGCCAAAGAGAAGGCCCGCAGTCCTTAATGACCAGAAAGAGGATTCAATTTGGATTCACAAGGCTTAAAAAGAAAAACACTAGCAATGCTGGGAGAGTTTGTGGAGATGAGCATTGTTTATATGGTGCAGGGAAAGTGTGTATTGGTGCAGCCTTTTGGAAGAGCAATATGGAGGGTCCATAAATATCTTAAATGGTCATATAGTTAATCACTAACTGTGTAAACTTGAATAAGTTATTTTGCCTCTTCTTGCCTCTGTTTACAGATATATAAATTCTGGATATTGACGATAGCTATGTCATAATTAAATAATTAAAATTAAGTATATATACACAAACATATATATATGTATAAATAAAACAAAATAACAACAGAAACTTAAACATACACCCAAAGAAAAATGGCAAAATTCAGCATAGGATATCTATCATGCAGCTTTTTAGACTTCAGCCTATCAACCCTCCAGTTCTAACATTCCATTACCACAGCCTAGCTTAGAAGATGTCTCCAGCTTCAATACCATCTCCAAAAACGTAGGATTCTTATGAGCCCTTTCTGTTTAATCTCTCAGTAAGTCCTATTGACTCTTCTTCTACAACATGAATCTCTTCACAGAAACCGACACCACCATCTCTCACACGGACTGCTGCTCTGGCCTCCTCATTAGCTTCCTTGCCACTATCTGGATTTTCACATAGCAGCCTGACATGCCTTTTAAAAAATAAATGAGATTAAGTAAACAACCAGCCTAGAGACTTCTGATGGTTTTCCATCAAACTTCACATGTGGCATTAGGTCCACACTCCCAGCTGTGGCCTACAAGTTGCAAATAAATTTTTCTAATGTCAACTTGTACTATTGTTTCTTCCACTCACTTATAATATTCTGCTATGATCAGTCCCCTTCCTATCTCTCAACTGTGCCAAGCTCACTTCCACTTTAGCATCTTATAGCAGGTGCTTCTTGTGCCTGGAAAGCCCCTGCCATTGATTTGAGAGTGGCTGGTTCCTTTTTATTATACACAGCTCAACTTAAGATATTATTTTTTCAGAGAGACTTTTCTTTACAACCAAATCTAAAGCAGATTGTCCTCTACTACATCCCCAAGACCAGTTGCTTTTTAATGAAATGGCTTATTTTCATTTCTTTATACAATAATTACTGTCTGAAGTCTTCTTTTTGTTAACCTATTTACTTCTCTACTATTTGTGTTTCCCACCAGAATAGAAGCTCCACAAAGCAAGGACCTCACTTGAGAAAGAATTGCATGTTCTCTCTCGGTTTTTACTTCATGAAAATATCATTTTAAACTTATTGTTATCAGTATTATTGCCTATGTTATTATTATTTTATTGGCTGAGTTGAGAACTTATATTTAGTTTTTCCTACTTCAGAGCAAAAATAAAAGCATTCTTTTCATAGGTATTATAAACCATAAATATAACTTCTCCCACTCATTTTTCTTATTTTTCCATTTAAGAAATAGTAAATCTATTAATTTTCTCCTGATGATCTCAATTTTGCCTCAAATCTCATTACATCTCCAGCCATGTTTTCATAAATTACAATGTTGATAATAATTAAGATTTGTTCTGGTCATTTAACCTTAGTTCATTTAAGTATCCTCAGTAATCTGAAGAGGTAGCATGATACCTATTTTGTGAATAATATCTAACATTTATTGACTAATTATTTTGTGCCAGGCACTGTTAAAAGTATTCTTAATTTATCTTTGCAACAACCCATTTTACAGATCAGGAAACCAATGAATAGAGAAATAAATTAGCTTGTCTGAGATTTTACACATTGTTAATGGCAACTTTGGGATTCAAATCCAATTCATCTGAATCCAGACTCATTTTCTTAACTTCCGTACTATCTTGCTTTCCAATATGGAAAAACTTCCTTTGGGAGAGTTTGAAGGATTTGAGAGTAAGTGGCAGAACAGAGTTTGAACCAGAAACACATATAGTCAGTTCTTCATGTTTATGGGGTTCCTCATTTGTGGATTCAACCAAGCACAGATAAAAAATATTTGAAAAAGAAATTGCATATATGTACTGAAAATGTACAAACTTTTTTCTTGTTGTTATTCTCAAAGCCATACAGTATAACAACTATTTACATAGCATTCACATAGTATTAGGTATTATAAATAATCTAGGGAGGATTTAAAGTATACAGGAAGAAATGCCTAAGTTATATGCAAATACTTCACCATTTTAAATGAGGGACGTGAGCATCTGCAGATTTTTATATGGGGGAGGCCCTGGAGCCAATCCCCCAAAGATACCAATGAACAACTGTTCTCTAAACCAGTGATTCACAAACTTTTTGGCACCAGGGACCGGTTTTGTGGAAGACAATTTTTCTGTGGACAAGGGTTGGGGGGGGGAATGGTTTTGGATGATTCAAGTGTATTACGTTTATCATTAGATTCTCATAAGGGGCATGCAACCTAGGTCCTTTGCATGTACAGTTCACAATAGCGTTCATGCTCCTATGAGAATCTAATGACTGATCTGACAGGAGGCAGAGCTCAGCTTCACTTGCTTAAACCCTGCTCACCCTCTGCTGTGCAGCCCAGTTCCTAGCAGGCCATGGGCCAATACCAGTCTGTGGCCCCGGGGGTTGGGGATCACTGCTCAAAAGTGTTACACTATTTAGTTTATTCTAAAGAGATTTAGTGCCACAATCAAGGTCATGAAACTTCTCTTGACTAAGGAAGTCATTAGAACCCAAGGCTTCCATCCTCCAGTCACTGCTCATTCTCTTTTAACTGCCCCAGTTCATTCTCTATGGAAAGTTTCCCTCTTCACAGGATTGATTAAAATCCTGTGGCTGTTCACTACTCACTGCTTACACTCACTTTTGTCCCAGCAAATGTGAACACACAGGACTGTCCCAGAAAGGGAACTTCAGTGAGGAATTGCAGGAGCACAAGATAACAGATTTTGCTGAGAAGCTGCAGCACTAACAGCTGTCCTTGACTGAGCAGTACTCAAGTTCAAGGCACTATGAACACTTTGCATGCATTAACTCATTCAGTTCTTTATAACAACACTGTGAGGTAGCTATCATTACCCTCATTTCCAGGTGAGGAAACAGACTCAGTGAATTTAAGCAACTTGCCCACGGTTTCACAGATAGAAGTGAAGCACCAGGATTTGAATATGAGTCTGTCTGATCCCATAGATGACCCCTAAACACTACACATAGAGAGATTACCAAGACATAATTAGGCAGAAGCTTTGCATAAAGTCTTCTTTTAAGTCTCTTTATCAATGACTTTTAGAAATGTGATATAGACAATTCAATTAATATGTCACATGGGAAGAATGCTAGATGTGGGAGGGCTCAGAAATCAGTAAGGTCATCCTGAGCTACAAAAGTTTCTGACCTTACATTACAGAGGTGCATAAAATGTTCCACGCCCAGACATGCAATGTCATCCTCTCACTGGATGACACATTCAAAGCTGTCATTCCCAATATTGTCATGGTATCATGGCAACTGAATCAGGTCAGAATTCCTGCATGTTAATTATTGCAAAACAGTGGAAAGAGCCTCTCATTCTCAGAATTCAAAAAATCTTCAGAGTTCATCTAGCCCAATCCCTTTCATTGTATAGGTTAAGAAACTGAAGTCCTACTGGCATTAAAACACTAGGTAGCAACTTGAATGACTCTCAGCGACATTATATGGAGTGAAAGAAGCCAGACACAAAAGATTATATGGCATATAATTCCCTTTATAAGAACTTCCAGACAGACAAAACAAACCTATAGTAATAGAAGTTCAAACAGCAATGTCTGTGTCTGGGGGGAAGAGGCAATGACCATAATGAGGCACAAAGAAAACTTTGAGGCAATAGAAATGTTTTACACTTGGATCTAAATGGCGATTATACAGATACATGTTTACATAAATATTATCAAATTGTATACTTAAGATCTGCAAATTTTAATGTATATAGAGCATGCATTAATGAAAAGAAAAAAAAAAACCTGCCTATATTCCTGTCTGAATTGCATTCTTTATTGAATAATACCTAGAGATGCTTTTCTGGTAGATTTAGAATTACGTTTAGAATTGGAGACAAGGAAAATTGAGGTACCGAGCAGAGAGCAAGTTTTCTCAAGATCATATAATATGGAAAGAGCTAGAATTAGATTTTACATTTCCATGCTGTAATGCCTTGGAAATATCTGGTATTATGAATAAGTTTCGATGGAGGCCCCTGTGATAAAGTGCATAAAGCAAAGTAAAACCAATATTGAGTTTGAAGCCAGATAATCTGTACTCAAAGATCAGTAATACCATTATTTGTATAAATTACAATGCCTGGCACATGGCAGGCATTCAATGGATTTTTAAGGGGGTGAATAAGGTAGATAGAATTAAATATAAATTATTTATCTTTTCTAAATCTAGGAATGATAAAAATGAAAAACATTTGAATATTTTAAATCAGTAATCCTCAAAATACATTCAATAAAAAATGAGATACTTACAATTGTACCAATAGAAAAAAGCTTTCTAGGCTGGGTGCAGTGTTTCCTGCCTATAATTCCAGCACTTTGGGAGGCTGAGGTGGGTGGATCAATTGAGACCTAGAGTTCAAGACCAGCCTGGCCAACGTGGCAAAACCCCATCTCTAATAAAAATACAGAAATCAGCCAGATGTGGTGGCACATGTCGGTAATCCCAACTACTCAGGAGGCTAAGGCAAGAGAATCGCTTAAACCCGGGAGGTGGAGGTTGCAGTGAGCCAAGATCGCGCCACTGCACTCCAGCCTGGGCGACAGAGCAAGACCTTGTCTCAGGAAAAAAAAAAAAAAAAGAAAAAAGCTTTCTAGAGTCCAATGTGTTTGCCAATTTTAGTTTAAGCAAATTAAGTAACTTTGCTTGTCTGCAGAACTTCTGTTTAAGTGCTAAAAAATATTCCTAGACCAAAGAGATTCAGCTAAATGAAATTCCTGCAGGAAAATAAAGTTTGTAGCATTTTCTAAAACCATTTGATCACCAAATCCTCCTAGATTAGAATGTTTACTAAAATCTCACAAAGCAGAAACATAGAATATATAGAATGTTTCTATATACTTTGGCAACTATGCTGCATTAATAAAATTTTAGTTTGTTAGTCTCACTGGGTTAATAAATCATAAGTTGCCCCCTGAAAGGGGGCATTTCATTCTTCATTGGAATTTTTCCAAAGACAGGTTTCAAGAAGTATAAATTACATATTGCAGCAATAAATAAAAGTTCATTAATTTATGAAAAGATTTTTGTTGAGGAATACAAATCTTTTTGCAGGTCTCAGTGATCATCTCAACATCTTGCTATAAATAGAAAGGAAGAGATAGCTCTTTTTCAAGGATGTGGGAAAGCATCAAGTTCGGTCAAGGATACCCGGACTAAAAATAAATGAAATGAGATGAGATTCCACTTTTACTAACTCCCAAACTCAAATGTAAACATTATTTTTATTATTAACATGTTTTAAAGATGTGAGGCTCTAAAAAAATAGTTAAATATATTTTGAGGTTTATCAAATGGAGGAGTGAAATATATAACAATGGCACAAAGGATGGAAGAAAGTGAAAGTATACTACTGTAAGATTATTACATACTAAATGGAATGGTATAATATTTAATAGTAGACTGTACAAGTTAAAGACATATATTGTAAACACTAAAATAAAACTTACAAATTTTTAAAAGATACATAACTATTAAGCCAATAGTGGGGATAAAATGGAATCATTAAAAAGAAAATCCAACGACAGCAGGAAAGGGACCAAAAAAAGGCAAAAAAAATTATAAAATGTATGGTAAGATAATAGATCCAAATCCAGTATTATGAATATTTACCTTCAATGTAACTGGTCTAAATACTTCACTTAGGCAGTATTTACTGAATAAAAAGCAGAAATCGACTTAATAAAAAAGCAAAGACTCAACTATATAATATCTATAGCCAATCCACTTTAAACATAAAAACATAGATTAAATGTAAAAAGATGGAAAATATGTACAATGTAAATTTTAATCAAAAGAAAGCTGCAGTGGCTATATTGATGTTAGACAAAATAGATTTCAGAACCAGAAATAGTACCAGGGGTAAAGAAGAATATTTATGCATATATTTATGCAATATAAAAGAAGACATTTATGCAGCCAAAAAACACATGAAAAAATGCTCATCATCACCGGCCATCAGGGAAATGCAAATCAAAACCACAATGAGATAACCTCTCACACCAGTTAGAATGGCGATCATTAAAAAGTCAGGAAACAACAGGTGCTGGAGAGGATGTGGAGCAATAGGAACACTTTTACACTGTTGGTGGGACTGTAAACTAGTTCAACCATTGTGGAAGACAGTGTGGCGACTCCTCAGGAATCTAGAACTAGAAATACCATTTGACCCAGCCATCCCATTACTGGGTATATACCCAAAGGATTATAAATCATGCTGCTATAAGGACACATGCACACGTATGTTTATAGCGGCACTATTCACGATAACAAAGACTTGGAACCAACCTAAATGTCCAACAACGATAGACTGGATTAAGAAAATGTGGCACATATACACCATGGAATACTATGCAGCCATAAAAAATGATGAGTTCATGTCCTTTGTAGGGACATGGATGAAACTGGAAACCATCATTCTCAGCAAACTATCACAAGGACAGAAAAACAAACACTGCATGTTCTCACTCATAGGTGGGAATTGAACAATGAGAACACATGGACACAGGAAGGGGAACATCACACACCGGGGACTGTTGTGGGGTGGGGGGAGGGGGGAGGGATAGCATTAGGAGATATACCTAATGCTAAATGTCGAGTTAATGGGTAAAATGCAGCACACCAACATGGTGCATGTACACATATGTAACAAACCTGCACGTTGTGCACATGTACCCTAAAACTTAAAGTATAAAAATGATAAAATTAAAAAAAAGAAACACGAAATAAAATGAGAATACAATGAAAAAAAAGAAAAAGAAATTAAGTCACAGAGAAATTATAATGTTAAATTTGTTTGCATCTAACAACAGTATCAAATAAATGAAGCAAAACTTGATAAAACTGAAAAAGAAATAGACAAATCCCAATTAGACTTGGAGATTTTAACAGCCATTTCTTAGTCATAAATAGAACAAGTAAAGGAAAATCAGAAAAGCTACAGAAGACTTTACCACTATTACCAACTTGGCCGTTACATTTTTTACAAGTGCACATGGAACAACATTTAGATAGATCATATTATGTGCTGTAAAATAAATCTGAACAAATTCGAAAGGATTTCGTTGCACAAAGCATTTTTCTCTGACCACAAAAACCATTAAATTGATAATCTTTGAAAAGCAGAACTTGATCTCCCTCAGTTTTTGAAGGCCTACACCCAACAGTCTCTCAATCAAAAGTCCAGAAAGACTATAATACAATCCAAGTGTAGAATGGGTTTCACTGAAACTGTTTAGTTTCAGATAACTTCTTGTTTTTTTTTTGAGACAGAGTTTCATTCTTGTTGCCCAGGCTGGAGTGCAATAGCATGATCTTGGCTCATGGCAACCTCCTCCTCCCAGATTCAAGTGATTCTACTACCTCAGCCTCCCAAGTAGCTGGCATTACAGGCATGCACCGCCATGCTCGGCTAATTTTTCTTTTTGTATTTAGTAGAGACAGAGTTTCACCATGTTAGTCAGGCTGGTCTCGAACTCCTGACCTCAGGTGATCCACCCGCCTCGGCCTCCCAAAATGCTGGGATCGCAGGCGTGCGCCATCGTGCCCGGCCCAGTTTTAGATAATTTAACCCCTAATTACATTTATGTGATTAGGCTCTCATCCTGTCTAAAAGAAAAAACTGAAATGGAGGAATAATTCAACAGTACCGGTGGAAAATGGTATCATCTAGATAGAGACTTTATAATTACATCATATACTATGTCCAAAATACTATTTTACAAAATACTAGACAAGCAACATGGTAACAAAATAAAACCAATTAGCAAGAGAAAAATATGCGAAAGGAGCAGAAGTAAAAATAATCTAGATATTGTAAGTAGTAGAAACAGAATTTTGGTTCACTGTGATTAATACATTTGTTATTTGAAAGAAAACATGAACAAAATAAATGAAAGCATGAGGAACTTAAACACATAAATAGAGGATTTAAAATTAATCAAATGACATTCCAGAACTTAAAAAGATAACACATGAAGTTACGAAACTGCTGGACACAATAGAATGAAGAATTGGTAAACTGGAAGATGGCACTATAGGGAATTTCCTAATTCTGATTTTTAGAAAAGATATGTACAAAAAAAAAGAGAGAGAGAAATTGTTGCATTCAATAGTGAAATGCTAGCGCTTGCCCCAAAAGGTCAGAAATACAAAAAGAGCATCAACGGCTGCTATTTCTATGCATCATTATAAAGTAAGTTCTAACCATTCCAATAAGTCAAGAAAAGGTTACAATGTTTGGAAAGGAGTGTGTAAAACTGCCTTTTTTTTTTTCACAGATGACATAATTGTGGACATACAACATCAAATAAAAAGATAAACTATTGCAATCAATAAATCAATTCATCAAGGTCACTGGACCCAGGTCAACAACAAAAAACAATTGTATCTCTATATACTAGCAATAAATAATTGAAAAATAAGATAAAATAGGAACTATTTACAGCAGCATTTTTAGAAAATCACACATTTATGAGTAAATCTTAAGAAAGTAGTGCAAGTACCATTGCACTACTGAGAGACATTAAAATCTGAATAAGTAAAGAAGTATTCCATGTTTTGGGGTCAAAAAAATTAAATATTCAATATATCAATTCTCTCAAAACTTATCTATAAGTACAATATACTCCCAATCAAAAAGGTTGACACTTTTTGCATGTGGAAATTGACATGTGATTCCAAAGTTTATGTAGAAATAGACAGGAAGATGTTAAAGAAGAGGAAGAAATACAAGATTCCAGCGTGTTCTAGAAAGCTACAGTAATTAAGACAGTATGGATTCAGTGCAAAGGTAGAAAAACATATCAACGGAAAAGAATAGTGAAACCAGAAACAGCTCACACATAAACAGTCACTTGGTTTAGGTAAAAGCACCAGTTCTCTTCAGTGGCAACCGTATGGTCTTTTCAATAAAGACTGAAATAGTTAGATATACATATGAGAAAAAAAGGTGAACTTTGACTCTGAACTTACAGCATAACCCAAAATTTATGTGAGGTGGCTCATACCCCAAATGTGAAAGCCAAAGTCAGTAAGCTTCCAGAAGAAAATATGATTAAATACCTTCATGACCTTGGGGTAGGAAAAAAATCTTTATAGAACATAAAAAAGACAAATCACAAAAGAAAAAATCAACAAAGCAAAAGTAAAAATTTCTGTTTGTCAAAAAATATTCTGAAAGTAAATAGATAAGCCACAGCCTGGATAAAAAACCTGCAATACATAAATTCTGACATAGCTAACATATTTAACATATTATATAAGCTCTTATGCATTTGTTAAAAAAAGAAAAACAATCCATTAATAAATGTGCAAAAGGCTTGACCAAAACTTCAAAAAAGAGAATATCCAAGAGGCCAATATGCATATCAAAAGATACAAAGAATCATAAATAATCAAATCTATGCAAACTAATATTGAAATGAAATAACACACCTACTCAAAGAGCTAAAATTAAAAAGACACACAATGTCAAGTACTGGGGAGTACACTGAGCAACTTGCACTCTCATACCCTCCTGCTGAGAGTATAAATTGACTCAACCACTTTGGAAAACTGTTTGACAATATCTCCTAAAGCTAAACACTTGCTTGCCCTATGCTCCAACCGTTATACTCCTAGGTATAAACTCAAGGGAAGTTGGTGTATATGTCCACTAAAATAAAAAAAAAAGACATGTTCAAAAATCTTCACTAGCAGCTTAGCTCATAACAGCTCAAAACCAGAAAAACCCAAATATCTATCAACAGTAGAGTGGAATAAATTGTGGTATATTCATAGAATGTAATACAGGTTGAATATCCATTATGCAAAATGCATAGAACCAGAAGTATTTATTTTTAGTTTAATTTAAACTATTTTAAAAATAAAAACTGGAGAATATAAAATATTAAGTTGAGCTTGTAATCAAATTAACAAAATAAAAATAAATAGGTAATGTGTAACATCTAGAATTACTGTAGTTTATGTGAATGAGACATAATGTTCCAACTTTTAAACTCAGAGTATATAGATGTCATTATTCCATGCTCAGTAATTATTACTAGAAATTTCATGATGGACCTTTATCAGATATATGGATTTAGAGGCACAATTACTATAGAATTATCACAAGAAACTCAATCATGCAGATTTCTAAGTTCAATATGAATCATTAGTAGCTATCCCAAAGCACATGAACTTTGAACATATTTACACATCATTGGAACAAAGGAGGTGATCATTATATTGTGTTCGAATCCACTAAACAGAACACATCTAAAATATTATGCTGAAGTGTAGATTTCATGTTTTAGAGTTATGATTAATGAAATAAGACCAGGTCCAGAAGAGAGTGACTTCCACAAAACAGCCTGAAAAATATGTCCTGTAAAATAATAATAATAATAGTGACATGGCACACAGAGAAGAGTACCTGAAAATACTGAAAGGTTGTCTAGGAAAAGTGAGTGCTTATTTGTTTAGTCTGTATAGCTGCAGAAGATGGACTAGAACTCATGAACAGAAGTTATATGGAGAACAGTATCAGCTCATTATAAAGAAAAGCAAATAATCCAAGATAAACCAACCTGCCACAAGAGGTAATGTATTGCCTACATCTGCAAAGATACAGATGATGAGATTTTAGCAATAACTGGAAAGTTAAAATCAATGATGCCGATTTATTTTTTCTTCCACTTCTCAGATACATATTTCTATAAAAGGGTGAAGCTTCTGGAGTGGTATTTTACCTTAGAAGAACTATGTTCTCATAATGGACACCTTTACTTACCAAGAGAAAAGACCTTGAACAAGTCTCTTGACCTCTCTCGTCAGAAAATTGGAAATAATTCAGCTTTATCACATTATTAGAGTGAGAACAAAAAATGTGCACGTAGAAGCTTTTCAAAACAAGCATTTATATATTTGTTATTGCTCTTATTACTTCAGAAATTTTGCTTGTGTCAGGAAGAAAATAGAAAAGCTAGATGACAAGGAGATATTTATGGAACTATCAAAAAGATCTGAGTAGGAAGGAAGAAGCTAAGATTCTCAGGTGGAATGTGGGTGGGCATTTCCTGAGATGTTATCAGGAGGCAGGCAAAGTTTATCAGACATGGGGAAAGGAAGCTCAATTAGGAGATCACTAAGTAGAGAAGGCTCCTGGGAATCAGGACTTCCGCACCTGCTGGCACCTTACCCAACAGATAATATAGCCAACTTGGCCATGTGTAACAAAAGAATCAGGAAAACAATTGGGATTAACACATTAGGTAAACATAAATGGAGTAGGAATAATTTTAAAGAAAATGGTATCAGTAAAGCAATATCTTAGATAATATGTTATTTAACATGGTCAAGATTTCTAAATAATTTAGAATTGACATGCTGTATGGCTTACCCATGTTCAGGAGGAAGTCATTCTAAAAATCTATACATTCACATTTTGCCTCCCTGAATAAAAAATAATATATATAATTTAATCGATCCTCAAAAACTATACAAAATATAGTTATACCCTCTGGATTTTATTGAGGCACGTGAGATTCTTTGCCATGCACTATCTTAACCCCAAATTGATGTGTTACTTGAGTTCTCCTATAAATTTTCTTTGTTCAGTTTTCTACCTTAGCAGCTTATATGCATAGCCTCACCATCACTGGCATCATTACACAGAATTCCTCAACCCCAAGATACAACACTTTAAGTACACTCTCCGATCATATCACCTTCTTTCTATCCTTCCGGCCTCCATCTCCCACTCAACTTGCTCCTCTTATTAATCACACCCAAGGTCCCTTCTTTACTTCTTATGTTATCTTTTGTGAAATATCCCTTTTTAGCTTTGCTGTCTCTTTGTCCCATAGGTACCTCATGATCGTAACTTCCACAAATCTCTTTGCAAAATTCTAACCCTAGTCAATGAAGATCAGCCTTTAAAAAACATAGGCTCTGTTTTGGTTGCATATGAACTTTAAAGTAGTTTTTTTCCAATTCTGTGAAGAAACGCATTGGTAGCTTGATGGGGATGGCATTGAATCTGTAAATTACCCTGGGCAGTATGGCCATTTTCACGATATTGATTCTTCCTACCCATGAGCATGGAATGTTCTTCCATTTGTTTGTATCCTCTTTTATTTCCTTGAGCAGTGGTTTGTAGTTCTCCTTGAAGAGGTCCTTCACATCCCTTGTAAGCTGGATTCTTAGGTATTTTATTCTCTTTGAAGCAATTGTGAATGGGAGTTCACTCATGATTTGGCTCTCTGTTTGTCTGTTGTTGGTGTATAAGAATGCTTGTGATTTTTGTACATTGATTTTGTATCCTGAGACTTTGCTGAAGTTGCTTATCAGCTTAAGGACATTTTGGGCTGAGACAATGGGGTTTTCTAGATATACAATCATGTCATCTGCAAACAGGGACAATTTGACTTCCTCTTTTCCTAATTGAATACCCTTTATTTCCTTCTCCTGCCTAATTCCCCTGGCCAGAACTTCCAACACTATGTTGAATAGGAGTGGTGAGAGAGGGCATCCCTGTCTTGTGCCAGTTTTCAAAGGGAATGCTTCCAGTTTTTGCCCATTCAGTATGATATTGGCTGTGGGTTTGTCATAGATAGCTCTTATTATTTTGAAATATGTCCCATCAATACCTAATTTATTGAGAGTTTTTAGCATGAAGGGTTGTTGAATTTTGTCAAAGGCCTTTTCTGCATCTATTGAGATAATCATGTGGTTTTTGTCTTTGGCTCTGTTTATATGCTGGATTACATTTATTGATTTGCGTATATTGAACCAGCCTTGCATCCCAGGGATGAAGCCCACTTGATCATGGTGGATAAGCTTTTTGATGTGCTGCTGGATTCGGTTTGCCAGTATTTTATTGAGGATTTTTGCATCAATGTTCATCAAGGATATTGGTCTAAAATTCTCTTTTTTGGTTGTGTCTCTGCCCGGCTTTGGTATCAGAATGATGCTGGCCTCATAAAATGAGTTAGGGAGGATTCCCTCTTTTTCTATTGATTGGAATAGTTTCAGAAGGAATGGTACCAGTTCCTCCTTGTACCTCTGGTAGGATTCGGCTGTGAATCCATCTGGTCCTGGACTCTTTTTGGTTGGTAAGCTATTGATTATTGCCACAATTTCAGATCCTGTTATTGGTCTATTCAGAGATTCAACTTCTTCCTGGTTTAGTCTTTGGAGGGTGTATGTGTCGAGGAATTTATCCATTTCTTCTAGATTTTCTAGTTTATTTGTGTAGAGGTATTTGTAGTATTCTCTGATGGTAGTTTGTATTTCTGTGGGATCGGTGGTGATATCCCCTTTATCATTTTTTATTGCGTCTATTTGATTCTTCTCTCTTTTTTTCTTTATTAGTCTTGCTAGCGGTCTATCAATTTTGTTGATCCTTTCAAAAAACCAGCTCCTGGATTCATTAATTTTTTGAAGGGTTTTTTGTGTCTCTATTTCCTTCAGTTCTGCTCTGATTTTAGTTATTTCTTGCCTTCTGCTAGCTTTTGAATGTGTTTGCTCTTGCTTTTCTAGTTCTTTTAATTGTGATGTTAGGGTGTCAATTTTGGATCTTTCCTGCTTTCTCTTGTGGGCATTTAGTGCTATAAATTTCCCTCTACACACTGCTTTGAATGCGTCCCAGAGATTCTGGTATGTTGTGTCTTTGTTCTCGTTGGTTTCAAAGAACATCTTTATTTCTGCCTTCATTTCGTTATGTACCCAGTAGTCATTCAGGAGCAGGTTGTTCAGTTTCCATGTTGTTGAGCGGTTTTGAGTGAGATTCTTAATCCTGAGTTCTAGTTTGATTGCACTGTGGTCTGAGAGATAGTTTGTTATAATTTGTGTTCTTTTACATTTGCTGAGGAGAGCTTTACTTCCAACTATGTGGTCAATTTTGGAATAGGTGTGGTGTGGTGCTGAAAAAAATGTATATTCTGTTGATTTGGGGTGGAGAGTTCTGTAGATGTCTATTAGGTCTGCTTGGTGCAGAGCTGAGTTCAATTCCTGGGTATCCTTGTTGACTTTCTGTCTCATTGATCTGTCTAATGTTGACAGTGGGGTGTTAAAGTCTCCCATTATTAATGTGTGGGAGTCTAAGTCTCTTTGTAGGTCACTCAGGACTTGCTTTATGAATCTGGGTGCTCCTGTATTGGGTGCATATATATTTAGGATAGTTAGCATCGCCAAGTCAATCCTAAGCCAAAAGAACAAAGCTGGAGGCATCACACTACCTGACTTCAAACTATACTACAAGGCTACAGTAACCAAAACAGCATGGTACTGGTACCAAAACAGAGATATAGATCAATGGAACAGAACAGAGCCCTCAGAAATAACACTGCGTATCTACAACTATCTGATCTTTGACAAACCTGAGAAGCACAAGCAATGGGGAAAGGATTCCCTATTTAATAAATGGTGCTGGGAAAACTGGCTAGCCATATGTAGAAAGCTGAAACTGGATCCCTTCCTTACACCTTATACAAAAATCAATTCAAGATGGATTAAAGACTTAAACGTTAGACCTAAAACCATAAAAACCCTAGAAGAAAACCTAGGCAATACCATTCAGGACATAGGCATGGGCAAGGACTTCATGTCTAAAACACCAAAAGCAATGGCAACAAAAGACAAAATTGACAAATGGGATCTAATTAAACTAAAGAGCTTCTGCACAGCAAAAGAAACTACCATCAGAGTGAACAGGAAACCTACAAAATGGGAGAAAATTTTCCCAACCTACTCATCTGACAAAGGGCTAATATCAAGAATCTACAATGAACTCAAACAAATTTACAAGAAAAAAACAAGCAACCCCATCAAAAAGTGGGCGAAGGACATGAACAGACACTTCTCAAAAGAAGACATTTATGCAGCCAAAAAACACATGAAAAAATGCTCATCATCACTGGCCATCAGAGAAATGCAAATCAAAACCACAATGAGATACCATCTCACATCAGTTAGAATGGCAATCATTAAAAAGTCAGGAAACAACAGGTGCTAGAGAGGATGTGGAGAAATAGGAACACTTTTACACTGTTGGTGGGACTGTAAACTAGTTCAACCATTGTGGAAGTCAGTGTGGTGATTCCTCAGGGATCTAGAACTAGAAATACCATTTGACCCAGCCATCCCATTACTGGGTATATACCCAAAGGACTATAAATCATGCTGCTATAAAGACACATGCACATGTATGTTTATTGTGGCACCATTCACAATAGCAAAGACTTGGAACCAACCCAAATGTCCAACAATGATAGACTGGATTAAGAAAATGTGGCACATATACACCATGGAATACTATGCAGCCATAAAAAATGATGAGTTCATGTCCTTTGTAGGGACGTGGATGAAATTGGAAATCATCATTCTCAGTAAACTATCGCAAGAACAAAAAACCAAACACCGCATATTCTCACTCATAGGTGGGAACTGAACAATGAGATCACATGGACACAGGAAGGGGAACATTACACTCTGGGGACTGTTGTGCGGTGGGGGGAGCGGGGAGGGATAGCATTGGGAGATATACCTAATGCTAGATGACAAGTTAGTGGGTGCAGCGCACCAGCATGGCACATGTATACATATGTAACTAACTTGCACAATGTGCACGTGTACCCTAAAACCTAAAAAGAAAAAAAAGAAAAAGAAAAAAAAAATAGGCTCTGGATTCATGAACACCTAATTTTGAATTCCATTTTTGCCACTTACCAGCTGTCTATGACCTGAGACCATTGATTCAACTTCTCAGTGACTCAGTTCTGTATGCATGGCATATGCACTGCTGTGTCTTCAGCATAGAATACACTGCCTGAAAAAACCAGATGCAAGATGAATATCTGTTGAATGAAAATTAACACTAACCTGTTTAACTTCATGGAAAAGGCTATTAATTTCATGTAATGTTCTCTTTTTTCATTTCAAAATATGTTCACAATTTCAGGTAACATTTCCCGCCCATTACAACTCAGGTGAAGAATGACTACAATTATCCAAAGTTAATCTTCCACCTCTTCTCTACATTCCATGCACTGCCACATCTTCAATGCATTGCCTTATCAAATTTCTTTATTGCATTCTTACCACAACAGGATGTTTTCCCTTCAACCCACAAACATGCTTTATCTTTCTCCTATATTGTATTACCTCAGCTGTCTCCTGCCTGCCTTGCCAAGCTCTTGGCAAGGGTAGCATCTACTTACGGCTTTTACTTCCTTGCCTCTCATTCATTCATTTACCATCCAACAAATTCATTTTAGCTTCTTTCCCACAACTCTACTGAAGGTCACTAAGCATAGCTGTTTAAAGATCAATTCTTTTTTCATCTATTTCATTTCTTATTATGTGCTACTTTCATTCATGCACACTTGGCTCTGATTGCACTAGCTTTCTGTTTCTAAGACAGAGAAAACTCTTTTCTAACTCAGAGACTTTGCTCTTGCTAGTTCCTTTGCCTGGAAAGCTCTTCTTTTACCTGATTCTTCCCGTAACTTACTTCTTACCTCAAAATAATTGTCGAATCATTTATTTGACAATTTACATCTTAAACATCTACATTAGTTATGACCATGTTCTAAATTATTGAAATACAAAAATTGTTAATTGTTGTTTTCAAGAACTTTGGTCTTGTAGAAAAGTCTACAGATAATTCTAAAACTATATGGGGAGATGCCAATAAAAGGTATTTGGGAAGAGAACAATTGAATCTTTCTAAAAGGAGACAAGGAAGCTTTCATAAAGGAGTGGACACTGGAATTAGATCAGTCATTCACAAATGGGTGTGGTTTTATCCCCCCAGCAATGTCTGCAGACATTTTTAATTGGCACAGTTGTAGGGGACAGGTGGCTATTGGCATCAAGTGATAGAGCCCAGGGATGACGCTAAACCTCCTCCAATGCACAGAACAACACCCACAAAACAGAGGATTATCCAGCTCAAAATTTCAATGGTTCCAAGACTGAGAAATCCTGAGTTAGATCTTAAAATGTTAATAAGGATTTTCTGCCTGCTAGATGACCACAATAGCTTCCTGTCTTTCTGCAAACATCTATTCTATACCCAGTTGCCATTAGCTTTCTAAAATATAAATCTGTTTATGTCACACTCAGTTCACAATTTTTTCTGATACTAATATATAATACTAATATCAATTATTACATGCCAGGATATTCACAAGTCTGTGAGGAAGGTATTGTCCCAAAATTTTTGAAGGGAAAACTAAGATTCAGATAAAGTAAGTAACCTACGGAGTGTCACAACGATGGTTTCCCTTTACCTATAGAATAAAATCCAAATGCTTTGGCATGTCAACTTACTGTACAGTCTGATTCTAACCTTCATTTCCAGTTTTATTTCCCAATAGTCCTAAATGCTAAAAACAAAGGTTTAAGCATTACTAACTGCCATTCCAAAAACACTTTGGGAAACAACACTACCCATCAAAATCAAAGATGTACACCCCACCTAAGAAAACAATGCAAATCCTAGGCATACATCTCAAATATATCCTTGCACCTCTGCACTGAGAGATGTGTACAAAAATATTTAAATAAATTTTTTTTCCAATAGAAGAGAAAAAGAAAAAAATTCAATCAATACAAATATTTGTCAGTAAAAGATTTCCATTAGTATATTGTGATTTATTCAAACAGAATAGTACATGGCAATAAAAATGTGATATATACATAAATAGTCATGTTATTATATATTTATATATTATATATTTACACAAGTGAAAGATTAATAAAAAACACCAGTAGCAGAAATAAAATACATTATTTATATTCCATATAAAATATTATACTTTATATTCCACACAAAAACCTAAAGAAATTATTTAGATGACCATATGTAAGGGAAAAGCAAAAAATGCAAAGAAATCACAAACAGACAATTCAGGACAGTGGTTACATTTGGAGATAAAAGACGCTCTGAGATCTAGGAACTTCAATATATTTGGTAATATCTACTTCTTAAGATAGACAGTAAGTATATGAGTCTTAACTATATATTTTTTATCCTACATAAACATGGTCTGTATATATAGTATTAGTGTTATATTACTATTACTTATATGTAGTAAATACTTAAATTTATAACACATAATTATTTTTGAGTTTATATTTTAGTCCTTGCTACACCTTTTGCCTGAAGAGACCTTCCTTTTTTTTCACCTGATAGAATCTTGCTGTTCTCAAAGTAATGTGGAAGTTTGGAGGGGAAAGTTTAATTCAGGCAGAGGAACCAAAGAAGCACATGAAGTGGAAGTGACATTTGAACAAGGATTTAAGTTTTGAGAAGTGGAAACAGTCAAATGAGGGTCACTCCAAGCAGAAGGAACTGCTGAACTAAAACAATGGACAATCACAAATTCAAAAACTCCACTGTTGCCGAAGAGAGGCGTAACAGCAGAAAAGGACGAGTTCGAATGTAGAAAGATAATGAGATATTTTGAATGTCATCCCAAAATCCTAATAAGAGGCACTGAAGATTTGAAGAGTTGTGCCATCTGTTTAAAAAAAAAGAAGAAAACTAAAAAGAAATAAAAGAAAAAAAAGATGGCCGGGCGCGATGGCTCACTCCTGTAATCCCAGCACTTTGGGAGGCCAAGGCAGCCTGGTATTTGGTATTATTAAATATGAGTTAGATTACTGAATCCCAGAGCTGTAGATTAACTTGAGATTGAACATGCTTATTTGCTAATAGCATGAGAAAGGCATGGGAGTCTTTTAAGGAGTTACTTCTAAATTTCTAAAAATTACATATTTTATCTTAAGAAATTAACCCACAGTATTCTCCCTTTTGCTACAATTTTATGAGATGAAATTAGTCACACTATTAAATTGCATTAACCACAAGTCAACAGGATGCCAATTTAGCTATGAAATTATAATACTGAAAATTATTTATTTGCTGGAAAGAATAAATGCAGCTTTTCAAGGTGCTTAAGGAACTTTCTAGAAGCTATTACTTGTCTCCACAGTAGGTCTAAGAGCTAGAAAGGTCAAAGACAGTCAAAGCTATAAAGAATATTAGAAGTTATTGGCCAGGTATGGTGGCTAATGCCTGTAATTCCAGCAAATTGGGAGGCTGAGGCAGGTGGATCACTTGAGGTCAGGAGTTCGAGAGCAGCCTGGCCAACATAGTGAAACCCTGTCTCTACTAAAAATACAACAATTAGCCAGGTTTGGTTGCGAGCACCTGTAATCCCAGGTACTTGGGAGGCTGAGGCAGGAGAATCATGTGAACCCGGGAGGCAGAGGGACTCCAGCCTGGCTGACAGACTCTGTCTCAAAAAAGAAAAATTGGAAGTTATCTAGTTCAACTTTTTCATTTTACTAATGAAGAGACTGAAGGAAAGAGATACAAGGTCACAGGACAAGCCATTTCATACACTCATTAAGACAAATATTTATTTAACTTCTACCTTGTACCAATAATTATGTTGGTATCACAGCCGTGTATAAATTCCAGGTTTTCAGACTCCCAGCTTTGAGCCCTTGTGCTACAACATGTGCAGCCAACCATTAAATAAGCAAACAATTCACCAGGCACAAATTTCTGTGACTGAGATCCATGGCCCACCAGTATTGGAGTCCTGGGCCCTAAATTAGACCTACTACATCAGAATCTCTTGGGAAAGGGCTATAAGAGCTGCATTTTAACAAGTTCCCTGAGGTAATTACATATTAATACAAGGTAATTCTCATTACCAAAAAATGTGAGGAGCACAGGTCAAAGAGAATAAACAGGAAAAAGCAAGGATTTAGATTTTTAATGGAATTTAGGAAGGCAAACAGTTAACACCAGCCAATATATTCCCATAACCAGGAAAGAGACTAATCCTCCAGTCAAGATATAGCTCAGAATCTTACCAACCAATTAGTCAGTTACCTATGAATTACACTTCACCATTCACAAGTACGTTCACATACAACATCTCATTTGATCAACACAAAAACCCTGAGAATACTGATGCAATTATCTTCTTTTTTCTATGAAAAAAGACTATAGCTCAGGGAGTTTAAGTAGTTCGTAAGAGGTCACACATTAAGAGACGAGGCCAGAACTCCTTTTCATTACACTACAGGTTCCTCATCTGTTAAATAAAGGAGTTGAATTTGGTGGAAATTGAAATTCTCTTTATGATGTATGAAAAATGGGACACGTGCTTGTCAGTGCATATCTATGTGGTTTAATTCACTGGAGAGTCAAAGTCAATGTTCCCTTTAAGAAAACAGAAGAAATGAAGGCCAAACATGTCTTATCAGATTGACACGCTGAAACTACCTTAGAGAAGAGTATCATATGATAACCCAATATTTGGTGTCTCAAGAACTTACTCCCATGACTGCTATCTGCCTTTGTGTATTCTTTTTTGAATAGATGCTTCCTTGCAGGTGTTTCCATGATGTTACAGGTCAACATTGCCAATGTTCCTCTTTCTCCCATCTGCATTCCTTCTGCAAACACTAATACCATCTTACATTAGGTTTAGCACTGTGCAGTTCTTAAAGGGTCTTCGAAGACTTTTCATCAGATCCCGGCCAGTTATTTGTTGCTATGTTCTTTTAGCTGTTGAGGCTTCTGGGCTCCCGATTTAAATCCTTCTCAGCCTAGTGTCCAGGGCTCCCCATGAGTCACCCTTCTTGAGATTCTGCTTCACCTGTTGTAGCCAACTAGACTTCTGCTTGGTCCCCTGTCTTATTTACCTGAATAAAATCCCAGCCCTTTTGAGCCTGGGGTTTTGCATTGCTTCCTCCCCATGTGCCCACAGCCTAGAGTCCTGCCCCGGAACATTAAGCAGAGCCTAATTCCTTGCTAATAGAGTTCTCTGAGGCTGTAAACTTGACTGGGTGCCCAAATATTGTCCTCTCAACCCCCTACCATAATGCTCAAGCTCCTCCATAGGAAGGCACTCCCCCAAAATTTAATGCCAAACTCCTGTAATGCGAACAGCTTAATAATAACAGCAATACAACTGACTGTGTCCAGGAGCTTTCCAAGTGCTTTATGTGTATTATCTCACAATAATACTATCAAAAAATATTATTACTTTCATTTTACAGTTGAGATAACTGAGGCTCAAGGAGATTACATATAGGCTGAGTATCTCTTATTCAAAATGCTTGGGACGGGAAGTGTTTTGGGTTTCAGATTTTTTCAGATTTGGGGATATTTGCACGTAGACTTACCAGTTGAGCATTCCTAATCTGAAAATCTAAAATGTGAAATGTTCTAGTGAGTGCTTTCTTTGGACATGACCTTTGAGCATCATGTCGATGCTCAAAAAGTTTCAGATTTTGGAGCATTTCAGATTTCAGATTTTCAGATTAGGGATGCTCAACCCGAACTGACTCAAGTTTACACAGTTAAAAAATGAAAGATTTGAACTCAGATTGGTTAAACTTTAAAATCCATGTTCTTCACTAACAGCTAAACAGGCTAACTTAATCATCACCTGCCTTTCATCATAACCTTCCTATGAATATTGAATTATGTTGGCTGGCCTAAAATTTCGAACAGCATGATCTGTGATTGAGTTCCTGCTTGCCATTGTCTCATCCCAGTGGGTGGATAGAGCCCCATGTTCCAGCCTCTCCGAGTCATTAAATCCCACTGAAGTTAACCAGGCCATGCCTAGAATTATCCCAATATATAATATGTCATCTATTTGATCCTCCCAAAATCTTGGTGGAATTGACACCACATAGATCATAAGCCCCACTCCCTATATGAGAGTGGCCAAGACACAAAAAATTACTTTGAATAGTCTGGGTTAAATATAGCTAGCCAGAAGCAAAGCCATGACCAGACCCAGGTTTCCTGACTCAAACACTAAAGCTTCATGCATTAAATTCACACCAAATACATTTAAGCTAGACAAGGCATATAGAAAACACACACGCAGAGTTCAATACATCACTGTGTTGAAGTGCATACAAATGCAGCTCTGTACAATTGCTTGGGGCTAAGATGTTACCGTTCTCTTCACCCTTACTCACCACCTCTTTATACCACATTAGCCCATATGCTAGAACAATGCTAATCCATGCAGTGTAGGAGGCAGTTACATTCAGTGATCCAGAGCCTATGACCTGGTGCATTTGAATGACACGATATAATTAATGGAAGGAAGAGGAACAAAGGAATGAAGTAAGAGTAAAATGAGTAAGAGCCCTGGGTGGTTCTAGACAGGAATCAGGAAAGGAAAAATTCTGTTAATGGGATTGAAAGTTTACTGTGGTAAAACAGATTTTTTCCAAGGTTAGCCTAGGTTTCTCAAACTATTTTTGGATGAGCCATGTCAACATCTGACCAGGCCCCAGCATAGCAGATGCAATCAACACTGTTGATGAAAACTCAGGAAACATGGAGGTTTCGCCCAACCCTTGGTATTTTTCACTGAAAACTTCTAAGTGGACAAGAAACCTCCATAGACAACTCATTCTGTACCCTTGCTTGGAGACACTGTTCCCTCCACTTGGCTTCTCAGAGCGGTGTAGAAACTAAGTAGGAAGGGCCTCAAGTGGCATCTCTCCCAATGCCTTCATTTTATAGGTGATGCAACTGAGGCACAGAAAGAATAAGTGACTTGCCCAAGCTCACATAGTGAGTCATTGTCAAAGCTGAGGCACAAGAACCCAATGTACTCTTCCTTCCTCTCAGGAGTTATATAATTCATGTTTTTCTTATTATTATTTTATATCTTATGTTATTAGCATGCTACAAAAGAGTAGTCAATTTGAACTACAGCAAATGAAAGCAAGATACTAGGATGATTATTGTGTTTTGAGCATTGTGAATGTTTCCTTTGGTGAGAAGGAATGGTGAAAAATTGATATATTCAACTGGCTACCATTTTTCTGTTTCCTTTTTTTTTTTAAGAGTATGAAATGACGAACTGATCAACTAATTAATCAAATGGAGGATTAGTCCTTAAATTAAAGGTAGGTTAGACCAGACCACTTTAAGATCCCTGGAAACATTGAGACTCTACGACCCTGGATAGAGAAGGGCGTGAACCCTGGACTCTGAGTCCAAAATTACATATCAGTTGAAATCCCAACTCAAACTTAACCAGTTTAGATCAAACTCTTTCTGTAAAGAAAAAAAAAAAAAAGCAGCATCATACTCCTTTTGTTTAAAGAAAAAAAAAAAAAAACCTGACCAGCTCTGCAACCATGGATAAATCAGTTAATCTTTCTGAGCTTCAGTTTCTTTACTCAGATAAAAAGACCAATAAGCCCTATATAAGCCTCAAGGTTATAAGAAACATATGAAGTTGTGTATTTAGCAACAATTTTATTCTGCATTAATATTAGTCTATACAGTAATTATAAAAATTCAGATACTACATATGTATGTATATATTCATATATATGTATGTGTGTATGTCTATATTTATGTATATATATGTGACTATGCATGTACCTATTTATGGACACATACACGTACAAATGTAGGTATGTATATTCATACATATTTCTGCTTTGGCTCTGTGCCCAGCTTAACAAAACTGCACCCTCTTATTATAGCAGCACTCCCATAGGGTGTACCATACCTGTTTCAATTTTACTTCCTATGAACAATCATCTCCTTCCCCTTCTTCCTGCATGTTTCTGCCAAGGTTCACACAGCTGACATTCGTGGAGGTGAAATGGCTCACCTCGTTTGCCTATGGCTATTAAGTCTTAGCATTCTGATTTTCAGCATTCCATTTTGTGATTTAAGTTTCAAGTGACTTTTTAAAAGAACAAATAAGTTTTGCATATATTTTTGCTTATTTTTTCCAACCCCTGCCAGAATTTTCTATAGAAAATACATGTGCATTTTTTCCTTATGGGATTTCATTATCAATCCTAGATATGAAACTTTTGAATTAAAGGCCTTTGAACTGAGGATGTGGTCATTTTCCAGTCTTTAATTTACAGATGAGACAGGAATAATCAGCTATAATCCTCTTGGTGTATACAATGTCTAGCATAAATTAGGGGTTCAAGATTTGTAGAAGTGACATTTTCATGCTGAAGTACTATTAGCATTGAAAGTAAATGAGAAAAAAAAACTGGTAAACTTAGAAAAGGAGAAAGTTCCTCAAATTACTGCCTGGGAAGTGCTTTTCTTATTTACAAAGCCCTTTTACTTACCATATCTCATTTCAGCCTCATAACAACACTCCTAAAGAGGCAAGTCAGGGTGGGATTTTTGTCATTTTACAAACAGGCATCTAAAGTTTAATAAGGTTAAGTATTTTGCCTGAGGACTCCTGTATAGGAACTGGAGAAGTCCAGACCTAATTAAGGACTTTCTCTAAAACATAAACTTTATTTTCCAGGACTCAATATCAGCTGTTTCTTTACTTTTTGTTCTCAAAGCATCCTATATTAACATTATCAAATAATTTTGAGAATTCCACAACTCAAAAGTTGTATCTCTATTTATGCAGTCAAGCCATAATACCTAATGTGCATGTGGACTCCAGCAGCTTGCAAAACCTGAGGAACCCCTTCTTACCACAGAAATTTGATTCCCTTTATCAGGAACCACTATGTTAACATAGTTTGCAAAGTGATCTATTTGAAGGGAGCCTGTTTCAATTACAAGATCTTAATCAGCAAGAGATTTATCATCTCACATAACAGGAAGTCCAGAGGTGGAGCAAGCCTCAAGACTGGGTGACTCAGTAGCAAGGTTTGCATCATCCTCAGGCTGGAGGTCAACTGGTTGCAGTAGTTCCAGGCATCAAACCACAGGAAAAAAAAATCATCTCTCCTTCAGGAATTGTAATTCCTAGAAATTTTTACAAAAAGCTTATGGCAGACATCCCATTTACCTGTGTTGAGTTTAGGTAATTCTAAGCTAATCACTGGCAAAGTCAGTAGAATTTCCCTCACATCACTCAGGTCCAGCCTGGAGCTTCTGGTAAGACCAGCTTCTCTGGAAGCACAGGGCTACGAAAGAGATGAATAGAGAACGAAATTAGCATCTGCTAGCTGAAGAGTGATATACATGCCGAGTAAAGAAATAACAGTGCTTACTAGAGGACAACAGGTGGGTGTATCTGCAATGTAGGAACAGGACCCACATGAAAGAATGCTTCAGTGGAAGTCCTCATATTAGACAATAGAAGTTGCTTCATAAATGTCTTTAAAACATATGCCCAGGCCGGGCACGGTGGCTCACGCCTGTAATCCCAGCACTTTGGGAGGCCAAGGAGGGCGGATCACAAGGTCAGGAGATCAAGACCATCCTGGCCAACGTGGCGAAACCCCATCTCTACTAAAAATACAAAAATTAGCTGGGCATGGTGGCACGTGCATGTAATCCCAGCTACTTGAGAGGCTGAGGCAGGAGAATAGCTTGAACTAGGGAGTCGAAGGTTGCAGTGAGCCGAGATTGCTCCACTGCACTCCAGCCTGGCAACAGAGCCTGGTGACAGAGTGAGACGCCATCTCAAAAAATAAACAACAACAACAACAACAACAAAATATGCCAATACCTGACATTTTAGGGCAGGAATACAATAAATGTCTTTTCGTAGTTTATTAACTTGAATGACAGAAAATTATCATTTATAAAAGATGCAAGAACCGCAATAACAGCATATCAGTTTTAGTAGTAATTCATTCACAAAATTCATCAATTAACAAACTCACTGAGCAAGTGCTATATGCCGGATAACATTCTAGGTACTGGGCATACTAACATAAATAAATCAATGTGTGTATTGATGGTTGAGGCAAGATAGATGGAAATTATTATAATATAATGTGTTTCTTCTTATACTATACAAGTATGGAAGGATGGACTCATACATTTGGTTTAGGCTAATGGATGTGTGCATACGCTGATTAAGAGAAATTATTAATAAATGTAATATAGAAATGTATGCATACTTTCATCTTACCAATATTAGAATGGAGAATTTTTATTGTTGACCCCATTATGTAGAAATGATTTCAACAGTCTATGCATTATAAACTTTATACTCTAGTTGAAAATGGAATTGCATAAAGACATGGATCAGTAGCATGGCTAGTTCCCCAAGTGCAACTCTAACAAGATCAGTGCAAATGACAGTTAGCTAACTACAAGCTATATTTGCTAAAGATTTGACAGGAAACTCTCTATAAAGAATATTCTGATAATTTAAAGATGGAGCCCAATGTTTAGTTAAAAATTAATGATAATAAGATCCCTTGTAGTAAGTACTTAGACACTTTACAAATAAAGTCTTAATTATCAGAAATCCCTGAAGTAGGTATAATTATTATTATCACTGCTTTTTACAGATTGGGAAACTGAAACTCAAAGGATGTTAAGTAATTTGCCCCAGGTATATGAGCAATGACAAATGAAAGATCTGAACCCAGACTCTTCTGTCTCCAAAGCCTATGCTTATGTTTTTCAAAATGTGGTCTATGGTCAGCTATATCAATGGCATTTGGGATACTTGTTAAAAATGCAAACTCTTTAGTCCCATCCTGGACCATCAAACTAGAATCTTTGAGATGGAGCCAAAAGTTGTGCATTTCACTGGGTTTTTTGCCTACTATCTATTAACACATTGCTGTGCTACTCTGCCTTATGATGTTTAAGAAACCATTATGGAGAAAAGATTAAAATCTTACTAGTAAACACACATGAACAAAGACCTTCTGAAGTTGATCTTACCTGGAAGCTTTCATTTTGTAGATATGAAAATCCACTGACTAAAAGCTTAGAACCTAAGTTTTACATCACAATCCCAAAATTATACCAGGTGGGAGTATCTGCTGGTACCTGAGACTCCTGGAGTTTTTCTCCTCCTCTTGACTCCAACAGTCTCTATAACTTTGGAGAAGTCACTTTTTATCCCCAGGTATTAGTTTCTTTACTGTTAGCTTCTGGTGCGCTAATCTGTCCTTCTTAAGAATGATTCTGAGATCCACTCAGGAAAAGAACTTTCCCAGAGCATACAGCTCAACCAAATGCTTCCAGGATTTCCAGCTCACAACAAAGAAATGTCCATCAAGGAAAGGTAACATAACATCGCTTCTCACTTCTCTATCCAAATGCCCTTGCATTTTATTATTATTTTCTATCATCCCAAAATTCTTCCAGGAGCAAAACTGGATGTAACATGTAAATAAATGTCTCTCCTTATTTCTTTCAGACAGCAAGAAAAAGTAACAGGTTCAATAAAGATTCTCCAAATTATTAAAGTGATAGAGGTAGAAGGGAATTTATAAATATTTATTTAACCCTCTCTAATTTTTATAGGTAATAAAACAAGAGAGTGGCTGCAGCAGGTGAAATACTCCAATGTTACTGCATGATATGGTTTGGCTCTGTGTTCTCACCCAAATCTCATCTCGAATTGTAATCCCCATAATCCCCACATGTCGAGGGAGGGACCAGGTGGGAGGTGATTGGATCATGGGGGTGGTTTCCCCCATGCTGGTCTCATGATAGTGAGTTCTCACAAGACTTGATGGTTTTATAAGGCAGTTTTCCCTGCTGTTGCTCACTCTCTTTCTCACCTGCCACCATGTAAGACATGCCTGCTTCCCCTTCCACCATGATTGTAAGTTTCCTGAGGCCTACCCAGCCATGCAAAACTGTGAGTCAGTTAAAACTCCTTTGTTTATAAATTACCCAGTCTCAGATAATATCTTTCTAGCAGTGTGAGGAAGGACTAATACACCACACTACATGAGATGAATGCTTAGGCCTTCTGGTCTCTGCTTCCTCAAAACAGTACAAGTGCTGCTATTGCTGCTGCACCTTCATCCATGGCTCCATGGCTCCATGGCTCCATGGCAGGGCAGGGCGGGGCAGTATTTCTCAAAATTTGGGACCCTCTGCCTTATCAACCTAGAAAAGGATTGAATTGGTTTCAGATTATGTTGAGTCACACAACGGAAAAGTAAATTCTTACTGATTCTTTTCGATATTTTTACTTCCTTCACAGAGAAAGTCTCAGAATGGTGCTAATATGGCCTTAGCACCTCTATAACCTGATGATCTCCCTTTTTAAGAAATTGAGAGCAATCAGTTTGTCTTATTGTATTTATTCTTATAATTACCTTCTCTTTATGGAAAGTGATATAAAATTTCTGAATATGATGCTGATATAAATTTTTCTTCTGAAATCAATCAATTTAAAGAAAAATATTAAGCAAATGATAGTACAGGTAATGTGATTTTTTTAAATCTTGAAAATGGTACAAGAATGATTCAAGTATGACAGAAACCGACATAATGGTTTGAACACAGGCTTTGGAGTCAAACACACTTGGTTTTCTAACCCAACTTACAGAAGTTAAGATTTGAGGTAGTTTATATATTCCTTCAGGGACGCACTTTTACTATTGGCAAAAGTGGCATTAGAAGTGTCTACCCATAGTTGGCTATGAGGATTAATACAGTGATAACTTTTACTCTTTTACTATAGTGCTTGGTACCTAGGAAGTGTTCAATAAGTGCTGTTATTTTATCATCAGTGGCAGCACTACCATCATCTTGGCCATGAAATGTTGATATAGTTCATCTTCTAGGACCACAAATTTTAAAATCTAGGGAATATTTTTAAAATTGCTAAAGTGCATCTAATCTAACCTTTCCCAGGTCCTACTGCTCAAGGCTTAAATTTCCCCTAAAAGTGTTTTTAATTTGTGGTTTATGACTTACTATATTTTTTCAAGCTTTTATTAATTTCCAACTAAACTTTACCACGCTCTTTAATGATGATAGAGGCAGTAGTATAAGCAGTATAAGGAGTGCCCTCACTGTCACCAATAGATCTTTCACTTTATATTGTTCAAAATATCATTTATAATCTTCACTATTTAGAAATCATTAGGCAGTTAGTAGAGGGGCTATTATTAACAGATTAAAGAACAAGCAAATGCGTAACTAGATCACAAATTTGCAATATTTTGATAACTGTGTTTCAATATGTTGGTTTCCTTGTAATCCTATGCATTTTATGTTAGGCATTTGTAAGTGTTCTGAGAAGCAAACTGGAGGTGTCATCCCACCACCACAGGTGTCCTCGGCACATACACAAAACATTTAAAGACCCCTGCTCTACAGCCTTGCCAGACTGTGGCCCTGTAGACTGCTTGTATACCTAAGAAGATTTCTGATCTTCAAAGACAATCAATCATTCCACATTTGTCTGGGTGGGTTTTTAAAACAGTAGACAACAGATTCCACTTGGTGGTAATGGAAGCAGGAACCACTGTGCTAAACCACAATTCAAAAAAAAAAAAAAAAAAAAAAAAAAAGAAGCAAAAAAGAAGCAAATTATGATACTTACTTTGCAAAATATCAGAGTTACCAGCTAAGAGAAATATTAACAGAGGCAGCCAAATTCCCAATATTTAAATTATCTAGAAAATAAATATAACAGGTTTGTATTAAGTTTCAGAGTGTATTCTATCTATGGGCTGCTTTCTTATTTATTTATTTAAGTCAGAAGATATATATTGCTGCATTGTTCACAAATTACTTGTCTTGCTAAACAAAGGGAGAAAGGGGTATGAAAAAAGCATCAGCTTGCAATCATTCTAACCAATCCAACTGCTCTACAAAGGCATATAAATAGTTAAATCAAAATTTCATTTGTTCCAATTTATTTCATTTATAGAAATGAATCATCATGCAAAACAGATCTGTGATATGTGCAATAGTCCATAAATTAGGCAGCAAGTATTTTTATCTTCTCAGAATTAAGAGAGTTATCTAATTTATGACATATCAAGATACCGGAGAAGTTAAGTCAGTGGTGGAGCAATGCGCAGATCCAGGGCATTCTTACTTCCATTTTAATGCCCTCCCCAGCACTTATGGCCAGAGAGAGAGAGGAGGATTTTAGGAATGATGGGTAGACAGAGAAAGGGAAAGAGATGGTGTTGCAGGATTTTTCCTTAGTTCAGCTAAAGACAGGGTTCTTATCTGTCTCACGGCCACGAACATTTAGGCTCACAGAAAGCCTAAAAGGTGAGTAAAGCAGGGTTTTATTGGGTACAAAGGGAAAAAAGGGGGAAACAGGGACTCTTGGAAAGGCCAGAGTCCCTCCTGTAGAGCGATTCCCGCCGGACAGTTTGAATTCCAGGTTCCACACGGGAAGAGGCGGGGCCAGGATCCTCCCCACTGCAAAGGGCGTGAACTTCCTGAGGCTCCACCTTCAGTGGGCAGGCTGGTTGGAGTTTCTCCAGGGACCTCCTCCCACCTGGCTGTCTCATTCCCCTCTCTAAAGAAGTACATCTGTCATCAGATTAAGGATAAGGATGAAGACCAATCTTAACTGCTTACTGCTGACAGGGGGCGCTGTTTTGGGGGAAATGGCAGTCAGATCTCCCTCAGAGGCCTATGTAAGCGTTCCTGCCAGAAGGAGCCATCGTCAGAGGCTCCAGTTGCATGACTGCTTGGAGTTTGATGTCCTGAAGGCAAGAACAGACAAACAGAGTTATTAGAAAACATTTATCCAAATGAAACAAGTGGAGGGGTAAGGACAGCTCAAAAATTCCGAGGCCTTTTACCAGTTTGTATAGGAGGAGGGAGGCCAAAAGCCCAACTGGCAAAAAAATTTTACCCTGTTGCCGGCATGTTGGGCTTCTGTGTTCGCTTCCCCTGAGCCCAATCCTAAACCAACCAGTTTAAGGTTTGGGAAATTAACTCCTTCCAGTTTGGAGGATGCATCTGAGGGGTGAGTCCCATAGTACAGAGACACAATTACCTAACTGAAGAAAGGACTGAGGAGAAGAAAGGAAAAAGAAGGTGCTTTTCAAAGGAATCCCAGGGGTTCAGGATGCATTCGAAAGGGGTACAGACTGAAGATGAATGGCTACCTATCTAGAAAGAGGGGAGCAGGTGTCCCTGGTTCCTTTCTTTTCCTAGCAGACACCCAGGATACATGAGGGAGAGAGGGAAGAGCATCTTCTTTCCATCTTCCATCCTTGCATCTCCAAGTCCCGGCGACCTTGGCAGGCAGCACCATGAGTGCCAAAGGGGCTTGCATCCATGAAACGTGAAGGCCCTAGAGAACAGGAATTATCTGCTCTCACCTATGTCTCTTTCCCATCTACTTTCAGTAGCGTTGGAGTTCCCTAGACCTCATTTATGCCAATGGATACTAATGTGTCCTTTATCCATGAAACAGGAAGCTTGGGTTTAGCTTAATGGGCAGGAATCAGCCATGCTCACCTGTGCTGTGCCTTTTAACCTCCATATCATCTGCCTCTGGACCCCTCAGATCCATTTGTTTTTCCTAGGGCTTTGACCCAAAGCTTGGAATTGAGTCTGGGACAAAAATGTGTCTCTGGGTGGGGGGCTGCATGGACTCCTTATCATAAGCCAAATGCTAAGGTGAAACTGTGGAACTGAGTTCTCCTCCAACAAGGGAGAGTGAAGAATGCCTTGTGACACAACCAGATAACTGGTAGCTGCAGTTATGATTGCTGGGATTTGGGTGCATGGTGCTTGGCTTTGGTTAGTTCCCTTGGTCTTACTTTCCCAGAGGAAACCTCCAAGTGATAGCCATCTTATTTATTCCCATCACCTGGCAGGATTTGCAGAATAGTTGCTCAAAACTAAAATATTAATTCAGATTTTCACATTACCTATCCCTCTTGTTCTTTCTGAGCTGCAGCCGAAGATTGCCAGTTGCTTCACAGGAACCAGCAGGGTTAGTCTAAAATGTAGGCAAAAACTTAAAACAACTAGTGAGTTTAGAATTTAATGGCAAATATATAATAAGTTTTGGAACATAATTTCTCTCTCCCCAGTCATCATTTTTGTTAAAAAAAATTACAATAAGGACTGAGTGGTTTGCAAAATAAGACTTTAGTCTTATACTTGGCCTGATTATTTGCATAAAGTGCAGCAAGAATAATTATTTCTACATAGGCCTTTTGGATTGGATTTGATGGAAGTTTGTTCCAGAGGGAATCTCAGATAAGATCTTTTAAGGCCAAGCCCAACCATGGATTTTTATCCTCAAACACCTGTGAGTTGGGTGATTCTCTCTTCTTAAGGTCCTAAGATAAACTTGGAGCTCCTAGACCTGTTAGAAAGTGACATTCTTTACTGACCACAGGTCAGGAACCCTGTACAGGGACTGCGTAGGCAAGAGTATGAGGCCAATTTCCACACTGGGCTTTTATTGGCTCTGCAAGTTGAGATTGACTCCTTAAAGGGAAGCATACCCTTCCAGTCAAAGTCTTGGTAAAATTACCAGTTTTTCTAATTGTGTCCTGTTGCAAAAGAAAATTGGATTCTTACTGCACTGATGCAAACAACTATATTGCCATAAGAACACTCACAGGTAGTTTCTAAGTTTTAGAGGAACCAGACAGAGAGAAACAAACATGCTCCAAATTTTGTTCATAGGAGTATGCCTTACTCAATTATTAAGGGCTGTAAATAGTTCAAAATAAGTTCCTTCACTCTGAAAAACAAAACAAGGATCAGCAATATTCCAAGTAAAAGCCAAAAAGGTTGTTTCAGCTTCCTGAGTTCAGTCCATTTAGTTAACTCTTGTTTTGCTTGATATTCGTAAACATTTCAGCTCTTTATGAGTCCTGTACATTTTTATTCAAATGTCATAATCTCCAAAGTTATCAGAGGCCTGTATTTCAGAGCACCTGTTACAGTTCTATAGCTCATTATCAACCATCTTTTGAAAAGGATTAAAACAAGAAAACAATTTTCTGTGAATAGCAAAATGTCCAGGGTAGTTACAGTTAGAAACACAACTGACAAAAAAGTTTGGTTGTCTCTGTGGTTTACAATAATTTAATATAACAATCTTAATTATAATTGATAGCATACACTCAGACATTAGAATTTTAGAAATCCCATACAATTGGAACATACCTCAGCATTATTCACAAAAATATAACTTAAAGAAGACTAAGCATCATTTTTGCAATCCCCAAACATTCAAATAATTCTGTTTACATTTATTTTCTGGACACTTCAGGGGCCCTCTGAAATATTCAAAAAGCCAAGTGTTAGGGGAGACAATTTTGAAACTGAAGTTTGATTTGGGGAATGCTGTCAAATATGTTTGAGGTTTAAAACACTTGATATTATGAAATAGAATTCCAGATTACCATAAGTTATTTATTTTGCCAAAATGATGACTCAGGAATTTTAAAGAGGCAAAAACCCTTTATAACCCTTTTGAATTTAGTCAATATGTTCACACAGAGAAACTCTTCTCAAAGATTGATTTCTACATTCTTCCATCACTTCTTTGAACCTTCAGCTTTTCCTGTCTAACTCAAAACAATTATTTAACCATAGCCAAAAGTTTACATTTTCATGCTTTCTTATAACCTTTTATTTCAAACAGACACATTTTACTGTTTTTACATACCTTGATTGTAAATCTATTTCGAGTAGTTTCACTTAACTCCTAGCAATTTTTAACTTTAAGGTAAAACTTTGTAAGTTGCTTTAATTGTGTGCTAACTGCAGCCAAGGTTTGCCTTCTTAGTTAAGGGCATTGCTTCTTCCATATGTCCCCAGGCCTTGCCAATTGTGAAGCTCACAAGTCAAATAGTTCTCAAAACCCAAAAAGTAGTTTGTAACCTCAAAACACTTAGCAAACCTTGCATCTGACCTGCATTTTACTAATTGTCTTTAGGGCTGCTTTTATTTCTCAAAGATTAAAGTCATGTGAACTGTAAGGTACCACAGCTTTTACCTCTCCTTAAAAAAAAAAAGCATTTGATCCAAGCACTTGTCTTTCATTAGGCCAAATTAATTAGAGCTCCTTTTACAGACATCACACACAGTATACACATAGACAGGCAGAAGAGAAACCAGTTGCTGGGTGAGGCCCTTTAAGAGACACGGCTAGGAAAACATTCAGATATCAAACCTGAGAGGGCTCATCCCCTCAGGCAGGATTGCTAAACAAAGCCTTGCCAAGTAGTTACTGGCCATGCCCCAGTATGTAAGGCAAGATAGAGGCTTGCAACATAAACCATACAGACATGCAAAGCACACCAGATCGGGCACTCCAAGACTAGCCAAATCCTTTTTCACAATTAAAGCTTTACAGAAAATACAAACCGTTATAGTTGGGGGGACCTGGCCTAGTAAAATGTCTTCTAAGAGAAAAAAACTTTAAGGGTTAACTTGTTGATGGGGTAGAGAAAGGGAATGAAAAAAGGTTGAAAAATGCCTGGGGAAGAACCTCTTATTCTTATGCAACTGATTCCTCTACCAGGGAGAAAAGTTGAAGCTTAATTACTGTCTGATGGAGTAAAACCCTTTGACTGGGGAAAGGGAAGGCTATGGCAGTGGCAGTGGTGTGTGGCTGGGAACCAGCCAGCCAGCTGTATGGGACCTTTGGGCCATGCATCCCAGCCCCAGTAGGGAGTGGGCAGTGTGGGGGAGCTGCTGCTCACCAGTGGGTCCTGAAAAAGGAAGAAAAAGGCCATGAAAAGGCCTGGGAGTGATGGGGGTGGGGACATGCTTTCCCCCACCCTTATGAGTCACAGGATGAAAAGCCTTAGAAGCAACAGTGAGAGGTTTTAAGTTCCCATTTCACTCACCACTTCTTGAGCCCCATGTTGGGTGCCAAAAATGTTGCAGGACTTTTCCTTAGTTTAGTTAAAGATGGAGTTCTTGTCCATCCCATGGCTATGAAAATTTAGGCTTGAAGATGGCTTAAAGAGTAGTAAAGCAGGGTTTTATTGGGTGAAAAGAGAAAAATGGGGGAAACAGGGACTCTCACAAGGTCAGAGTCCCTCCGCTAGAGTGCTTCCTGCCTGGCAGTTTGAATTCCAGGTTCCACACAGGAAGAGGCAGGACCAGGTTCCTCCCCACTGCAAAGGGCGCAAACTTTCTGAGGCTCCACCTCAGTGGGCAGGCTGGTTAGAGTTTCTCCACAGACCCCCTCTCACCTGGTTGTCTCAATAGGAATGAGATGAGTAGAGAAAGAATAAACTAAAAATTTTACATTTAACAAAGCATTTCCATGTAATCTCTTCTCATTTCCCTTCCCACAAAAAGAAACCTGTGTCATATTATCAATATTGTCTTGCTAAATAAATACCAAAGACCAAAAAAGTTGTGGTGTGTCCAAATTCACATAGCTCCAAAGAACAAAGTCAAGGTTTGAGCTCAGGGAGGCCCTTAAGAGGCAGCCTTGGCCTTGCCCTCTCTCAATCCATTCCCCAACAGAGTAGAGGTATGATCTTCCTAATGAAAGATCTGACCATGCCACTTTGAGGCGTAGTAGAGTTCAAAGCTCTGGGGCTAAGTCCAGGACTTTAAAATCCATCTTGGTCTGGCTACTGCTTATTTCTGGTATACTAAACAAGGCTTCTACTGGCCTTTCAGAAACATTTGTTAAATAGGCAGAAATTCTGCAAGTCAGTTGATGAATTGTTGGTAGGCTAAATTTGGTCATGGTGGAAATACTGATCAGAAACTGGTAAAAAAAAAATATATATATATATATAAACAAAAGCTTTTTTTTTTTAGAACATATTTGCCAACACACCACCAATTCATCATTTAACCACACATCATTTAACCACATACTCCCTCTTCTTTTCAACCATGCTGAACTACTTTCTGTTGTTCAATAAGTTATGCTGTTCCTTTGCCTAGAACACAATTTTCCTTTTCCTCTGCCCCCAGCCTTACTCTTAGTAATCTTCCTAGTTGCAGTTTCTTTGTGCCTTTCTTCCTGACATACACTGCCTTCTAAATCTCCTCCCTGAAAGCCTGGGTGAGATGTTCTGCTTATGCCCTCAGACAGCACACCATGCTTTCTACTGTTGAGAGAGTGCTGGCATTGCTCTATTTCTTGCCTGTTTATGTCACTGAACTTATTAGCTACATTGAATGCAGGAACTCCATCTTTTCTTTACTTTAATTCCATTCTTTATCATGTGTCTGACATTTAGTAAGTACTCAATATTTGGTAAGTGAGATAAACAACTAGAGTTAACAAAATCTCTGAAAAATAAGACTGTTCACTTATTCATATTCAGAGGTGAAACACCAAGAATTGAGAAAATCATTATCAAAACAGAAAAAAAAAAAAAAAAAAAACCTTGAGAGAAATAAAAGACAAAACCAGGGTCTTAAGAGACAGTGTTGTCAGTTTATTTCTGGTTCTAGCCCAAGGATGGCAAATACCTGTCCAGACACCACTGCCCCCTTGCCAAAGGCATGAGAAGCTTCCCTGCTTAATCTCTGACCTCTTTTCTGCTGAGCCCAGGAGATTCCTCTATGTCAGGGCCACTGCCATTAATCAAGCTGGAATTCAAGTTGAAACTCATTTGGCAACCTGGAGGAGGTCGTGAGACACAGTGACTACTGCTTTCCTGCCAGAAACTTCTCTGCCCTAATTTTAGTGTCTCACCTGCTTACCCTTTTTTGTTCAGGTTTGAAACTGAAAGAAGTGAAGAAAAGGAAAAGGAAGTGAGGAAGCTGTGTGGAGGAAAAGCTAAAAGAGGTAGCTGGGGAGGCCACTCATAATCTGTTCTCACACTCCATCTCCCCCACTTTCCTTTCTTTCCTTGAGTTTCTTCTTTCTGGTTCCCATTCTTTCTGTGATAATTCTCCCACCTGCCTATCTCACTGCCTGTTTTTGACTGTTTTTCCACCCATTTCTCTCTGCAGCAGCTTCTCATTTCATCTCTATTCCTTTTTCTGGCCCTTCTATCTTCCTTTGTCTTTTGCTATCCTCTTTCTTTCTCAACTTCTTTTTTACATTTCCTCTTCCCTTTTAACAGACTCCACATTATTTCTCTGAATTTTTTTCAATCCCTTCTATCTCATTTTCATCTCTCTCTATCTCAAGTGGATTCTAGAATTCCTCTGTCTTGAACAGTCTTTTCCTCTTCCCCTTTCTCTGATCCTACTTATCTTTCAAGATTCAGTTTCTGTGCCACTTTTTTCTTGACATCCATCTCCCTCTAACCTACAATTTCCAAAAGGGAAGAAAGAACTATTTTAGAGCACTTTGCACTTTTTTTTCTAACAGGCTTTTCAATTAAATGTTAAAGCATTTTATTTAATGTCTAGGCAATAGATTTTTTTAAAAAACATTGTATTACATACATATTAATATAACCTTAAAATTATTTTATATCTGGTTTTACAAATCTTATATTCCTTCTAAATGGATAACTTTATTACATTAGCTCTCTTTAAATTAAAACCAGATGACAATGGCGTTTTAAAAATCTTGTCATTTCTTGTCATGGCGTCTACTATATACACATTGTTTAATATATTACTCAAGTTCTAACGTCTTTGTTTTTTCTATCCAGTCCTACACCTAATCTGATTTCTAAAAACAATTCATGGGAACCTTCATTTTTAAATGAGCCTAGGCTGATTAGAGCATTTACATTTTTATCACTTTCTTAATCAACATGGAATGCCTGTAGGTCGTTAACAGAAAATTATGCATGCCTTCCTAAAGGCCTTTGCATAGCCTCCTTAATGCATACCTGAACCTTCTCTCTTATTATCTTAGAAATATTAAAATGTAATGATAGTTCTTTAAAAAGTAAAAAACACAAATTCTCATTTGAAATCCAAGTAAGCATTGGCACTAGAAAGAGGCAGCCAGTCAATCACAGTTGAGTCATTTTACAGAGGGTGGGGAAGTTTGGTTAACCTTGTTTTTAGCAGGGAGGCATCAGTGTTTCCTCAAAGTCTGTCACTCCAGTGGTTGACCAAGTACAAAAACCAGCTTAGAACAATAAACAAAACAAAGGACACTCAGGAAATTTTTAAAGAGAAGCTCTAAGTAACAGACCAGAAAAAGATGGAGACACATCCCACAGAGAACACTGTTTCTTCCCCCATATTTACTGATTGTCAGCTATAGAAGAGGAATTAGGGAATATTAAATCAAAATCCACCACTTTACTGGGAGACATTGTGGTTATAACTAAGAACATTAGCTTTAAAGATAAACAGACTTGGATGGGTTTAAGTTGTCACTTTGAAACTCACTCACTGTGCTCTAAGTTAATAATAGTACCTGCACTGTTGGGCTGCTATGAGCATTAAATAAATGAGATTATAAAGTTATGACAACATAGGTAATGTTCAATAAATATTTACTATGAGTTCCAGGGAGAGAAAGAAGATTTCCTGAAGTCACATACTTGGCCTGGAGCAGGATTAACATGAGGCCACCATCAACTTCATATTCATGCCAATACTCTTTCAACTCATTGAAACAATCAAACTATGGCCCATGAGTCAAACTGGCCTGCTGTCTGTTTTTGTAAATAAAGTTTTATTAAAACACAGCCATACTCATTCATATATGTACTGTCTATGGTTGCTTTAGCACCAGGACAGCAGAGTTGATAAGTTACAATCTGTAGAACCAAACATATTTACTGAATGGCCCTTTACAAACAAGTTTTCTGACCCTTATGATTAGGGCATGAGGCTATTTCTAGACAAAGCATTCCACATCTAGATCCCTTAGGGAAACTGAATATGCTTTTACCATAAGCTTTTCTGTGCCTTTGGGGGTCTTACTCCAAAAGGTAAAAATTGCCTGATAGTATCTGACCTTTCTGGGTCTTAGTTTTGGCAGTTTGAAACAAAAAGAAGAACCACCTGCCATAGCAGGAGAGTAATCTGTTTCCAGTAAAGAATACATTTCAGATGCAGCAGAATGTCCAGAACCAAAATCTTCTTCCATCTGGCCTTCCTCCCATTTCCACTGAAATCACAAATCTCTACTCAACTGTGCTTTCCACCAGCTGGAAAGCTAGCCCCTTCCCTTACATGCTGCTTTGGTTTGTACATTAAGGTCAAGGATTACTGGTGTTCAATCAGCTCTAAGCCGCCTCTCTCAAACAGTTAAAGGAGTTCGTGTCCAGACAGGAAAAGGCTCTTGGCCACAGATCCCATATACCGTGGTTTTTGCATTAAACTGTTCTTGTGATTTCCTTTATGTGGCTGAGCTGTTTAGTTTGTGTGATGACAAATGAGCTCACAGATTTCAAATTTGCAAATAAACATCTTATCTTTTATTAGTTTATTTTTTCAAAAACTGCTTTGCTAGAAGGAAGGAAATTAGTGCTCCTCAGGGAAGGGTGAGAACCAACTGCCTTCTATCACTGTCTAAAAACATCAAAGTTAAAGACTTTTTCTTTCATACAAAACTATAACATAAATACCCTGCTCAGATTGCCTTTTTGCCAAGAGATGAGAAGTCCTGAGGTACTCACGTAGGAAAGAAAGCCTCATGATGCTGGGGTAAGGGAGAAAAGGGTGGGCCATGTTGTCATCAGTAGCGAACTCCAAAGAGTTACTGCTACGAAAGTGCTGGGAAGGGAAGAGTGTGGTCCTTTTAAACAATACAGAAGGGGGAAAGGCAAGTGCTGGGTAGAGGAGGGTGTGGTCCCTGGCTGGGGTTCCACCTCCACGGACCTAGGTGAGAACAGGCATTTCCTGCCCAAATGTTGCATTTCCCAAGACCACCCTGGCCCACCAGGCCCCCATCCTGGGCATATAAAAACCCAAGACCCTAGCGGGCAAACACAGAAGTGGCTGGACATTGTGATGAACACATCCGTAGAAGAAGATACAAGCGGCTGGTCGTCGAGAGCCAGCTGGCAGAAGAGCACGCAGACAGCCACCAGTAGGTCAGCAGGCCATCCACCAGCAGAACACCTTGGAGTTTAGCCAAAGCGGTCAGAGGCCCCGGAGTGCCCCGACTTCAGGGAAAACCATTTTTCTTCAGGCTTCCCTATCTGCTCCCTATCCCTACTTCTACTCCGTAAAACCTTGCACTCAGTCTCCAAGCCCACATGTGATCCAATTCTTTTGTTACACCAAGGCAAGAAACTCGGGGATATAGAAATTATTCTGTCCTTGTGATAAGGAAGGGGGTTTAATTGAGTTGCTTACCACAAGCCACCTATAGATGGCAAGCTAACAGAGCACCCCATAACACACGTCCGCTGGGACGTCAGGAACTGTAAACACCCCTAGACACTGCCATGGGGTTGGAGCCCCACAGTCTGCCCACCTGTATGCTTCCCTAGAGGTCTGAGCAGCGGGGCACTGAAGAAGTGAGCCACACCCCCATCACACACCCTGTGAAGGGGACAAGAGAACCTTTCCCATTTCACTACCTGGAAAGGTGCTCCTAATAGACATTTGGAATAAATTGTGAATTTGTCCGGTAAAACTTGATCATCTGTAAAGGGGGCACATTGTGTATAAAGGATGACTGCAGTTGAAACTTTCAATTATACCCTCCTCCCCACTCAACCACTCCTCCTCCATTGTTATAAGGCACTGGCATATTCTGGAGGGCTGATAGGTTGATTCCTCATGTTTGGTTTCCCAGTTCATAGAAATGCAATCATCGTATTTATATCTATATGTCCACTAAGTTATAAATTTTACCCTGATGATATAATTGCTTACCATTACTATAAAAGACAGTGGGAGGGTGTGAACATAGTGAGAAGTAGGGAAGAAATGTCGACCTTGGGTGCTATTAGCCTTGTGGTTGTCCTGGTCAATACCACAAGTCCCGAGGTTATTTGTTTTGTCACCAAACCTTTATTTGCAGCTACCTTGAAGTTGGCTGTAGAAGCCACAGAGTAATATCTTTTTCTTCTAGATTAAAATTGTCTCAGGCAGTAAAAATTTACAGGCTCCCCTTCAAGTAATTAAATTTAGTTCGAAAATTTGTTGTTCCATTTATAAGACATTTTAGGTTGACTTTATTTTAAAAATCACTGTTAAAATAGTCTCTGAAAAATTTTGTTATCTTTTTAAAACTCAGCCAATTAGATGCCCTAAAACTTTTAAAACTACATTTATAAACAATTTTCCTTTCAAGTATTTCAATTAGATAATAAAATGAGTAAGTATTTTTCGAGTACTAATGAATTTTTATAAATTTAATAAAAAACAACAAACTTAAAATTCTCTTAGACACCACAATACTGATACTCACATTGCAACATCTCAACTCAAAGGTGTCAGTGTAAACCAATTGACTACTAATTTAAATGTATTTACAAAGTTGTTATTTCAATTAACCAAATTTCCTTGCATATTACAGATATATAAAAAAACAAATATTCATGGGGACTATCTTTCTTATTCTGATATAATTGACACACCAAAAGCTGTATATTCTTTAAATGTATAATGTCACAATTTTAGACATACGTATATGCATACGTGTGAAACCATCACCAGAATCAAGATAATGAATATGTTCATTGCCCAAAATTTTTCTAAGTCTCTTTGTAAAGAATTCTCAAAACTCAATAATAAGATTATGACAGCAAACTGAAAAGCAGCAAAAGATATGGAGAGAAATTTGGCCCAAAACAAACAAATGGCAAATAAGCACATAAAAGATGCTCAACACTATTGGCAATTAGGAAAATGAAAATTACGACCACAGTGAGGTACTGTTACACACTTATTAGAAAATGGCTATAATCAGAAGACTAACCACACCGTGTGTTGAAGATGATGTGGAAGAACTGGACCTCTCATATAGAAAATGGGTCAACTACCTCAGGAAAAAAAAAAAAAAAGTTTGGCAGTTTCTTTAAATAGTTAAACATATACCTACTATTTAGTCCAGCCATTCTATTCCTAGGTGTTTACCCAGGAGTAAGAAAAGCATATGTTTATGTAAAACTTGTACTAGAATGCTTAAAGCAGTTTTATTGTAATAGTCAAACACTGGAACCAACTCAAATATTCATCAACAGGTGAATGAACAAACACATTGCAATACATCCATGCGACAGAATACTATTCACCAATGAAAGAAAAGAAACTATTCATGCATGCAACAGTATAGGTGAATCTCAAGATAATTTTACTGAGTGGAAGAAACTAGACAAATAAGTGCATATTGCATGATTTTAGTTATATGAAAGTTGTTAAATAAATTAAAATGGAGATCAGGCCTGAAGAAGCCCTGAACAGACAAAATCAAATGGGCCTTATAAGTGACCTTAACTTCGCTTGATTTGCAAACATAACTTAACTTGAGCTATTTCTTGTAAATGCCTATATTAAAGAAAACAACTTATGCTCAACCAATCAAACTCAGCGACTAATTTATAATTATGTAACTAAGGACTTTCCAGCAGCATAGACCAAATAAAGCAACTTTGCAACTATAACCAATCAAAATTTTTTGAATTACTTTTGCATTCCCTCTGCTAAACCTGTCCATTATGCCACTTCAACGGAGCCTCCGAACTACTCTCAGTCTGGTGCCATTCATGAATTCTTGCATGCTCAAATAAACTCTTTATAATTTTATTGTGCCTCAGTTTACCTTTTAAACAAAATCAAGAAAATGCAAACTACTATATAGTGATGGAAAGTAGATAAGCAGTTGCCTGGGCAGAGAGATAGGAGGGTTAAGAGATGAGTTTTTAAAAGGGGCATTCAAAAAGTTTACAAGTTATGAGTATGTTCATTGTTTTGATTGTCGTGAGGGTTTCACTGGTGTATACATATTTTAAAATGCATCAAATTGTTCACTTTAAATATGTGCAGTTTATTGTGTGTCCGTTCTACCTCAATGAAGCTTTTAAAATTGTTTTGACCCAGTATAACTGAAAAAACCTTGAATTTTTAAGTCAGAGGATCAAGAAGATCTTTCATTTTTTTTACTGTAACGAATATTTACATAAACTAAAAGTGTTTTTTAAATTCTTTTTGATTCATGTGTCAAAATTTAGACTTTGTTTCATATAATAGTATTCTTAATAGTGTTCTCATGATTTACTTAATGCTATATGACTTCAAATTTCCAGACAATTAAGAATGTTTTCCAAAACCATAATATAGCAAAATAAAATATAATCAAATCAATCAACAAAATGGTTGTGTTGCATTTTTAACTTTACCCAGAAATTTTAGGAGCACAATTTTCTATTGGTCTGTTTATTTTTCAAATTACCTAAATTCCATTTAAATGATTTTATTAAAAACCATTATTTTATAGATGGTAACAAAACTCAGTTGCATTGCATGTCAATAAAAATTCTATAATATTTTACAGTTATATGTGTCTTTCACTATTTACTAAAGAACTTAAATCCAAGATCTTGAATGTAATCAGGTGTGCATGTCGCAAATTCTCAATTTTGCATTCTGTAGAGCTATCACAGAGAAAAGCACACAATTATACCCTCTAAAATTAAGGTAAATTTTCAAATTTTCTAAACCGTAGTTTTTAAAAATCAACTTTTGGTATTTAAAAGGCATTTATTATAATAGCTCTGATTTTGGAATAAATGCTTCAGAAAAATAATATTTATAAAGAAAACTTTTTAACCAAAGAAGGACTGACAGTTAGACTCTAAATTTTTATAGAACATGGGCTTTCTTTTTCATTTCTTTTCTATGTTTTTTTTTTTCTTTTGGTGGTGGGATAGGTGGATATTGTCCAAAGTTTAAAATCTGTCTTCCTGTATCACCACCAGTGTCACACAACTCTTTATATTCTAGCTTTAAGCCCATACGTTTTATTTTTCCCTCAATCTATGTCTTGTTCTTACCAGTTCAAAGACCTTTTGGTGATATCCTTGGGTATTATTTTAAGGGAATGCGTTTCTAACGCACAGAAACTTGAATAATAACACGTCTAGAGCCTAATTCTATACTGAGTCAATCTAGTAACTGTGACATTTTCCAGAGTAGAAAAATCTGATGGCTCTTGGGTAGTTTTGAGTCTACAAACAATATATAGAAATGTCAGAGTTTTATTTAGGCATTCATTTTACCATTGGCAGGTTCATTTGCCTCTTTGATTTTAAATGGGGTGATATTTTCCCTTATATAGTCTGGCAGAGAGTCCAGGTTCTGTTCCTCTTATAGGGTGTAAAAGTTTGGTCATCTGTTCTTGGGCAATTTTTGCAGATACTTGCAATCTCTCCTCAGTAAATATAAGGGTAATCATGACTGTCTCTCTCTCTCTCTTTTTTTAATCTTGTCACAAATCATGTGACTCCATCTGACAAAGATGAGAACTTTCTAGATTTTTCCTTACGTATTTCAGAGTATTGTCATCCTAGAATGATACATTGAGAAAAAACTAGTTTTTAACTATGTAAAATGAATTGAGCAGAGGAAGAGGTTTTTCCTAAGCCTTGGATTTAGGATCACTAAAGTCAGTTGAAGCTACAAATGAATAAAAGGCTATGTAATTCTTAGAAGAAAGACAAAAATGTAGGGAGGAAGGCAGAGGCTACACAGACTAACAGACTCAGTTTATGATTCCTATGTGCAATGACAAAGACTTACTGAACTGAAAATTGCTCAGCATTGAGTTTAGCCATGGCATTCCTGGAGAGCAAAGTGGAGATGAAGAAAAGAACAAAAAGTAAGAGACAAGGAGCTTACCCTGCATGTATGTGGTCCAAGACCTGCTGTCCTCCCTGTCCTCAGGGACCACTTGCTCAGATTGTGCCCCAACTAGGCAAATCATTATGGAAAATATGACCATCCACTTCAATATTTTGTAAATACTTTATTATTTACAAAAGTCCATTGAGGAAAGAAGAGCTGAAGCTGGAATCCAACAAACCCCAATTTCTTAACACATGGAAATTGCTAGTAATACAAACATATTTAAAGTACCACACAAACATATTAGAATGAGCAAAATCCAAAACACTGACAACATGAAATGCTGGCAGGATGCAGAGCAATGGGATGGAACCTATCGCTCATTGCTTGTAGAAATGCAAAATGGTACAGCCACACTGGAAAATAGATTGACAGTTTCTTACAAAACTAAACATATTCTTACCACTCAGCAATCATGCTCCTTGGTATTTAAAGGAGTTGAAAGCTTATGTCCACATAAAAACCTGCACACACGTTTATAGCATCTTTATTCACAGCTGCCAAAAATTAGGAGCAACCCAGGTTTTCTTCAAAGAATGAATAGATTTTTTAAATGTTACATCTATGCAATGGAATATTAGTGAATTATGAAATCAGCTACCAAACAACCAAAAATACATTTAAAATGCATGGAGGAAACTTAAGGACATTGCTAAGTGAAAAAAGTTAATCAGAAAAAAACTACATACTGTATGACTCCAAGTATAAGATGTTCTGGAAGAGACAAACTATAAAGACAAACTAAAAAGATCAGTGGTTGCCAGAAGATGGTAGTGGGGAGGGATGAATAGGTGGAGATCGGAGGATTTTCAGGGCAGTGAAACAAGTCTGTAGGATACTGTAATAGTGGATATCTGACATTATGCCTTTGTCAAAACCTATAGAACTCTACAACACAACAAAGTGAACTCCAATGTAAACTATAGTTATTAGTTAAAAATAATGTATCGACATTGGTTCATAAATCATAACAAATGTACCTCACCAAGGCAAGTTGGTAATAACAGGGAAAGCTGGTCATAATATGGGAATTCTGTGCTTCTATTCAATTTTTATATTTATTTTATTATTATTTTATTTTATTTATTTTTGAGATGGAGCCTCACTCTGTTGCCCAGACTGGAGTGCAGTGGTGTGAACTTGGTCAGCTCACTGCAATCTCTGTGTTCCTGGTTCAAGCAATTCTCCTGCTGCAGCCTCCCAAGTAGCTGGGATTACAGGCATGCACCACCACCCCCAGCTAGTTTTTGTATTTTTAGTAGAAGCAGGGTTTCACCATATTGGCCAGGCTGGTCTTGAACTCCTGACCTCAAGTAATCCGCCCACTGCAGCCTCCCAAAGTGCTGGGATTACAGGCATAAGCCACCGCACCCGGCCTTATTTGTTTCAAGTTTTATTAATATGCATTAAAATTCTTCTATTTGTTTTTATTTTTATGCTGGAAGCTTGATCCTGAAGGTCCTTTAAACAAAATTTAAGCAGATTTTTTCTAGACATTTAATATAAATTTTCCATTAGTTAATTTTCAATTAGTAGTAGGCAATATCTATTCTACTATGAAATTGTCATCTGGTCATTTATTTATGTTGAGCTATGAAATATATAAATATTTTTTGTTTTGTTGTAATTAAGCTTTATTAAGATTTAATTGATACACAAGAAACTTTACCTATTAAATATAAACATTTTTGATGAGTTTTGGCATATGTATACCTTTGTGATACCATGACCATAATCAAAGTACTAAGCATATCCATCACCTCCAAAAAATTTTTGTATTCTTTATGTCTGTGTACATGTGTATGTATTTTATGGTCTGCTCACTTAACATGAGATCTATCCTGTTAACATATTTTAAAGTGCATAATTATTAACAATAGGCACTATACTGTACAGAAATGTCTAAAACTTATTTGTATTGCATAACTGAAACCTTATACCCATTGAGTAACAAGTCCTAATTTTCTCTTCCTCCTAGCTGCTGGCAACCACTCTTCTATTCTCTGCTTCTATGAGTTTCACTATTTTAGATAGCTCATGTAAATGGAATCATGCAGTATTTGCCTTCTGTGACTGGCTTATTTTACTTAGCATAATGTCCTATAGGTTTATTCATATTGTCACAAATAGTAGAATTTTCTTTTTTAAAAATGCTGAATAATAGTCTATTATTTGTATATACTACATTTTATTTATTAATCTTTTAATGGACTTTTAAAGATGAATGAAAATGAGAACACAACATTCCAAAACTTATGGGACAGAACATAAACACTACTAAGAGGGAAAAAGAAAGATCTCAAGTAAAACAATCTAACTTTAGACTTCAAATAACTACAAAAAGGACAAACTAAGTACAAAGTTAGCAGAAGGAAAAATAGAATAAAGATTGGAGAAGAAGTAAATGAAATAGAGACTAGGAAAGCAATGGGAAAGGTCAACAAAACTGAGTTGATTTTTTGAAAAGATAAACAAAATTGACAAACCTTTAGCTAGACTTAAAAAAAGAGAAAATTTAAACAAATAAAATCAGAAATGAAAGAGGGACATTACAAATGATGCCACAAATATACAAAGATCATAAGAAAATACTATGATCATTTATATGCCAACACACTGGATAAAATAGAAGAAATGGATGAATTGCTGGAAATATGTAGCTTGCAAAGACTGAGTCATTAAGAAAAAGAAAATATCAACAGACTAATAATACATAAGGAGAATGACTCAGTAACCATAAACCTCCTAACAAAGAAAAGCCCGGGATCAGAAGATGGCTTCACTGGTAAATTCTACCAAACATTTGAAGAAGAATTAACACCAATCCTCAAACTTTTTCAAAGAATTAAAGGGGAAGAAACACTGGCAAACTCATTTAACAAAGCCAGCATTAACTTGATACTAAAGACAAACAAAGACACCACAAGAAAAGAAAGTTACAGGACAATATGCCTGATGAATATAGATGCAAAAATTCTCAACAAAATACTAGCAAACCTAATTAAAAATTCAAAAGCAAGCATGTTAAAAGTATCATACATCATAATCAAGTGGGGTTTATCCTTCATATGCAAGGTTGGTTCAACATATGCAGGCAGTAAACGTAATGCTCCACATTAACAGAATAAAAGATAAACTTTATATGATCATCTCAGTAGATGCAGAAAAAGCATTTGACAGAAGGCAACATCTTTTCATTAAAAAAACACTCAATAAATTAGGTATAGGAAGAACATACCTCAATATAATAAAAGCTGTATATGACAACCCCACAGCTAGCATCATACTCAATGGTGAAAAACTGAAAATTTTTTCTCTAACACCAGTAATAAGAGAAGGATGCCCACTCTTGCCAATTCTATTCAGCATAGTACTGAAAGTTTTAGCCTGAGCAATTAGGTCAGAAAAAAAAATAAAGACATCCAAATGAGAAAAGAAGAAGTAAAACTATCTCTGTTCAATTTTTCCATAAAATTAAAACTGCTCTAAGAAATAAAGTCAGCTAATTTAAACAAAACTGTTGATTTAGAAACCACTTCATTTTGAGCATTATATAAAAAGAGCTCAATATAATAGTCACAAATATCTATATGTATTATAGATGTCTTTATTGAAGTATGTATAACGAATATAGATTGATGATAGATAGATAGATAGATAGATAGATAGATAGATAGATAGATAGACATAAGAACAACTCTAAGCTCCTCCTCCAAGAATTTCCATGTGTTCAGCAGGGGAGGAAATGTTTCATACTGCTCAAGAAAGTTAAGTTAAATCTTACTGCCATAATTTAGTAGACTTTATCAGGACTATTTAAAGGGAGTGATATTTTTTTGTAAGGGGGTTCACAGTTTGTCCAGCTGTGTGTTTAAGGAATATAAGGAAGTCACAGTATCTATAAGGAAGAATAAAAAAACTGTTAACAATCTCTTTATTATTTAATACTTTAGCATTCTTTCTCTAACTATGGGCATGTGCTCTTGTCTTATTGATAGAACTGACTTCATCATTTCCCAGTATTCCGAAAAAGAGAAAGACTAGAACTAGGATCGAGGTAATTGGGATTCCAGTATAAGACCTCACCACCACCACTACTACCAAATTCATTTGTGAGCCTGGGAAACTCCACATTTCTCTTCCACATTTTCCTAAACTTCACGTTAAAAACACAATTTTTTTAATTGCCTAGCTATCATTCTCAAATTGCAGTACTCATTGTCTCAGGATTAGATGATAGTATGCCAAGAGATCTGCAAATCCATGGAGAAGCCTGGTGACTCTTTCTAAACAAAGTATCAGTTTTACTCAAACATTCAGGGAAAAAAAATTGTGTATAGAAATCAATATATGTATTTTATAGATTATAACAACACATTTTCCTGATGTTTTAATTAAATAAAATGTTTTCAGAAAATGTTCATGCTCACAGTGGACCAATTCTAGCCATTTCCTGTCTGGCAGAGAAACTTTCTTACTTTTTGCTCTCTCCCCAGGTGCAGAATAGAAGATAGTGCTTCATAAATATTACTGCAAGCAGAGAGAAAAGAAGAAGTTGTGCACAGGTCAGAAGAAGGTGACAAATTGAAGAAATCAAAACATACGTAGTATGGCTGGGTTAGGAAGTAAAGAGAGTAGTAGTATGAAATACGTAAAAGCAAGATTATATAGAGTTTAGGAGTTAAAGAATGACACATTTCTGGAAAATCCTACTGGATATGAGCTTCACTTCTAAGTAACCTTACACTGAAAATCCAAAGGCAGAAAATCACTGTCATTAAGTTTCATGGGGAGCCAGCCCATGGCAGAGCCTGAATGGGAGGCTCAGTCTCTCTTACGCTCTACTAGGGAAGAGGCTAAAGTTGGAGGAGGGCTCACCTGAGCATTAAGCCTTTTAATTCTCTTGAACAGGACCAGATTTGCCCCAGAACTTGGGCAGTATTAACTTAAAGTATCACCCATGTGATCAGGGTACACACCTTGAAGGGTTGCACATGCAGGAAGCCCAAGAGCTTGACCCGTTGCGATGGCCAACACAACAGAGGAAATGAGACAGAAGGGCAGATGACACATTTATCCCCCATGCTCTTTTCTTTTCGTTTCTTTATTTGAGAAGATTGAATCATGAATGATCAATCAGACCTTGTTTTACTAGAAAATAAATGAACAGTTGGGTACAGTGGCTCACTCCTGTAATCCCAGCACTTTGGGAGACCGAGGTGGGAGGATTGCTTGAGCCCAGGAATTCAGGACCAGCCATAGTGAGACTCTCATCTCTACAAAAAAATATATTTTAAAAAATTAGCTGGGCATGGTGGTGCATGTCTGTAATCCCAGCTATTTGGGAGGCTGAGGTAGGAGGATTGCCAGAGCCAAGGAGGTTGAGGCTGCAGAGACCCATGATCTCACATACCCTGCACTCCAGCCTGGGTGACAGAGTAAGATCCTGTCTCAAAAAAAAAAAAAAAAAAAAAAAAAAAGGAAAAGAAAAAAATAAGTGAACTACAAATTTCAATAGTGTCATGGTTTCCCAGTTGGATTTTAGTTAGTTCCTCTCTAGAATCAATGGATTGGACTACATAGCCTCTCAGTGTCTTCAGTTTCTGAACTCCAGTGATTCTAGTGGTTAAGAGTAGAGATGCTGCAATGGATTCAAGCCTCACCTCTGCTACTTACTGCATATATGATGATGGGCAAGTTATTTAACATCCCCGTACTTGCTTTCCTAGCCCTTAAAGTGGGGATAACAATAGCACCTGCTTTACAGGATTACTTTGCAAGTTCATTGACTTAATGCATACAGAGCTGTTAGCACAGTGGCTGGTAAATAGTAATTACTCAATAAATGTTAACCATTAATGTTATAATTGCCTAACTTCCAGGGTCATGTCCCTGAATTTTAATTCATGTGGATTAGCCCTATTTGCTGAAGCCATCAACAAACTTGACTATAGTATTACATAGTACATGTAGCAAGATCCACTTAACACATTTCGTAGCCATCTTTTAACCTATTCCTGGACCCTCCTAGATTGTCTGCCTTCTTCTTATAGGTATGTCAAGTCTCAAAATCCCAATTCTTCCTACTTTATCTCCTCCTTCTGGGAACATTAGCTTTGGTTCTAATGCAAGTCTGTAAATTTGTATTAGAATTTATCCACTGGGCTCCTTGTAAGGACTGCTACCACAAATTTACATGGCATGGCTTTGCTCAGAAACAGATTCTAGCTGCCAAGTGGAACTGCCTACTTCAAACTGAAAGCCTGGGGTTTCATTCCATGTTCTCTGAACCATGCATTCTCATTCAGTTTTTTGCATTGCAGCTCTGTGCTCGTCATCCACCCATTGCTTTCTGATGTTGTGCCATCTGCTTTAGCTCACCGCATTCTCTGTGCCATGGGAATCTTCCAATCAGCTCCTGTGAGTACTCTCGGTAGGACTGGTCTCATTACCCACTAAATCCCTGAATTTCTATTGCAAAATCTTTCGAAAGGCTGCTTTCGTCTGAGATTATTATAATTAGACTATTATTAGAATTAGATTATGAGTAAGAATTACTAGGGCTTAATCCAAGGGAGGACGTGAAATGATAGTAGGAATGAAGAAGCAAAGACATAGGTGAAAGGCACTTGCTCCTGACACTTTATTAAATGTAAAAGTCTTGGTTTTCAACAACCTCATAAGCTTCTTGGGAAGACAAGATGTATACAAAAGAAAACCAAAAACATCATTCAATTTTGGGGCAATAAGTGGCACAAAAATACAGAGAAAGAATATATTAAGTAAGATTGAAATTTCTGGGGAAGGTTTTTAATAGAAGAGGCGATTTGAACTCAATCAGGAAGCAATTGGTGATGTTTGGAGCCCTTCTTAGTTGTCAAAGCTGGGGGGTGACTTCTACAGACATCCAGCGGGTAGAGGCCAGAAATGCTGCTAAATATACTACAATGGACAGGAAAGCTTCCCCTCACCCCACCCCAACAAAGAATTATTTGGCCAAGAATTAGAACAGTGCCAACACTGAGAAATCCTGTTTAAAAAATTGTTGGGACTTGAGGAGACATTGGGAAGGTTATTTTACACCTCTGATCCGGCTAACTCATTTGTAAAATGGAGTCATAAAGTGGTAGTATCTCCTTCTTAGGATTTATGACAAGATTAAATAAGATGCTGGTTAAGCATTTATCATAAAATATGTGCTCATTAAATCTATAACAATCATTTTTTTTTCAAAAGTGGGAAATCAGAAGGACAATAATTGAATTCATAATGAAAAAATTCAGGTGATCGACAGTAACTATCTCTGGGCCATTGAATCGAAAATATGTAACCCCAGCTCTGACCTCCCTGCCAAACTCCTACCGCCTGTTAAACTGTCTGACACTTTCATTTTAATATCTCACTGTTATTCCAGACTCAACCTATATAAAATAGAACTCATAATTCCCCTTCTAACTCGCCTCCATTGTTTCTGGAAAAGACACGTTCCCTTAATCACTGTGTATAAAATGACAATAAATGCAGTTCAGGAAAAATGTCTTTCTTGTCCCCTCTGCCATATCATGCTGTATGCCATGCAGCACTCACAGCCCTCTTCCTCTTCCTCTTCCTGACCTCAATCTCCACAGCTGTAATGGACACTACATGATGTGTTCTAAAAGACCTCTTCCAAAACTAGTATGCCATTATTTTTGATGACTCTCTCCCTCCCTTTCTCTCTTTTCCTCTCGCTTTTTCTCTCTGCCCTATATATAATATCAACAAATAATGTCAATTCTTGTCTAGAAACAGTTCACATTTGCTCATTTTTTCTTATTTTTAGTGGTAACACATTCAAGCAGCTACTCAAGAGCCTTTAAGGAATATTGCAATAGTCCCTTAACTGGGCTCTCCATCTCTAGCATTTCTCTTTTAATCTACTCTACATGCCACGTACATCCTATTAACACACTTCTTTTATATACCACTGCTGCTCAGAATTATTCAATGGTTGCTCACTGCAAGTCTCATTCACTACAACTCATCTGCTGATACCTAAGGCTCTCAGTGATCAAACCCCCCTTTCTAATTCCACCTCCCATGGCTTTTCTCCATACAATATACTACCCTCTAGTTCAAATATGCTTATATCATTACCAGAACTTTGTCATGACACATTCATTCCTGCTTCTGTTCCTTACACTGTTATGCCTCCTGAAATGCTTTTATGCATATCTAACCATCCCACTAGTCATTCAAGTAACATTACTGGAAGGCCTACTCGGACATAGTTGGGATGTCAGGCACTATGGTGAGCAAAAAAACTAGCATAGTCTCTGCCTTTATAGAGCTAATAGTCTAAAGGGAGAGACTGACTTTTATCAAGTATTCTCATAAAGAAATGAGAAATTATAACTGTGTTGATTCCTACAACTAAGAGGCACATGCTGCTGTAAGAAAATAATGTTGAATTTGACCTAGTCAAAGAGATGTAGGGTGGAGAACAGGGGAGGCGAGGGAGGTTCTAGCAGAAGGAAAATTGAGCTAACATCTGAATTATGGGCTAACTGGGAGAGGAGAGGTAAGAAGCCCACTGTGAGCAAGCACTACAGGATCTAAAGCAAAGGTGGCTTCCTTCTTACATATCTACAAATCAAAAATGTTTAGAACTGTATATAACTATCCTAAGTACTTTCCATATATTAACTCAACTCTATGGGGTAGATTCTATAATTATTCTTGTATTAGAAATGAGGGAGTTGAAGCCTATAAAGTTTAAGTAACTTTCCCAAGGTTACTAATTAAAGTAATGCATCCATTCTGAAAATTACTTAGATGCCACGCAGCAAGAAAACGTAAGGTATAAATATTTGACCTAGTGTAATAACTGTATGGAAATATTTATGAACAAATGTATTCAAAAAAGTGTTAGCATTCAGATTATTTCTGACTTATTTCACTGTTATAAATGTGAATATTAAAATTACAGAGTGAAAACTTGGAAATGGTATTCGAGAAATTGTTAAATAATTATTGTCTATATGACAAAGTATATCATTCAGCCTTTCAAAATGATATGGGTAACACATTTTTGACTAACATAAGAAAATGTTCCAAAATATTGTTGAAAATGGTAATAGGTAAAAATAATCCAAAGTTATATATAGAATATGATTTCAACTTTGTTTTGAAAAAGTATTCAGAAAATATTTAAATGCAGCTGCAAAGATAGGCAATAACATCCTTGACTAGGTGAAGAGAAATACATTATTAAATAAGGAGACTGTAAATCTTCTTTGAAGGAATATTTAAATGTTTAAATGCAGCTGCAAAGATAGGCAATAACATCCTTGACTAGGTGAAGAGAAGTACATTACACATAAGGAGATGGTAAAGCTCTTCGAAGGAGCAGATAAAAAGTTAATTTAAGAACATACGGAGAATTCTGTTTTAAAACAAGAATAGAGATTTACATTCATTATATTATTGTCTTCATGAAATAGTTCAGAGTTTACAAATTGAAAGAACCTCAACTCTGTTGCATTACACCTAAATCTCATTAAAATGAATCACACCCTTGAGGCTTCCTCAGAATTATAGGAACAAAACTGAACTGTATCTGAGCTACTTGGCTAGCTAGTGCTACTGCTACTGCTCTTCAGGTTTGGCTGGTCTCCTTGACCCAATGGGGCTAGGTGCAGATGACCCTTTTGAACTCAGGAAGTCAGATTTAGGTGTCCCATTGACTCCTTGAAGTATAAGAGTTTACTTCTGATCCACCCAAAAGACAACCTCAACTACAGCCGACTACAAATGCCCCAAAGTCTACCTGCCTCACCTGAGCCTATTTGGTCCCTTGAGTTTTGAAAGCTAGATACTGTCAACCTTATTTCTCTTCTTTTATTCAGGGCCAGAATGCAATCTCTATTCCTCAAGTGATCCTCATTTGAGATTGGAGACTGGATTGTATTATCACAATACTAACAGAGGCTGCCCTCATTCAGGCCCTAAGCCAGGAGATCAAGAGCAAGCAAGATCCAAACTCAAAGGAGCTGCTGAAGGAACACTAAATCTCTGCTTTCCCAGGCCCACCCTCATGATGGATGGAGGCCAGGTTATTTGATCCAATTATCTGTGTGTCTCCATGTTCTCATCTGAAAAATAGGTATAATAAAAATAATGCTTAACTCGTTTAAAAGATTCCATTAAAAAGCTTTTAACACATAGGTACCAAGTCCATAAATGTTAACTCCTATTATGCTAATGGCATGATGATGATGATGATGATGAAGGAGAAGAAGAACAAGAACAAGGACAAAAAGAGAAGGAGAAGGAGGAGGAGGAAGAAGAGGAAGATTATGAAGAGGGGCTAGCCAATTCCTAGTCAGTCAGAAATTTAGCCAGACTGTAAATTCCAGGCTGTCAGTTTTTACTCATTATTTGTTTTCTCTTCAGTTTCCAGTGCAGTGAATGGCACATAGTTGGCACTGCAGAAATACCGATAAATAAATGGATAAATAGGTCTTGCAATTACCTTTCAGCTGCCCAGAATTTGGGGAGCAGTAATCCTTCTCATTCATGGGGAAAGAGCCTTCCATTACTGAAAGGAACATCCAGATCCTTTAGCCACCTTTAGAACCAGTAACTAGGTGCACTCTTTGTCAAGTAGCTGCCACTTTTCCTTGATCTTTATATGACACTAGGCAGAACTAAGATTTAAATTGACTACTTGTGGAGAACACTGTCTGAAGTCAATCTCTTGGTTTGAACAAAACCAGCTAGCGTTGTCAGATCTAGAAATGTAAAGTGCAGACACATCCTGCCAGACACTTGTTGGCAGGGGAAGGATTAAATAAATTGCTATGATCCAAGAAGCCACTCCCTGTTAACAACCATCAGAGAAGCCCCACAGCTTCTTAGTACAGGGTGAGCCTCATTAAACTCCATGAAGCAATAGTCACAGATTCAGGCAATCAAAATCTTAGGTTTTTACAACAGAGTGCAAGGAAGGGATTGTACATGGGTGGAGAAAACTGTTTCCAAAACTGCCCTCCTAGGCCACCACCTTCTTCCCTAGTTCTCATCTCTTCTCATCTATCTCAGAATAAGATGAGAATTTTAACAACACAGACTGGTCTCATTGTCCCCAGACTGGAAATCTCAGAAACTGTGTTTCTATTCCCTCATTCCCAGAGAACAAGCAATATCACCTCTTTAGACGCCTTAGTTGCCTAATTTTCCATGTTGTTTGTTTGTACTATGGAAACAGATTTTTATAGCTGCAATTATCCTTAAGAATAAATCTGGCCCATTGATTTTCATTCCCTACTCTGTTGAGCTAGTTGATAAAAATCTCCTAGGCAGCTCATTAAAAATTCAAATTTCTAAGCCCAAAACTCAGATTTTATGAATTAATAGTGTTACGATAAAGCCCAGATATCTCTTTCTTTCCTTTCTTTCTTCTTTTCTTTGCTCTTTCTTTTTAAAGTTATCTTCCCAAAAGATTCTGATGCTCTTCTGCCAGGGTTGGAAGTCACAAATTCTCCAAATTCTCCTAATCTTCAGTCTAACACTTGAATCTTCTCTATAATATTTACAGCAAACGACGATCAAATCCATGTTTGAGAACTACTAGTGATAGAAGACTTAAGAACAAAATCATCTCTTTAGATAGTTATCTAATTCAGTATAATTTTAGCCTTTTGTTCTAACTTTAATCTCCTTGGGACCTTGAAAAGTAAACATAATCCCTCTTTCACATTCTAAGTTTCTTCATTTGACATGGCTCTTTGTATGAGGATCAAAGGATTATGTGTAGTTCAGCCTTTTCCAAATTATGTTTCAGAGGACCATGTTTTAAGATGTGTTCCATAAAAAGGGCAATCAGTTGGCAAATAAGTGTGCTGCTTGCCAAGAACATAGGCTACATTCAGTGGTAGCAAGTCCATGTTGTACAAGCAAAAACAAGATGGTAGTCACTCTCACACATGCATTAGAAGGGATTTTCACATTGGATGAAAGAATTGACTATATAACTAAATTATGCTCTCTGCTCCCTTCATACTGATATTTTTATTAAAAGAAATCTCATAATTTCTTCTCATTCATATGATGTACTCCCATTTGAAACCTCATAGAAAAGCAGGGAAAAGTGACCATCCTACATTTAACCCAACCCTAGTCATCAAGGGTCAGCCCTAGGTCACACCCAATCAGGAGGTTTTGCCAATTAGTCATTAACTTGAGGGAAGGGCTGGGTCTGTCTACTCCCAATATAATTCACTTATTTCTCATCAGTGGCAATAGAAGAAAGATTTCACCCTTCTCTTAGTAAAGGCTCAGCAAATTTCAGACGAAAGAGAATCAGAAGTCAAAGAGGTCTACACCTACCCTTTTCCAGACACTTGGGAATCTGACCTAATTTTGTTTTATACATTGTATAAGCCTTTTGGTAGCCTTAATGAAATAGTTTCAAATTTTACACATATATATCAACCGGCTATATCAACCATTTCTAATCTCTCATAAATATTCCAGTCCTATCACAACTGATTACATATTTTACATAGTTGTAATCACAGTACATATATAATTTTGTGTTCTGTATTTCATATATATTGCATATATCTTTTATATTCTTATGTTATTCATATTTATAATAAAATATATATCCAGAGGGCTTACCTTATGATCCTTAATATTTCTACAACTTTGTAATTTAAGGTTACTGTAAATTTATGATACAGTGTGAAAATAAACTCTTATACAGAAATGTTTTTTGTTGTTGTCCTCAATCGTGTTCTTAGTGTGGAATTTTGTGAGTCGGATTGACACAAAAGGCATATTTTTGCAACAATTTAGAGAAAATTCATATTTTATAATGCTGTACTAATTTATAATGATACCAACAGATGTTAGAATTAGAATCAGATAGTATATTATTCCACCCATTTCATTATAAATGTACCAATATTATATAGTATATTTTTCTTCTATATTTGTCAATATATATATTGCTTGTACAAAACTTTTAGAAAGAATGTGTCAAAAATTTTTTTCAAACAACACAAAAGTTATCCATACAGGAAAAAAAATCCTTAAATAAGTCTTTAAAATATTTCTTCAAAGAACATAGAAATTGGTATAATATAAATTAGACCGTGTGGCAGGAGGAATTCTAAGATGGCCCCCATATTCTCTATTGCAAGTGCCCTGTATAGTCCCCTCCCCTTGAGTGCGGCAGATCCTATAAATATAAGAGCATACTCCACCAAGATGAGGTTATGTTATATGGCAGAGGTAATGTAATTTTGCAGGTATAAAGTCCTTCATGTATTGAAAAAGTTAATTGAACGGAAGATTACCCTGGTATGTAATCTAATCAGGTGAGTCTTAGAAAGAGGGTCTAGAGTTCAGAGACAGAAGAGCCAGAAAGTTTCGGGGCAATAGCAGACACACTGCTGCAGATCATGAAGAAGCATACAGCCATATTTTGAAGAGGGTCACCTCCCAGGAAATACCAGGTAATCTCCAGGAGCTGAAGGCCTCAGTTAAACAGTTGCAAAAAAGTAAATTTTCTCAACAACCGGTGATCTTGTAGAAGACCCAGAGCCTCGGATGAGATTTTAGTATAAACTGCTGTCTTGGCTTCAGCCTGGTAAGACCATAAACTTGGTATCAAGATAACCCGTCCTGGACTCCTGACCCATAGGAACTGAGTGAAAGAACATATTTGTGTTGCTTTAAGGCTGTCTTGTTTGGTGACAATTTGTTTTGCAGTAATAGAAAACGAATACAGACCTAACACAAAATATTAACAATAAAAAAATCTGATGATGACCAAAGAAACCAACTAACATTTAAGAGAAAAAATAAAATAAAACATTAACTGCAAACATAAAGAGTTGAAGCTAATAACCATTCCAAAGTAATGTAATGCTTTGAAGAAATTTTAAGTCATGACTACTAAAAAATAAAGAGTCAAAGATAGAGCCTCATTCTTCAAATTAAACAAAACAACACAAAAAAGTAAAAAACAAAAAAAATTGTCTTTAAAACCATTAAGAATGGTCTTTAATAATAACTTTTTATGAATACAAATTAAAAATACATTGTAGATAAGCATAGATAGATAACTTTATGGCTAATAATGCTTGAAATTATATAAGAAAATAACTAATGTGATAGCAGAGAGACTCTTTCTCTTTGTAAATAATTTTGAATATAAAATCAAATAGAACACAGTCCATGCACTAATAAACAAAACAAACAATAAATACATGTGAGTAAATTTAAAGATATACAAAAAGATCAGAAATCAAATTATGAAAATTATTCAATAAATATAAATGGTGTAAATTTTCACAATAAAAAGCAAGAAGTTTCTGACTCTATCTTAAAAGAAATTTAGCAACACACCTTTTAAAAGACATTTTTAAAACAAATTGTCTAGGTGTGGTGACTCACACCTGTAATCCTAGCACTTTGGGAGGTAGAGGCAGATGAATTACTTGGGCTCAGGAGTTTGAGACCAGCTTGGCCAACATGGCAAAACCCCATCTCTACTAAAAATACAAAAAAACTAGCCAGGCATGGTGGCACTCATCTACAGTCCCAGTTCCTCGGGAGGCTGAGGCACAAGAATCACTTGAACCCGGGAGGCAGAGGTTGCAGTGAGTCAAGATCATGCCACTTCACCCAGCCTAGGTGACAGAGCAAGACTCTGTGTAAAAAAAGAAAAAAGTTAATTAATCTAAAAGGCTAAAGATAGTTTAAATAAAAAAAACAGAGCTGCCAATGTCAATCTCAAAGAAGAAATTAAGCAAAAAATATTAAGCAAGTTTCAGAGGCTTACTTTATAATAATTAAAGTTATAATTAAAAGATACAAAACCATTATGAAACAAAGAAATGTGTAAAGCAAAACACATTATATATATTAAAAGAATGGTCAGAAACAATATACGTTTTATATTAACACAACAAAATGAATCTATTGCAGATGAAACGGAAGTTTCTGACAAAAGCAGAATAAAAATATTCAGAATAATTAAAGATTAAATTTTATATACCAGAATTTATAGAATCTAGTAAAATTACTTAGAGCAAGAAATAAAACTATTCCAAAAGAAAGTAAAGAGAAGAAAACCCATTATCTAAAAGTTGTTATATCCAATTTAGAAATTATGTGCACATTTATATTAATCAAGTCCAGTTTATTACTAATATAAACCAAATCAAGAAATCAAGAAAAAAGCAGTAGCATAAACTTTATGTTATTGTTGTGAGATTATAATTATAAAATGGTCATTTAAAAGAGTATGAGTTTTTGAAACATGGATGACTTTATGTCAAAAAACCAAAATATTAAAAATATAATGCAAGAAAAAAGTTGAATTACTCCTCTCTAAAAATAATAATCATAAATATACTAAATATAATGTAAATTAATCTAGGTGATTATCTTTTATCTTTTTAATATTTTATGATAAGAATAACGGCCCTATTTAGAATGTATGTTTTTTTCATGCAACAAAAGAATATTCATTATCCTTTCATGTGTGTACACACACACATACATGAATATATATACCTATATTCATGTATTTTTTTATGTGTCTATGTATATATGTACATATATATATTCTTGGTACTAGTGGAAGAAGTAAGGATACTCCAACATTCTCAATGTATTACTAGTAAGGATCCTCACTTCTTCCATAAAGTGTATTTTGGTAGTGGGTCATACAGACTTCTGTAGGTTAAAATATGCCTTATGTGGTCTATAATTAAAAGCTTTCTTTATTTATTCTTTATGTAAAAGTCTATCTCTGCATCACATGTCTATGGCTGAAGGATAGGCCAGACAATGGCTTCATGTTTGCATTCATTTTTTTTCTAAATTATCCCTAGAGAGTAGTACCATAAAGATCATATACTTAGGCATAAGACAGACCCAAGTTGCTAAACTTCTCTCAGCTCAGTTTTCACAGTTGTAAAATAAGATTAAACATACCATTTTGTTTGTTTTGCCTCGACACTTAGAAGAAATAAGGACCACATCTGGATTAGTAACTGGGAAATAAGAGGAGATAAACAATTGGCAGACTCCTTTCTACTTCTCAAAGCCTAAATCGGAGGTTTTAAACTTATATGCCACTGTTACAGAAAATTAAAAGATAGATAGTGACTACAGGATTTTGGTTAAGTCAGATTTACCTTAACTATTTTCATTACTAATGAAATTATTATTTTATTTTTTCCTTATTAGGAATTGTTTTAAGAGGGGTAATTCTCTCTCTCTCTCTCTCTCTCTCTCTCTCTCTCTCTCTGTCACACACACACACAATTCACTCCTCACCATTTAAAGAATAGCACATTTATGCTTAGCTAATAGCTGATGTGGGGAGCTTACCTTGCAGCTGATAGTCAATGTGATATATAAGGGAAAGGCTAAAAAATTAGTTAAGTGCCCTGGTTCTGAACTGCCTGCGCTTGACTCTTAGAACATCTACTTACCAACTCTGTGAAGTCAGGCAAACTCTGCACCATATATAAAATACAAAATGCAATAGTAGCTACTCACAGAGATGTTATAAGTATTACATGAATTAACATATATAAGAACTTAGATTAGAGGGTGACACATAGTTCATGCTCAATACATTTTAGCTATGATTATTGCATAAGTTGTCTTTGAACGTATGTAGTGGCTCATGCCAGTAATCCAGCACTTTGGGAGGCCAAGATGGAAGGATCACTTTAGGCCAAGAGTTTGAGACCAAACTGATCAACATACTGAGAACCCCATCTCTAAAAATAAATAAATAAATACATAAAAGTAAAACAATGAATGAACATTTTATTGAATGTTCAATAAAAATGTCCATAGTTAAATATAGGCCACATATGTCAGGCTTCACCAGGATGTAACAACAAAGCGAGGTTATAGTTCCTTTTTACAAACAAATTATAAAGGGACTAATGATTCTCTGGTCAAAAATCAGCCAGGTATTTCCGAGATTTCCCCCACTACTGCTATTTATATAGTTAGGAAATGGATCTTGTGGTTCTTTCACCCTCAACATTTTATCAAGCCAAAGTCTCTATTTCCAATGACCCAGGGAAATCATTCCTTGCTTGGACACAGTTATTGTCCAAAGATCACCACTACCATTCTTTTCTGGCATCAGCTGGAGAAGGTGGATTCCTTAAATTGGCTTGTCTTTCCTACTCAAAACATCCCTGAACAAAAGCTTTTTTTTTTTTTGACTAGAATTTACTGAAGCTTTGTGGATAATGAAAGGAAGGTGCACTAAATACTGAGAATAACTTTAAAAAGCTCTTTGCATGGCAGATTCTGCTTAATTTGAGGGTCATCTACAATGCCATCTCCTCAGACAGACCTTCCAGATCATCTTCCCATAACAAATCTTTCTGTTGTAATTTTCTCCTCCTCCTCCTTTTCATTCTCCTTTTTATTCCTTACCATAACCTGAAATTACCTTATATATTTCTTTACTTGCTTATTTGTATTCTTGTTTTAGAAAGGGAATTCTTCTCATTTTTTAAGGTTTCTCTGGGGTCTCCATGGCTAAGAGATGGTCTATTCAGTTAGTTGGGGAGCCTAGAATTTTATTTTTATTTCTCAAACCAAAGGCATTTCTGCTAGACAGACATCTGGCAAAATTTGAGGAAGGCAAGAGAAAAATCAACAAGAAAACCAACCTAGAGAGAGTAAATGCAAACTTCATAATAAAAAATGGGAAATAATTACAGATGCGAAAGTTGATTATATGAATTGAGTCATTCTTGTCAAACCTAACTGTGAAAGCTAAAGCAGCTCCATATTGGGTGCTGAGCCAATATAATGGTCAGTCATATTACTATGTTGTTTCATTTTAACAGGAATTTTTAAAAGTGTATTATAACCTATAATACACTATACTGTAATCTCAATGAAGACAGACCAGTCTGCCATGTTTTCTATTGAATCTGTGTCACCTACAATTCCTGACATCTTGTAAGCATTCAACAAATATTGATACAATGGACAAGCAAATTCCGAAGGCCCACTTTTCCGTTTAGTGTAACTTTATTCATCAGCCCTTAAACATCTCTGTATTAGGCAGAATAATGGCCCATCAAAGATGTCCATGGCTTCATCCCTGGAACCTAGGAATATGTTAGGTTACATAGCAAAGAGAATTAAGGTTGAGAATGAAATTAAGTTTGTTAGTTAGCTGACCTTTAAAAAGGAAGATTATCCTGGATTAACCAGATGGGCCCAGGGTAAACACAGGGGTTCCTAAAAGTGGAAGAGGGAGGCAGAATAGAGAGAGCCAAAGAAGGACAAATGTAAAAAACTTATTTTAATGTTACTGCCTTTGAAGCTGGAGAAAGGGGCCATGAGTCAAGGAAAGTGGATCACTTCTAGAATGTGGAAACGGATTCTCCCCCCAGAGGCTCCAGAAAAGAAGGTACCCTGCTGATATCTTAATCTTAGCCCTTTGAGAGATCTGTGTTGAACTTCTGATCTACAGAGCTATAATAGTTTTGTATTGTTTAAATCACTGATTTTATGGTAATTTGTTACAGCAGCAATACAAAATTATTAATAATTTTTAAAAAGAAAGGGAGTTCTTGTTCATTTCCGAGTCTTCAGAGCTTGGAATAGGGTATGCCTCATAGTAGAAAAACAATATACATATGTCATAAGAAAGAGTGACAAAATCAATTCATTAATTAATTAATGCACAGACCAGGTCTGCCTTAGAATGCAGCTAATTTTTGTTTATCTTTCAGCTATCAACTTGCACATGACTTCTGCAAGCAAGGCCCTCCCTGACCCTCTAGACAACGAAAGCTCTCCCTGTAAGATGATCCCCCTGCACTCTTTGTTTACTTTAAGTCATTTGTTTAATTATTTGTCTTCCCTGCTTATGGCAGGACATGAATTGTTTGTTTCATCCCACATTCTGCCCCCAACTCCTAGAAGGGTGCAGGCCATATGATTGGTACTTAATAAAATTTAATCCCATAAAAGAGTTATTAAAATACAGTTGTGCACCATATAATAACTTTTGGTCAGTGATGACAGTGGTCCTATAAGCTTAAAACGGAACTGAAAAATTCCTATCACTGGTGATATCTTGATGATCCTGACCCTGTGTAGGACTAGGCTAATGTGTGTGTTTATATCTTAGTTTTTAATAAAGTTTAAGAATTTTTAAAAGTTTCATTTAAAAATAGAAAAAAAGCTTTTAAAATAGTGATATAAAGAAAGAAATTATTTTTCTACAGTTGTACAATGTGTTTGTGTTTTAAGCTAAGCATTATTACAAGAGTCAAAAAGTTTAAAAATTTTTTAAATTTACAAAAAAAAGTTACAGTAAACTAAGGTTAACTTATTATTGAAGAAAAAGTATTTTTATAAACAGTGTAGCCAAAGTGTACAGCATCTGTAAAGTCTACAATAGCATACAATAATGTCCTAGGCCTTCATATTCCCTCACCATTCATTCACTGACTCACTGAGAGCAACATCCTGTCTTGCAAGCTCTACTCATGGTAGGTGTCCTATATAGGTGTATCACTCTTCATCTTTTATATAATATTTTTACTGTACTTTTTCTATGGTTACAGGCACAAATACTTACCACTGTGTTACAGTTGCCTACAGTATTTAAGATAGCAACATGCTGTACAGGTTTGTAGCCTAGGAGCAATAGGCTATACCATACAGCCTAGGTGTTGTAGTAGGCTGTGCCATCCAGGTTTGTGTAAGTGCGCAAGCATGATATCGTTCAACGACACATTTCTCAGAATGCATCTCCATTGTTAAGTGAAGCATTACTGTAGTATTCAAAGTGATGATGATATTAACTCATTTCCGGCTTAGGAAAATAAACTGCAGCTCACTGCCAGCGCTCACTTAATTTTACATAAACACGCTCTTTGAAGCTGAAGAAAATCTGACTGATTTTCAACGTGAAAATAAAATATAAAAACTGTTCTTGGAGTTATTTCTAAACAGAACTTGTCTCTAATCCTAATGTAACATCATATGCATTTGTGTTACATTAGGATTAGAGACAAGAGTATTCTCGGGGCAAATGAGAAATCTTAATTAATGGAAAACGCAAAATTGAAATTTTTGTGAAGAAATCATTCTAAAACAAAGTTGACCTGTCCAAGAGACCACACATTATTTTTTTCTTGACTCCTTATATCTCTCACTCTTGAGTCAGTTTGTTCCCATCATTACTAAACATTACAAATTATTTCACTGCACTTATAAGAATCTTTCAAAATAACACTCAGCAATAAATGCATCATTTTAACCCGTAGAGTACTAATGCCTTCCATTAACAAATCTAATGACTAAGAAAATAGTTTCCCCATCTGTACTTTCACATTATTCTGTAAGGGAGAAAAATTATAATAGTCAGTGCTTCTATTGTTTCATCTGGTGTCATCAGGAGAAAGCTGCATTCAAAGTGACTTGTCTAACCAAGTCAACCTGCCTAGGGCTTCTCAGCCTTCAGGAATGTGAGGATAATAGCACATTCCCACCTAACTTTTCATGGCCAAAGTGGGTGAAGCAGCCATTCAGCTGTTTTGGTACTTAAGCTTTAAATTCTAGTTTCTATATATGTTCACACGACAGAAAACAGCACCATTTAATTAAGTAAATAAATATCACAATTTTGAAGTAATTAACTGTAACTGTGGAAAAATCACTCAATTTAGAAGCAGACTTTGCTTTTGGTTTGAAGAAAACTGCCATAGTAAGACCTGTCATAATATGCAACTCTAGTTGGCACCATCCTTATCACAGTCCATGTGCATGGTGTCCCCTGTAAGCATGGAGCACCATAGTCCCGTGTGCCAGAGCCAGGATTAAAATCAAGCTCTTGAACCTAATGCTCTACCACTTGCTTAACTGGGAAGTACAGCACAGATGCAAAAATATTAACTCGTATTTTAATAAACAATTATAAATATTAAAATAACTAATTTTATTTTGAATTTCTTGCTTAGGATACAGTATGCTAATTAAATATAATTTAAAAGAAAAGTCTGGTGATTAAGTTTACCAGAAACACTAAATCAAAAGAAAGACTATTTAGTCAGGCTTGGAAGAATCACCAGAATAACCCAAATGAGGAAGAGTGTAGAAGGCTGGCTGAGTTTAAATGGGCACAGCGGTACTAGTGCCTTACTTTTCAACATCATATCACGAAGCACATTTATGTTCTGTGGGTTTACAGTACAACAGATATAGAAGCAGCAATATCACATGTGCTTTTTACAAAGAAATGCAGGTTCAACTTTTATCTTTAAAAGGATATATATCCTAAAAGAATCCCTTCACTGTTATGTCTTCTGAGTAAAGCTTCTATAGTCCAAGTTTCATGAAATTGATGTGTAACTTAAAACAAACCTTGGCCGGGTGTGGTGGCTCACACCTGTAGTCCCAGCACTTTGGAAGGCCTAGGAGGGCTAATCACGAGGTCAGGAGTTCGAGACCAGCCTGATCAACATGGTGAAACGCCGTCTCTCCTAAAAAGACAAAAATTAGCTAGGCGTGGCAGCCCATGCCTGTAATCCCAGCTACTCAGGAGGCTGAGGCAGGAGAATCTCTTGAACCTGGGAGGCAGAGGTTGCAGTGAACTGAGATCACGCCATTGCATGCCAGCCTGGGCAACAAGAGTGAGATTCTGTCTCAAAAAAAAAAAAAAAAAAAAAAACCTTAATGTGAACTTCAAATCTTCTCTTTTTTGTTTCCTTAAAAATAATTCAGATCATCTTAATAATAATAATACCTACTTAGAGTTATTGAGGGCGTACAATGTGCCAGGCCCTGTGTTACATTGATTACCTAATCTAATCCTCCCAGATTACTTTAAGAGTTAACTAAATTATGATTCCATTTTACAGATGTAGAAACTGAGGCACAGAGACATTATTTATCTTACCACATGTCACACAAGCTAGTTAAGAAATAAAGCTGGATTGAAACAAGGAGGTCCACACTCTAATGCCAATGTTCTTAAATGAATTAATATTTTAATAAAAGATTAATTACAGAATCATTCCTAAGAACCGACCCCTCCAAACTAAGCTACTTAATAGTCTTTGGAAACAGGCTATACTTGAGCCTTTGAGTTCTCTCCACATCACTGTCTCTTTCTAAAATTTGATTTTCATGAATTACTTATTAGAATACTTCTGTAATTCAAATTCTAGCTCTGGGTCACCTTTCCTTATGAAACTCTGAAGTATTATTCTTGACCTTTTTTCTTCAGTTTCTTATTGCTTGCCACCTTGGGTTGTAGTTATTTCGGGACAGACATCATAGCCCTCTCTGTTTCTTCCAATGCCAAGAACTGTCATTATTCAAAGTAGTCATTTTATAATTATTTGTGGAGCAAAGAAAATAGAACATAGAACAGAAACAGAAAAGAAGTTGGGCAACAATTTATTTAGTTAATCAAACTATAAATATTTCCAAGGTTTTAAAAGGAAGGTACACCAGCCCCATAATTACTAGAAGAGGCATGACTGTTCTAACAGCCTTGACTCAACCGTCCAGAATTCTCCCTTCCCTTGGAGAATTCTCCCTTTGTTATCTGCTGCCATTTCTGTGCTCAAAACCAGATGGACTCTGCTTCTTCCTCCATTTAAAATTGTGTCTCTATTTGGACCAAAATCCTTTTTCTTATGATGTTAGTGTGAAAAAACATCAGAACTATATTTTCAAAACGAATATTAGTCTATGCCAAATAGTGCAATAAGATAATAACTTTAAGAAATAGAACTAAACAGGTTTCCAAAGGAGAAATTTCTGGTTCTTAGCTATTAAAAATAGAAAACTATGATAAAACAAAAATATTTGCCAAACACTTTATATACATTACCTCATCCCAGTGAGAATGATATTATTTTTATTTCCATTTTGTATTTTACAGAGAATTTAAGTAACTTGCTGAACTACACATGGTGAGTGGTAGAACTGGAATGTGAATGCATATTATCCTGTTTTTAAAGTCACTTCTATTAATTATATGTCTTAGAGTCTCCCAACTTCTTCCCAAGGACAGTCCCAACCATGCTTATGAGTCATTTTCCGTCGGCCCCTCTCCATGGGCGCAGTGCCATTACCTCCCTTGCTCATTTCTCTATCTTGCTTCATTACTTGAGTGATTTCAGAAGAGATTACAGAAAACTTTTTTTACTCCTTTGTTTTGCTCATTCAAAATTCCCAAAACAGAACGCTTGAACACTGCTGGTGGAAATGTAAATTAGTACAATCTCTATGGAAAACAGTGTGGAGATTTTTCAAAGAACTGCCATTCAATCCAGCAATCCCACTACCAGGTATCTACCCAAAGGAAAAGAAGTCACCATATCAAAGACACCTGCATGTGTATTTTTAGCACAGCACAATTCACAATTGCAAAGATATGGAATCCACCTAAGTGCCCATCAACTGATGAGTGGATAAAGAAAATGTGATATACCTATACCGTGGAATACTATTCAGTCACAAAAAAAAGAACAAAGTAATGTCTTTTGTAGGAATTTGGATGGAACTGGAGGCCATTATTCTAAGTGAAGTAACTCTGGAATGGAAAACCAAATACTGCATGTTCTCACTTGTAAGTGGGAGCTAAGCGAAGGATACGAAAAGACATACAGAGTGGTATCATGGACATTAGAGACTCAGATGGGACAGGCTGGGAGAGAGGGTCTGGGATTAAAAACTACTGGTTATAATGGGCATTATTTGGGTGATGGGTCCACTAAGAGCCCAGATTTCACCACTGGAACAGTTCATCCATGTAACCAAAAACCATTTGTACCCCTAAAGCTTAGAATGTTTTAAAAAATTACATTCCTAGAACCCATTGGCCTGTTCCATTTCTGAAAGAAGTCAGGAAGAAAAGGAATAATCAAATTCTGGCACTTCCTCCACAAAGCAAGAGAGGCAGACTCAAGAAAGGATGTTTCTTTCTCATACAAGTGAACATCTCTTTGTACCATTCCAGGGACTGTCACTCAGGCAAGAGTCTCCATCTACCCACACATATGCATGGAGTGGGTTTTATTATTGGTAATAATGAAAAAAACTAGCATTTATTGGGGTCTCCTTTTTCTCAGTACTTGCAAAATGTTTAATATTCTTTACCTTATTACTTTTTCACATCCACACTGTTAAATAGATATTGCTATCACCAGTTTGCAGATTATCATACAAATTAAGCAATTTTGTCTAAACTCACCAACCCTGAAAACTGATGTTTGAACACTGGTCTTTCTGTCTGCAAAGCCCTGGTTGCAAACCTGCTTCCCATATTGCATCTGATCCCACCCCATCAAAATTTTATTATTCAAAATTTGAATATAACACTGATATAATGCAAACATGTACACACATGCATGCACATAAAATCATCATATTTATGCATTATGTAATTTGATACCTACAGGTATTTTCTTACAGTGTCTTTCAAGTTTCACTTAGCAATGTTGCGACCAAGCAAGCTGTATGAATTCCACAAATAGCATTGATAAGAAGATGCAATTCAGTGGAAGCTTTATTATTATAACTAAACTGTTCATGGCTTTTTATAGTTTATAAACACTGTCATCTAGTTCTCATTTGATGCTTGTATCAACCATGAATGTGAAATTATCATATTTTGCAGAAAAGATACAGCTTCTAATAATCAGAAAACAATCTGAAGTTAGAAGCTAGCAAAACAAAGACAGGGGAATTGAATCTTGGTTCAAACTTCAAAGTTGGGGATCTACATCACTTCCCACTGCCTCTTTTTATGTATTTCATGGATTCTTCCCTTATCCTAAATTATTCTCAGTGTGGTTGCTGATCGTGGTCATCTATGAAGCTGAACATTTCCCCAGATAGAAATCTCCAACCAATTCTATTACTAGAATGATTTTACCGGGATATAGTCCTTAATTTTTTTCCTAACTCTTTCACTTCTCAGTGAAATGCCTAGATACAGCCCAAGGTGAAATGGAGTGAATAGCTCAGTGCCATCTATTGCTGAGTCAGCTGATGCACGGTCTATGGGTCTGCGTGACTGAAGGCAGTTGATTCCCAAAGGCAGACCTCTTCATCTCCTCAGCAGCCCCAGGGCTGCTTCAACAAACCAGCACATTGTCTGGGATGGCCTTTAGAGTGCAGAAATCTTGTTTGCCACCTTTGTTTTCAAAGTGAAAAGACAGAAGGATAGGAAGCTTTTTCCATCTGAAACCCTGCATCAACAGTCTTTCGCCTGCATGTTTTCTGATTACATACACTCATATGAATGAGACATTGGGCAATGATTTCAAGACATAACTTCTTGTGAATTAATGTTAACTCCTGTTACATTATTTAGCATTAGTGTTAAATAACTACCCAGAAACAACTGCAATCCCAATCCAGTTAAGCAAAGCCATATCTGAGACATATACACCATTCTATACTATAGCACTACCAAGAGTGGTGAATAAGCTAGATAAGAACAAGATAAAGGCCTATTCTTTATGTCTCATAGACAAAACCACCATCACAGCCTACCTTCAGTACTGTATTAGCCTCCAGGGTATTCTCTGTGCACATATTTGACCCCTACAATCTAATCTCCAAAGACCAGCCATGGGTTATCTGAAAGCATAAATCATATCGTCACTCCCCTTCTTAGCAATACCCGATGGCTTCCCATTACTCAGAATAAAATCCAAACTCCTTACAAAGCCTGGTTGCTTAGATTTTATTCAGAGAATGTCTTAGATAAATACTTGGAAAATTCAAGATCATAAGTCCATGAACAGACAGCAGAGGAAGATATTCCTGTAAAATACTTTGATTTGGGGGAAGACCTGAGAACAGCAAGAAAAGGAGATGTTCACAGTGAAAGAGGAAAGCTGGGAGATAGTCACCCAAAGAAAATAATATGTTCCTTATGGAGATCTGAAGAAAAGCAGTCAAAGTCTAGGCTGTGGTTAGGTTTTTATCAGAAAGCAGGATTATTTAGCTCAAAAGCAAGCAATGGAGCTTTATTCAGTTTATTTTAAAAAATATTTTAAAGGATTATTAGGATTATGGCATCTTCAAAGATGAAGAAAATTAAGAATAAGCTACTCCAAGATCCTTAATTCATATACATGGAAAGTAATTTCCAAACAGGAGTGAGTGTTTGGAAATTACTCTGTGCACAGAGTAATTGCTCCAGTTGTGCAATCAGTGGGTGGTATTTATACAAAGAGGACTGAGTTGCCTGGGATCTCTCATGAGGTGGTGTCAAAGCCAGGACCAGAACTCAGGGATGCACACTCAGACTCAATGCTTTCAAACAATATGTTATGAGGAGCTAATTTATTTTTTTTCCTTTTTTCTTTTGTTTGTTTTCTATTCATCACAATTTAATGCTTTAAATTAAATGAAAATATATTCACATATGTTAAATACAAGTCTACATTTTACCACTGTTAGATTTAAGACATAAAGATACTTTATGTCTTATGCTTATTCTCAGTTCTGTACTTACTACACTGCAGACCAGTAACAGTTTGTGGATCAGCACCAATCTGTAGGCAGCACTTTGAGTAGCACAGCTTTGCATGTCCTAACCAACCACTCTTGCAGGTTCATGAGATGCTTCTCCATAGCAAGTTGATGCTTGACTTGCATAAGCACTTACAAAGCAGACTGCTGCCATCTCCAAAGGCGATCCTTTCTTCTTTGGATATAAACCTCACCATGAACTCACTTCCTCTGAGAAGCCCAGAAAAAGAGATACTGACCCTAGAAGTGACTTTAGCCATAGAACAGAAGGCCCCTCATGCTGAGCATGTTGAGCAACTGAAAAACACTCAGAATGGCCAACCAACGATAATGACATATATATATATACTTAGTGAGTTATCAATAATTTTCTTAGACATTTGTTTTCTACAAGAAGAATGCATCGAGAACATATTACAACCGCTTTCCAAAATTGCCTTGTGGTATCCTTCTGTCTCTATTGGCACTTCTCAGCCTCTCATGCTTCATGTTTTTTTTCCTCATAAAATATCAGCACCAGCATATTTTATCTTTGCTTGTTTTTCTGTGCCCACCAATAATGGCAATATACATACTATCTATTTTTTATCAGGTACTATCTTAAGTGCTTAACACACATTTATTTATTTAATCTTTAAAACAACCTTGTGATTTAAGTATCATTAATATCCCCACTGCAGAGATAGAGAAACTGGGAGAAAGTGAGTAGGTTCAGTTTTGAACTCAGTGAGATTGAAACACCTGTGAGATATTTATGTGTGGATATTCAGGAGCCTATTGTACACAATCTTGGAACTCAGAAGAGAAACAACATTAGAATTAGATACTAGAATCTTCAGTTGATGGAATAAAACCAGGTGGACTGGAGGAGATTTCTTGGAAGTGTGCACAGAGTAAGAAAGGGACCAGAGCCCTAAAGAGCAGCAAACACATCATGATCTGTCACTGAAGGCTTCAAATGAGTATATTTGCTGGATCCTTTGCAGTTGAACTGTTTACTGAGAGTGTCTGTCCCTCTATAAAGAAAAAGGAGCCCAGAGTCCACAATCTCTGGCATGCAAAAAGGGCAAAGAGGAACTGTGTTAGAAATGATGTCAGTGATAAGGAAGGGGTGGGGGCTGGAAACTATGCTCAGAAGGAACAATGTGTGTCTGTGGAACAATGGGGAACAAAAACAACAGGGCAAATGCTCCTTTAGTCTACAGAATTCTGAGGGGTTTACATGGGGGGCACTGGATAGACTTGTTCTTTGTGGTTCGAGGAGATGAAACTAGGACATGTGGGTGAAAGCTGCAGAGAAGCATATTTCAGCTTGTATGAAGAAGGATTTCCCATAGCCAGGGCTCTCAGTGTGGAACTGGTTGCCTGCCAGTATCCTCCACTGGGAAAAGGCCAGTTTCCACTTGAGAGTGAGACAGGATGGTTCCTCTCTGTACCCATGAGAAACCCTCACAGCAATTCCCACGGTTATGAGGAAGGATGTGAGGACAGAATAGGGATTTTCCTGGTTGGGCAAGAACTATGGGACAATAGCTGTGTGGTTCTCAAACAGCTCTTCTTGACAGTGATGTGGGTGATGAAAAGGCCAAGTCTCGGTGTCACAGCCAACAATAGTGTTCACAGAGCAATGGCTTTTCAATGCCGATGATCAGTAACTAAGTGTCCTCTCAAAACATAAGAGGAAAACTCTGGTTCCAAGTCCCTTGGATTTCACTGAAAAGCAGGGTTGGAATCTCCAGGTTGGAAGGACCTCAAAGCACTAGCTTGGCTCTTACCTATGTGAGAATCTCCCTTGCAGCATCCCTGATAAATGTCCTCCTGGTCCTGTTTACAAATCTTCAGTGATGAGCTTTCTGCAAGGCAGCTTTCCATGGTTCAAGAGTTCTCACTGTTATCGATGAAAAGTAAAAACAATAGTTCAGATTTATTGCATTCTCACTGTGTGCTGAACACCGGGCTGAATACTTTCCATGTATTGAAATCTTGAATCCTTGCCACAAAATTATTAAACAGCTTTAGTGTTATCCTCATTTGTCAGGAAGTGAGGAAATTAAGTATCACCATGTTAAGAATGTGTTCAAGGTCACACAAACTGATAGAACTGTCTTTAAAGAATATGATTTTCACAAAATCACTTCATTTGTAACATGTCTGAGAATCACCTTTACTATTTTTTACCTTTTTCTTTAAATTCTCTTGTATTAACAAAAACTTAAATACCTACTTTTAATCATTTCTTATACATCTGAAATCACAAAATCGGTGTAGTTGTGTATTTTTCTCTAAATATGTGTATTAAAACAAGTTCATAAGTAATAAAAAGCTACAAAATGTTCATCCACATGCTAAGTACAAATATCTAAATGCCATTTTTGTATGTACCATATTTTGGTAAACATTACTCTAAGGTATATTTCTTCTCATTTTTACATATTTATTTTTAAACCCAAACCTGATTGATTTTGTGGTAATTTTTCACTGTTGGTGTTAGCTCTGCCTTGTGAGCTTGCCAAGGAAAAGTCTTGGCGATCTTGGAAAAGTCCAAGGCTGGTTATAGAGTGTCTAAGAAGATTGTCTATATCCCCATTAAGAATTCTCCAGGTGTGGCAGGGCATGGTGGCTCACGCCTCTAATCCCAGAACTTTGGGAGGCCGAGGCAGGCTGATCACTGGAGGTCAGGAGTTCGAGACCAGCCTGGACAACATGGTGAAACCCTGTCTCTACTAAAAATACAAAAATTAGCTGGGCGTGGTGGCTCCTGTAATCCCAGCTACTCGGGAGGCTGAGGCAGGAGAATCGCTTGAACCTGGAAGGCGGAGGCTGCAGTGAGCCAAGATCACGCTATTGCACTCCAGCCTGGGCAATAAGAGCGAGACTCCGTCTCAAAAAAAAAAAAAATTCTTCAGGTGTGTCATTTTCTGTTCTTTTAACTTCTTCCACAGGGAGGTCTAGGTTCCACTAGACTCCCCTGGGCTGTAACTTTTGCCTGAAATACTCTATTTTGTAAAGTAGCCACAGTTGTTCTATAAGGGCATATACAACCCTAGTTATAGAGCCCAGAATCTTCACGCCTGTATCCAGAAGCTGCTTCCACGCGCAGGCCCAGCTCCATCCAGGGCTAGGGGCAGAATACACATCCTAATGGAAGGATCATAGTCTCAGCCCAGAAGACAGGAGCCCTTTCCCATTCCTGCCTGTCTTTTAGCTATCACATGAATTATGGGAGTCTGAGTTCACTAAACTAAAATACGAATATAATAATTCTTGTCCTGCCAGCGTCTCAGGATGGTTGTGAGAATAAAAATGAGACGATGGATTGTAGATTTTGTAAACCGTGAAAAGTCATAGATATTAGTCATTGCTGGGGCAGACTTCATGGCCTAAATATACCCTTACTTACCTCCTTGAGTGATCTATAAACCCAGGACACTTTCTAGCTCTTCTATAAAATATGAAGGTGGAGAAGTGGTATGTGGACAAGACTCAATGATACTCACGTAATTGATTAGGTGAGGAACTGCTGTGTGTCAGTTGCTATTCCAGGCCTTAAGATACAATGTTGAATGGGGGAGAGAAGCAGAGCTGATATTCAACCAGTAGAAACTAGTGGACGTACTGATTGCTACAATATCTAAATACTTTCATACTAATAGATGCATGCCATTTCCTTGAGTCTTATAGTTCACACACATTACCCTATCTACTCCAGCCCCTCACTCAGAACTTCCAGACCTCCCCACAAGCCAGCAACTGAAGGGTTAAAGTCCAGACTGCAGCCCCCACCTGCTGCCCTTCACCTGCCCCCACCTCTGCCGCCCCCAGCAGACTCTGTTCCAGGAATTTGCCCACTGTCAATTATGATTGATTAGTGCCATGTTGCACTGGTTGTTAAATAGTTTGAATATCACTCTGGGAGAACAGGTTCCATTCTATTGAGAAGAGATAGTAAACAAGTGAATGAAACAATGCATAATTCAATTGCAGACTATGATAAGAACTATAAAGAAATGAGTCGTGCTGGGGTGGAGAGGCGAAATCTTAGATAGCATGATCAGGAAAGGTCTCCATGAGGAAGTAAGATGTGAGTTGAGACAGGAATGGGAATAAGAAAACTAGAGCCAGCCATGCAATGATCCAAGGGAGGAGCATTGCCACAGAGGGAAGAATAGGAGCAAAAGCCCTTGGGCAGGAATGGGTTTGGCATGTATGAAGAATAGAAAGACAGCCCATGTGATCAGATGATAATGCAGGTTGCCCAAGGTAGGCATGGCTGGAGCATTTGTGTGCTGCAGTCTTTGGTAGCCTGGATTTTATTCCAAGTATGAGGAAAAACCATTAGAATGACTTAAATATGTTAAAATGTGGTTACCATATTTACAAAATACCTTATTCTGAGAAATTCAGGTCTCAGAAGGCACTCTCATATTGTCCCTCTACTGCAATCGAGAAACCTGAGGCTGATTCATCTTCTGCTAGGTGTATGTGGCGGATGATAACAAGCCATTCACCAGCCTAGAGGGACCAACCTATAAGGGTCTACAGCTTAGGGACCTTAAGAACAGGAAATTACCAATTGGGAGAAACTTTAATGAGGACAGGCAATCTTTTGGGACACTTTAAAACCAGCCTGGAGTTGCTTATCAGCTTAAGGAGATTTTGGGCTGAGACGATGGGGTTTTCTAGATAAACAATCATGTCGTCTGCAAACAGGGACAATTTGACTTCCTCTTTTCCTAATTGAATACCCTTTATTTCCTTCTCCTGCCTGATTGCCCTGGCCAGAACTTCCAACACTATGTTGAATAGGAGCGGTGAGAGAGGGCATCCCTGTCTTGTGCCAGTTTTCAAAGGGAATGCTTCCAGTTTTTGCCCATTCAGTATGATATTGGCTGTGGGTTTGTCATAGATAGCTCTTATTATTTTGAAATACGTCCCATCAATACCTAATTTATTGAGAGTTTTTAGCATGAAGGGTTGTTGAATTTTGTCAAAGGCTTTTTCTGCATCTATTGAGATAATCATGTGGTTTTTGTCTTTGGCTCTGTTTATATGCTGGATTACATTTATTGATTTGCGTATATTGAACCAGCCTTGCATCCCAGGGATGAAGCCCACTTGATCATGGTGGATAAGCTTTTTGATGTGCTGCTGGATTCGGTTTGCCAGTATTTTATTGAGGATTTTTGCATCAAAGTCTCAGGATACAAAATCAATGTACAAAAATCACAAGCATTCTTATACACCAACAAGAGACAAACAGAGAGCCAAATCATGGGTGAACTCCCATTCACAATTGCTTCAAAGAGAATAAAATACCTAGGAATCCAACTTACAAGGGATGTGAAGGACCTCTTCAAGGAGAACTACAAACCACTGCTCAAGGAAATAAAAGAGGACACAAACAAATGGAAGAACATTCCATGCTCATGGGTAGGAAGAATCAATATCGTGAAAATGGCCATACTGCCCAAGGTAATTTACAGATTCAATGCCATCCCCATCAAGCTACCAATGACTTTCTTCACAGAATTGGAAAAAACTACTTTAAAGTTCATATGGAACCAAAAAAGAGCCCGCATTGCCAAGTCAATCCTAAGCCAAAAGAACAAAGCTGGAGGCATCACACTACCTGACTTCAAACTATACTACAAGGCTACAGTAATCAAAACAGCATGGTACTGGTACCAAAACAGAGATATAGATCAATGGAACAGAACAGAGCCCTCAGAAATAATGCCGCATATCTACAACTATCTGATCTTTGACAAACCTGAGAAAAACAAGCAATGGGGAAAGGATTCCCTATTTAATAAATGGTGCTGGGAAAACTGGCTAGCCATATGTAGAAAGCTGAAACTGGATCCCTTCCTTACACCTTATACAAAAATCAATTCAAGATGGATTAAAGATTTAAACGTTAAACCTAAAACCATAAAAACCCTAGAAGAAAACCTAGGCATTACCATTCAGGACATAGGCGTAGGCAAGGACTTCATGTCCAAAACACCAAAAGCAATGGCAACAGAAGACAAAATTGACAAATGGGATCTAATTAAACTAAAGAGCTTCTGCACAGCAAAAGAAACTACCATCAGAGTGAACAGGCAACCTACAACATGGGAGAAAATTTTCGCAACCTACTCATCTGACAAAGGGCTAATATCCAGAATCTACAATGAACTCAAACAAATTTACAACAAAAAAACAAACAACCCCATCAAAAAGTGGGCGAAGGACATGAACAGACACTTCTCAAAAGAAGACATTTATGCAGCCAAAAAACACATGAAAAAATGCTCATCATCACTGGCCATCAGAGAAATGCAAATCAAAACCACTATGAGATATCATCTCACACCAGTTAGAATGGCAATCATTAAAAAGTCAGGAAACAACAGGTGCTGGAGAGGATGCGGAGAAATAGGAACACTTTTACACTGTTGGTGGGACTGTAAACTAGTTCAACCATTGTGGAAGTCAGTGTGGTGATTCCTCAGGGATCTAGAACTAGAAATACCATTTGACCCAGCCATCCCACTACTGGGTATATACCCAAATGAGTATAAATCATGCTGCTATAAAGACACATGCACACGTATGTTTATTGCGGCACTATTCACAATAGCAAAGACTTGGAACCAACCCAAATGTCCAACAATGATAGACTGGATTAAGAAAATGTGGCACATATACACCATGGAATACTATGCAGCCATAAAAAATGATGAGTTCATATCCTTTGTAGGGACATGGATGAAATTGGAAACCATCATTCTCAGTAAACTATCGCAAGAACAAAAAACCAAACACTGCATATTCTCACTCATAGGTGGGAATTGAACAATGAGATCACATGGACACAGGAAGGGGAATATCACACTCTGGGGACTGTGGTGGGGTCGGGGGAGGGGGGAGGGATAGCATTGGGAGATATACCTAATGCAAGATGACACATTAGTGGGTGCAGCGCACCAGCATGGCACATGTATACATATGTAACTAACCTGCACAATGTGCACATGTACCCTAAAACTTAGAGTATAATAAAAAAAAAAAAAAAGAAAAAAAAAAGAAAAAAAAAATAAAAACAGTAACAATATAAAAAACAAACAAAAACAAACAAACAAAAAAAAAAAAACACCAGCCTGGAAACAAGGTAGCCAAGACTTTATCCTTTATCTCATCTGATCTTCACAACAACCAGGTCAAGTGGACCAAGCTGAAGTTATCATTTCCCATAAGTAAGAAGTGTCAGATTCCATAAAGAAAATTAATTTATGTTTAACAGAGCCATGGGCAAAGATTATTTCACCTATTTTGCTGACTGAGAAAGGAATTATGAAAATTTGCCTGATTTTACATGCATTTGTCACAGCTGGACTAGCACTAAAGTATAGATGCCCGGATTCTCGCTGTCTCCGCGGTGTCACTGTCTCCTTGTGACATTCAGGGAATGGGGAAATTTTGTAACTTTCATCAAGTCAGCTAAGGAGCAACCCAGCCAGCTTCCCACAAACTACTTAAGGCATTCAGCCCACACATGCCAATGAGTATCTTGTCAAGCGCTTGTCTACACTAATTTGCATAGTTAGTGTAGAGAGAGTACATGTATATGCACTCAGCATGGCATACTACACGTCAGTGAATTTTCATTCCAAACCTTAGAGCTGACTGAAAGCTGTCCAGAAAATTATCTGTGAATGGGTGCCAGCTTGCCAAAAATATTTAAACTTTAAAATTACAAACCAAATGGTCATAAAGGGATGAGGGAAAGACAGATTGACCAGGAACAAAGAGATGTCTTTTTGTTCATTTTACCAGAGGCCCCTAGGTAACTGTAGCTCTAACCTGTGAGTATCCCAGAAAATACAAAAGAATAGGACCATGCATTTTCACGGTCCTGATGCAGCATCATCGATTAGAAGAGTTCCACACAAGGACATGGGAGAAGGTTTGCCCCAGGATAGGATACAATATCAAGGTGGCTTTTCCCACACCTCGACAACGAGAATTCCCTTAGGACCCTTTTCCCATTGTGTTATTCTAGCTTCATTCCCATCCAGTTCTATCCCTCTTACTTTACCCCTTTTCATTCATTCCTTTTACTTACTTCGATTTTTCCTATCCCTCCCATTAGTCTGCAGTGTTTTTGAGGCAGCAATCAAGTCTCCAACTTTCAAAGTACGAAGCATGATATTTTTCATAATAGATGCTCAGCATGTTTTTATTTAACAAAACAGAATATAATAATGGCTACCGTTTATAGAGCAATGTGTGTCATTTGTGATGTTAGGTGCTCTTTGTATTTGATTTGATTTTATCCTTATAACAATTGAATGATGTAGGTGTCTTCATCCTTGTTTTACAGGGGAGGAAACTGAAGCTTTGGGAAATTAAGTAACTTGCCCAAGGTCACATAATTAGTAAGCAGCAGAGTTGGGACTCAATCCATATTTTTTCTGATTTAAACATGGGGTAACTTACACACTAATCTAGGCTGCCTTCCTGTATTGACTATTTTGTTATAAAATTGAAAGAGAAAAGCTGGAAGGGTGAGACATGGTTAGACAAGCAGTCACTTGCCTTCAGGAAGCTGGACGAGTTGAACTGCCAAGCAGAGTCCACATTCTTGATGTGTACCTGGGTATTAGAGGGCAGACAGGTACCCGTGGGAAGGAACTCATTTCAGACCTTAAGCTAATTCTCATCCCCTTTTAATATGAGACAAAAAAACTAAAATGAAGCTGTCCTGTGTTCAGGTGTACTGTGTGCTAATCCTATTCTCCTTGGGAGAGGAGGAGCAGTAGGAGATGATTTCTACAAATCATTGCCTGGCTTTGCAGACAGATTGCTGAGTCAGAGGGAGTTAGCTGACATTATAGAAAGGCAAATGGGCAGCTTACCCCAGGATAATGCAGGTCTATTATTCAGCCTTTCCTATGAGTTACAGAGCAGGATGCCATCACAACAGTGAGACTGGAGGTTTAGTGACAGTGGGGAGATACATTGGTAAAGGTGTAGTATGCTGGTGCCTATTTGGAAATCCAAGGTCCTGAAGTTGCTGAAAAACTTATTTAAATGAATAAGCTAAAGACAGAACCCAAGGGGTATAGCACAGCAGAATAAGCTCTAATCATGAACTTAGGATATTGTGCCTTTTAATTTCAATGCTGGAACTTATTTTAAAAATCATGTAGATGAATAATGTTTTGAAATGCTAATTAATATGCTTCTGTTTCTCGAATTTGCTTCAACCCTTGTTCCTTTTCTCATTCAGTCAGCTAAGTATTCTTCATCAGTGCCTTAGGGGTGAACTGACAGCAGAAAGCAGAGTCAGTTGTTGGCTTTTGAGTTTAGCAATACAGATATTATGACTCAGCTATGAAAACATGAGATTTTGAGAGAATATGGAATAAGAAAAAATGTTCTGATCTCAAAGACAAAGAATGGAGTCCAAAGCTTGGGAAGAAAGATATAGAAGAAACTTAAAAGTTGGTTGGAGAAAGAATAAGGAAACATAGGCAGATGGACCATGATGACTGTATTGAATCAGCATCTGGGGAATGACCAGAGTCCATTTGACTGTACATCATCTGTAGCTCAGAACCTAGGGACAGCAGGCTTTAGACATGAAGTCTTATGTATTGCCTGCACTGAGGAGCTATGATGAGGTCCCCCCTTTGACAGAAGTCAGCACCTAGCCCACTGGTCATGTATCAGGAGTGATAGCCATTCATAAGCCCACTCTTAAGCGTGTTCTGTTGGCATCCACTTACCCTAGAATTGTCTACTCTTTATCAGCATCCTGGGACAACTGTATACCTATGAAATGGATACTTACAAGGGTGGTAGCATATAACAAAAAGTCCTTTACTCATATACATAGGTGGAAAAAAAGGAAATTATCTAGGGGTTTTTCTGTGTATTTAGCAGCCAAAAAAAAGTTTCCATTTGCAGTACACAAAGTAATGGCTCCCAAAGATGTGGGAGAATAAGTCCCTTTTGCCATGTAAGGTAACATATTCTTAGGTTCTGGGCCCTAAGAATAGGTATAGGCAATCAAATTTAGGATACTCAGATAGAAACATTACTTTGGATTATCCTGGAGAGTTCAATATAATCACAAGTGTTTTTATAAAAGGGAGGCAGGAGAGTCAGAGTCAGAGAGGAAGATGTGACAATAGAAGCAGAAGTGACAATAGAAGAAGAATTTGGGGTGACCCAGAGCCATGAACCAAGAAATGTTGGCAGCCTCTAACAGCTGGCAAGGAAAAGGAAACTGATTTTCCCCTGCGACCTCCAGAAGGAAGTAGCTTGTTAATAATATGAAATTTTGAACCCTGTTCTATGTCTACGAAATCACATTATCTCGATTTGGGCCCAGACTTTGTTGTGTAAAACTGTCCAATGTTATTGTGATACTGCCTGCAGCCTGTGCACAGGAGGTTAAAAAAAAAGTACTAACTCTAAATCGACAAATCACTCACCATGACCATTATCACATTCAGGAATTTGAATGGTCTTTTACCACAAAAAGATCAAATTGTCGTTCGGTTTCACAAGATCTCATCACACCTTGAAAAAAAATAACAACTTCCACTTACTGAACATATGTATTCTAAGACAATCAGTGTGCTGATACGTTCATACTTCATGTCATTTAATCTTACAGTCACCCTATGAAATAATGACTAATGAACATATATATTCTAAGACAATCAGTATGCTGATACTTTCGTGCTTTATGTCATTTAATCTTACAGTCACCCTATAAAATAATGACTAATGTTATAATCTATAATTTTTTAAGTTCTAGAATAATTAACTGCAGCTGGATTACAAAGGTAAAAATATAGTTTATATACAATCTGGAATGCAATTGAGTGGCATGGAACAGACCTCAAAACCAGTTCTATTAATTCCTGCCAAGGCACAGTGAGGCTTCTCTTCCATGTAATCCTTCTGTTGGTGTTCACGAAACATCTCATCGTCTCCAAGGAGCCTTAGAATATATCTGACAAACAAAAAGTTATACCACACGGAGCCAGTTCAATAGGGCTGAGCAAAATTTCAGTCCCAAAGACCCCTCACTCCTAGAAGACCATGAGCAGAGCTCTGGTGGTGCTGTCAGTGGGAGGCCTTTACGGGACATTATAAGGAGAGCTAACGTAACTCAATGGCATGGATGATTTGTGACACTGGCCCAAATGTCTAACGTGATCCCATGATCTGCATTCAATAACTTGACTCCCAGCTCACGGTTGATAACATCCTTCTATTAGCAGTTGATGAGTCACAGTACTGATTCCCCTCTGTCTGTCTGGTTCCTCCAGGTATGTTGAGCCCTTGGCATGTTGGACCCCACCAACCTCTTCCCTCAACATTGCCTTTCCTCCATATCTTAACCTTTAGCCCTTGTAATTTTTATTTGGTCTCAAGGGACAGTGCAGCGTATTTTCCGATCTGTTATTTTAGCATATGTTTTATGTTCTACTTTATTCTAGATTTTCTGGCCTTTGACTCTAAAAGTCAAACTTTGGGTATAAGAACTATTTTTCTCAAACTACTCTCCCAGTCTTGAGTTTCAAAATCCTGGCAATATAAGCTAGAGGTGGGAGCATGAGGTACAAGGATGTGTGGAAGAGTAAGAAACGAACCACATAAACAATATTGCAAAACATGATTACTATTTATAATCCCAGGGCCATACAGGCAATAAGAGATGAAGGCAGGCATTACATCCACATCTCTCTGATGTGGTCTCTCTGATGTGGTCTCTCTGATGTGACATCCAGTCCATCATTAGACCTCTCTGACTAGCATGCCCAACTCTAAATCACTGCAAATTCTACTCAAAGGTCCTAGTCTGGGCCTATGGAGCAGCTTTGTTCCTTCTTTCTCAAGATAGTCATTTGGATATTTGAAAATAACTATTTTGGCACCTGAGCCATCTATAAGCTAAACACCATCTAACTCCTCTACTGTTCTTCCTAGACATAATATTGTCCATCTTTTCATCTTCCTGGACCTTCTTCTGGAAGTGCACAAGTTTTTGTGTGTCTCTCTTGACTTGTGACTTTCTCAATCAAGCTGCATCATTCCAATTAGGGAGGTCTAAAGTTAACTACAGACACTTTCCCAATATCATTGTTCCTGGCACCACACTTCCAAATTGAAATATGACTGTACCATGCAGAATGTGTATAGGCTTCTACTGCATCTTTCTAGGAGATATTTCCAACCTCAGAGAAGGTGCTTGGGATCAATTGAGGATATTCTTCAACCTCTCTCTAGAGCAAAAATGCACTCCTAATGCTATAGCATACCAAGATTTATACAAAGACTAGGAAAAAGGTTCTGCATGTGTTATGTAGTAATTAGTCCAGCAATAGTGAGAATCTGAAATTACCACAAGTGCTCCTTATGTCAGAAGCCCCAGACTGTAAGGCAGCAGGGGATGGGGTGGGCATGTCGGCAAAATGACGGTATACCTACTATGTACCCATTAAAATTAAAAGTTTGAAAAAAAAAGTACAGTACAAAAAGCAGGAGCCTGTAGCTGATTCTGCAAAAATTTCACTTTGGGCCCTTGAATAATGATTTTACCTCTTTTGATTTTCTTTTTCCCACTTGTAAAACAATAGGATTAAGACAGAGTGAGATTTTTAAAACACTTTTTTTATTTTTATAGCTTTAGAGGTGCAGTGGCTTTTGGTTATGTGGATGAATTATATAAAAGCAAATCTTGAGATTTTAGCGCACTCCTCACCTGAGTAGTATATATTGTACCTAATATGTAATTGTTTATCCCACAACCCTCTAGAGTAGTTTCTTAAGGTGTTTATTTACTCACTGCAATGAGGAAAACATTTCTGCACATGAACACCAAAAATATATATTTTTTACTTACCCATAAATTATATACATAAGCTACGCTAACATATATAGTATAAAACATACCACAAGTAAAACTTTTAAAATAATTTGAATTTTGGCCAGGCGCAGTGGCTCACACCTGTAATCCCAGCACTTTAGGAGGCTGAGGCGGGTGGATCAGGCGGTCAGGAGTTCGAGACTAGCCTGACCAACATGGCGAAACCCCGTCTGTACTAAAAATACAACGACAACAACAACAAAAATTAGCCGGGCATGGTGGCGCGCACCTGTAATCCCAGCTACTCAGGAGACTGAGGCAGAATTGCTTGAACCCGGGAGGTGGAGGTTACAGTGAGCTGAGATCGCGCCACTGCACTCCAGCCTGGGCAACAGAGTGAGACTCTGTCTCAAAAATAAATAAATAAATAAAATAATAATAATAATTTGAATTTTAAAATATAATAATGAGTGTAATATATTTCATTTTATCCCAGTGAGTCATCATAAGCACCTAGAGCATGGAGTGGCAAACTTTTTCTATAAAGGGCCAGGTAGTAAATACGTTAGGCTTTGCCGGCCATATTCTTTCTCTTGTAAAGATGATTTTGTCTGATGTTAGTATAGCCATTTCAGCTTTCTTGTGGTTGCTATTTGCAAGACATATAATTTTCTATTCTTTTACTTTCAACCAATTTGTATCCTTGAATCTAAAATAGTATCTCCTATAGGGACCCCTTATACATGGTTGATGGGGATGTAAATTAATATAGTCATTTTAGAAAACAGTATGAAAGTTTCTCAAAAAGAAAAAAAAAATTACCATATGATCCAGCAAGCCCACTTCTAGGTTTATACCTAAAGAGATTGAAATCAGGATCTCATAAAGATTATCTGCATTCTCATATTTTATTGAAGTGATATTCACAATAGTTAAGACATGGAAGCAACCTAAATGTCCATTGATGGATGAATGGGTAAAAAGAATGTGGTATATGCATAATGGAATATTATTCAGTCTTATAAATAAAGAAAATGCTGTTATTGTGACAACAAGGATAAACATGGAGGACGTTATCCAAGTGAAATAAGCCAGGCTTAGAAAGACAAAGACTGCTTGATATCACATACATGTGGACTCTATGAAAGTCAAACTCATAGAAGTAGAGAGTAAAATGGTGGTTACTAGAGCCTGGGAGGGATCAGGGAATTGGAGGGTGGATGGGAAAACTGGATACGTTACTCAAAGGGTACAAAGTTTCAGTTGGTTAGGAGGACTGATTCTAGTGATCTGTTGCATAGCATAGTGACTACAGTTAATAATAATTATTGTATATTTCAAAATTTCTTTAAAAAAGTAGATTTCAAATGTTCTCACAATAAAGAAATGATAAGTATGTGATGTGGTAAATATGTTAATTAGTCTGATTTAATCATCGCACAAAGTACACATGTATTATAACATAACATTGTACCACATAATATATATAATTATTTGTCAATTAAAACTAAAATCTAAAACAAAAAAACAAAAACAAAGTCTCCTAAACACAGCAAATAATTGCATCTTGTTTTTTATTTGAGTTTGACAATTTTTGACTAAACTATTTAATCCGTTCAAATTTAACATTATTATTGATATAATTGGATTTGCATCTACCTTTTAGCTTGTTTATTTCTCTACGTTTCATGTCTTTTTGTTCCTCTATTTCTCCTTTACTGCTTTTTTTTGCATTGAGAGAATATTTTCTAATGTAATATATTAATTCCTTTAATTTCTTCTACAATCATTAATGGTTTTGTTTTGTTAACGGCTGCTCTAGAGTTTACTATACATATTTTAATTATCACAGTCTACTTTAAATTTATACTACCATAGCTATTGTACTTATTGTTGTATGTGTGTGTATATATATATAACTTTATATAACATCATACATGTTACAAATATGTTACATAATATATGCTGCAAATCTAACAATATTGTATTTTAATTTTTACTTCATATGATTTTATGTCTATTAAAGAAGCTGAGATATGATGTCTGTTGCAACTACTCAACTCTGCAACTATAGCATGAAAACAGCCATAGGCAACACTTACATGATGAACATTGCTGTGTTCCAATAAAACTTTGTATATAGGCATTGAAATTTGCATTTTATGTCATTTTTACATCATGAGATAGTCTGTCATTTTTTTCCAACCACTTAAATAAGTAAAAACTACTTTGGCTCACAAATTATATGAAAACAGTCAGGGGCAGGATTCAATCTGAGTGCATAGTTTTCCAACCACCTGGACATCGGCAATTATACTTTAAACTCTTTTACGTGACACCCTGAGGCTACCCAGACATATCACCAGGCCAGCCATGGTGGTGAAATAAGGTCAGAGATTGGGCTTCAGTGCCCTGTCTTCATTTCATGAAGAATAGTTGTACTTATAGTTTGTTTTGTTTGTCAGATTGGAAATATTGCTTAACAAAATGGAAGGAAAAAAGAAGGGAGAGGGAAGGAAGAAAGAGAGCAGGAAGGGGAAAAAAGAGTAATCTCAAATGTTCTCTCTAGATCTGACATTTTACTACATTCATGTAAAATAGTACCAAATCTTTAAGAACTCTACTAAATTTCTGTTATTCTGGAAATCTGAATAATATTTGTATATTAGGCAGTATTTTCATTTATCTCTATTAATGTCTTTCTGAACTTTTAAATCTAAGTTTATTTTCACACAGAGAAACAACATTAAGGAAAGGGAACAGATTTTCTACACCTGGACATAAAGAACTAGGAGAACTGAGATCTTTTAGCACCCTCTTGTGTCCATAAGTAGTGATTACAACAGCCTACCCCTCTATTAATAACATCTAAGTTCTCAGATAGTGGGATAATATTCTTGCAACAAAGAACTAGAAGTGATAACAAGGGTTTGCCAATGCTTATTTGTACTTATCTGTTATATTTGAACATATCTTCTACAAATAACAGTTCCCTGAAAAGAAAAACACTTCCTTTCTTCCTTTGGTTTAAATGCTACCCACTCTTTAAAAAAAAGTTTACCATCAACTTTAGCTCATCATAAATATCCTTTCTGCATAATTAAAGCACTTGAGATTATAGGTTTCAACATCAGACATGGGTTTGATTCTTAACTCTGCCCTCTATTAGCTGTATAACTCTCCGCAAATCAATCAACCTTCTCTTCTAAGTGTTTATGCAGCCGTTTATGAATGAATGGAACCCCACCCATATCAGCATAGTTGTTTCACCTGTGACTGAACTAAAAATCACTTTGACTTAAAAGTTAGAACTGGAGACACAAACAACAAAATAAAGAATAGACAAATTGCACTTCATCAAAATTAATAACTTTTTTGTATCAAAAGACACTATCAAGAAAGTGAAATGACCACCTACCAAATGGGAAACAGTATTTACAAATTATACATAGTGGATTCTTCTTATTTGTGTTATTTGTAATACTCAGGTTCTAAAAGTCACTGCAGACATTGAATTAGCAAATATTGGAACGTTGTTCCTAGAGAAATATACACATTTTTATATACACTCTGTGTGTATGTGTGTGTATATGTATATCCCAATTATATATATATTTGCATTATATATTTACATTGTATATATAATGTATATATATTTACATTGTATATATAATGTATATATATTTACATCATATATAATGTTTGGATATATATCATAGATTATAATCTTATATCCTAAAAGTAACTCATTTTGGTAGACTCTATTTTCTTTAATTTACAAAAGGGGAAACAAGGTTCAGAAGAGATAAGAAACTTACCTGAGGCTGCCTCACAGGTCTGAGTTGAGACTCAAACCCGTGCAACTGACCCCAGAGCTGAAACTTTTTGCAGTATACTGCACTGGCAATCTTCTGGTAATCTCTGTATGAAAGCTGAAACAAGAAGATAGAGCAATGCCTTAGTCAACCTCAGCTAAGAATGTGCACCTCTAGCAACTAAATTTTTCACTGCTCTGCATATCTTCAAATGACCACTGATTTGGGGAATACAAATAATTTTAGCAAATAGGCAAATTCACAAATATAAAACCTACAAATAGTGAGAATCGGCTATATTTGATAAGGGTCTATTATCTAAGATATATAAAGAACTGTTACAACTCAATAAAAAATGAGCCAATTAAAACATGGGCAGCTCACAAAAATAAAATACAGTATCTAGGAATACATATAAGCAAGGAGGTGAAAGATCTCTATAAGGTGAACTACAAAACACAGTTGAAATAAATCATAAATGACACAAACAAATGGAAAAATATTTTATGCTAATGGGTTGAAAGAATCAACATTGGCTGGGCATGGTGGCTCACATCTATAATCCCAGCAGTTTGGGAGGCCGAGGCAGGCACATCACTTGAGGTCAGGAGTTCGAGACCAGCCTGGCCAACATGACGAAACCCCGTCACTACTAAAAATACAAAAAAAATTAGCTGGGAGTGGTGGTGCATGCCTGTAATCCTAGCTACTCGGGAGGCTGAGGCTGTGGCAGGTGAATCACTTGAACCTGGGAGGAGAAGCTGCAGTGAGCCAAGGTCATGCAACTGTACTCCAGCCTGGGTGACAGAGCGAGACTCTGTTTCAAAAAAAAAAAAAAAAAAAGAAAAGAAAGAAAGAAAGAATCAATGTTGTTAAAATGACCATACTGGCCAAAGCAATCTATAGATTCAATGCAATTCCTATTAAATTACCAACATCACTTTTCACAAATTAGAAAACAAAATTCTAAAATTCATATGAAGCCAAAAGAGCCCAGTCAGAGCAATCTTGAGTAAAAAGAATAAAACTGGAGGCATCACATTACCTGACTTCAAACTATACTACAAGGCTACAGTAGTCAAAATAGTATGGTACTGGTACAAAAATAGACCAGTGGAACAAAATAGATAGCACAGAAATAAAGCCATAAATCTAAAACCATCTGACCTGACAAAGCTGACAAAAAGAAACAATTGGGAAAGAATTTTCTATTTAATAAATGGTGCTAGGATAACTGGCTAACCCTATGCAAATGAACGAAACTGGAACCCTGCCTTTCACCATATACAAAAATTAACTGAAGATGGATTTTAAACTTAAATATAATGCCTCAACCAATAAAAATCCTAGAAGAAAACCTAGGAAACACTTTTTTGGACACTGGTCTAAGCAAAGAATTTATGACTAAGCCCTCACAAGCAAATGCAACAAAAACAGAAAGTGACAATGGAGACCTAATTGAAATAACCAGCTTCTGCACAGCAAAGGAAACTACCAAAAGAGTAAACAGACAACCTTCAGAATAAGGGAAAACTTTTGCAAACTATGCATCCAACAAAAGTCTAAGATCCAGAATCTATGAGGAACTTAAGCACATATACAAGCAAAAAAAACCCCATTGAAAAGTGTACAAAGGACATGAAAAGACACTTCTCAAAAGAAGACACATAAAACAATTCCAATATTATTAATCAACAGGGAAATACACACCAAAACCACCATGAGATATCATCTTACCCAGTGAGAATGGCTGTTATTAAAAAGACAAAAAATAGGGAGCCAAGATGGCCGAATAGGAACAGCTCCGGTCTACAGCTCCCAGCATGACTGACACAGAAGACGGGTGATTTCTGCATTTCCATGTTAGATACCGGGTTCATCTCACTAGGGAGTGCCAGACAGCGGGCGCAGGCCAGTGGGTGTGCACACCGTGCGCGAGCCGAAGCAGGGTGAGGCATTGCCTCACTTGGGAAGCGCAAGGGGTCAGGGAGTTCCCTTTCAGAGTCAAAGAAAGGGGTGATGGATGGCACCTGGAAAATCGGGTCACTCCCACACGAATACTGCTCTTTTCCGTCGGGCTTAAAAAACGGCGCACTACGAGATTATGTCCCACACCTGGTTCGGAGGGTCTTACGCCCACGGAGTCTCGCTGATTGCTAGCACAGCAGTCTGAGATCAAACTGCAAGGCGGCAGCGAGGCTGGGGGAGGGGCGCCCTCCATTGCCCAGGCTTGCTTAGGTAAACAAAGCAGCCTCGAAGCTCCAACTGGGTGGAGCCCACCACAGCTCAAGGAGGCCTGCCTGCCTCTGTAGGCTCCACCTCTTGGGGCAGGGCACAGACAAACAAAAAGACAGCAGTAACCTCTGCAGACTTAAATGTCCCTATCTGACAGCTTTGAAGAGAGCAGTGGTTCTCCCAGTACGCAGCTGGAGATCTGAGAAGGGGCAGACTGCCTCCTCAAGTGGGTGCCTGACCCCTGACCCCCGAGCAGCCTAACTGGGAGGCACCCCCCAGCAGGGACACACTGATACCTCACACGGCAGGGTATTCCAACAGACCTGCAGCTGAGGGTCCTGTCTGTTACAAGGAAAACTAACAAACAGAAAGGACATCCACACCAAAAACCCATCTGTACATCACCATCATCAAAGACCAAAAGTAGATAAAACCACAAAGATGGGGAAAAAACAGAACAGAAAAACTGGAAACTCTAAAAAGCAGAGCACCTGTCCTCCTCCAAAGGAACACAGTTCCTCACCAGCAACGGAACAAAGCTGGACGGAGAATGACTTTGACGAGCTGAGAGAAGAAGGCTTCAGACGATCAAATTACTCTGAGCTACGGGAGGATATTCAAACCAAAGGCAAAGAAGTTGAAAACTTTGAAAAAAATTTAGAAGAATGTATAACTAGAATAACCAATACAGAGAAGTGCTTAAAGGAGCTGATGGAGCTGAAAACCAAGGCTCGAGAACTACGTGAAGAATGCAGAAGCCTCAGGAGCCAATGCCATCAACTGGAAGAAAGGGTATCAGCGATGGAAGATGAAATGAATGAAATGAAGTGAGAAGGGAAGTTTAGAGAAAAAAGAATAAAAAGAAATGAGCAAAGCCTCCAAGAAATATGGGACTATGTGAAAAGACCAAATCTACGTCTGATTGGTGTACCTGAAAGTGATGGGGAGAATGGAACCAAGTTGGAAAACACTCTGCAGGATATTATCCAGGAGAACTTCCCCAATCTAGCAAGGCAGGCCAACATTCAGATTCAGGAAATACAGAGAATGCCACAAAGATACTCCTCGAGAAGAGCAACTCCAAGACACATAATTGTCAGATTCACCAAAGTTGAAATGAAGGAAAAAATGTTAAGGGCAGCCAGAGAGAAAGGTCAGGTTACCCTCAAAGGGAAGCCCATCAGACTAACAGCAGATCTCTCGGAAGAAACCCTACAAGCCAGAAGAGAGTGGGGGCCAGTATTCAACATTCTTAAAGACAAGAATTTTCAACCCAGAATTTCATATCCAGCCAAACTAAGCTTCATAAGTGAAAGAGAAATAAAATACTTTACAGACAAGCAAATTCTGAGAGATTTTGTCACCACCAGGCCTGCGCTAAAAGAGCTCCTGAAGGAAGCGCTAAACATGGAAAGGAACAACCGGTACCAGCCGCTGCAAAATCATGCCAAAATGTAAAGACCATTGAGACTAGGAAGAAACTGCATCAACTAACGAGCAAAATCACCAGCTAACATCATCATGACAGGATCAAATTCACACATAACAATGTTAACTTTAAATGTAAATGGACTAAATGTTCCAATTAAAAGACACAGACTGGCAAATTGGATAAAGAGTCAAGACCCATCAGTGTGCTGTATTCAGGAAACCCATCTCACGTGCAGAGACACACATAGGCTCAAAATAAAAGGATGGAGGAAGATCTACCAAGCAAATGGAAAACAAAAAAAGGCAGGGGTTGCAATCCTAGTCTCTGATAAAACAGACTTTAAACCAACAAAGATCAAAAGAGACAAAGAAGGCCATTACATAATGGTAAAGGGATCAATTCAACAAGAAGAGCTAACTATCCTAAATATATATGCACCCAACACAGGAGCACCCAGATTCATAAAGCAAGTCCTGAGTGACCTACAAAGAGACTTAGACTCCCACACATTAATAGTGGGAGAATTTAACACCCCACTGTCAACATTAGACAGATCAACGAGACAGAAAGTCAACAAGGATACCAAGGAATTGAACTCAGCTCTGCACCAAGCAGACCTAATAGACATCTACAGAACTCTCCACCCCAAATCAACAGAATATACATTTTTTTCAGCACCACACCACACCTATTCCAAAATTGACCACATACTTGGAAGTAAAGCTCTCCTCAGCAAATGTAAAAGAACACAAATTATAACAAACTATCTCTCAGACCACAGTGAAATCAAACTAGAACTCAGGATTAAGAATCTCACTCAAAACTGCTCAACAACATGGAAACTGAACAACCTGCTCCTGAGTGACTACTGGGTACTTAACGAAATGAAGGCAGAAATAAAGATGTTCTTTGAAACCAACGAGAACAAAGACACAACATACCAGAATCTCTGGGACACATTCAAAGCGGTGTGTAGAGGGAAATTTATAGCACTAAATGCCCACAAGAGAAAGCAGGAAAGATCCAAAATTGACACCCTAACATCACAATTAAAAGAACTAGAAAAGCAAGAGCAAACACATTCAAAAGCTAGCAGAAGGCAAGAAATAACTAAAATCAGAGCAGAACTGAAGGAAATAGAGACATAAAAAACCCTTCAAAAAATTAATGAATCCAGGAGCTGGTTTTTTGAAAGGATCAACAAAATTGATAGACCGCTAGCAAGACTAATAAAGAAAAAAAGAGAGAAGAATCAAATAGTTGCAATAAAAAATGATAAAGGGGATATCACCACCGATCCCACAGAAATACAAACTACCATCAGAGAATACTACAAACACCTCTATGCAAATAAACTAGAAAATCTAGAAGAAATGGATAAATTCCTTGACACATACACTCTCCCAAGACTAAACCAGGAAGAAGTTGAATTTCTGAATAGACCAATAACAGGATCTGAAATTGTGGCAATAATCAATAGCTTACCAACCAAAAAGAGTCCAGGAGCAGATGGATTCACAGCCGAATCCTACCAGAGGTACAAGGAGGAACTGGTACCATTCCTTCTGAAACTATTCCAATCAATAGAAAAAGAGGGAATCCTCCCTAACTCATTTTATGAGGCCAGCATCATTCTGATACCAAAGCCTGGCAGAGACACAACCAAAAAAGAGAATTTTAGACCAATATCCTTGATGAACATTGATGCAAAAATCCTCAATAAAATACTGGCAAACCGAATCCAGCAGCACATCAAAAAGCTTATCCACCATGATCAAGTGGGCTTCATCCCTGGGATGCAAGGCTGGTTCAATATACGCAAATCAATACGTGTAATTCAGCATATAAACAGAACCAAAGACAAAAACCACATGATTATCTCAATAGATGCAAAAAAGGCCTTTGACAAAATTCAACAACCCTTCATGCTAAAAACTCTCAATAAATTAGGTATTGATGGAACGTATTTCAAAATAATAGGAGCTATCTATGACAAACCCACAGCCAATATCATACTGAATGGGCAAAAACTGGAAGCATTCCCTTTGAAAACTGGCATAAGACAGGGATGCCCTCTCTCACCACTCCTATTCAACATAGTGTTGGAAATTCTGGCCAGGGCAATTAGGCAGGAGAAGGAAATAAAGGGTATTCAATTAGGAAAAGAGGAAGTCAAATTGTCCCTGTTTGCAGATGACATGATTGTATATCTAGAAAACCCCATTGTCTCAGCCCAAAATGTCCTTAAGCTGATCAGCAACTTCAGCAAAGTCTCAGGATACAAAATCAATGTACAAAAATCACAAGCATTCTTATACACCAACAACAGACAAACAGAGAGCCAAATCATGAGTGAACTCCCATTCACAATTGCTTCAAAGAGAATAAAATACCTAGGAATCCAACTTACAAGGGATGTGAAGGACCTCTTCAAGGAGAACTACAAACCACTGCTCAAGGAAATAAAAGAGGATACAAACAAATGGAAGAACATTCCATGCTCATGGGTAGGAAGAATCAATATCTGAAAATGGCCATACTGCCCAAGGTAATTTACAGATTCAATGCCATCCCCATCAAGCTACCAATGCGTTTCTTCACAGAATTGGAAAAAAACTACTTTAAAGTTCATCTGGAACCAAAAAAGAGCCCACATCGCCAAGTCAATCCTAAGCCAAAAGAACAAAGCTGGAGGCATCACGCTACCTGACTTCAAACTATACTACAAGGCTACAGTAATCAAAACAGCATGTTACTGGTACCAAAACAGAGATATAGATCAATGGAACAGAACAGAGCCCTCAGAAATAACGCCGCTTATCTACAACTATCTGATCTTTGACAAACCTGAGAAAAACAAGCAATGGGGAAAGGATTCCCTATTTAATAAATGGTGCTGGGAAAACTGGCTAGCCATGTGTAGAAAGCTGAAACTGGATCCCTTCCTTACACCTTATACAAAAATCAGTTCAAGATGGATTAAAGACTTAAACGTTAGACCTAAAACCATAAAAACCCTAGAAGAAAACCTAGGCATTACCATTCAGGACATAGGCATGGGCAAGGACTTCATGTCTAAAACACCAAAAGCAATGGCAACAAAAGACAAAATTGACAAATGGGATCTAATTAAACTGAAGAGCTTCTGCACAGCAAAAGAAACTACCATCAGAGTGAACAGGCAACCTACAAAATGGGAGAAAATTTTCGCAACCTACTCATCTGACAAAGGGCTAATATCCAGAATCTACAATGAACTCAAACAAATTTACAAGAAAAAACAAACAACCCCATCAAAAAGTGGGCGAAGGACATGAACAGACACTTCTCAAAAGAAGACATTTATGCAGCCAAAAAACACATGAAAAAATGCTCATCATCACTGGCCATCAGAGAAATGCAAATCAAAACCACAATGAGATACCATCTCACACCAGTTAGAATGGCAATCATTAAAAAGTCAGGAAACAACAGGTGCTGGAGAGGATGTGGAGAAATAGGAACACTTTTACACTGTTGGTGGGACTGTAAACTAGTTCAACCATTGTGGAAGTCAGTGTGGCGATTCCTCAGGGATCTAGAGCTAGAAATACCATTTGACCCAGCCATCCCATTACCCAAAGGACTGTAAATCATGCTGCTATAAAGACACATGCACACGTATGTTTATTGCGGCATTATTCACAATAGCAAAGACTTGGAACCAACCCAAATGTCCAACAATGATAGACTGGATTAAGAAAATGTGGCATATATACACCATGGAATACTATGCAGCCATAAAAAATGATGAGTTCATGTCCTTTGTAGGGACATGGATGAAATTGGAAATCATCATTCTCAGTAAACTATCGCAAGAACAAAAAACCAAACACCGCATATTCTCACTCATAGGTGGGAACTGAACAATGAGATCACATGGACACAGGAAGGGGAACATCACACTCTGGGGACTGTTGTGGGGTGGGGGGAGGGGGGAGGGATAGCACTGGGAGATATACCTAATGCTAGATGATGAGTTAGTGGGTGCAGCGCACCAGCATGGCACATGTATACATATGTAACTAACCTGCACAATGTGCACATGTACCCTAAAACTTAAAGTATAATAATAAAAGAAAAATAAAATAAAATAAAAATAAAAAGACAAAAAATAATAGATGCTGGTGAGGTTGTAAAGAAAAAGGAACTTTCATACACTGCTGGTGTGGAAGTAACAAAACAAGCAAGGGTGATATAGAAGCATGCATGGTGTGTGGCTAGAGTTGGCTAGCTTTTTTTTTCTTTTAAGTTTCATTCCATCTCTAACATTTAATGCTAAAGTGTTAGCAGAAAAGAAAGAAATTTCTGTAAGTTGAGTTATATGTTTGAGAAAGAAACACATCAAGAAACAGATGGAGAGGTGGAGCAATATGGCAGAATAGAAGGCTCCACCAATTGTTCCCCCTGCAAAGAAACCAATGTAAAAACTATCTACGCTCAAAAAAAAAAACCTTCGTAAGAACCAAAAGTCAAGTAAGCTCTCACAATACCTGATTTTAACTTCATATCACTGAAAGAGGCACTGAAGAGGGAGGAAATACAGTCTAGAATCACTGATGCCACTTCTCCCCCACCTCCCTGGCAGGGGCAGTGTGGTACAGAGAGTATTTCTGTTCCCCGGGGAGATGGAGAGCCAGCAATTATGAGGCGTTAAACTCAGCACTGCCCTTGTTATAGCAGAAAGTAAAACTAGACCAAACTTAGCTGATGCTGGCCCATAGAGGATGCATTTAAATCAGCCCTGGCCAGAGGGAAATCACAGATCCCAGAGGTCCAAACTTCAGTTCCCACAAGCCTCACCACTGTGGGCTAAAGTGCTCTGGGGCACCAAATAAATTTGAAAAAGAATCTAGGCCACAAGGACTGCAACACCTAGGTGAGTCCTAGGGCTGAACTGGGCCCGCAGTGAACTGGGGGTTGGAGGGCACAAAACCTACTGATCACCAGCCAGGACAATTTAAGCAGTGCTAACCCTCCCGTAACCCCAAGCTGTATAGCTTGCAGCTCCAAAAGAGATCCCTTCCTTCCTCTTGAGGAGAGCAGAGACAGGAGTGGGGAGAATTTTGTCTTGCATCTTGGATACCAGCCTAGCTACAGCAGCATAGAGTATGGTCAGAGCTGTGAGGCCCCCCTTCCAGGCCCTAGCTCCCAGACATTTCTAGACACACCCTGGGTTAGAAGGGAACCTGCTGCCTTGAAGAGAAGGACCCAATCCTGACAGGATTAATCACCTGCTAACTGAAGAGCCCTTGAGCTCTGAATAAGCGTCAGCAGTACCCAGGTACTACACTGAGGCCCTTGGGTGAGTCTCTGAGACTTGCTAGCCTCAGGTAAGACTCAACACATTCCCAGCTGTAGTGGCTATGGGGTGAGACTCCTTCTGCTTGATAAAAACAAGGGGAAAAGTTAAGGAGAATTTGCCTTGCACCTTAGGTACTAGCTTGGCCACAGTGGGTAGAGCACCAAGTGCGCTTTTGGAGTCCCTGGTTCCAGGACTTGGCTCTTAGACAGCACTTCCGGGCCTGCTTTGTACCAGAGGGGAGGCTGCATCCCTGCAGGGTGAGTCCCAGGCCAGACAGCATTCACCACAAGCTGACTCAAGAGCCCTCAGGCCTTAAGGGAACATCAGTAGTAGTCTGGCAGTATTCCCCATGAGCCTGACATGGCGGTGGCCATGGGGAGAGGCTCCTTTGCCTTTGGAAAGGGGAGAGAAGAGTGAGAAGAACTGTGTCTAATGGTTTTAGTGCCAGCTCAGCCACAGTACAATAAAATACCAGGTGGAGTTCTATGATTTTGAATCTAGTCCCTGGCTCCTGGACAGCACCTTGGCACCCACCTGGGGCCTGGGGGAGTTTGCCACCCTGAAGAGAATAATATAAGCCTGGTTGGCTTTGCCACCTGCTGATTGTAGAGCCCCAGGGCTTTGAGTGAACATAGGTGGTAGTCAGAGAGTGGTTACAGCAGGCCTTGTGTAATACCCAGTGCGGTACTGGCTTTAGGACTGATCCAATGCAGTCGTAGGGGTGATGGCCACAGAGGTTCTTATGTCACTCCAACCCAGCTCCAAGTTGCTCAAAACAGAGACAGACTCCATCTGTTTGAGAGAAAATAAGGGAAAAGAACAAAATTCTCTGTCTGGCAATCCAGAGAATTCTTCCAGATGTTGTCCAAGACCATCAAGGAGGTTATCTCTATGAGTCTACAAGAATTACAATGCTGGCCGGGCGCGGTGGCTCACGCCTGTAATCCCAGCACTTTGGGAGGCCGAGGCAGGCGGATCACGAGGTCAGGAGATCGAGACCATCCTGGCTAACACAGTGAAACCCCGTCTCTACTAAAAAACACAAAAAAATTAGCCGGGCGTGGTGGCGGGCGCCTGTAGTCCCAGCTGCGCGGGAGGCTGAGGCAGGAGAATGGCGTGAACCCGGGAGGCGGAGCTTGCAGTGAGCCGAGATCGCGCCACTGCACTCCAGCCTGGGCGACAGAGCGAGACTCCGTCTCAAAAAAAAAAAAAAAAAAAAAAAAAAAAAAGAATTACAATGCTACTGGGCTTGGGGTCACCACTAAAGCAGATTCAGTTTTGATCACAACACCCAAGTCCTTTCAAATATCTGAAAGCCTTCCCAAGAAGGATAAATACAAGTAAACCTGGACTGCAAAAACTACAATAAATACCTAACTCTTCAATGACCAGACATAAACGAACATCTACAGGCATCAAGATGATCCAGGAAAACATGACCTTACCAGATGAACTAAGTAAGGCACCAGGGACCAGTCCTGAAGGAACAGAGATATGTAACCTTTCAGACAGATAATTCAAAATTGCCGTTTTCAGGAAACGCAAAGAAATTCAATATAACACAGAGAAGAAATTCAGAATATCAGATAAATTTAGCAAAGAGATTGAAATACCTAAAAAGAATTAAGCAGAAGTTCTGGAGTTGAAAAATGCAATTGGCATACTAAGGAATGCATCCGAGTCTTAATAGCAGAATTGATCAAGCAGAATAATTAGTGAATTTGAAGAGAGGCTATTTAAAATATATATGGGAGAAAAATGAAAACAGAATTTAAAAAATGAAGCATGCCGACAGGATCTAGAAAAAAATAGCTGCAAAATGGCAAATCTAAGGTTTATTGGTATTAAAGAGGAGGCAGAGAAAGAGATAGAGGTAGAGAGTTTATTCATAGGGATAATAACAGAGAATGCCCCAAAGCTAGAGAAAGATATCGATATCCAAGTACAAGAAGATTTAACCGAAGAAGACTACTTCAAGGCATTTAATAGTCAAACTCCCAAAGGTAAAGAAAGCATCCTAAAAGCAGCAAGAGAAAAGAAACAAATAACATACAATGGAACGCTAATATACTTGGAAGCAGATTTTTCAGTGGAAACCTTGCAGGACAGGAGAGAGTGGCATGATTAATTAAAGGTGCTGAAAGAAAAAAAAAGTTTACCCTAGAATAGTATATCCAGTGAAATTATCCTTCAAACACGAAGGAGAAATAAAGGCTTTCCCAAACAAACAAAAGCTGAGGGATATCATCAACACCAGACCTGTCCTACAAGAAATGCTAAAGGGAGTACTTCAATCAGAAAGAAAAGGATGTTAATGAGCAATAAGAAATCATCTGCAGGTACAAAACTCACTAGTAATAGTAAGTACGCAGAAAAACGCAGAATATCATAACACTGTAACTGGGGTGAGTAAACTACTCTTATCTTCAGTAGAATGACTACACAATGAACCAATCAAAAATAATAACTACAACAACTTTTCAAGACATAGACTGTACAATACAATGTAAATAGAGACAACAAAAAGTTAAAAAGCGGGGGATAAAGTTAAGGTGTAGAGTATTTATTAGGTTATTTGGCTTGTTTGTTTGTTTATGCAAATCATGTTAGGTTGTTATCAGCTTAAAATAATGGGTTATAAGATAGTATGTTCTGGCCTCATGGTAACCTCAAACCAAAATACATACAATGGATACACGAAAGATAAAAAGCAAGAAACTAAATCATGTCTTCAGAGAAAATCATCTTCACTAAAAGGAAGACAGAAAGGAAAGAAATAAGGAAGAGAAGATCACAAAACAACTGGAAAAGAAATAACAAAACGGCAGGAGTAAATCCTTATTTATGAACAATAATATGGAATGTAAATCAACTAAATCTCCAATCAAAACACAGACTGGCTGAATGAATTTAAAAAAAAAAACATAATCTGTTGCCTCCAAGAAACACACTTAACCTATAAAGACACACACAGACTGAAAATAAAGGGATGAAAAAAAAAGATATTCCATGCCAGTGGAAACCAAAAAAGAGCGAGAATAGCTATACTTCTACCCGATAAAATAAATTTCAGTGTTCATGTAAGTGTAAATTAATACAGCCACTATGGAAAATGTTATGGAGATTTCTCAAGAAACCAAACATAGAACTACTATATAATCTGCCAATCCCACTATTGGATACTTATACCAAGGAAAAGAAATCAGTATATCAAAGCGATATGTGCACCCATATGTCTATTGCAGCACTAGTACAACAGCAAAGATATGAAATCAACCTCAATGTCTATCAATGGACAAACTGATTTTAAAAATGTGGAATATATACATAATAGAATACTATTCAGCCGTTTAAAAACTATGAAATCCTGTCATTTGCAGCAAAATGGATGGAACTGGAGATTACTATGTTCAGTGAAATAAGCCAGTCACAAAAAGACAAATATCACATGTTCTCACTAATATGTGAAAACTAAAAAAGTTGATCTTATGGAGGTATAGCATAGAATTATAGATACTAGAGGCTGAGAAGGCATGTGAGGGCAGGGAGATGGAAAACATTTCAGTAACGGATATAAACATATGGTTAGATTGAAGATATAAGTTCTAATGTTGTTTGCCCATTTTTTTTTTTTTTTTGAGATGGAGTCATGCTCTGTTGCCCAGGCTGGAGTGCAATGGCACGATCTTGGCTTACTGCAACCTCCGCCTCCCAGGTTCAAGCGATTCTCCTGCCTCAGCCTCCCAAGTAGCTGGGATTACAGGTGCCTGCCACCATGCCTGGCTAATTTTTTGTATTTTTACTAGAGATAGGGTTTCACCATGTTGGCCAGGCTGGTCTCGAACTCCTGACCTCAGGTGATCTGCCTGCCTCAGCCTCCCAAAGTGTTGGGATTACAGGCATGAGCCACCACTTTTTCATAGGGTGACTATAGTTAGCAAAAATGTATTGTATATTTTAAAGTAGCTAGAAGAGAGTACTTGAAATGTTCCCAACACACACACACACTCTCTCTCTCTCTCTCTCTCACACACACACACACACACACACACACACACAGTTTTCTCCCTATAAAATATGATTTCCAGGCCCAATCCTCTCACAAGCATCCTAGAGCAGTAAAGATTTCACATAGTGACATCAGACTTGAGTTTGATTCCACCTTTACTATTCATTCACCATGAGACTGGACAAATTAGTTAACCTCAGAGTCTCAGTTTCCTCATCTGTGCATTGAATATAGAAACAGTATTCAATAAAAAGGGCTGTGGGGAGCATTAAAGAAAATACTTCATGTAAAGAACATAGAACAGCATCTACTAATCTTCCACAAGGTAGACATTCAGTAAATACTAACCATTTTTATATTTTCAATATTATTACTACTTGTTATTATGATTGCTCTTATTTAGCAACCTAGTTTTATTTGTCAATGCTCCTCAAATTGTAATATACATCATAGTAGTAGCTCCATGTGTTCAATAAAGTCAGGCACCATGAGGTTGGTAGATTACCCCCATTTACAGATGAAAAAAACTGAGACAGATTAAGTAGCTGGCTCAAAGTATATGACAAAGAAGGAATCCTAATCCAAGAATTCTGACCCATGCAGGATTGCAACATCTGAATTATGCCGTTTTGATCGTTATTTCCACAAGATGGCGATCAACAATAGAGAATGGCTTGTCCTCCTACACCCTCTTAATAAATCAAAATGATGTCCCATGGTGGTTAGTCAGTACTTAACCCTTATTAAAAAGGCATTTTCTTGCAGGAGAGCTTTCAGTATTTAAGGAAACTAAATATTTGGAGATAAAAGATATATACTTAAATAAGGATACTTGTAGCCAGTATTAAAGAGGTTTGTTCAGTAGAAATTTAGAGCACAAGATAGGCGCTTGAAGAAAATGTGAAGGAAAAACCCTTGTGAAAAGTAATCAAAAAATAAGCAGCTTCCGACAACTACTCCACAACTGGAGTCGTAATATACACTTCACATCCCCATATCCACAATTCAGTCATTCCTTTGGACAGATGAAAACAAAATTGCAGCTGGGCGCAGGGCTCATGCCTGTAATCCTAGCACCTTGGGAGGCTGAGGCGGGCAGATCACCTGAGGTCAAGAGTTCGAGACCAGCCTGGCCAATATGGCGAAACCCCATCTCTACTAAAAATACAAAAATTAGCTGGGTGTGGTGGCAGGCACCTGTAATCCCAGCTACTCAGGAGCCTGAGGCAGGATAATCACTTGAATCCTGGAGGCAGAGGTTGCAGTGAGCCCAGATCACACCATTGCACTCCAGCCTGGGCAACAGGAGCATAACTGTGTCAAAAAAAAAAAAAAAAAAAAAAAAAGAAAGGGAGAAAGGAAACAAAATTGCAATGAATTTAAACTATGCACATATAAACCTGTAAGTATTTATTGTCTTCTACCCTTCCCCAATGTATTAATGAGAATTCTGCATTTTCAGCATTTCCTACTATGCCTCAATTCTTTCCCACCTTCAGAAGATGAATTTCAGCCACTCCAGTTCGTCTCTGGCCAATTTTTGACATAGAATTGGCAAATGAGCAGAGAGACAAATTGAAAAGTAAAGAGATGGAATTTTTATCAGAAAGACACATATTTAGTCAATTAAAAGCTGAGATATGGAAGCTGAAAGACAAGAGATGAGAAGAAAAATGAAGAGTCACTAAGGTTCGTTTTCTTTGGTTGTTTTGTTTTTGTTAATCAAGTTGAGTTTTTATGTGATAGAGAAGGTTTAAAGAAAAGGTTTGGAGTGGCTTCAGAGTATAAGAGATATGAGGATTGGAGGAATCAGGAAAAGGGGGATGGTCAGAAGATTTCAGTTATAAATTATATCCCTGTTAATCTTTGCCAGGAGATTCAAGAAAAGATTTGAATCACCTTTAATTACTTTAAATATCAGGTTTGGTTTCTTTGAAGTTGAATGCACAAGAACTCCAGGCAGCTGGAGCTCCCAGGTTTTTCTCGTTACAGCAACACTTGGAGGCATCCACATATGCACACACCGTGCTGGCATGAAGGGTACCTAAAACAATACTGCTTTTGCTCCTTCCTGCTCCAAAGCAGAAGCTAGAAAATAAATTATTTTCAATATGCTAATAAACTAATATTAAGCATATGTTCCCTTGCCACTTTAAAGTATGTAATATAAATATAAATCCCTTATACATCTGCTGCTCTCTATAATTTTCAAACGTCTCTTTAATCTCATTTGAACTTCGCAACATTCCTGGAAAGCAAACAAGGGTCATTATCACCATTTTATAAGATGCGGGAAGAGAAGTTCATAGAAGTTGCATGGGTTGCACAAAGTCACCCAGTCACTAAGTGGCAGAGCTGGATTTTAACTTTGGTCTCTCACTGCAAGTTCACTAGGCTCCACACCGCTCAAACGTACTTCAAATACTCCTTCATGGAGAGTTCTATGTATGTATAGGCAAAACCAATGGGCCTAAAGCTTGAAGATCTTGGTTCCAGTCCTGCCCTTTCTATAATGTTGGGTAAGTCGTTTTTCTGCTCTGTGCCTGTTTATCAACTTCTTCAGCTGTGCGTGTTTTAGAAGTAAAATATTTTACTTCGTAATGATATTAGCTATTATTACTAAGGCTTATTTAAGATAGGCACCTCTGTTAGGTATACAGATTTATCATCCATTTAATCTTCATAACCTAGCAAATTTTCGGAGAAGTTAAAATAATTTTCCCAAGCTGTCAAATAGCAGAACCAGGATTTGCATACAGGTCAGAAAGATTCTATTTTCATAGTACTAAATTGCCTAAAAATCTCTGTTGAATTATGAAAATATGTGAGTGGCTATGAGGCTTTCTTCTCTCAGGCATGATGCTGACTTGGCATACTTAGTGTACATACTAATTTGTTAAATGAAAGTTATAATAATAATGACAATAATATAAAAATAAAAGCAGTAGCAAATTGTATTAAGTGCTGTCTATAAATCAATTGCTAAGCACATAAAATTATATAAAGTATATGCACTATCATATTTAATCCTTGAAGCAGCTTTATGTGGTAGGTGCTTTTATTATCCACATTTTAAAAAATAGCAAACCAAGAACTAAAAGGAATAAATTTCTCTACCCTATTCAGTAAGTTGTAGAGCTTGAGTTTACATCTGGGTTTGTCTTCCACAGAATCTATGTTCTTAACAACTGCCTTGTACTTTCTGAATAAGTGGGGCTTTTCTGTGGCCCCTGTACCTGAGCCCTTGTCTTGAATTTATGTGGGTAGAAGATCCTCTCCTCTGAATGTGAGCAGAGGCCCCTCCTCTCTAACCTCAGTGCCCATTTCTCCATGCCTAACCCCTCTCCTCTGCTGTATCTCCTGCCCTAAATTGTTGATGCATCGCCTCTTCCTTCCTTTCCCACTGCACTAAACTAGAATATACTTATTTATACAGTTTCTATTCCATTTATAGTACGAAGAAAAATAAGCTTGAGACATTAGAACTTGATAAGACATATTTCTCTTCACAATAAAGGCTTGAGAACTTTACGTGAGAGAACAATCACAAATTACCAGTTGTGACAAGCTTCAGGCATCATTCTGGATTGTGTCCATATTTCTGAAATCAACACTCTAAGCAAGTGGTACAGGTTTGGGTACTTAATCTAAGTAAGTAGTAGGCCCTTGTTGAACTAAATACAGGACATCCCAGTCCTTAAACTGGGAGAGAAAGGCCAGCTTTCACTGGAGAAAACCCAGTTTCCAACTGAAACAAGAAGACAAACACTAGAGTTTGCCTCTAAAATTCATGAACACCAACTCACAACTCTCCACTCAAACACAGGCAAGGAAGCATTTCCAAAATTAGATTTTTATACAGCTCAGACACACCCTTAGCCTCCCAGACCATGGCAGAGCCACCAGACTGACCCCACACCCTCTTCCAGACTCAGAAATTGGGAGGCCAGAGACTTGCTCAATGTCAAACAACTCTTAAAGACTATGCTCCAAATCCCTTCTTGCCCTTCAATTAACCCTTGGTGCTTTCTTTTGGGAAATCTGACAACCATGGGGTCATCTTGACCAATGGCTATGGAGAACTGCCCTTGACAAAATTCTCCTTCCCTCCTGACTAAAATAGATCCTCAAACTATCATATCCATAAATGGCCTTAGGGAAACGGTCTAACATCTTCCCAAATTACTGCAACAGAAAGAAAGAAAAAGGAAGGAAAGAAGGGAGGAAAGGCAAGAAGAAAGGAGGGAAGGAGAGAGAGAGAAAGAAGAAGGAAAGGAGGAAAGAAAGTCTGTCAATAATGAGTGTCAGAAATGCAAAATTACTTCAAGTTAAAGAGATGTTTTACTTGTGATTTCCTTATAAGGAAATAAGTTCCCAAACTTATTTGGCCACGTGTCTTTCTTATCTCCTCCATGGAGAAGCTCATAAGTTTAGTGTTCTATGAAACACAGTTTGGAATATGCTCATGTAGTCCAATATTCTTAAGATCCCATTTTCAGACAAGGTTCAGAAAGCTGAAATGACTTGTTTAAGGCCCTTCAGTATGCCTTTAAAAGAAGGAGGGTTGCAATCTATGTATTTTCACCCTTGAGGTCAATGATCTATCTACTGCATCATGCTTCCTTGTTCCAGGACCAAAGCATAACTTTGGTCCATAGGACTTGAAAACAACCTAAGCTTCATGAGGCCAGGGACTGTCTGTGTTGTTGACTGCTGAGCACCCAGCACAGTGTCTGGAACATTGAAGGTATCCATAATGTTAAAAGAAAAACCTTAGGCAAAAATTTAACAGAATTTATTTAAGCAAAGAATGATTCATGAATCAAGCAGGAAAGTCAAAAGGAAAACAGAACCAGAAGTTCAGACAGCCCCTCGCTGCAGTGGGAGTAGCAAGCTTTTTTAGACCATGAAAGCAAAATAAGGAAGTTACTTGATAGGCTACAGCTAGGCATTTGCTTTACTGGGGTGTGTTGCAGTGGAGAGTCCCAAGCTAGAGGTTAGCTGGAGGTTTCTAATTGGTTAAACTTAACTTGTGTTTTACCGTTTACATTTAATTGAGTTTTGGTTTGCCTATGTTGGAGTTCCTATTACAGAGACAATCTCAGGCTAATGGCCTCCTTCTTACTTGCTTTAACTATAAGTATTTAATGAATAAGTGCTGCACAACAATAAGAATCGCATTGTCGCATTGTCTTACTGACTCTTCACAACATCCCTAGGGTTATTATTTTCAGGTTAGACCTTGAGATTCAAAAAAGTCAACAACTTGTCACAAGTTCATAGAGCTAGTAAATAGTAGAAGAGTCAAAACTCATAACCAGGTCACTCTGACCCTAAACTCCATACTCTTTAACTATAATTGTATACTATCTCAGTATTTCCCAAGTCCTAAAATACATATAAATCATCTGGGTATCTTTTGAGAATGTAGATTCCAATTCAGTAGATTTGGAGTAAGGTCTATAATTCTACATTTCTAACAACTTGCTAGGAAAAGTAGATCCTGCTGTTTCACAGATTGTACTGAACAGCAAAGCACTATCCACACTCACAGAATGTCAGAGGTTTAAAGGGAAACTTAGGCAGTCAAACTGGAAATATGGAGCCTGGGTATTACAAAGTGCTTATGCATAGGTGGTTTATTAATGCTTACATCACAACACTGAGCTAAAACCAGACCCCAATCCCATTGGTCCCTACTGTAGACAAGACACCACAGTGGGACAGAGTCAACACGCAATGAAGCAGCATGGAGAAAACCGGAAGGAAAATACTCAATAACACTTTACTACTGCCCTGTGATGGTCCAACAGTGTTCACCCTTGTCCAAACCCAACAGGAAAACAGGAGGCAAGGAAGCCCCTTGACATAATTCAACTAAGTAAGCCTCAATGGGTCACAAGCAGGGTAAACAAAGGTGGACGGTGGTTCTGGAAGTGCAAACTGAAGCTAGCTGAGGTATTTGACTCTCTGTGGAGACCACACCAAGCTGATTTCAACTTTCTCTTTTATCTGGAGTGGAAAAAAACAATAAGAAAAAAAAGTAGGGATGGAAGGTGTTTTTTTCTACTCCGTGCCTATATATTTCATCTAGAACTCTTATCTCTTATCTGTGGAAAAGAAATACGTCTTTTTATTTGGGAGGTTAAACCCTTTGCAAGTGCTTATAGAATAATCACAAAACCCTCTCACTCTTTTCTCCCCCCAAATAGACATGCTTTACCACCTTAAATTCACTCCTCTCTCAAACTCCAGATAATTAACTCTCAGAATTCTCCTGCAAGTTACCTTACTGTTTCTTCTCAGATTCACTGCTAAGTACCTCTTCTTATACATAACAGTTTTTTATGGTACTCTATCAACATTTTTTTGTTTTTGCCTGTTCAAGCCTTTCTATCTTTGGGGATCCACTCTCAACTCCATTCTTTCAGTTCCATTTTGCCATCTACCTGTGGGAAAACTACCTAAACGCTGAAGATGCCCCTCAATTTCGATAAGTGCCCAACCAAAATTTACCATCATTCCTCTAATCTTCCTTCTGTGCTCCCTTTTCATGGTAAAGTCACTATAATTTCCCTGCCGATCACCTAGATTCCAAGACAGGTCTAACAAATTTTAGCTTAATAACACTGCCAGGAATTTTATCCTCTGCTTACTTTCCACTGAGAAAAAAAAATCATGTTTAATCCACCTTTTTTCTTGCCTGGGTTAATAGAATACTTTCATAATTAATTCCCTGCTTCTTGGTTTTTTCCTCTCTGGTGCAATTTACACACACCACCATCCAAATAATATTCCAGAATTACAGTTCTGATCACATTATATATTTTTAAAATAATGCAAGTCTCTGAACAGCCATCGAAGGGAAAGGAGCTATGGATGTTTACGGATGAAGAGAAAAGGGAGGCCAAGTTAACATTCCACCTATTTGAACTCCGTTGGCTATTTTGTTCTTTATCTTACACATCTTTTCGTTGGAGGTGAGTGGTATATTTGTTTCCCTTTTCATTCATTTTCTATTTTTTTTTAAATTTTGATATTAGAATTAGTACAAGAAGGAGGAAGGGGAAAAATGAGACTAGTGGTAACAGAGGAGGAGGGAGTCGTGAAAAGCCTGAGTGACCAAACTGGTCATTAATAGTTGCCAGTCATCCATGGAGAAATTGAAGGGAGGAATGATCTTTTCAAAGAACCAGTGTTTCTATGTATGGCTGAAGCATAAGTCCTTCTTTGACTGGTTTTCTTAGAAACAATGCTATTTCTGGAGACTTAGAAGTCCTGGCAAAGAAATGCCAAAATTCTAACGATTTCATTTGGAATGAAACCAAAACTTAGAAAGCTCAGTTTAGTAGAGTTCTGCAAAACCTTGACTTATTTAGCAGTCCTAAACATTCTTAGAGAAAGTATATTTTTCAACTGATGCAGCAAAACATATTTAGAGGGATTTGGTAAGAAAGCTAATGAATGCCAACTCAGAAGAGGAAGAGGATGAGTATGAAAATAATGATAATAAAGATGATGTGGAAGATGAGCTGGTCCACCCAGAAAATTTGAGGAAGAGGAAGAGGAGAATGAGGACAAGAGAGCAAGCTCAGAATTGGAAAAGGGAAAACAGGAAATAGGCTGCTCATTTTCAAAGAAAGAATAATTTTAGAATAAATATTATGATAGCTATGTTGACAGAGAAAGAGTGGAAGATAAACAGAATACTTTTGAGGGAAAAAGAGGAAAAAAGACGTTAGGCATAAGAGAGCGAAAGAGATAACAAGATCATTCTAAAACCAGACTTCCTGATCTTGCTAGTTTTGCAATAGGATGGTCGTTAATGGTTATTTCTGTAGAAAGTAACATGTCACTTTTTATGGGAAGTATGTGTTCTACTATTTTCATATTGTCATTATGCAAAATAAGATTTATTAATATGTTAGTGATAATATTTTATAGGGAGAAAATGTTCATTGAGATCATTGTCAAGTTCCATATATATTTATACGGAATTTTAGCTTTTCTCCTTTTTTTGTTAGTGCTGATTAGCCATCAATTAAGACATGACTAATTTTACACAGGTTTAATGTGGTTCATTTCATTCATAATGTGTCAAACCATTTTTTTCATGACAAGTTGATCATTTTCACAGCTGACTCTAAGATCTCTAGTTTGAAGGCTTTTTGTTTGTTTGTTTGCTTGGTAATGTTTTTAATAACTTACAATTTGTTTATTTGTTCATTTGTTTTGTCACAAGAGTAGTTTAGAGAGTAGCAATAAGATAATGAAGATTTTATTTGACTATGTGGTGCATGGATTTTAATATTCTTTTTATAGCAGTATGTATATTGTGTGTTAAGTGCCTTAGAAATCGTTCCTTAAAGTTTTGAACTTAATTATCTTCTGTGAATTTATGTTTTAAATAAAATCATAACACTTTTTATAAAAAAAGGCAATTCTGGTTATTCTTTGCTGTATCTCTTCTCTGTTTTATCTGTATTACAGTTTAAAGTTTTTCAAACCTAATCAAGTCAAATAAAGATTTGTTATTTAAAAAAATAAAATTACATAATGATTTCGTATTGGGAATTGCAACAGGAATTGCTTTTTAAAAAGAGCCCCATTTAACCCCACCCAGGCTGGGTGGCACCCAGATGGCTTATGGGTAGAACTGACTCCACCCTCACCTCAAAGATTGACCCAGACCAGCCTAAGCCCATCTACATTATCCTATCTCTCATGCCACGCTGATTGTGTCAGGCATCAGTCAGTACATGACACTCCCTTGGCCATAGCAAAACAGTGCAGGAGTGGGCAGGGACATAAATGGGGCAAGTTCAAAAAGGTGCAGGAATTTATTTTCCTGTGGTCAAGATCAAGAAGAAGAGCACTTTGGGAGGCTGAGGCGGGTGGATCAGCTGAGGTCAGGAGTTCAAGACCAGCCTCGCCAACATGGTGAAACCCCATCTCTAGTAAAAATATAAAAAAACTTAGCTGGGCATGATGGTGGGCACCTGTAATCCCAGCTACTTGGGAGGCTAAGGCAAGAGAATTGCTTGAACCCGGTAGACAGAGTTTTCAGTGAGCCGAGACTGTGCCATTGCACTCCAGCCTGGGCAAGAAGAACAAAACTCCGTCAAAAAAAAGAAAAAAAAAAAAAGAAGAAGAAGAGCAGCTCTTTTCTTCTGAATCATGTGCGCTGTGGTTTGAATGTGTCCCCCAAAGTTCAAGTGTTGGAAGCTTAAACCCCAATGCAACAGTGTTGAGGGGTGAGACCTTTAAGAGGTGATTAGGTCATGAAGGCTCTTTCCTTATAAATAGATTAATGTTGTTATCACAGGAGTGGGTTTATTATCAGAAGACTGGATTTGTTATAAAAGTGAGTTTGGCGCTCTCTCTGTCTCTCTCATTTTCTCTCTTTCTTTCTCTCACCCACACAATACCTCCCACCATGTGATGGTGCAAGAGGAAGAGCCTCTCTAGGTGCAATCCTTCAGTCTTGGACTTCCCAGCCTCCAGAACTGCGAGCCAACACATTTCTGTTCTTTATAAATTACCCAGTCTCAGGTAGTTTGTTATAGCAACATAAAACAAAGACAATGTCATTTGGGAGCTTGAGACCTAGAACTACTTCAGCTGTTTTTCTATATTGGAAAGCCAGCCTGAGAATAAAGCCAATACATAGAAGAAAAAAGACAAGAGAAAATCAAATAAAAGCTCAGCAGAAACTCTGAAGCAGCTATTTCTGAAGCTGAGGTTATTTCTGGACTTTTCAGATAATTGAGCTAATAAACTCCATTTGTTGTTTAAGCCAGTTTAAGTTACATTTTGTTTCTTTTAACCAAAACAGATGTTGATACACCAACACAATAAAATTCAGACTCCAAATCTGGTGTGTGTGTGTGTGTGTGTGTGTGTGTGTGTAAATCTGATAATTTCTTACTCTCTATACGCAGCATCATTCTTTAGCCCAGCACTACTCAATCGAACTTTCTGTAATGATGAAAATGTTCTATAGCTGTGCTGTTCAGTATACTAGCGATTAGCTATATACAACTTACTAGCACTTGGAATGTGACTAGTGTGGCTGTGGAAATGAATTTTTAATTTGATTTAACTAATTTTAAGTGCTCATATATGGCTAGTGGCTATAGTATTAGACAATACAACTGTAAACTAATAAAATTTTCCCTGACTGTAACCTAGTCTTTCCACCTGCCTTTGCTCACCTTGTTTTTTCCACTTGGAATGTCTTCTTTTCTTTTGTCAAATAAGACAAAAGAAATACATAATTAATTAATGTGTAATTAATACATAATTAAATAAATGCATAATTAATTAAATACATAATATATAACCATCCTTATAAGTAAAGTTCAAATGCCCCATGTTCTATGAAGCTTTTTTAAAATCACATTGTCCCAAACTATAAACATCCCTAATGTTTTATTTTTGATTTTTTTAAATTCCTTGCATGATCTAGTTGCGTATTTGTCCCCTTCAAATCTCATGTTGAAATTTGATCCTTAATGTTGGAGATGGGGCCTGGTAGAAGGTGTTTGGGTCATGGAGGCAGATCTGTCATGAACTGTCCTCACGATAATGAAGGAGTTCTTGCTCTATTCATTTCTGTGAGATTTGACTGTTAAAAGGAGCCTGGCTCCTCCTCCTCTCCCTCCTCTCTCACCATGTGATACTTGCTCCCCTGCACCTTCCCGCATGAGTGGAAGCTTCCTAAGGCCCTCACTGGAAGCAGATGCTGGTGTCATGCTTCTTGTACAGCCTGCAAAGCTGCGAGCCAAATAAACTTCTTTCCTTTTTAATTACAGCCTCAGGTATTCCTTTGTAACAACACAAACAGACTAAAGTCCTGGCATGTATAAACAATGCTCTGTTTTTAAAAAAATTGACATTTAATAAGCATTTGTTTTAAAAGGAGAAAAGTGGACAAGTATATTCATATCTGATATTCTAGGAAATAGGGAAAGTTAAAATAATTCCTGTAAATAGCTAACGTAGACCTCAAATCTGTACCTTTCTCCAAGTCACACTACTATTAATATTGATTCTCAATTAATACACATGAACGATTCCCTTATTTCTCTCTCTTTTCCCTTACACCCACCATATGAATAATGCACCAAAATGACCATCTGATCATGTCTCACACCCACTCCAAACACATTGAGGAGACTTTGCTGTCAAATGAATATAATTGATTTTTTTTTGAGATGATTCTCGCCCTGTCTCCCAGGCTGGAGTGCATGATCTCAGCTCACTGCAACCTCTGCTTTCTGGGTTCAAGTGGTTCTCCTGCCTCAGCTTACCGAGTAGCTGGAATTACAGGCAAGCACCACGGCGCCCAGCTAATTTTTGTATTTTTGTGGAGAGGGGGTTTCACTATGTTGGCCAGGCTGATCTCAAACTCCTGACCTCAGATGATCCACAAACAGACTAAAGTCTCTGAATATATTCCATAAAATCCAATAATCCTTCAACTATCAGATCAAATTCCACCTTCTCCATTCTGGATGAATAGGGACACCTTGGAGTGAATTCAAAAAAGTAGCAACAATGATAGAGAGGGGTCTTAAAAGCATGCTCTTTAAGGAAAGTTTGAAGAAATTGAGATGCTTACCGTGGAGGGGAGAAGATTTAATGATTGGAGAGCTATAATGGGAAAATAGATTACACTTATTGGCCAGGTCCAAGAGCAATAACTAAGGCCAATGCTTGGGAATTACAGAAAGACACTTTCAGCCAAAACGATTAAGAAATATTTCAGCAATCAAAGACTGGTAGAATCTTTCTTGTATTTTTAATTAAAAATTCTTTTTTAATTGAAAAAGAATTCTTGTTTAATTACAGAATTCTTCTTTAATTAAAAATAATTGTTTTTTACTTGAAAATTAAATTAAAATTCTTCTCAATTAGAAAAGAATCTTGTAATTGAAAAGAATGCTTTTTCAATTAAATAATTCTTTTTTAATTGTACTTTTTTCAATTAAAAATGGAAAAATTTTAGATCTATTATATGTTAACATATTCTCTGTGCCAAAGGCTATGCTATTTTCTGTTTACATGCATCATCATATGTGAGTCTTTTAACAGGTCTGAGAGCTAGGTGTTATAATTCCCATTTCACATTAAAAAAAAAAAAAAGACTCTTAGCTTAAATTCCTTGTCCAAGATATCACAGTCAAAGATTTGGCAGAGGCAGCATCCAAACCAACTTTCGTCTGATTTCAGAGTCCATGCTATCTAGCACCTGGTAAGTTGCCCTCGTGAACCACTCACCTTTGGAAGTGTGAAAACAAAATCTGGATTACACTCAGGGAAACAATAGAATGGGGTTCTAAATAGCTGATGAGCCGTTGAACGAAAACATCTTTTTATTGTCAATGTTCAGTTTCCTTTAATGATTCCCATCTTCGTGAAGGGCAAGTGCAGGCTGCTTGGCAATGGTAAAAAAAAATATTCTCTTGGAGATCTTGTGCTGACTGAAGGCTTTGCCCAAATGCTTGAAGACCCCCTCCCAGGAAAAGTACTCTCCAACCAGTGTCTGGGCCTCTTTGCTTCCAGGATCCAGTTTCTGCCTTTTATATGACTCGGAGTCCATCTGCCAATCTGGACTCAGCAGAAAGGCAAGCTCCTGGCCTTGGAAGACCCAGACTCAAGAAATGGAGCTGCTATTGTTGACTCTAAAGAGGATGACACTAGCAAAGACATGTTCTTCAGCTCGTCCAATCGCTGGAACATTCCAGTGATGAGACTGCAACTCATGAAGGTCTGGTGAGTTCTTCAGGGAAGCGATACTCAGAGTACCTCAGGGACCAGCCGTCTTTATCAAAGTGCTCTCCAAAACATGTCATTGCCTCAGAGTGTGTCCTCGATGGAGTACTTGTGCTTAAATTCATCCAACTCAAAGGTGTTCTTGGGCTGCTCACATTCCTTCATCTCCGCTTAAGGAGCAGGGGTGGCCACCTTTTTCTCCTCCTTCCGCTCAGCCTGGGGCTTCTGCTTCTCTTCCCGTGAACCTTTCTCTTTCCGTGGAGTGTCCTTTTTAGGCTGGCTCTCTGCAAATATTTTAGCATCAAAGTGGGCCATGTTCTCACACAGTTTCATTTCCACCCAAGACAGCCTGGAACTGGGGCTGGTAAATGTAGGTGAGGAACCAGCAGTTGATAATGGGAATGGCCTGGTAGAAAGAAGGCTCTAGAACCTACCTGCTTATAGAGTCACAACAAGGTGCAGATAACTATGATGTCAGCCAATGTCACTCACTCACCCACCAGAAAAAGTCTTCATCTTCAAGTGAGCATCTAGCAGCCCCAGACTTCACCTCACCTCTTCCCCTGCATCCTGGGTGGCCTGTTTGTCATGGTGCATTTTGCCCAAGGTGGGAACACCCTGGTACTGGCTATCATCAGCAAAGTTCACCCACTGCACAGCCTGGGCTGCTGCCTCTGGAGCACTTCCCCACAGCTCCTCATTGCTCACATAGGTGGCAATAGCATTGCTCTCCCACACAGAGAATCCATCATCACCCTTAAATGCTAGAACCTTGTGGGAAGGAAATTCAGGGGTACAGTTGGTTTGGCCAAAGTAAAAGTGAGCGTAGAGGACGCGAATCTGAGCCCCGCATTACCAAGCAGAATGAGGGCCTGCTCATCATACACCCGCCCTCCGGTTTTCAGGACATGTGTTCAGGCTCCCAGCTGCCTTGGTGATTTCGCAGAGAAAGCGAGTAGGGTTCTCCACGCTGCAGCAAAGTAAGCAAAGTAAACGAAAACATCTTTTTTTTTTAATTTTTTTTTTTTGAGACAGAGTTTCACTCTTGTCGCCCAGGCTGGTGGAATGCAATGGCACGATCTCAGCTCACAGCAACCTCCGCCTCCCGGGTTCAAGCGATTCTCCTGTCTCAGCCTCCCGAGTAGCTGGGATTACAGGCACCTGCCACCACGCCCAGCTAATTTTTGTATTTTTAGTAGATACGGGGCTTCACTATGTTGGCCAGGCTGGTCTCAATCTCTTGATCTCAGGTGATCCACCCGCCTCCGCCTCCCAAATTACTTGGATACGGGCATGAGCCACAGACCCGGTGGAAAACATTTTTGAGAACGATTACAACTGTGGGCTTTTAGCCTTCCCAATAACATGAGAACTTTAAGTTTGGAGTAGTTTTACAACATTCAGAGATGAGTTTAAGAGGACAGTTACGATGGAAGCAGAAGAATTAGCAAAAGCAGAGTATGATTTCTCCCTTTCTCCTACGTACGCCAGCATTACAGATGTATTTTATTCTGCTTTATGTTGAAGTTCTTTACATTTGAGGTACTTCAAATGTACCTCATTTGAAGTGGACAGGGGACATCAACACACATGTTTCACAGATATGCAAGACCTTGGAGAGATGTGGAACCTGATGGAATCTATTTCCTTGCCTTCTGCTACCTCCAGGCACCAATGTAATGAGGCTGATCCCACCGTTACACTGACAATTTTCCTGTAGGTGACTAAAGACTTCCTTGTTTCTAGATGAGTAAAGCAACCCAAACCTTATCTTCCTAGATCTCTAAGCAGTAGCCAACACAGCAGAACAGTTCCTCTTTTCATAAACTCTCTCTTTCCTTCATTTCTATGGGATCCAAGTATCCTCTTTTTTCTTTTTTCTCTTGAGTAGCCGTTTTGAAATTTCTCCTGCAGGGCTTTCTTGCTATGTGTGGTCCTCAAGCACCTACCTAAGTACTCTTCTAATTCTACCCACTATCCCTGGAGAGTCTCATCTGCTCTATGGCTTTTTTTTTTCCTCCATTTGTAAAATGATGACCCCGAATCCATCTCTCAAGTAAAGTCTTCCCTTCTGGGCTTAAGGTTTATATTTACTCATACAAAATTCTTAATTGCCAATCATCTCCAATGTAAATGTCTCAGAATCACTTTAAATTCAACCTGTCCAATACGGAACCCATGATCTTTCCCTTGTCCCCAGCTCTCTTCACTGGGTATCCACAACGCTGAGTAATATACCACAACCACACGGCCACCAAAGACAGAAACATACTTGACATCTCCCTGGGCCTCACACAACAAATCCAGTCATCACTGACACCTGTCAATGGGACTGACTGAATGTCATTCAAATCTCGTAGTTCTCTATTGAAATGGCAATGCTTCAGGGAGGCACTTTGTAATTCTATGGAGGACTTAATTTCCTGGTGGAAATTAAAATACATACTATATTAAATTACATATTATATTATTATATTAAAATACATATTATATTATTATTTATTTTAATTCTTATTTTAAAATAAGATTATATTTAAATATTAAATACATATTAAAATACATATTATATTATTAAATTAAAATACATATTAAAATACATATTATATTAAAATACATATTATATTATTAAGATACATACTATATTATACATTTATTTATTTATTACCTGTATTAAAATACATATTATATTATTTATTTTAATTCTTGTTTTATTTTTAATTTTTTATGGACTTCTGAAATTATGTGTTAGTAGGATATTTTATCTACTAATTTTAATAGAATGGAAGGTATATTACAAAATATATGTCAAGATTGCAGCATTAGGGCTAATAAAGTTACAAAAACTTACTGCTCAAGTCCATCCACTTGGTTACATTACCACTGGCTCCAACCCCATCTCCAAGCACTATCATTATGGTCATTATTATAACAATGTGATTATAATGATAATAATGATTTCCTAAATGGTCTCTTTGCCTTCAGTGTTGGTTCACTCTCATTTTCTACTACCAATTAAAGAAACTGGAAAATAAAATCTGATCATGTCACTTCTCTATTTAAAACCCTTGCATATTGCTGTTAGAAAAAGTCCCAGCCATTTTAAAAACTTCTCAGAATTCTGGATGAGTCAAGCCCTAGATATTTTTCAGTTTTTTTTTATCCTGTTCCGTGACACTTTACTTCAAGTCCCTGTCCTACTGAACTACTTAAGTTTCTCATTTATTGTCATGCTTTTTCCTACCTGTAAATCTTTGCCTAACACCTACTTATCTCTCACATCTCAGCATAGATAACTTTCCTCTGGGAGATTTCTTTGGTCTTCCTTTATCTGCCCACAATATTCTATTGTAGCAATTACGATGCTGAAGCATAATTCCCTGCTGAATTTTTTCGCTCCCCCTGACTAAAATGTAGGTTCCACGGTGGCAGGGATAGTGCCTATCCAATCTCCTGTTATATCTCTTGTGCACAGTATATTTCCTGACACTTTGCAGTTACAAAATATCTGTCGATAAATGCATAAATTAAGGAATAGATAAATAAGTATATGAACAGTAACCGGGTTCTCATTTTTCAGACTGGAACCCTGTTAGACGCATTTTTATTAATGGTTTTAGTATCAGATAGCAGTGAGTTTAAGTCCTAGCTCTGCCACTTACTAGTAGATTGACAATAGGGTAGTGAATTAAAATGTTCACGCCTTTGTTTTATTGTGTCTTTGCTGCTGTTAGTTTTTTTTCTTTTTAATAATTTGCAAAATGAGGATAATTACATCCACAATGACCTACATTTGTGGGTAGGGTAATTGTAAAGAATGCGTGAGTTCCCACCTGGGAGCAGGCATTACGAATGGGAATTATTTTTGTTATACTCTATTGAGCTGTTCAATCAAGAGACACAACAGGATACCTGATAGTGTACAAGATGTTTGGGGTTTTTGTTTTTTTAAATTCATCTTCGGGCTCTGGGTTGCTGTTGATGGCAGCTGTTCAGAGATTAGTCATAAACAGCTTGGTGAAGGAGGCATGAGAAAGATAAAGGGTGGTGGCCTGATTACCTCTAGCCATCCTCATGCACAAACACACACCTACCTGTCATGTATGGAAATGTCTCAGAATGTGGGCCCAGCCCAGATCTCAACAAAAGCATAGGTTTCAAAGATTGAGGGAACATAAAAGCAACCTCAGAAATCACCTCTTCAGTCTTCACAGAATGCCAGTGCCAGAAGAAACTCTAGTCATCATCCCATCCAAATTTATCATTGGAAAATGAAGAAACTTGGACGTAGCAAGGGGGAAAAGAGGTATTCAAGATTACGCAGAACGTTCACTGCAGAGATGGCATGTAAACATAACTACCGCTTCACATGTAGTCTAATCACTACCACCACCATCAACAAGGCTATTATAAATATGTTTTTTCCTTTATTAGGGTATAATTTACACATAGCTAAACATCAAGGTATATTTTACATACAGTTTAAATTTACCCTTTAAAGTAAGTTCTGTGAGTTTTGTCAAACACAAACAATTTTGTCACCAGACTATATACTCACGACACAAAATGTCCACCATCCAAAAGAATTCCTTTGTGCTCATTTGTAGTAAGCCTTCCCCTCCCTGCTCAGCCCCTAACCACCAAAGTTCTGCTTTTTGTTGCTACAGTTTTGCTTTTTGAAAACATTGTATGAATGAAATTAGAATTATACAGTTACAGCATTTTGAGTCTGGCTCCTACCACTTGGAATAATACTTTGAAATTCATTCTTGGTGTTGCACAGATTAGTGATTCATTCCTAATGGTGCTGAGTAATATCTTATTATGTGGACGTACTAGAGCTTATGTTTAGGGCTATTACAGCCACTATAAACATTCATCTGTGGTTTTTGTGTAAATGTAAGTATTGATTTCACTTTAGTATATATCTAAGAGTGAGATTGCTGGGTAAATACTTATATGGTTATACAATAAGTATACATACTGCCAAACTATTTTCTTATGTTACATTCCCACCAACAAGGTATGAGAGTTTTAGTTTCTCTATATACTCTTTAGCACTTGCTATTTTTTTATTTTGTTTTTGTTCTTTTAGCTTTTTAAATTTTGTTTTTAATGTTTTAGTTTTAGATAGGTGGGTAGCAATATCTCATTATGGTTTTGATTTTCATTTCTCTAATGTCAAATGGTGCAGATTATCTTTTCATATACTTGTCCTCCACATGTCTACTCTGAATTTCTATTCAAATATTTTGTGCCTTTTGTTTAAATTGGGTTGTTTTCATATTACTTAGTTTTGAAACCATAATTTATGTATACTGGTTCCAAATCTTTTAACAGATATAGAGTTTTTTCCTAATCTGTGGTTTATCTTTGCTGTTTAACAGTGTATTTCTGTCTGTGACAATCATGTTTTTGGTATTATGTCTAAGAAACCTTTATCTAATCCAAGGATACAAATTTTTCCCTCTATATTTTTTTCAAGAAATTTTAGAGTATAAGTTTTTACATTTAGGACTGTGACCCATTTTGAGTTACTTTTTATATAACAATATATAGATCAACATTTATTCCTTATTTCTTTTTGTCCAATTGCTTCCCATTATGTATCGAAAGCGTTATCTTTTCTTCATTGGTTGACCTGTGCACCTTCATTGCAAAGCAATTGACCATACAAATGTAAGTATATTTCTGGACTGCCTTCTGTTCCATCAATATGCCTAGCCTTTCTCCAATATAATACTGTCTTAATCATTGAGCTTTATGGAAGCCTTGATAATAGTTTGAGTGGTGCCTCAGACTTCGTTCTACATGGTTTTATTGTTTTCATTTTTTTTGTTATTCTAGTTATTTGCCTTTCCGTTTAATATTAAAATTAGTTTGCTTGTTTTTATACAAAATCATGCTAGAATTATGATTAGATCTCTGTTGAATCTATAGATCACATTAGGAAGAGTCAACATCTTCTAATTCATGAATACAATAAATATCTTCATTTATTTAGGGGTCATTTTTTACTTCTTTTAACAGAACTGTATAGTTATAAGCAAACATAATTTGTAGTTATTTTGTTAGACATATATCTAAGAATTTTATGGTTTTGGTGTTATTAGAAAAGGCGCATTTTAATTCCAATTTCCAATTGTTCTGTGCAAGTATGTAGAAATGCAATTGATTTTTGTAGGTTAACCATGTATCCTTCAAACTTGTTAAATGCACTTATTATTTCTAATAGCATTTTTGTAGATTCTTTGAGATTTTCCACATAGCCAGTCACGCCTTCTGTAAATACAGACAGTTTTACCTCTCCCTTTTCCATCCTCTTACTTCTTTTTCTTCCATTATTGCACTAGTAAGGACCTTCCCTTCAACATCAAAAAGGAATAGGGAGAGAGGATATTTGTGTCTTGTGCTTGATCCAAGAGGAATGCATTAATCTTTCATCATTAAGAGTGATGTTAAAATCTTTAAGCATGAGTGTTTTATAGATGTTCCTTATCAAGTAGAGGAATTTCCCTTCTATTGCTAGTCTTCTGAGAGGTATATGCATAAAGACATACTATTTTATATATATGTATATAACTATATATGTATATTATATAATAGATACTGAATCTTGTCAAATGACTTTTCTGTATCTATTGAAATGATTATATGCTTTTTCATCTTTAATCTGACCATATGATAAATTGAATTTATTGATTTTTCAAATGTTGAATAAGATTCGCATTTCAGATATAAACCCTACTTAGTTGATTTGCTAGTACTTTTGGGGGGATTTTTATTTTTATGTTTCTGAGGGATATTAATTTGTAATTGTCTTGTCATTTCTCATTCTGATTTTGGCCTCAGGGTAATGTTGGCCTCCCAAAATGATTGGGCCAATAAGCTCAATGAAGTATGATCAATATCATTAGCCATTAGGGAAAAGCACATCAAAAGCAAAATTATATACCACTCCATACCTACTATGATGACTAGAATAAAAAGGATGCAATAACAAGGGTAGGTTATAATATGGAGAAACTGGAATTCTCTTAAATTGCTAGTGGGAATGTGAAATAGTGTAGATGCTTTGAAGAGTCTGGAAGTTTCTCACAAGTTTAAAACGAGTTATCATATGACCCAGCAATTCCATTCCTATGTGTATACCCATGAAAAATGAAAATATATGTTCATTCATACACTTATCCAGGAATGTTCACAGTAGCATTATTCATAATAGCCAAATAGTAGTAGAACAAACCAAGTGTTTATCAACAGATGAATAGATAAATAAAATGTGGTATATCTATACACTGGAATATTATTTAGCAGTAATAAAGAATGAAGTACTGATACATACTATTACGCAGAAGAACCTTGAAAACATGATAAATAAAAGAAGCTGGACGCAAAAAGCCACATATTGTATGATTTGTTTTATATAAAATGTCAGTGGCAGAGGTGATTCCAGAGCCCCACTGGAACAATAGCCAAATCTCAAGCCAAGGAATCAGATGTAAACAAGGAAGGCAGTTAAGAGTCCAGTGGCTTTTGTTTTTCTAGCAGCTGGAGCCATGGCTGAGGGTGGAGGCAACATTTCAAAACAGGTACTATGTCATGCCTCACTTTGGTACATAGGATGGAGTGAAGGGAACATTTTACAAAATTATAAATTAATTACATGGAAATAGTGACTCCCACCTAAATTAAGAAGGCCATAGTACCAAATTAATAGTGTAAATATTTCTATGCCAATTATGCATAATTTATCTATGCCAGATAAGTGTATAATAATAGCTAAATTACAAGGTTTTTGTGGGACCAAATGAGGTAATAAATACATAATTGACATGAAAGCTATAAATTGTCAAACTATAAATCGAAAACTATAAATCGAAGAGTAACTGTGATCAATTAAAGTAGGTTTATCTACTGAGTCAATAATAGAGGTAACACAGATCTGTAAACAAACAGTCAGTTAATCCAAAAGTAGGCCAAAAGATGGAAAATAAAACATCTAGCAACATTGTAGATTTAAAAGCAATTATATTAATAATTACATTAATGTAAGCAATCTAATCACATTAATTATAAAACAGAGATAGATTATGCTGTTTACAAAAAAATCCACTTTAAATATAAAAACATAGATGAGAGTAAGTGAATTCAAAAAGATTTATCATTAAACACACACAAAAAACTTGGAATGGTTATATTAACATGAGAACAGATAGTATTCAGAACAAAGAATACTATCAGAGATAAAAAAGAACATTGCGGCAGGGCACGGCGGCTCATGTTTGTAATCCTAGCACTTTGGGAGGCAGAGGCGGGCGGATTGCCTGAGCTCAGGAGTTCAAGACCAGCATCGGCAACACGGTGAAATCCCGTCTCTACTAAAATACGAAAAATTAGATCGTCTCTACTAAAATACAAAAACTTAGCCACTGTCTACTAAAATACAAAAAAGTAGCCAGGCGTGGCGGGGTGCGCCTGTAGTCCCAGCTACTCGGGAGGCTGAGGCAGGAGAATTGCTTGAACCCCGGGGGTGGAGGTTGCAATGAGCCTAGATCGCGCCATAGCCCTCCACTCCAGCGTGGGTGACAAAGTGAGACTCCATCTCCAACAACAAAAAAAAAAAACCAAACAAACAAAAAAAAAGGAACACTGCATAATCAGAAAGGAGTCAATTAACTAAGAAAACATAACAATCCTATATGTATAAGCAAGTAACAATAGATTCTCAAATCTACAAAGTAAAATTTGACAGACAAGAAAAGAGAAGTATACAAATTTAAAATTCTAGTTGGAGACTTCAAAACTAGTCTCTCAGTGATTGATAGAATAAACAGATAGAAAATCAGTAAAGATAAAGAAAATCTGATTATCACAATTAATGAAAAATGACCTAATTAACTTTTATAAAATACTCCAACTTAAATATAAATTTTAGTATGTGCAGAGGAAACATTAATCAGGATAGACTTTATGGAGTCATTCAACCAACCTTAACAAATTTAACAAAATTGAAATGATGCAAAGAATGCTTTCGTAACTTAATGGCAGTGGCAGATATATAAACAATAACTCATGATTTAATATAATAGAGATGTGTGCACAGTGAGCACACAGGAAAAGTGATTAATTGTACCATGGATTAAGTCAGGGTTGTGGTTACAATGTCTTTCCGAAGGATTTAATGTTTGAAGGATGAATTGGTGGGGATGAATTGGTTCAAGCAGAACAAGTAGAGTGATAAAATAAGTCAAGTTCTGGAGCATGCCTGGTAAGGTAAAACAGGAGGTAACATGGTTAGAGAGTGGTGGGAGGCGATAATGCAAATAGTCAGCATTTGTTAAACATACATGATGCTAAACTTTGTATAGCATGACTTCATTTATAATTTATTTATTTCATTAATATTTTATTTCAGATTTATTAAAATTTTTGGGACTGATACTTTTATTATCTTTATATTGAAGATAGAGAACTAAAGTTTAGAGAGTATAAGCTAACTGCCAAATCACATTGTTAGCAGCTGAGAAGATATTAAATTATTCAACAACTAGGGTGCAAACACCAACCCAGCCTAGTAGACTGGATATGAGCATCCCAGTACATGCCCAGTAAATACCAGCCCTGGTGAAGTCAGAAATTGAATGCAGGCTACCTGACTCTAGAACTCATGCATTAAAATTATACTACTCCTAAAGTGAAGTTAGAGATATTGATTGTGAAAGAAGTATGAAAGGCCTTATTTATATGCAATCAGGAGCCACAGAAATTATTAGAGAAATGACAGAGGATGTAAACATAATTATGTTATAGAGTGATAAAAATGGCAGCAATGTGGAAGACAGCCTGGAATGGGGAGAGGCAAACATCAGAGAGACTTTAGATTGTTACTGCAAGAGTCAAGACGAAGCCCCAAACTGTGACTCTTATTGTGGACGTGAAAGAAGTTGATAAATTTTAAGGATATTTAAGAGGAAAATTGATAGCACTTTGTGAGAAAATCGGTTCTGTGATAATAAAAGGTAAAGAAAATTCACATTTCTAACATAATTTGATGCATGGCAATGTCCTTATCTGAAATTCTAATTAGGGAACAGGAAGAGAGAAAAAATTCCTAGCTAAGAGTTTAAATACTTAATGATTTTTTACTCTCCACTCCCAAACATTCTGTTCCTTCTCTCTTCTCTTTCCCCTCCATTTTTTTCCTTCCAACATGCTCATTAATTAAAACAAATTTTGAGATTAAGTTATTTCACTTCAATCTTCACTTCTAATAACACTGAAGAATTTGAGGTTCATTCCTAGAAATATGCAATGCTCTTCCATGCTTCTGTGTCTTCACAGATGTCATTCCTCCTACCTGAGGTGTCTTCTCCACACCTTGGTTGCATAGTAAACACCTACACAATCACTTTTCAAGGCCCAAACAATGATTTGTCTGTGACCCCCTCCCGCAGGCAACGTTAACCACTCCCTGTTAGTCTTCTATAGGAATCTGTTCACAACTCCATTAGCATTTCTCATATTTAAATTGCAATTATTTGGTTACGTGTTTGCCTCCTCAACAAAGGTAGGTCAGGGACTGTTGTTTTGTATTTTCTTGTCCCCAGTGTCTGGCAGAGTACCTGGCAAATAGTATAAGCTCAATAAATAAATGTTCACTGAAAAAGTAACTGTTAAATGGATCTATGGCATGAAGATTGACTAATGTATAAGCTACATAGAGGAAGGTGATTAGGGTAACAAAGAGTGTGACCACTCCTTAGCATGTAGACACCATGGGAATGGCACCCCTAGCTGAAGCCACATGCATCCCTTCCAAGACTAGTCTGAAACTTTAGCTGGAATGAACCAAGAACAAGAGAGGGTTTTATGATTTCTTTATGAGGCTTTCAAGGAGGAAACATATTCCAGATGTGATGTTAAAGAGGAACTAGAGCCCTTTAATGACTTCTAGTTTCCTCATTTGATTTCAACTTCTCACATACTATTCTTTAATCCTTTATGTAACCTCTCTCAGTCCTATTCTGCACTCCCTGATCACGGGTTTTTTAATAAGAGAAGAATTATGAGGGCTTCTCCAGGTAGATTCACAAATAAAAGTACCAGATGCCCGGTTACATTTAAATTTCAGCTAAAAATGTAAGAAAAAATTAATTTCAGCTAAACAACAAATAATTTTTTAGTATAAGAATTCCTGTGAAATATTTGGTATATATTTATCCTAAAAAATTCCTCATTGTTATCTGAAATTCACATTTAATTGGGCATCATGTATTTTATCCTACAGCCCTATCTCCAGTCCTATTTCTGCCGAGGATAAAAAAGACACCGTGTAAACTGCATGTTTGCTATATCAAACTGAGCAAAAATATAGTGAATGAAATAGGCCAGAACTTTATTCAGAGGCTAATGAAAAAAAGCAGAGTTGGCACAGATGAATCTGTGGGCAAACAGGTTGGTAACATGGTGTTCCTCGCTTGGCCCAGGCATTTTGCCAGTAGCAACCATGAGCATATGCCAGTGCAACTTAACAGAATAGCTGAAAGCAGGAACATTGGAATCACACGTTCGTGTGTCCAATTCCCTGCTCTGGCTCGTATATAATTTGTAACCTTGGGAAAACTCCTCTAAGCTTAAATTTCCTTGTATAAAATGAGGAAATGGTAGCCTCTCAACAATTGTATTGATACATTGTATCTAATTCAGCACCTGACCAGAGGAGGCAGCCTATTATTATTATTATTAGTGGTGGTGGTGGTGGTGGTGGTGGTGGTGGTGGTGGTGGTGGTGGTGGTCCTAAAATGTCTCTCTCCCTCCTCTAAGACAACTCAATGTAGAATAGAATAGAATAGAATAGAATAGAATAGAATAGAATAGAATAGAATAGAATAGAATAGAATAGACAAGTTTATTATTTATTTTTCACTTAGTATTTGCAAGGCACTGTGCTAGTTTTACAAATTTTCTTATCTAATCTTTATAACAACACCAAGAGGTATCATTATTCCTATTTTATGGACACTGGATCCAAAGCACAGAGAAATTAAAAATATCTTAAGGTTACAGTGTCACACAGCTCGTAAGGGGCAAATCTGAAATTCAAACTCAGTTCTGTGTGATCCCAAAACCTGTGCTTTTAACACTAATGCATACATTGAAATCTCTCCATGAGATTGCCAACCCAAATTGTAATTCTTTTCTACCTTGAGAAAAAAAACCACTCAGATGATTTTTAATTAAGTCTGGAAAAGTCTGTAGGAATTAAAACATTTCTTATTTCCTTCATTCCTATACCTTCTTCCCAAGCTAGAATAGTGTTGTAGAAGAAGGTTCTCTTTTTCTTCCCAGCTTGGATAAAACCCTCTTTCATAATCTCAGTTTCTCATCTAACCTAAAGCAAATTCACTTGTTTATGGCAATGGAAGATAAATCACAGCTTTTTAACTGTTATTTATACGGCCAACATTAAGGGCTCTTTACAGTTATCAGGTGTTTCATTTTTATCTCCTATATTCTTACAATGGTGCTGATATATAGGCAGAAATTTATATTATGTCCCTTTACAGATGTAGAAACTGAGACCCACAGGGTACCTGTCATTTGCCAGAGTCACACAGATAATAACCAAAAGAACCTGGTTCCTCTTCTCAGAATTGTTTATTAGCTCATTGATTCAATGCATATTTGTTGGGTATCTTTTACAAACAAAGCACTATCCTAGACAGCAAAGCCATCTCCCTGAACAAGACTGATCAGAATGCTTCCCTTTGAGATGTTAACATTCCTTGGAAAGAGAGACATTAAATCATCAAAAATTAAGTGCTGAGAAGAAAGAATACAGAGTGTAGAAAACTTAATCACATAGGGATCTGAATTGGATTAGAGAGTCATAGAAGTTTTCACCAAAGACAAGACATTTTAGCTGAGACCTGAAGCTATGAGGAACAAACCAAGAGGAGAGAAAGAATAAGAACAAGAAGCAGGGAAAACGGAGGGTATTGAATCAGGACCATGCAATGAGCTAGTGTTACTGACAGGAATCGAGGCCAGCTATCCTGACACTCAGGACAGTGCTAGCTTTTTGACACCAGACCTCCAAAAGCAGCTGATTTAGGATTTGTCTGCTTGCCCTGTCCAGCTGCTATTCCTAAGAAGCCAGCAAATTTCTGTCTTAAGTTGCTGTATCTACAGCCTGCTCTTATCTATAGAGTGCCCTTGTGATGATTAGAAAAATATGTACCCTTTCCCAGGCAAACACAGCAATGTGTCAGGATCCATGGCCTAACTGATAGAGGACACTTGAATGTCATTCCCCTACTAGCCTCTTGGACAATCACAGTGCTCAGTCATCAGTAGTGACCCTGATGACATAAATCTACCTCAATGAAGGCCTTTTAATGTCTAGATTTTATTAGAGACTCTGGCCTTGTCTGTCCTATACAAACAGTGGTGATCTAGAGTCTAGAGTCTAGATTCAACCCTTTGTGCAAGAGAGACAAGACCAGTGTTTTCCTGAGAAGATACGTTGGGAAGGCCTTGGAAGGCCACACCACACAAGGTGCAACAGAGCTGCCTGATTATGTTCCAGAAGTGGTTTGGTGCCTTGTGAAGAGTATAACTAGTAAGTAAGAAACATTGCCCTAGCCTTGGCTCTGAGATGCTGGATGAACCTCCTTTTGTCCATACTTTAGTTAACTTTCCCATTTATAAAATGGTATTTTGACACATGCAAAGTATAAGTATTGGTAAATCAATAAGTTTAGGTATTCCCAAGTCCACATTCCAATTAAATGAATTTATAGCATTCCTCAGGATAACCAATATCATCTAGACTTGAACCAAACTTTATTCTCTTGCGTGTATTGCAAAGGGAGATTATTTTACATCTGAAATACATAGCAGCATCTCAAATCCAACATTCTGTTTCACCAAGTGCAAATATATTTAATCCAGTTAATTATTTCTTTTAAAAAAAAAAAGATGGTAAGGTAGACTTTATTCAAGGGGAACCATGGTGATGGGTATGGGTATAGAGACCAAGGCAATGGAGTCTGGCAGTCGGGGAGAAAGACTGGTCTTAATCAATTCCCAGATTATTTTTTCTTCTGCTGCTGTTTTTTTGTTTTGTTTTGTTTTGTTTTGTTTTGTGTGTGTGTGTGTATGTATGTGTTTTGGTATTTGCCATGTGCCTCAGTTAATATGTATTCAACTCTAAAAAAGATAGTTTTGCCTTCGAGAAGCCTACAGCCTATTGGTAAAGACATTTAAAAAGGACCTAGCAGGTACATCAGAGGATCATCTATCTCTATTTGGAAAAACCGGAACAAACTTTCAGAGGAGGTGAAGTCAAAGGTGAGACCAAGACCAGGCAATAGAGTAGGCTCCATGAGGATTCAGCAGTAATAAAACATTCTTCTCTTGAGACCTACAGGCTAGGAATCAACCTAAGTGTCCATCAACAGGTGAATAGAAAAAGAAACCATGATATGTATACACTGGAATACTATTTACTATAGAGCCTTAAAAAAGAAGGAAATTCTATCATTTGCAACACAGTTGAACCTGGAGGACATGATGTTACATGAAATAAACCAGGCACTGAAAGACAAAGAAAGACAAATACATACCACATGATCTCATTTACATGCAGACTCTAAACAAGATGAACTCACAGAGGCAAAGAGTAGAATGATAGTTACCAGAGACCGGGAGTTGGGTAGTGGGAGGGATTGGGGAGATGTTGGTCAAAAGATATAAAATTTGAGCTAAATAGGAGGAATGAGTTTGAGACATCTATTTTACATCATGGTGGCTATAGTTAATAACATTGTATTGTATACTTGAAAATTGCTAAGAGAGCAGATTTTAAGTGTTCTCGCCACACAAAAAAAGATAAGTATGAGTAGTCTGGGTATTAAATAGCCAGATATAGCCTTTGCACAATATATGCATATTTCAAAACATCATATTGTGCACCACGAATATGTACAATATTTTGCCAATAAACAAATAAGTGGATCCACAAGCTGAAAGAGAAGAGAGCTGTTAAAACACTTAGTTCTCCTATGAGAACACATGGGCACATTCAGGGGAGCAACACACACTGGGGTCTGTCAGGGTTTCAAGGGGAAAGAGAGCATCAGGAAGAATAGCTAATGGATGCTGGGCTTAATACCTAGGTGCCAGCCAGGCACGGTAGCTCACGCCTGTAATCCCAACACTTGGGAAGGCTGAGGCGGGCAGATCACGAGGTCAGGAGATTGAGATGATCCTGGCCAACATAGTGAAACCCTGTCTCTACTAAAAATACAAAACTTAGCTGGGCATGGTGGCACATGCCTGTAGTCCCAGCTACTAGGGAGGCTGAGGCAGGAGAATCACTTGAACCAGGGAGTCGGAGGTTGCAGTGAACTGAGATCGCGCCACTGCACTCCAGCCTGGCAACAGAGCGAGACTCAGTCTCAAAAAAAAAAAAAAAAAAAAAGAAAGAAAGAAACCTAGGTGACAGGTTGATCTGTGCAGCAAATCATCATCATGGCACATGTTTCCCTATGTAACAAACCTGCACATCCTGCTGGCTACATGTGTAGCCTGGAACTTCAAATAAAAGTTGATGGAAAAAAAAGAGAAAAATAAAAGTAAAATAAATAAGACAGTTTATGTTGTCGTTTTCTGTTTGTTTTGAGACAGAGTCTCACTCTGTCACCCAGGCTGGAGTGCAGTGGTGTGATCTCCGCTCACTGCAATCTCCGCCTCCCAGGGTTCAAGCGATTCTCCTGCCTCAGCCTCCCAAGTAGTTGGGATTACAGGTATCTGCCACTACGACCAGCTAATTTTTTGTATTTTTAGTAGAGACGGGGTTTCACCATGTTGGCCAGGATGGTCTTGAACTCCTGACTTCGTGATTCGCCCACCTCAGCCTCCCAAAGTGCTTGGATTATAGGTGTGAGCCACCGCGCCCAGCCAACACTTAGTTCTTATACAATGGGGTCAAGTGTGCTATAGGGCAGATGATGAAGTAACAAACTGCCTGGAGAAGGGTGGAGTGGTTATCATGAAGGTATCACAAAGAAGGACCATTTGAACTGAGGAATACGTAGGAGTGATCCGAAGGGAGACAAGGAGGAGGGTATCTGAGGAAGAAGGAAGAGCAAGAGCAGACGCATGGGGTGTGAAAGGGCATGCCCATGTGGGAACAAGGGATTGTCCCAGAGCACGAGGGAAGGCATAGAGTGTAAAGGGAGGGTGTAGGCTTGCCTTGCCAATCTGATTTGTTGCCTGCTGCTTGGCACTGACGAGCAATTCTACCTGATATCCCTTTAATTATCAATGCTGGCCTTGAAACTAGCCTCAAGAGATTCACTCCAGAACCCTTTATAGATACAAATTTTAAAAATCAAGAGGGTTTTTCTTTCCCTATATGTAAAATGTTTGGTTTGAATGATAGGGTATGTCTCATTAGTACAGATCCAAAAGCAAGCTGTGCAGACATCTTGTGCAACAATCTAAATTCCAAAGCAGATGATGTCACCTATCTATGCCCTATAAATGGAGCATTGTTTCACATGTATCTGAACAATTTATCTGCACGAATACCCCGTGCTACCAGAATGGCTGTCTCAGTACTTCGCCTGACAGTTGTCCTGGGACTGCTTGTCTTATTCCTGACCTGCTATGCAGGTAAGTGCTTCTGATCACAGCCCATGAATTGTTCAGTAGTTAGCAGTGACTAGAGAAAGCTGATGGCACTGATTCAGAACATAAAAGAAAGAAGGGGTCTTTGGGCACTCCAGAAAGAGCACTGGCCTGGGAGACAAGAGGTGTATCTTCTAACACAAAGAAAGTAGAATTTTAATAAAAACCTAGCCTCTATTTTCAGTGGATGTATGAAGTTTGAAATTTTTTTATGTGCTCTTATGATATAATGACACTATTCTAGTATAAATTCCATGGGAGCTGACTGGCATTTATTTTTTGATAATTATTCCTAATAATGTTCATTGGTGAAGAATATGTACTCTGGAATAAAACTCCTGTACCTGGCTCTACCACTAACCAGAAATGTGACTTTAGGAATGCTATTCAATCTCTCTAGGCCTCACATATAAATGGGGACATTTAACTTTCTCGTAAAGTTATCATGAAAATTAAATAAAAGGAATGAAACAAATTGGAAGGGTACCTGGTTGATAGTAAGCATGCAATAAATACTACCTGCTATTGTTGTCATGTATAATCTCATTTGGTTCTCATAGTAATCCAATGATGTAAACATGTACAGTTTTATCATTTTCCTTTTTGCAGGTTAATAAACAGGTTGCAGAGGGCAAGTTACTTGAGCATACATACAGGTGAAAGTGGCATCTGGGAGTGAAACCTAGGTTCCTAGATTCTTTCTACTATTATCGAGCAACTATTTCTTTCCCACCTTTTCCAAGCACATAGAAGCTCATGCTGTATGCTGCCTTCTCATTAATTAATTTACTGTTTGTCTGCAAAAGTCTGTGAGCTCCATTCAGAATGATAGACCAGAAAACAGAGGGAGTGCAAACATTTAGTGACAGAATCCTTTGAATGTAACTTGGCTGAAGAACACACAGACAGACATTACAACAGAATTACTCTAGACATGGCCACGGATATTATTCAGTCCATTCTACTCCTAAAGAAATCACTACAGTGAAGTGAAAGGAGAGATTTGATACCAAGACCAGGCACCACCCTGTCTCTTATAAACTCTGAAACTGGTTAAATCGTTCACTGCTTTGAACCTCAGTTTCTTTATCTGTAAAACGGGATAACTATCAACTTCACCAGGTCAAATGAATATGCTTTTTAATTACTTTGTAAACTATTAAAACTCTACAAATATCAGCAATACTGTTTATTAAGAACATTATATTCACATTCACTAAGAAACTCAACAAAGTAGTTACTGTAAATAAAGGCTATCCCATATAATACTTGAAAAAAGAAAATATTAAACTATTGACTTTGAAGATTGTTTCTAGGATATCAATCGTTTAATATTTTAATAGCATTTTTAAAATTTATATTATCTTCTAAAGCACTAGAGGAGAAAGTGAATTATAAATCATTTTGCTGCTATTATTATTAATAGTAACAATAAAACAGATAACATTTATTTATTCATTCTTTCATTTATTATTTATTTATATAAGGTAAGTTTATCTTGGGATTGGTACTACGATAAGTGGTATATATATGATATATGTATGTATATATAATATAGATATATGTATGTGTGTGTATATATATATAGATATATAATATATAAAATATCTTTCAATCCTGACAACATATGAGGAAACTGAGAGATGCAAAGTTAAGCACTGTGTGCAAGTTTACATGGCTAATTTTTTGTTAAAGGCAGGAATCAGACAGATCTATAAAACTCCAGAGCATGCAATCCATCACACTTTAATACCTCTCAATATATATGGGGTTCACAAGCTAAGGCCAAGATTTTGATTTCCGCCCACTCCAATCCCAGGCTTCTTGCATCTTGAAAAGCCAGGTTTTAGTGTCATATTAAAATAACAAGTCAATAGAATTTATTATGCAAGTAGCCAGATAGAAACACAGGAGAAAAAATCTCATCTTTCATGCAAGAAATTACTGCTTTGCATTTGGCAAATGTCTTTACAGAACAATTGTTTGGAGGTTGTATTATACAATGTGAATAATGTGCTTTGTGGAGTTAAAAAAAATTAGGTTCAAACCCTGGGTCAGCCACTTTCTAGATGAGTGATTTCAGGTGAGTCATTTAATTTTCCTGAGCATCTGTCTTCTCTGCTGTAACTGTGATACCACTGCTGAGCTAAATGACGATTAAGGCATGTGCTGAAAGCACTGATGGAGTACCTGCACGATAGGCACCTTACACATGAGTTCCGCTTCCGCCTCCTTCCCACAATAAAAACAAACCAATCCTTCTGAGTACCTGGGTTGCCCAGCACTTTATGTGAAGGTCATATCTACAGTTGTCTTTTTTTTTTTTTACCTTGACTCTTAGCATAACTATGCACATAATAGTAGGCTCAGGCCAGGCAGGATGGCTCACACCTGTGACCCCAGCACTTCAGGAGGCCGACGTGGGCAGATCACTCAAGCCCAGGAGTTCGAGACCAGCCTGGGCAATATGGCGAAACCCCGTCTCTACACAAAATACAAGAATTAGCCAGCTGTGGTGGCATATGCCTGTCGTCCCTGCTACTCAGGAGGCTGAGGTGGGAGGATGTCTTGAGCCCAGGACGTTGAGCCTGCAGTGAGCTGTAATCACTTCACTGCCCTTCAGCCTGGACGAGAGAGTGAAGCCCTGTTTCAAAAATAAAACATTAAAAAAGTAGGCCCAAAAATACTTTTTGAATGAAGGAACCAATCATTGGATATATGAATAGGTGATGATTAGTATATTGATTTTGGTTATATGTCCCAAACTGGTGCTTCTATCAAATCTTTAGTTGTGTCATAGTAAACAATAAATGCTCATAGAATTGCCTGCCAATCTTTTTTACTAATAGTTTCCATTTTAGGATATAATATAGATGTAAAGTTTCTGACATAATTTGGCAGCCTCCACACAAAAGGTAGTTACATCTCCTTTATCCAAAGTCAGGGGTACATTGTCTAGAAGTTGGGACTTCTTGAGTTAAAACTTGTGCTGAGGTTGCTAGATAAACTACGAGAAACACAGTTAGATTTGGATTTCTGATATGCAATGAATAATCTTTCAGCATCAGGGTGTCCTAATTATTGCATGGATCTTTTTTATAGTACCAGAAAAGCATTTGTTGTTTATCTGAAATTTAAATTTAACTAGGCATCCTGTATTTTTATGTACCCAGTCTGGTAACATTACTTGTCAGGGTACAATACAATTAAAAAATAAAGGTCCCACTTTATCCTGTGACCAGGGCTCAGAGGGGCGACCACATGTAGCTACTGTCACTCTTCCATCTCTTCTCATCTCCTGGGAATAAAGACAATCAAGCAAAGTCAAAAAGCCCCCAAGGGACCTTGAATATAATCAACCTCACTCTGGATCCTTGGCCCTCATTCCAATGGGCCCTTAAGAATCTAGTGTTAAGAGGCCTGCAGTTATCATCTTAGCATTTTTCTTACTGTCTATGAGGTCTTCTGTAAGCCTCTTAATCCTTTCACTTTTCAGTTCAGTGAGCTAAAAAATGCATACTCTGTAAGATTGCTCAGGGGATAAAATTACACAACATTTGTAAAATCACTATTTATGAAACTACTAGGTGATATGCAAGGGATAGAATTGCTTTGTCATCATTATTGTTATACTATTTTGAATCTTCTAAAAGAAGTGCAAATTGCATAACTTTTCCATCAAAGACTGTGCAGCTCATCATAGAGTACTTTAGAATCCAAATTTTAATGCCAAACTGACATGGGTTTGAATTGTATTTCTGCCACTTACTAACTATGTGACTTTCAACCAGTTTCTAAACATCTCTCAAATTATATTACTTTACCTTTAAATTGGGATAATTGTTCCTACCTTGTAGAATTGCTATGAGGATAAAATAAGACAATCCATGTAGATCGTCATAGGCATGTATTCAACAAATGTTACCCATTGATATTTCATTTTTATTTATTTATTTTATTTCTCAGAGACAGGGTCTCACTTTGTCACCCAGGCTTGGAGTGCAGTGGAACGATCATGGCTCACTACAGCCCCTATCTTCTGGGCTCAAGAGATCCTCCTGCCTCAGCCTCCCAAGTAGCTGGGATTACAGGTGTGCACCATCACACCTGGCTACTTTTTACTTTTTGTAGAGATGGAAGTCTCACTATGTTACCCAGGCTGGTCTCAAACTTCTGGCCTCAAGCAATTCTCCCATCTCACCCTCCCAAAGTGCTGGGATTACAGGCATGAGCCACCTCACCCAGTTGATAATTTATCTTTAATATTATTATTACCATGGGCATGGAGATCATATGGAAAAACAGACATTCTGTATGTCAGTCCTGGCACTGGCACTTACTGGCTGCTTAACTCTGAGATAAGTACTTAGCTTCTGGGAACTTTGGTTTTCTCACTCACCAGGCGGTGCCAGTGTCTACCTAAGTATCAATATCAGTCGGTCTATTTGTTTGTTTTTACAAATAAATGAGACAATGCATGTGAAGATTTTATCCAGACAGGCATTAAATGTTCGATGAATATAACCATATAAGGCTATGAAATTTGTGAGTGGGTCAGAAAGAATCCCAAGCGTTCCCCACACAGAAAGAATGATTCCTTCTTTGTTGCTGAGAATCACCTCTGAGATTCTGTTGTTTTTCAGACGACAAACCAGACAAGCCAGACGACAAGCCAGACGACTCGGGCAAAGACCCAAAGCCAGACTTCCCCAAATTCCTAAGCCTCCTGGGCACAGAGATCATTGAGAATGCAGTCGAGTTCATCCTCCGCTCCATGTCCAGGAGCACGTAAGCACTGAGAAAAACGTTGCTTTTTGTCCAATTCTCTGTTGATAATGACCACACAATGACCTCATGGCATTAAAATACATGAGAAACAAAATTTGTGGCATAAGTAAATGTGTTATTTTTCATTGAAAAATGTTGCCCTACTTAAAATATATTTTGCATCTGAATCAACTGCCCTGAGCTTTTTGGGGGAAAGGACATTCCCATCAAGTGGTTCCATACAGGATTTTTTTTTTTTTTTCTTTTTAATCTCAGGAGCAAATAGGGAGGAGGAAGAACACTAGACTAAGGAACAAAAAGCCAAGTTCTGATCCTAACTCAGTTGCTATTTTACTAGGTGGTCTTGAACAAGGCCCTCCCACTCTGAAGGCCTCTATTTGCTCATATTTTAACTGTGAAGTTAAAATAATAGATGGCCCGCCCCTTGTAAGCACTGTGATTACGTGATGAAGGTAAGAGGTAGTGATATGTTCGTTAGTGATGGGTGTGAGGAGTCCTGCCTATATTTTCTAGCTTGAGTAGCTCAAGAAGGTTAGCAGAGACAGTAGATAACCTCTCTTTAAAGACAATCTAGAGAACCTCTCAACATGAGTGTTGGTTTTCATCATGAGAGACTGCCTTCGGGCAGATCACCAATCCCAGAGTCTTCCCAATGTTCTCAGCCTGCTTCCAAGCCTGTGTCTAATTCCCAATACATATTATTTTTGCCTACATAGTTTTGATTTGACACTACTACACTGTATGCTTTATTCTCCCCATATTAATCTCCCAAATTTCAGTTCTCCAAGATGAAATTCACTCTTCCAAATTTCCAGGTGCTTTCAATTTCCACTGCTCTAAGCCTCTGCTCTCTAATTTTCTCCCATATAGATCCTTAAGCAGAGTTTGACTAGGTGTGGTATACCCACCTGATACAGAATCCCTTGGGGGAATTTATTTTTAAAAATGCAGATTTCTGCATCCCATTTTGCATCTTTCTGGGGACAAGGCCATGGATATGGTTTTCAACAAGCTTTTCAGGTAATTCTGATATACAGAAATTTTCAAAAGCCATGCCTTGATCAGATGTTCTGGGTTGCATGGATGGGCCTTAAAGATCCACAAAACCTTTACATTTTTATTAATATTTTGTGTCAGTGTGATTTATTTATTTATTTATTTTTGCATTTTCCCGGGGAAAGTGTTCATGACTTCTATTAGATTTTCAAAGGGGTCTTTAACCAATAGCAGATTAAGAACCACTTCCATGTAGGAGTAATCAGGGGTTTTGTAATCTCTGATCTGCTTAAAGGGATAGATTGTCATCTGATTGGGCAGTGTTCTACAGGCAATCCTTCTCCACAAATTGTTAAAACTCACAGGTGCTTTTTTTTAATTGTTACATTTCCTACTGTGGTTGCTTTTGCAACTGTTATTTTTCCAAGACTGTTAATGTAAACAAGAAGGAAAGTCATAGGCCGACAATAGGAGCACCACCCATTACATACAAACTAAAGATTAGACTCCAGTTGAATTAGTATTGTTACATCCACACAGCAAAACAAGGAGTTAGAACACTAAGAGTTCTTTTCATTCCTTCCCTAGGGAATTTTCCAAGTATAAAATAGGACATTTTTCTCTGTGTTAACCATAAGAGTCGACTCTCTGATATGCTAAAGAATTGCTGTCCGCTCTAGGCTCAGAAATGGCCCTTCATCTACTGGTTTCCCTTTCCCTCATTACATTCTGAGTAAATGACCTTCTTTCTGTTGCTAGAAATTATTACCATCTCAGGCTCTCTTCCCTTGCTCTCCCTCCTTACTAAAATACTCTCCTTTTCTAATGACTAGTTCTTGAGCTTACAGCTAATCTAAAAGTCACTTCCTCAGAAACTATTCTATGACCATTCTTGTTAATACTGTCTTCTTCCATTCCCACTGCCTGTTATTCTCTATCACTTTACCTTGTTACAGTGTCATAATATTTGTTACCATCCGAAATGACTTATTTATTTTTAATCAAGTAGCTAAGTGAAAGTAGAGACCAAATCACCTGACTGGTTGCAAGAGCACAGTACATGGCATATAGTGTCAGGCACTTGAATTAATTAATTAAGGAAAGATATCTTGCAGATCAGACCTAAAGCCCATCTACCTCAATTTGACTGAGAAATCCTGAAGGATCTTTGCTCAAAGACACAGCAATATCTGCTCAAGAGATAAATCTGCGGGTGGTAGAGCCAGGATCTAAAACATACCCATAACTCCCTGCTCAAGGGAAGACCATAAGCAAAATAGGGGGTGGAGGATAGGAGGAGACGTCAGAAAGTATTGCTAAGCACTTAACATGTACAAAGCAGGGACACGGATTGTGAAGGAATAGTCTAGGCTCTTAATCCCTTCTCCTCAAATAATTTGCAGTCCTTATGGTAAAATTACTTAAGCCAATGCACAATGCCATAAATAAAAATGAGTAGCAAGATAAATGTCAGCCAAAGATCACAGGCAGTTTCCAGCGAAAGGAGTTCTCAATGGGTCCAGTGTGCTTAGGGAAGTGTTTATGGCAAAAGCAAGATGTAATTTGGGCCTTGAATGACTAAACAATATTTGATTTGGAAGAGAGAATGAGAGGAATAACAATGATTCATAAAGGTGGGAATTTTACTTTATTTACTCCAATATGTCTGATGCCTAAGTGGTGTGTCAGATGCATAGTAAATGCTAGAGACATGCATTTGAAACAATGAATAGACTGGATTGTTCTCTCCACTTGCTTTTGGATCAGCTTGGAGCTACCTAGACTGCATTTTGCTCATCATTTTTCTGAAAAATATACATATTCTTAACTCCTCTCACCCTTTGAGAGCCCTTAATTCTAGGGAATATTTTCCCCTCTGGGTTCCATGATGTATTTTCCTGGTTCTCTCTCTACCACTAGCCATTCTTTCTCATTCTTTTTATTTGACTTTTCTTCATGCACCTGCCCTCCAAATGTCATTGTTCCTCAGAATTCCAAACGTGCTTGGTTCTTCACATTGCAGTTTACACATTGGGAACACTGCCTATAATCTAATGAGTTTCAAATTCACATTTCTGTTGCAATTTTTTCCTGAGCTCCAGATGGAATAACTGATTGCTTGCTACAAAATTCCATCGTTTTTCTACCACTATTTCAAATTCCACTGGTCTAAACCCAAGCCCATCATCTCACTCAAAACCTTCCTCCATATCTCATTAAGTCACATCATCATCCACCCAGAATCCAGAAATCTAAGGATCTTCTCAAATCCTTCCTGCTCATCATCACCTTCATCGAATTGCTGAATATTCTACCCTATATACCTTCCTCGGGTATATGTATATGCACCCTATATACATTTCTCTTCCTCAGCTCCACTGACTAGTTGGTCAAGTTGAGTCCTTTATCATCTCTTTCCCAAGTTCCTTTTATTGGATTTCTAATAAGTTTCACTTTTCTCTGTCTCTCTTTTTATTGGATTTCTAATAAGTTCCACCTTCTGTCTCATCAATTCATCTTCTACCTACTACCAGAACTTTATATCAAAAAAATTTAAATTTGGTCATATCACTGCCATGCTTGAAAGTTTTTCATGAATTTCCATTGCCTCCAAAATTCAAGCAAATGCATTAGGCTGATGTCAAATGTCCTTCTCTGATGCCAATGTATCTTTCAGTCACATTTCTCACCTCTGCAACCTGAAGCCCCAATGACTAATGAGTTTCATTTTAAAGCAGGTCATGTTTGTATAAACCCCCAATATCTGTGCGTGTGATTTTTCCCTCTGCTGAAAATGCCTAGCCCCAAAGCCAAAACCCCACTCTGTTCACTTGGCAAGTCTAATCATTTTCTAAAGCCCAATTCAAAAACAAACTCTGTAAAAAAGTCATAGACACTTAACATCAGAAATTTCAGTTTTTCATATTCAGGGATTTCATAATCCTTTGCAGAAATCTTCATAACAACTTTTATCCCCACATTGTATTAAATTACTTGTATCTGAGTTGTCTGTTTTCTCCACTAGACTGCAATTCACAAACCATATTTTAGTTATCTTTTACGATCTCAGCAGATACCCTGGTACCCAGTCCTTAAGCCATAGGGCATAATGTTTCTAGCATTTAGTAATGACTCTGGAGAGCCAAATTTTTAAATTTTCTTTGTAACTTACCAGCCATGTGCTTTGGACAGGTTGTTTAATCTTTAAGCTTCAAAGGTTTTCTCACACATAAAAAGAGATAATAAAGATGCATTCAACAAATATTTATTAATTTCTACTATTTGCCATGCACTGTTCTAAGTGCTGGGGATATATTACTGGAAAAATATACCAAAATATATGACTTTATGGAGTTTATGTGTGAATAGATACCTAACTAATGGGTTTGTTGGCAGATGCAAAAAAGATAATTATGCATAAATTACTTGCCCACTATGAACTATGTAGAAATTTTAGGTCTTATTTCTTTCTGACATAGAAAAATCTAGAGAAGAACAGTGTGGCTCAAACATTATACAGCGCCTTAGTGATCATTCTAACACTCCTGTTCAGTCTCAATTGTAATTCTTATTTTCTCTTTTTTTCTCAAGAGGATTTATGGAATTTGATGATAATGAAGGAAAACATTCATCAAAGTGACATCCTCAGGTGATTTTTCACTTAAAATTTACAACTGAAATAACAGTGTATTGGACAAAGGAAAAAGAGTCTGTCCAGTTTTATTTAATAATTTTGGTTACCCATGTCTACCTACAAGCAGAAAAAGTACATTTTAAAAAAATAAATGAATATATTTTTTTCATGTACAAGTTTCTAATAATAAAATTTTCTTAAGAGAGGAGGTAGAGCTGTGAGATGAAGTGAATAAGGATGGCAAGTTTGGAGACCTGATTCCTGTCACAAATCTGCTAGGAACTTGCTTTGTACAAGTTCAGCCTGTGAAATGAGGGGCTAGCACGCACTAGCAATCTAAGGACCCACGTAATCATGCAGTTAGTTACTCATAAGAAGAGTGAAATTTGCTGAACCTAATTCAGAGAGAAAGGATAACAAACTTTCTATCTCACGCAGTTAGATATATGGGCAAACAATATAGTTTGAGTGCTCAGAAATACTTGCTTTTTCCCTACTCGGGTCTCTCCTGAAAATGCATATTGAAATACGAAAACAAAAGTGTTAGATCTGGAAAAGTAGTAATATTAGTAGCTGGTATGAACTGTGTTCTTACTCTGTTTTAGGCATTAAGCTAAGTGATTAATGACTAAGGGCTTGTAGTATTTAATTCATAATCACTATGCAAAATAGATATTATTATTCTTAAATTTTATAAATAAGGAAATGAAGGTTCAGGGAGGTTTGCTAATGTGGCTATATTGATAAAGGATGAAGACACAATTTGAATTTAAGCAGCCTGATTCCAAGGCCTGTGCTGTATCTCTAAGCCATAGTGCTACTGGAAACAGAGCAGAATAGTATAGGAGAAGGCAGTGGAGAATAATGATTAAGCTAAGTAATCTAAGTCATACCTCAAGATGTTCATAGAAATACAACACCACCCCTTTGCTTAGTTGAGTTACTTTATCTGCATATTCAGGAAGCATGGCCTTTCCCAACTTCTGTTTGTGATCTGGTCTGGAAATGCTCCTTTTCCCCATTGGCTCCATTTCATAACCTGGGTGTGATTAATGTAAGTTCAGAAAGCTACTATCATATTCCCCCGGAACTTAGCCCACCCTTTCCCATGTGCTTCTAAGGATGAGAATCAGGCTTGGGCATTGAAATCAAAACATGCCCAACCCCGACACTCCTGACTCTTACCCTAAGGCCAATTAAGCTTTTAAACTCAGTCACTTATGTTTGTATGTCTTCATTCCCATCTTCTCAGAGAACAGCCTGCCTCTTCTTGCAGGTGTCCTAATACTTTGCCTTCATTCCGGCTTCTGGTACACACCTATAATTTTTGGTACCCACACCCCAAATCCTTGGAGTACATCCTACAGGTCTGGTCTATGATGTAGTCTAATAGGCAAGGCCACATGGAGGAGCAGAAAGAACAGAAGACATAGACAAGATGTAAATTCAACTTCTAAATCAGCCACTTAATGGTTATGTAACCGTGGTCAGGCCACTTTACCTGCCTGAGCCCCACTTTTCTCCTTATGAATTTTTAAAACATAGGGAATCTTAATGCCATAAATTTTTTAACTGCACATGAAAAACTTGGAATTGATGCATGAACCAACCTAAGATGCCCTGATGAGCAGGGAGGAATGGCTCAATCTAGGGTTGTAATATAAAAAACATTAAACTAGGGAGAAGGAAGCAACTAAGGGAGAGACTAATTTTTGTATTCTTAGTAGAGACAGGGTTTCACCATGCTGCCCAGGCTGGTGTTGAACTCCTGGCCTCAAGTGATCTAAGTGATCACTTGGATGCCCACCTCAGCCTCCTAAACTGTTCCGATTATAGGCATGAGACATGGCATGCAGCCAGAATTTCCTAAATTAAGATAGGTAGTTGGATAGATAGATCTTATGTTTCTCTTATTAACATTGATTTTTTTTTTTTTGAGACAGAGTCTCACTCTGTCACCCAGGTTGGAGTGCAGTGGTGCCATCTCGGCTCACTGCAACCTCTGCCTCCTGGGTTCAAGTGATTCTCCTGACTCAGCCTCCCGAGTAGCTGGGACTACAGGTGTGCATCACCACACCCGGCTAATTTTTGTATTTTCCTTTAGTAGAAATGAGGTTTCACCATGTTGGCCATGATGGTCTTGAACTCCTGACAGTGATTCACCCCCCTTCGGCCTCCCAAAATGCTGGAATTACAGGTGTGAGCCACCATTCCCGGCCGATCCCTCCCTTTTTTTTTTTTTTACACATTTCTTTAATGCTTCTTTAATCCATACCTACTATATCAATCAGCCAATGCTACCAAAATGAATAACTAGCTGGCTGTTGAGAAGTTTATGGACTCAGCAATCACATAGCTCTGTGTATCTCATAACTGTGGAAGGAAATGATAAAGTTATGCATAAAGGGGCCTTGGGAATGCCTTGGAAAAGATAAGAAGGAATATCTGGAGGAGGGGATAAGCATTATGAATGCTCTACAAATAAGGTGAACTCTGAGAGAAGAGATTCTACACACAACCTGATATGATGAGTAGAGAGAGGTACAGTATTTGGAAAAATATCCAATAACCGAATACCTGGTTCATCTGAGAACCTCTCAGCCTCTACTGAACAACATTGGCATGATTTTTACTGGCTTTAATATTTTCAATAAAATTAAAATTTTAACTCCATTTGTCCTGCATTGTTTAAAACCATATGAATTCAAGTCATCTTTTTTTGTGTCTTAAGTCATTTGATATTTTAAGTATAAATTTTCTTTCCTGCTTAAAAACAAATTTGGACAAACCTCACTAGATTACTAAAATTATCAAAAGAGGTAATGGATAGAAAGTCACTTTATGAATTCTTAATTTTTATACAAGTGTTTTGGATTAAGGCAAAATGTACTATAGGACACACTAGACTTTTATGCTTAGACTTGCTCAGTCAGAACTTCCTAGGGAGGGATCTAGGAATAAGTAAGTCAGACAGGAAATTCCAGTGCACCTGATAAGCAAAATTGCCCGTGGCCACAATGTCACTTGATTACGTTTTCATGAAGTCTTATGGAAAATTTTTCTTTTAGAAATCAGGCAAAAAAAAAAAAAATATGCCTTCCCTAAAGTCAGATTCCTCTTTTCTGCTTATAAGATTTATGTGATGGCTGGGCATAGTGCCTCATGCCATTACAGGTGCCTACCAAATCCCAGCGCTTTGGGAGGCCGAGCGGGCAGATCACCTGAGGTCGGGAGGTGGAAACCAGCCTGACCAACATGGAGAAACACTGTCTCTACTAAAAATACAAAATTAGCCGGGCATGGTGGCACATGCCAGTAATCCCAGCTACTCATGAGGCTGAGGCAGGAGAATCGCTTGAACCAGGGAGGCAGAGGTTGTGGTAAACCAAGATCAAGCCACTGCACTCCAGCCAGGGCAACAAGAGCGAAACTGTGGCTCGTAATCCCAGCACTTTGGGAGGCTGAGGCAGGCAAATCATGAGATCAGGAGATCGAGACCATTCTGGCTAAAACTGTGAAACCCTGTCTCTACTAAAAATACAAAAAATTAGCCAGGTGTGGTAGCGGGTGCCTGTAGTCCCAGCTACTCGGGAGGCTGAGGCAGAAGAATCGCTTGAACCTGGGAGGCAGAAGCTGCAGTGAGCCAGGATCACAGCCACTGCACTCCAGCCTGGGCAACAGAGAGGGACTCTGTCTCAAAAAAAAAAAAAAAAAAAAGATTTATGTGACTTAGTTTTTTTCTTTTTCATCACCTATCTATCCAGAAACTCAGTGAAACTGGTGACTCAACTTATCCTTAGGAGTTTATTCAATGTACATTCTCCCTTCATTCTTGTTTCTGATTCTTTCTTTATATACTCTGAATTTTTGCTTTGTTGTTTTTGTTGCTCATTTCCTCAAGAATGTATTATAGTTGATTTTATTATGAAACCTCTTCTATTTTAAAGTGCAGAAGCATAAAAATTTTAAGGGAAAGGTTAAAAGTTATTTGGTTTATTTAACGTCTTAAACCAGCTCTACTTGGTAATTGTTTTCCTCTCTTTGGCTTGTGTTTCAAAGGACACACCCATGTGGCTCCTGGACAATCCAAGAGCAGCCAAATCCTGCTTTTCCAGTTTGGCTCCACAAGTCCTCCAGGACAGAGCCCTCAAAGCAACTCCCAACGAGTTCTCAGGATTCAGGCTCTGGCTTCAACCAAACAGAACTCATTTTGAACACCCTGACTGCATTTTTGCTTTTAGAAAGTTAGAATAAATATGGCGCTTTGGGATCACATAGTTGATGGAGAGGATTTGTGTTGCTATTAGTAATTTTTTCTGGCCATGTTTAAAGTTTTAATGATGCAAATATATATCTCTTGGTGAATATTTATATATTTATATATTCAACAGGATAACCAAAGAATGGTTCAAAATAAGAGGACTAAAGCCCAGATAATGTAGCAAGTTCGAATTCACAGAGCCAATAAGTGACAGAAAGAGGATTAAAACCTGACCTCAAAACAAGCTCTCAACTCCTAAAAATGTATGCAATTTCAGAGTTAAAAGTTTTACACATCTTTTTTAGAAAGTATTTTAAAACTATCTGAGCCCACTCTCCTATGCTAGTAAACTTAAAAACTGACCTTTTTAAAATTAATAAAATCATTGCCTTCCCACAGAGTCACTATTTTTCTCATAAAATAGCAGTGTCAGGGATGGAAGAGTCATTGAAATGTTTAGTTGCAGGCCTTTCGTGCCACCACCTTATTACACAGAGGTGGATCCTCTGCAGCCATGGCTATGGTTCTTGCCCACTTACCAGAAGTAAAATGTGACATAGCAGAGCTAGAAATACAGTAATCTCCCAGAATTGTTTACTGTGGACAGTAAGACAAGACTGAAATCTTATTATAGAGCAAGATGCCAGTTAAAGCAGTGCTCTAATCTAGAATAAAGTTTCTATGTGCTTCTACTGAGTTCTCAAAAGCTATCTTGGGTTTTGTCCTTCCCAAACACATAAACTCTGAAAGTAACTCAAATGTATGTTTAATAAATGTTTTGTTTGTCTGTCTTCCTGTTTTTACTTAGCCAGAAGAGGTGTGCATGCAGCACAAATAATTTTAATAATACAGGTAGATAAACCAAGAGTGAATTCCTACTAAATGTTGAAAAATGCATGTTACTTTCTACAATAAATTCAGACAACTCACACTCTGCATTTTCTAGGGATTGTGTCAATTTCAAATATCACATCCCACTTAACTAAATTACTTAGAATGTCTATTATATTCAGTATCTGGCACACAAACTGCTTCTCCCCATCAAATGTGGCTGCAAAATCTCTTTTCCAATGTTGACTCACTGATTTGTGCCTAGATAACATATTTACTACAACTATATTAATTAATACACTACTTATATGTGAGAAACATACTCTACCAGAACTTTCCTGCCTTTATCTTCACCTGTCTATTGTACATTTTGAAATCACTTTTTCATGTTGAGGGTTGGGAAAGTGCCATATCAATACAAGATTTGGTAAATTCCTAACGGGTCGCTGACAAAGATCTCCAACGATCTATAGAGATTTTGAAGATTTCCCAACTGCTTTACAATGTGTGTTTCCTCTTCCTCCCCTTCATTGCCTTCTTCCCCTACCCTCCAATAAGACCCATGTCTTCAGCCAGCAGGTACACCTGTTCTTAAAGATCAAGAATCTCTTTCATCTGCATAGAATTTTTCTTTTGGGACTCTTTCCCAGTATCATCTCCTTGTAATCTCATAACTGCAATGCGATTGAAGTGAATTAGGGAGGTATTGTTTTCTGCATATGACAGGTGAAGAAACTGAGGCTCAGGAGGCTGATTGGTATCATGCCTAAGATACCAAAATTGGTAGAGGCTACATGGGAGCTCCAGCCAAGTGTGTCTAACTCCCAGCAGAGAATTCCCCTGTGACATGCTGAGGACACAATCTACATCATCACTATTCTGTCCCAAATCCCAAACTTTCTATCATGACTCAAGTGCTTGAGGGAATTTATGCTTGACTTTTTACAGAAATGCTGAGTAGATAGAGTAATTCTATTTAAATAAAATTCAATTCAGATTAATTCCTTCTGCCATTTCCCATCTCATTTGAAACAAACACTTCATTTAAAAATTTCTTTACAATGTGGCAAAGATCCTACCTGAGTTATTCACTTCCCTTCCTTTCTCCTACTCATTAGCTTTCTCTTTTCACTCCAGCCATATTGGGATCCTTGTCAGTCTTTAAATAGTCCAAGTATGTTCTTTTTATAGGGCCTTACATTTCCTCTTCCCTGTGCCTAAATTACTCTTTCGCGAGGTGGCCACATGGCTTGCTCCTTCATTTCTTAAGGTCTTGTACTAAATATCACCTTCTCAGTGAAGCCTTCATTGATCATTTTATTTAAAACTGCATCTTCTGCCCTAATACGTCTATATTCTTTGGCTGCTTAATTTTTCCTCCTATGGATATATATTTTTTAATATATGTCTTTTAACACAATGTTAAAACTTTATTTATTTCATTCCTTTTTCTGCCTACCTTCATTAAAATGTAATCTCCACGAGGCAAGAATTTGGCCTTTTTTGTTCAATGTTTCTGGTGCAATCATGAGCAATTAGAACAGTGTCTAGCAGAGAGCAGCTGTTCTGTAAATGTTTCTTGTATTTTGCAAAAAGTGAAGAAATTTAAATGATAGAGCTTCTACCCAAGGGCAAGATAGTAAGGGTACACAGTTGAATATCTCATGATTTTTGCTTTCAAGTGCCTCACAGTCTTGATGCAGAAGATATGCGTGCATAACCAACTAAACATACTCAACACGGTGCAGCATAACAGAGGCACGGACATGGGAACATGGGAACCAGCACAAAGAACCATTCATGCTCCCTCGGAAATCCGGAAAGATTTCTCTGATGTAATAATATTTGATCCATGACTTGATGAATGATAAAGGATTTGAAGACATGGAGAAGGAGAAGGAAGGGCATTTCAACCACAGAAGAAAGCTTAAACCAAAACTCAGACTATGGCAATGCTTGACATTCAAGGATAGCCTTATAATCCTTCAAACTTACCTACCTTTATTAAGAAACAGATTTCATTAGGATACCTTCCATGCTTGGTCCTGCATAAATGCTACCTCATTGAATCCTCATACTTAGTACAAAAATTAGATATGATTATTCCCTTTTGAAATGATGCAATTGAGAATCTGACAAGATCACCCAGTTGAGTAACGCTGGAGCCAAACTCGAACAAAAGTCTGTGTGACTGATTTCCTTTTGTATTTATTTTGAGAGTGAGAGGAATTACTTTCTTTTTAAGAAAATTAATTTTATTTTATGTTCTGGGATACATGTGCAGGACATGCAGGTTTGTTACATAGATAAACGTGTGCCATGGTGGTTTGCTGTATCTATCAACCCATTACCTAGGTGAGAGGAATTACTTTTTAATATGTACTAATTGACAGAATGTTTTCTTCAAAATTTAGATCCAAAAATTATTAAAGTGGCATATGTTACCATGTGAGAGGGAAAAATGAGGGGAATATGGAAATGTGTATATACTTCTAAAAGTTAACAATCTCCCACACTAATCCGATTATTCCCAAACCAGCCATATCAGCAACCAATATTGTTGCTGTTGTCCCTGACTGTTCAAACATATCCAAACATATTCACATGTAGAGTGGGGTTTGGGTGAGTGCTTTACTCTGCAGCTTGACTGTCACTGAATAATTTCTCATGGCATTTAGTTTAGGTAAACAGATAGAAATCTTTAAAAAGCTATTCAATATCTCATTATTTCCCTATTGATAGACTTTCATATCATTTCTATTTTTTCAGCTTTTCAAAGGATTCTGCAATAAACAAGCTTATATGTATAAGCACATGCACTAATATTTATATATAAATATTTTTATTTAATGTTTTTATAAAAGGTTTTCAAAAATTGAATTGCAAGATCAAAGGGCATTTTAAAAAATGCTAATGGACATTGTGAAAAAGCCTTCAAAATGTAGCCACTCCCTTATTGGCCCAAATGGACACTTTATGGACTCACAGCATATAAGTAATTTTCTAAACTTATAACTGATGTACAAAAACTGCATGCATTTAAAGTATACACTTAAAGAATTTAAACATATGCATATACTCCCAAAACCACACAATTTAAATACTGAACAATCTTGGAGCTCACAAATAAGTGGGAGATACAAAAAATCATCAGATAATCCTACATAAACCTATAATTACATTTTGAGAGACTTGCTTGGGAAGGAAGGAAGATGGTTCTCTTGGAAGCTGTCACAGATGTGTATCAACTGGGTGAAGGAAGGTTCCTAAGGAAGGGAGACATGTGCTGAGATCTCAAAAGAGAAATAATAAAGTGGTTGAATAGGACAAAATTCATAAGGCAATGAAGGAGAAGAGGCATTTATAGTTGAGTGAATGGCATTTGCAAAAGCCCTGTGCTAGGTATACTGTTCTCTAGCCATGAAGAAACGTCAAGGTGGCTGGAAAGCAAATAAGAAGGAAGAAAGTAAGTCTTACAGGACCTCATAGGTTATGGTCAGGATTTTATTCTTAAATCCAAGAACAATGGAAAGCCACCAAAGGATTTTGAGCATTGGAACACATATGATCATTGTTGCATTTTAAAAATATCAGTTGGCTGTTGTGCAGGCTAGACAGAGGGGTCCAGAGTAAAGCAAGAAGCCAGCCAAAAGCTCTTGAGCAAGGGAGGGTCAATGCAGACAGAACCATGTGGAAGGATTCAAGAGAATATTAAGACATTAGGTTGACAGGACATGGTGATTAGTTCTACATGACGTGTCAGGGAGAGGGAAGTATCAGGAATGACTCGTAGGAGTCTGACTAATGCAAGTGGATATGGTTGCATATGCAGTGTTGCCACTCAGGTATATGGAGAACATTGGATACAAAATTTCCCAAGGCTTTTCTGGGCTCTTAGGATAAATACAGGGCCATGACCATGACACCTAATGCATGGTTTGACCTTGGCTTGTGTCCCTGTGCTCCTGCTGCCACCTGTGCACTGAAACACAGGTGATGTTTCAGTTCTTTGAAGAAGCCAAGTTCTCCTTATCCTCAGGATATTCATGCACTTAGTACCTTCCACACAGAATATTATTTGGTTAAGATGGGTTCTTCCAACCTCAAGTCCCAACTTGGCATGTCCATAGAAATGACCTAAAATAAACAGGCAATCTCTTGTCACTGTGACCTTTCTTAGGATCCTATTCTTTTCCTTTATTGTTATTATCATAACTTATAATTATCCTTTTACCCATGTTTATTTGTGTGGTTTCTATCTCTCCCTTTACACTGTGAAATCTATGGAGATATGGGTCATGACAATTTATTACTGTATGCTTCCTGTCCAGCAAAGATCCTGCAACTAATATTCAATAATTATTTGCTGAATCGAAAATATATGGAGGAAACAATGAATGACCAATAGCTATCACTGTTATTATGGTCATTGTCAGTATCAGAAAACAAGTTCTCATTTGATAATGAGAGAGTTAAGGACAGAACAAAGAATGCACCATTTAACAATGCTTGAAATGAAGTCAGAGGTAGTTACTAGAAAGGGGGAGCATCAGGTAGTTGCCATTTAGTTGTGAATCCCCAGTGAAAAATTTAATGCAATAGAAGGTGCTGATATTTCTCATTATCTACCTTGCATATATACACAAATGTTTTCCTTGATTTTGCTAATAATGAGCGCCCTCTGCTGTCTTTAATCTGCCTCAATAGCCTGCGAGCTCTTCATCTGGTTGCTTTCTAAAATAAAAAATAATGTAGCAAATAAATTGTACTTACCTGTCTGGTTGTACTGCCTATCTTAGACATGAAACTAAGAAATCATATAATTCATACCTTGCATGGCTTGACCCTCCAGCACATAATAAAAAGGGATTTACAGCTAGCTTAGGGAGAACAATCATACCCTAGGCATTGTCTTGGGTCCCTAATCCCATCTTTGGAAATGGCACTTCTCCGACCTCAGTCACCTGAGATACCAACTGTTCTTCCCCATTGAAATGTGTGACTAGTTATCAAAATTTTAGACACCATGTAATTCTGGACCTTGCATTTCCACTTTCAAGGTTTTTCTGAAGACATAAAGACAAAAATGTATGCAAAATATGCATGCTCACTATAGCACTTTTTATAATAACAAAAAATATAATTAGATATTAGAAACAATATAATATACATTATATAAATTAAATTAATATTCACATAGATAACAATTTAAATAAGGCATATGTCATTCATATGTGCAATGTATCATTCATGTATGTTTGTAAATATTTAGAAAATGTCTTGAAAAAAGCACATCAATGTGAACAGTGGTTTCCTCTAATTTGTGGAATTTATGGATGAAGAGAATGAAAGTTACATATATGCATATATGTAACTACAGTTATACATAATTATAGTTGTATATAATTATATATAACATGTTAATTATATTCCATATGATTATATGATAATTATATGTATATATTTCTATATTCTGATGATCTTTAAAATAATTTTTAAACTTTTTAAGATAACTATAGATTCACATGAAGTTTTAAGAAATCATACAGAGCAATCCAGCATATTTTCTACCAAGTTTCCTCCAATGGTAGTATCTTGCAAAACTATGCTGCTACATCAAAACCAGTATGCTGACATTGATACAGGTAAAACACAGAATATTTCTGTCCTCATAAGGATCTCTCATACAGCTCTTATATAACACACTCACTTCCTTCCTGCCCCCATCGTCTCCTTAACCCCTGGAAATTACAAATTTGTTCTTTATTTCTATAATTTTGTCATTTTGAGAATGTTACATAAATAAAAGTATACAAAATTTAACCTTTGGGGTTTGACATTTTTTCACTCAGCATAATTCTCTAAGGATGCATCCAGGTTACTGTGTATATAAATAGTTTGTTCTCCTTTTTTGTTGAATAGTATTTCTTTACAAAGATGTCCAAAATTTATCCATTCATCCACTGAAGAACAACTGTGTTGTTTCCAGTTTTTGGCTACTAAAATAAAATTGTTATGACCATTTGTGTACAGGTTTTTGCATAAATATAAGTTTTTGTTTCTCTGGGATAAATGCCCAAGAGTACAATTGCTGGGTTTTATGGTAGTTGCATGTTTAGTTTTTTAACAAAATGTCAAACTATTTTACCAGAGTAGCTGTACTGTTTTACTTTCACACCAGCAATGTGTGAGTGATCCAGCTTGTCTACATCCTCACCAGCATTTGGTGTTGTCACTTTTATGATAATGTTTATCATCAGTTTCTGCCTGCCTTCCCAAACATAATTTGTCCCCAGATTCCTTCTTAATCCCTCTGTTTGATACACCCCTGGAAAAAAAACCTTCCAACCCAGTAAACTGTCAGATTACTGCTATTACTCAGAGTACAATGGCAGAGAACTTTATCCCCAATCTTTTCCATTTAATACCTTAGTGAAGACATAGAGAGGCATCCTTCTCAAATATGCAAAACACTGGGAGAGAGAGAGCAATGAAAGGCTTAATAATATGACTAGTGGAACAAAACAAAGGGGCCAACCCAATCAGATACAACTTAACAGAAACAATCCCATTTATTCAACAGAACCAACACCGACTATCTTCAGGCTCTGTGCGATGTGCTGAGGATACAGACATGTACATTAGAGTCACTAACCATTTAACTTGACAGTCTAGAAAAGAGACTTTGAAATAAGTATGAAAACAAATACGTTTAAACTTATATTATTAATGTGTCTATTGATTTAACATAGTGTCTGACTCTTTTTTTTTCAATCAGCATTAAAAAACTATGGATGAATTTGAAGTTGGGGAATAATTCCTGTATTTTAGGAAGTCTCCTTCTGTGTATGGATGATGGATTAGAAGGGGACCTTTGGGAATACAAAAGTCACTTGAGAGATTAACACAGTAGTTTGAAGGGAAATGACAAGATCTGCAGCTGGGAACAGTGGCTCATGCCTCTAATCCCAGCACTCTGGGAAGCTGAGGCAGGAGGATCGCTTGTGCCCAGGAGTTCAAGACTAGCCTGGGCAACATGGTATCTAAAAAAATACAAAAAACATTAGCCAGGCATGATGGTATGTGCCTATAGTCCTAGCTACTCAGGAGGCTGAGGTGGGAGGATCACCTGAACCCAGGAGGTCCAGGCTGCAGTGAGCTGTGATGGCACTATAGCACTTCAAAAAAAGAAAAGAAAGAAAGAAAGAAGAGAGAGAGAGAGAGAAAGAAAGAAAAAAGAAAGAAGAAAGAAAGAAAGTAAGTTTTAGGAACAGTACCAGTGGTGATCATGAAAAATGTGTGCAATAGTTGTGAAAAGGGTTGATAAGGCTTGCTTACCAATCAGAAAGGAGGCTGATGACAGAGAGTACTTAGGATTATTCCCAAGTTTCTGTCTCAGGCAACCACTAAAATGTCTGTGCTGTAAACTGAATAGCAAATTAAAACATAGGAGTGGGTTTTGAAAGAGAGACAATGAGTTCAGGTAAAAATGTTTGAGTTGAACCTAAAAAAGAGCATCCCTTGGAGGTGTCTTATAGGTAACTAAATCTCTTCTTTAAAAAAAAAAAAAAGGTATAGATTGTAGCCATAGATTTTAGAGTTCCTAACATAAAGATTATATTGGCGTCCATGGTAGTACATAAGATTCTCCAATAAAGGTTATACACAGAGTAAAAATAGAAGGGGAATCAAGTTTAGTATCTTTGGAGGTATCAATGTCCAAGGGAAGTCAAAAATAATAAGGGCCATTTAAAGAAACTGAAAAATAGTGGTCAAATAGCAGAAAACTAAGGTAGGCGGAAAGATGGCATGTAATTCAATAGAAAAGAAAATTGCAAGTATGAGAGTCATCTAAGGTGACAATTACTTTGAAGTCATCAAGTAATGTGGTCAATTACATTACATTAATCATATTTGGCACTGCTCTTTCCTATAGGATAATTATACATCCCCTTCCTAAAGAAGTCAAACATGGTCAAATGACTTGCTCTGGCCAATTAAACATGATTGGAAGTCATATACTTCACTTTTAAGAAGAAGCTTTAAGAGTTAGCTCATTGTTCACCAAGTTCTCTTTCCCTGTAAACATAAGCAAAATGCACAAGAGAGACTATTCCATCAGCTCCTGTATAGAATTCATAAAACATTGATCATAGCTACAGCCAACCAAAGATGGCCACATACTGTGAGGAACAAGTGACACACTGTGCACGTAAGCCACTGAGATTTGGGATTATTTATTACTGCAGCTGGGCAACCTAATCTATCATTATAGGCATAGGTAAAATAAGGAAATAAAGTAGGAAATTTCACAGAGTGAAAGCTATTTTAGTTGCCAAAAAATGGAAGTCAAGCAATGGAAGGAAATTAAGATAATATCCCTAGAGATAACATTTAACATCATCTTAGTCAGAAACCAATTAAGAAACAGAAACTACTCAAAGTACTTACAACAGAAGGAATGTAATGCAAAGAATTGATTGAATAGACATTAGAAGAGCTAAAAGTCAAGTAGGTGATGGTAAGGCACCCAGAAACTGACAACAGGAGGAAACCACTAACTTCAGCTGGAGAGAAAAAGAAAGGAGGTGGTGTAACCAGAGCCCAGAGGCTGGACTCACCCAGCAAAAGCTGGGACCAAGGCAGGCCTATCTAGCAGGACCTGGAGCTCAGACGTGGTACAGTCATTTCCAGAGACTTCTCCCTAATACAGAGCCAGAAAGGGTCATACAATAGTTTTCCTCTTTTCCTACTTCCTATCTACTGCCTGCGCCTCCCAGGGGCAGAACCTAGCCCAAATGTCAGCTGATTTGGGAACCTGAGAAATGCAAGCTGCAGCAATCAGTATCATGTTTCCTGTCCTGCCTCAACACACAGCAGAGCAGAGCAGAGCAGAACAGGGGAAGTGGAGGAAATGGACCTGACAGCAAACAGTCCAAAGACTGACACAGGCCAGGTCTGAAGGTCGATGGTGGCAGACATTCTAGGTAGGAAGAAACTTGATTTTTCATTAAGGTGTAAGAGTGTTAGAGGGAAAAGGATTTAGTTATCTGTTCAGTGTGGCTGGAGTAGAGCGCATGTGAAGAAAGGAATGTAGATAAGAAGACTAGACGTGTAACCAAAAGCCAGATCATGAACAGCCTTGCATGCCATGCTCAGAAGCTTGAAATCTGCTCTACAGGCCGTCATGATATTACCAGAATAATTCCTTGGAAAGATAATTCTGTCATCACTGTAGATGACAGAGTAAAGGAAAGAAAAGATAGTTCATCACCCATTTGCCTAAGGATGATGTAGTAAAGGCCTAACTTGGTGGAAGGATTGGTGAAAGCTATTGAGTGGCCATAGCTTAACTACAAACTTAAGAACTAGCATTCTAGTGAAACAGAAGCCAAACCAATGAAGTTAGTAAGATGCTAGTCTTATCAGACAATATTTTGAAAATTATTTTTTCATTTTTTAAATGTAAAAATTTATTTAGGATGGGGGATAGGAAAGTGAAGGGTCTGAAAACACCGTGAGATAAAACATTTGGGAAAAATAGAGATGTTTAAATTAGAGATAAGGAAAGGAGAAGGAATGATTATGTCTTACTTAAGATTCCAGGTTTTCTTTATAAAAACAGGCTCTCTCGAGTTTATGAACCAAGGGAAAACTAATCTGGATACGTCCTTCTGAATAGAGTCCCCAGAAATAAAAATAGGACGACTGAAAATGTATTCATTGCTTTATTTGTCCTTTTCACGGGTCACTACATTTTAGGGCATTTGATCTATAATTGGTAGAACAGGTTTCAGGCAGGGAGGATAGGAGCATCATCTTCCATCCCCATCCACCTCCGCTCTTTATCTTGATGTCACACCAAGTGTGATAGCGCCTCCTGAAATGTAGAAGGACAACAAAATTTAGAGCAGCTTACATGTAATTCGCATGTTTCAAAACATATTCACTTCCAGTGTCCTGTTTGGCCACTATTTTACTGATGGGGAAACAAAAACTCAGAGTGATTACGTCTCATCCAAAATCACGAAGGTGGTAAATGGTATTGTCACAACTATAACACATGTCACTATCATTCAAAAACCCTTCCCAGAAATGTAGAAATTGTATTTTTCCTGAGATTCCAGGATGTGCAAACTTCCTATGAATATAATCAGTAAAGTGGAAATGCACATTTACAAGGGACAAGAAGAGGAGCTAGACATTCAGGGTGAGTATGCCTCCCCTTTGGCAGATTAGCCTCCCAAGCTGTGGTTACCAGCAGTTTCTTCACAGCTTCAGAAGCCTCTGGTCCCAGCTCATTTACACACTTCCTTAGCCCCTCCACAAGGTGCTCAACAGAAATGCCCAGAGTTTTCAGAAGAAGCTTTAATGGATCCATAAAGGGAAGAATGTTGTCCAGAGGTAAAGGTGCCAACTTGTCAACAGGAAGGGGCACTTTGTTGATGAGGAAGGCAGTAGCTGCAGGAAAAAGAGAAACCAGGTGAGACAGGCACATCTGGGCCCAGACTATGACCTCATCTTCTTTCCCTGTGTCCATCAATAGCTCCATTCCAGATCCACTCATCTTACTTCCATTGAAAACTTCTACCTCTGGCCCTTTGCACCTGCTGTTCCATCTCCCTAGAACTTTTTTTCCTTAGCTAGCTACTTACCTTTCTTTCTCACATTATTTGGTCTCTCTTCAAATATTACCTCCTCGGAGAAGCCTGCAATGGCCATAGTCACTCTCCGTCATTTATTTTTTCTTACCATTACCTAAAAAAAGCAACTCTTCATTTGCTGTTTTTATTGTCTTTATTTTCTCATTAGAATGGAGGCTCCATGAGAACAAGGAATGTGTGTTTTTTCGCTAATGCACCCATGCCTACAACTGACCCTGGCAGCGTAAGCATTCAACAGATCATTGTGATTGTCTGAAGGCGATGGTATTTTGTATGTGACTGTCTCCACAGCTCACAGCTTTGAGGCTAAAGGAGAGATGCTATAGTGAATCTCCACATAAAGACAGGAATGGACCCAACCACAGCCCAAGAAACTGCTCCCAACCAATTCAACTCAACGCTACAAACATAATTGAGCACCAACTCTATCTAGTCTGTGCAGATACATAGACAAATAAGACAAGGATGCCCATTCAGAGACTTCACACAGTCCAGTTGGTGATAGAAGATCTGTGTATGCCACAGTGTAGCATGTGCTATGCTAACATTATGGACAAAGCTCCATGGAAACACAAGAAAGGGATGACTAATTCTAACATGAAAGAGTGCTGCAGGAATTTTCCAGAAGTGCTGTTAGAGCTATGTCTTGAGGCAAATGTCAGGATCATAAGGTAAAGAAGAGGAGAAGCATTTTAGAAACATGACCAATAAAGGCACGGAACCATTAGGATAAAAGTGCATACACAGGATGGTGAGCCTTCTGCCCAGAAGGCTGGAGTGCAGATTTCCAATAGGCTATGACCAAAGGATGGAAGATAAAGGGAGTGAGGCTGCAAAAGTTGAGTGAGGTCAGATTTTTTAAAGTGTTGGATGTCACACAAAGGAGTTTGGATTTTTTTTTCCTGAGGGCAGTGGGGCGCTATCAAGGCTTTTACATAGGAAAATTACGTTTTATATCTTTGGCTTTAGGAAGATAACTTTCCCGTAGAAGATGAATGGTGGGAAAAAGTAGAGATTGAGGAAAATATGTACGATGTATTTTTTACAAAAACATGTGCAGATATATAAATGCACACATGCATGTGAGCACACACGTAAGAACACACATCCTCCTACTGGCTAAGACCTGCCATAGTTTATTTTCCTTTGGAAACCTATTATTTCCCCATTCAAATTATTAAAATGGAGCCTGTATATATTTTTTTAAATTTTCAATCACCTATTGTCCCTCCAAAATTCTCACCCAGAGGGGGCGGTATTTATTTTCCCCACCTCCTTTCTGCTGCCACTTTGCCCATAGATACCTGTCCCTGGACATTAGAGAACAGTGAAATATCCAAAACTGGTGAAGTTACAAATTCCTTCAGAAATTCAATAAACATCAAAAGCCAAAGTTGCCATTGTAGGTGTGGGCGGCAATCAATTTTTCATTATTAATCTCCATACTTCTTATTTCAGACATTTTGGTAAATATCTTCTCTGTATGTGTTTACAGCTTCCTGGGAGAAGATCTTCAAAGCCTTCTGTTCTCTCAATGAGCAGTGGCTATCATGAAATCTCTTTTTCCCATGTGCCCACACTGTCTTCCTGATAGTTACAATGATTCCTTCCAAAAAAATAAATCAGTTCCCATTCTCCTCCAAGAAGCCAGCTTCTATACCCTTACCTGAAAATTAAACTAATCACCCACCAATACACTAAAAGAGTTCTATCTGGATATCTCACAGTACGTTTACAGTAGTCTAGAATTATAGTAACTTAGGCAGAAGCCCTATCTATCCTACCAGAGTAGCACCTTAAGAACAATATTTATGACTGCTTCATGTCTAAATCTTCCAATGCCTATCCAGTGCCCAACAAATTGTAGCCATTCAATAAATATCCATTGAGTGGATAAACAGATGAATGTAGCTATCTCAGGAGAACCAAGCTAGCAAATTGGATAACTGGAGATGATAGCAAGAATGACTCCATATAGTTCAAAAGCACAAAAGAAATTATAAAGTCAAATTTTAACTCAAAATTGAGGAAAATAAGAAAAACGAATGGTGACCAATATCCAGCAGTGAAATGTGCTTTGTTGACCCTCCGTGGAAGTTGGCTAACTTCCTATGTAGGATGTATTAGAATACTTATATTGGGCTAGAGCTTAGATGGTGGGGATCTGAAATACTTTCCAACATCACCATTTTCTGTGATTCCAAAACTTCTTCCAACCCTGCAAATATGTGCAATTATTATGTGTCAGTTAAAAGTAAAATAAAAAAAAATACAATTCCTACCACCATATTCCACTGTCAGTGAGGCAAGGCTTACTAGTTGTGCTCTTATTAACAGAAAAGTAAAGAAATGTCACATATTCCAGATGTATTCCAGTTACTTACCAGAGTAACTACAAAGGCTGATGGTCACCAGCAGGAAGATAGTTACCAGCTTCATGACAGTTATCTGGGATATTTTTCAGGAGTTTAAAAATCAGAAAAATCTAGCAAAATCCACCAAGCCAGTGGTTCCACTTGCCATACAAAGTGTGATGGCTGCTTTTGCACACACATATTTATATGCCCATTGAGGACCTGAATTCTAGTCCCTACCACTTGACTCACCCCACCAAAGAAAGGGATAAATGTTATGTTTTCTCACCAAACAATTTGGAGGGTTTTCCACTTCCCCGTGTGTTCCCATGAGAAACAAAGCTCTACAGTACAGCATTCTCAAGTACCTCTTGCATAAACCCTTGCACAGAAATAAAAGCAGAAGGCAAAGAGCCCAACGAATCCTTCTCCTGGAAGAACATTGAAAAGAAGTGAAGAATTTATATTTGGATTAGAAGGAGTGTTTTCCTCTGGTTTTCTACATTTTTCCCCAGTTTTCTAATCATTTAAAGTTTGGAGAATCACATTAGCTGATGAACTACCCAGTTGTGAAAGCAATCTGGAGGCCACTCTGGTATAATACAGAGTCAGCTTCATGACATTTAGTGCCACATTTCTCTGGAATTCACCTGCCCCCAGCCCACTCACACATCTACTATGGTAAGATTTTCACACCTCTGTTACCTTTTCCAGTGTCAGTTACTTTGAGTATGTTCAGAGCATGTCTTCTCTGAGCCTTTGGATAGAATAATAGGCTTAAGATCTAAAATCAGAGTGTCTTTTGAAAAACCTGGGATTCAATTTTCACTGTTTGTGTAATCTTGGATTTGACATTTTTAATCTAGGATATTGGTCCTCTCATCTAAAATGGGAACATAAATAACACAACCAACCATAAGGTGTGTAGCTTGGGGAAAAAATTGTTTTTGCAAGATTCTTTGGCAATCAAATCCGATAAAATCATTCAAAAATACGTAATTGTAAGGTACTGGCTACAGGAGTAGTAATTTGTTTCCAAGGCTGTCTTTCTGGATCCAGGGTTCAGCCACAGGACCTCAGGACAACTTCATTTGTGAGCAGAAGTCCTGGAGTTCTTTGGGGCATCGAGTGGGCCCGACATGCAAGGAAGAGGGTAAGAAAGAACCATGAAGGGGTGAAATAGAAAGCGGAGTCCATATGGGCACAGGACCAGCTCAGGGCTCCCCGGCCACGTGGTACTGCTGGCTCCAGCCATTCCCACCACCAAAGTGGAACCCAGAAAATTTTGAGAAAACACACCTTAAGATGTAAGGCCAGAGGTTGGGGCTTTATTTGTCCTCATCTGAGGGTGTGGTATTGTAATGAAGATCTAATAAAATTATGCAGACAGAGCATTCTGCTATGCCAAACCAAAATTAATATCTAATTTATGTCACATTTTACTAATTTTTATGTTACCATGTTGTAACTGTCATTTCTTTATCTTTCTGCTACTTTATAAACTACTTTATAAACTACATGAAAGACACCATGAATGCCTGCCATGCACCTCAATCCTGCCACTTCTCCTTCTTTCTCTACCAGTACTGCTTCCATTTCTCCCACATATTCCCACTGATGCCAGTGATATTAATATACCAAGCCCCTCAAAGAGCCAAGGTTGGTGGTAAGATTGATGCCGTTGCCGGAGGAACAGGGTCCAGCTGCTTGCTCTCGTGGTCCAATGATGAGATACAGGTGAACTGGGAAAGAAGCGAGTTTATTTTTGTAACCAGCCACAGGGAGAAGGTCGGAGTAATTTACCAGACCAACTAAAAGTTATGAGTTTTTCCTTTAGTATATATAAATGAATTTCAAGCTCTATGCCTATATGCAGGAGTATTTCTACTTAGCCTAAATCTAATCTTTAACTAGTGGTCTGTGGGCTGGAAAGTTTCTTAATTTTACATGGGTCCTGGTATGGTTTGTATGTGCATGAATGCTTTTATCACTCAATCAGGTTTGAGGATGAGAAAGCCCAGGTAGGGTCTTAACGGGTTTGTTTCTGCATTCCAGGTCTCCTACTCAGGCACCAGTTTCTCTAGTTCTTCAATGTTTAACTTACACATTCATCATTACAGCAAAGGGCTTATGGAGACTTGGTTGCTTGTGGAGATCCAGCCTGCCACAATGACGCCCTTTAGTTTTTTATTATGGTCTCTTTTGGAATACTAAACCAGTGCTGCCCTCAAATTTGTTTGCTTGCTTTTAAATCCTTTCTCTTCACTTTCATTCCTGGCTCTGTATTATAGAAAGTTGACTTTTTAAAATGTGGTTTCCAGGCTTCCTTGCTTCCAGGCTTCCTTGCCAACTGCATCTGATTAAGTTAAGCCAGGGGAAGGCACAGGTGAAAGAGTGGAGAGAGAGAGAAAAGGAGAAGGGATATGTCTCCCTCTCTCCAATTCAGGAGCTATCATGGGTAGTGGCTGCACCCTCTCCAAGGCTCATCTCCTTTTGGAAAGGTCCTTTATCTGTGGTTCCCCCTGTGCCACACAGGCCAACATTGTTCCAGCTTTTACTGCATGGCCCCAGCTCCTAGACCCCACCTTCTCATCACTGTCCTTCCTGACCTAGAAGGAGTAACAACTTTCTGCATTTTCTAATCTCAGAGTTGATTCATCTTCTGCTTGGTTGCTTTAACTGCATTTCTAGCACTTTGTAAATTACCCTACATGTTGAATTCTTTCTGTGTGGTCACTTGGTATGGTTTTAACTTTTTGGCTGGACTCTGACTGACACAGCATCCTAAAATATTGTAGCGCTTTCAATAAAAAATAGGTTTTCCAGTTTCTAAACTGACTTCTTATAAAAGCCAAGTTATAAATCCATGAGGGATAGGACCGAGGCCTCCTCAGGTGAAATATAGCATTATACATGCAGAAATGCTTCTCTCTTTTAACCTCTGAAATGATTGGTACTGTATCAGGCTTCTCTGCTGGTCCTAGAGGGCAAGTTCTTTCCAGGAGATTCCTGAGACCCCTGGGCAAATAGATTTCTGTTGGGTCTATCTAGTAGTCAGCCAGCCATGCAGTCTTGACTGGAATGTACATGAAAAACATCAACTCAAAAGCACCCACAAATATCCACATACATATACATATATGAATAGTAGTATGTATGTGTGTGTACATGCAAATCATATTATGCATACACAGATAACCATCAAACACTATTGTTTTCACTCATTTGTTCAACAAATGTTTATTGAGTATCCATTGTGTCTCAGGCACTGTGTCAGCAATTAGGACTAGTGCAGAAAACCAGACAAGCAAATTTCTTGCCTTCCTGGAGCTGACAATGTAGTGAGATACACAGGCAAGAAACATGTAAACAAACAGAAAACACTAGTGGTTAGTGCTGTTGAAGAAGCAAATAGAAAGCTGTGAAAGACAACAAGTGGATTGGGGGTATGCTCAGAATTGAAAACATACTTGGACTTGTTCACTTCTGGGCTTCCTATGTTTTGAGCCACTGTATTAATCATGTCTTTTAATTCTGTATTTTTAACGTTTTGACCCCTTGGGGCCTTGCTGACCTTGAAAGGACTGCCCTTCCCAGGACTAGCTAATTCCTAGAGATATCACCAGGAGCATGCCTTTCATATGCAAATTAACCAATCCAGAGCCCAAAGCCCCAACGACCTTTATTGGGCTTGTGCACTGTGGGCCATTATTCCCATGCCTTAATCACCCCATGACCAACTAGGGACAGCCCCAAGATCCCAGAGCCCACCAAAATTATTCACACTAGCCCATTTAAAACCTGCTTACCCCATCTCTCCTGTCTTCCTTCAGAAACCACAATAAAGACTCCTGCTCACATTTTCCTCCACTCCATCTGTCTCTTGAATAACCCTGGTGCTTCCCGTGTGCCTCCAGCCCCATGGTGTGTCATGGCCCCTTGTATTGGGATCTGAGCACACTAAAATCTCTTTTCAACAGCAGTCAACTCCTGATCTGTTCACAAGAAGAATAGAATCTACATTTTAAAACAGCCATGTAGCCTTTTCTTGTGCCTTTGTTATGGTATTGTTACTGTAACCACTCAATAGATTCACCTTGCCTGCTGCCTAGACAGAGCCAATGTATGAAGACAGGGGAATTGCAATAGAGACAGAGTTATTCACTTAGAGCTGGCTGTGGAGGAGACTGGAGTTTTATTATTACTGAAATCAGTCTCCTCCGGCATTCAAGGATCAGAGTTTTTAAGGATAACTTGGTGGGTGAGGGGCCAGTGAGTCAGGAGTGCTGATTGGTTAGGTTGGAGATGAAACCAGAGTTGAAGCTGCCCTGTTGCACTGAGTCAACTCCTGGGTGGGGCTACTGTCAGGCCTCTGAGCCCAAGCCAAGCCATCGTATCCCCTGTGACTTGCACGTATAAGCCCAGATGGCCTGAAGTAACTGAAGAATCACAAAAGAAGTGAATATGCCCTGCCCCACCTTAACTGATGACATTCCACCACAAAAGAAGTGTAAATGGCCAGTCCTTGCCTTAAGTGATGACATTACCTTGTGAAATTCCTTCTCTTGACTCATCCTGGCTCAAAAAGCACCCACTGAGCACCTTGCCACCCCCACTCCTACCCGCCAGAGAACAAACTCCCTTTAACTGTAATTTTCCTTTACCTACCCAAATCCTATAAAACGGCCCCACCCTTATCTCCCTTCGCTGACTCTCTTTTCGGACTCAGCCCGCCTGCACCCAGGTGAAATAAACAGCCATGTTGCTCACACAAAGCCTGTTTGGTGGTCTCTTCACACGGACGCGCATGAAATTTGGTGCCATGACTCGGATCGGGGGACCTCCCTTAGGAGATCAATCCCCTGTCCTCCTGCTCTTTGCTCCGTGAGAAAGATCCACCTACCATCTCAGGTCCTCAGACCAACCAGCCCAAGAAACATCTCACCAATTTCAAATCCGGTAAGCGGCCTCTTTTTACTCTCTTCTCCAACCTCCCTCACTATCCCTCAACCTCTTTCTCCTTTCAATCTTGGCGCCACACTTCAGTCTCTCCCTTATCTTAATTTCAATTCCTTTCATTTTCTGGTAGAGACAAAAGAGACATGTTTTATCCGTGAACCCAAAACTCCGGCACCGGTCACCGACTGGGAAGGCAGCCTTCCCTTGGTGTTTAATCATTGCAGGGACGCCTCTCTGATTTTACACTCACGTTTCAAGGGTGTCAGACCACGCAGGGACGCCTGCCTTGGTCCTTCACCCTTAGCGGCAAGTCCCGCTTTCCTGGGGCAGGGGCAAGTACCCCTCAACCCCTTCTCCTTCACCCTTAGCGGCAAGTCCCAGTTTCCTAGGGGGCAAGAACCCCCAATCGCTTATTTCCACACCCCAACCTCTTATCTCTGTGCCCCAATCCCTTATTTCCATGCCCCTACCCCTTCTCTGCTTTTCTGGAGGGCAAGAACCACCCCCCTGCAACCCCTCCTCCGTGTCTCTACTCTTTTCTCTGGGCTTGCCTCCTTCACTATAGGTAAGCTTCCACCTTCCATTCCTCCTCCTTCTCCCTTAGCCTGTGTTCTCAAAAATTTAAAACCTCTTCAACTCATACCTGACCTAAAACCTAAATGTCTTATTTTCTTCTGCAATGCCGCTTGACCCCAATACAAACTGTCGTCAAATGGGCAAATGGTCTGAGGTGCCTGACGTCCAGGCATTCTTTTACACATCAGTCCCTTCCTAGTCTCTGTGTCCAGTGCAACTTGACCCAAATCTTCCTTCTTTCCCTCCCGCCTGTCCCCTCAGTACCAACCCCAAGCGTCGCTAAGTCTTTCTAATCTTCCTTTTCTACAGACCCATCTGACCTCTCCCCTCCTCGACAGGCCGAGCTAGGTCCCAATTCTTCCTCAGCCTCCGCTCCTCCACCCTATAATCATTTTATCGCCTCCCCTCCTCACGCCTAGTCCGGCTTACAGTTTCCTTCTGTGACTAGCCCTCCCCCACCTGCCCAGCAATTTATCCTTAAAAAGGTGGCTGGAGCTAAAGGCATAGTCAAGGTTAATGCTCCTTTTTCTTTATCCCAAATCAGATAGCGTTTAGGCTCTTTGTCATCAAATATAAAAACCCAGCCCAGTTCATGGCTCGTTCGGCAGCAACCCTGAGACACTTTATAGCCCTAGACCCTAAAAGGTCAAAAGGCCGTCTTATTCTTAATATACATTTTATTACCCAATCTGCTCCCGACATTAAATAAAACTCCAAAAATTAAATTCCGGCCCTCAAACCCCACAACAAGATTTAATTAACCTCGCCTTCAAGGTGTACAATAATAGAAAAAAGTTGCAATTCCTTGCCTCCACTGTGAGACAAACCCCAGCCACATCTCCAGCACACAAGAACTTCCAAACACCTGAACCGCAGCCGCCAGGTGTTCCTCCAGAACCTCCTCTCCCAGGAGCTTCCTACAAGTGCCAGAAATCTGACCACCAGGCCAAGGAATGCCTGCAGCCCAGGATTCCTCCTAAGCCGTGTCCCATCTGTGTAGGACCCCTCTGGAAATCGGACTGTTCAACTCACCTGGCAGCCACTCGCAGAGCCCCCGGAACTCTGGCCTAAGTCTCTCTGACTCCTTCTCGGCTTAGCGGCTGAAGACCGACACTGCCCGATCACCTCGGAAGCCCCCTAGACCATCACGGACGCGGAGCTTCGGGTAACTCTCACACTGGAAGGTAAGTCCGTCCCCGTGTTAATCAATATGGAAGCTACCCACTCCACATTACCTTCTTTTCAAGGGCCTGTTTCCCTTGCCTCCATAACTGTTGTAGGTATTGACGGCCAGGCTTCTAAACCTCTTAAAACTCCCCAACTCTGGTGCCAACTTAGACAGTACTCTTTTAAGCACTCCTTTTTAGTTATCCCCACCTGCCCAGTTCCCTTATTAGGCTGAGACACTTTGACTAAATTATCGGCTTCCCTGTCTACTCCTGGACTACAGCTATATCTCATTCCGCCATTCTTCCCAATCCAAAGCCTCCTTTGCGTCTTCCTCTTGTATCCCCCCACCTTAACCCACAAGTATAAGATACCTCTACTCCCTCCTTGGCGACCGATCATGCACCCCTTACCATCTCACTAAAACCTAATCACCCTTACCCCACTCAACACCAATATCCCATCCCGCAGCACACTTTAAAAAGATTAAAGCCTGTTATCACTCACCTGCTAGAGGATGGCCTTTTAAAACCTATAAAATCTCCTTACAATTCCCCCATTTTACCTGTCCTAAAACCAGACAAGTCTTACAATTTAGTTCAGGATCTGCGCCTTATCAACCAAATTGTTTTGCCTATCCACCCCATGGTGCCAAACCCATATACTCTCCTATCCTCAATACCTGCCTCTACAACCCATTATTCTGTTCTAGATCTCAAACATGCTTTCTTTACTATTCCGTTGCGCCCTTAATCCCAGCCTCTCTTCGCTTTCACTTGGACTGACCCTGACACACCCATCAAGCTCAGCAAATTACCTAGGCTGTACTGCCGCAAAGCTTCACAGACAGCCCCCATTACTTCAATCAAGCCCAAATTTCTTCCTCATCTGTTACCTATCTCGGCATAATTCTCAAAAACACACGTGCTCTCCCTGCCAATCGTGTCCAACTGATCTCTCAAACCCAAGCACCTTCTACAAAACAACAACTCCTTTCCTTCCTAGGCATGGTTAGCGCGGTCAGAATTCTTACACAACAGCCAGGACCACACCCTGTAGCCTTTCTGTCCAAACAACTTGACCTTACTGTTTTAGCCTAGCCCTCATGTCTGCGTGCAGCGGCTGCCGCTGCTTTAATACTTTAGAGGCCCTCAAAATCACAAACTGTGCTCACCTCACTCTCTACAGTTCTCATAACTTCCAAAATCTATTTTCTTCCTCATACCTGATGCATATACTTTCTGCTTCCCGGCTCCTTCAGCTGTACTCATTCTTTGTTGAGTCTCCCACAATTACCGTTGTTCCTGGCCCAGACTTCAATCTGGCCTCCCACATTATTCCTGATACCACACCTGACCCCCATGACTGTATCTCTCTGATCCACCTGACATTCACCCCATTTCCCCAAATTTCCTTCTTTCCTGTTCCTCACCCTGATCACGCTTGATTTATTGATGGTGGTTCCACCAGGCCTAATCGCCACACACCAGCAAAGGCAGGTTATGCTATAGTACAAGGCACTAGCCCGCCTCTTAGAACCTCTCATTTCCTTTCCATCATGGAAATCTATCCTCAAGGAAATAACTTCTCAGTGTTCCATCTGCTATTCTACTACTCCTCAAGGATTATTCAGGCCCCCTCCCTTCCCTACACATCAAGCTCGAGGATTTGCCCCCACCCAGGACTGGCAAATTAGCTTTACTCAACTTGTCCGGAGTCAGGAAACTAAAATCTTAATCTCTCCCACTCAAGGTGCCCACGCCGCCCCTAATCCCGCTTGAAGCAGCCCTGAGAAACATCGCCCATTCTCTCTGCATACCACCCCCCCAAAAATTTTCGCCTCCCCAACACTTCAACACTATTTTATTTTACTTTTATTATTACTATAAGAAGGCAGGAATGTCAGGCCTCTGAGCCCAAGCCAAGCCATCGCATCCCCTGTGACTTGCACGTATACGCCCAGATGGCCTGAAGTAACTGAAGAATCACAAAAGAAGTGAATATGCCCTGCCCCACCTTAACTGATGATATTCCACCACAAAAGAAGTGTAAATGGCCGGTCCTTGCCTTAAGTGATGACATTACCTTGTGAAATTCCTTCTCTTGGCTCATCCTGGCTCAAAAAGCACCCCCACTGAGCACCTTGCCACCCCCACTCCAGCCCACCAGAGAACAAACTCCCTTTAACTGTAATTTTCCTTTACCTACCCAAATCCTATAAAACGGCCCCACCCTTATCTCCCTTCTCTGACTCTCTTTTCGGACTCAGCCTGCCTGCACCCAGGTGAAATAAACAGCCATGTTGCTCACACAAAGCCTGTTTGGTGGTCTCTTCACACGGACGCGCATGAAAGCTACAAGATCAGATGAGCCAGTTTATCCATGTGGGTGGTGCCAACTGATCCATCAAGTGCAGAGTCTGCAAAATATCTCAAGCACTGATCTCAGGTTTTACAATAGTGATGTTATCCCCAGGGGCAATTTGGGGAGAGTCAGAATCTTGTAACTTCCAGGTACATGACTGCTAAATCATAATTTCTAATCTTTTGGCTAATGTTAGTCCTAGAAAGACATTCTAGCCCCCAGGCAAGAAGGGGAAGTAGGGGTGTTGTTTCCCTTTTGTTTCAGAGTCTTTCTTCCCTCAGGCTTCTTCTGAGGGTAAAGGAAACTGTCCCCCATCCCGCCATCACTCTTGGTGGTTGGGGATATCAGCCTCAGTCCAAGCCAGGCTTTCTATGACATTTTCCTGATTTGTTTGGAATGAACAGGTGAGCAGCAGCTCTCTGCCCCACTCCCCTCCCGGAAGAGACTGGGGCTCATGGCCCAAAGGCCACATGTGGCAGGCTGGCCAGTGTTCCTAGCCACACATCCACAGTGTCTTCCCCTCTCCTGGCTGAGGGATCCAGCTCCATGCGAACCCCAGGGAACAAACAGCAATTAAGTTTCTCTCCCTCTTGGAGAAACCATTTGCATAAGAATAAGAGCTTCTTCCCTCAGGCATCTTTCCAACCCCGCACTTTGAGGGTTTTTTTTTTTTTTTTTTTTTTCCTTTTCTCAACCCTGTCAGCAGTTAACACAGCCCTGCACTTTAAGTTGGGTTTTTTTTTCTTCTTTTCAATGGGTCAAGAGTTATGTGAAAAGCTTTTTTTCATGCACGTCCCTGTGAAGAGACCACCAAACAGGCTTTGTGTGAGCAACATGGCTGTTTATTTCACCTGGGTGCAGGCGGGCTGAGTCCGAAAAGAGAGTCAGCGAAGGGAGATAGGGGTGGGGCCATTTTATAGGATTTGGGTAGGTAAAGGAAAATTACAGTCAAAGGGAGTTTGTTCTCTGGCGGGCAGGAGTGGGGGTCGCAAGGTGCTCAGTGGGGGTGCTTTTTGAGCCAGGATGAGCCAAGAGAAGGACTTTCACAAGGTAATGTCATCACTTAAGGCAAGGACCAGCCATTTACACTTCTTTTGTGGTGGAATGTCATCAGTTAAGGTGGGGCAGGGCATATTCACTTCTTTTGTGATTCTTCAGTTACTTCAGGCCATCTGGGCGTATACGTGCAAGTCACAGGGGATACGATGACTTGGCTTGGGCTCAGAGGCCTGACATTCCTGCCTTCTTATATTAATAATAAAAATAAAACAAAATAGTGTTGAAGTGTTGGGGCGGTGTAAATTTTTGGGGGGTGGTATGCAGAGAGAATGGGCGATGTTTCTCAGGGCTGCTTCAAGCGGGATTAGGGGCGGCGTGGGAACCTAGAGTGGGAGAGATTAAGCTGAAAGGAGGTCTTGTGGTAAGGGGTGATATTGTGGGGATGTTAGAAGAAATATTTGTCGTATATAATGATTGGTGATGGCCTGGATACGGTTTTGGATGAATTGAGAAACGAAATGGAATAACAGAAGGAGAAAAACAGGTATAAAAGGTCTAAGAATTGGGATGACTCAGGATATCTGATTAGAGAGTGCCTAAGGAGATTCAGCATAGTCTTGCCAGTAAAGATTATTTATTTACTTCAAGAGTTAAGAGTGGCAGTTTGGGGATATCTCAAGGAGATATCAGCTGGGATGGCTTGGAAAAACAGTGGAAACCGGCAGTGTAAACAAGAGCAGGGCATGTATGAGTAGTTGAGAACGGTGAATAGGAGTATGACTAGACAGAAGATAGTAAGGATGACAAGTTTTTTGGGGGGCACAGTCTAAGTTGGTCTGGTGTCTGGAATAAGACTGGGGCCTAATAAAAAGGAGCATCTATACAGGAGCTTAAATGCGCTGTATCCTGTAGCATTCTGAGGACAGGCCTGAATTCTGAGAAGAGAAGGTGGTAGAAGTATTGTCCAGTTCTTTTTAAGTTGGTGGCTGAGCTTGGTGAGGTGTGTTTTTTAAAGACCTTTGGTCCATTCTACTTTTCTTGAAGATGGAGGACCATAAGGGATATAAAGGTTTCACTGAATACTAAGAGCCTGAAAAACTGCTTGGCTGATTTGACTAATAAAGGCTCAACTGTTACCAGACTGTATTGATGTGGGAAGGCTAAACTGAGGAATTATGTCTCTAACAGAAAGGAAGAAATGACTGCGGTGGCCTTCTCAGACCCTGTAGGAAAGGCCTGTACCTATCCAGTGAAAGTGTCTACCTAGACTAAGAGGTATTTTAGTTATCTGACTCAGGGCATGTTGAGTAAAGCTAATTTGCCAGTCCTGGGTGGGGCAAATCCTGGAGCTTGATGTGTAGGGAAGGGAGGGGGCTTGAATAATCCCTGAGGAGTAGTAGAATAGCAGATGGAACACTGAGAAGTAATTTCCTTGAGGATAGATTTCCATGATGGAAAGGAAATGAGAGGTTCTAAGAGGCGGGCTAGTGCCTTGTACTATAGCATAACCTGCCTTTGCTGGTGTGTGGCGATTAGGCCTGGTGGAACCGCCATCAATAAATCAAGCGTGATCAGGGTAAGGAACAGGAAAGAAGGAAATTTGGGGAAATGTGATTGTCAGGTGGATCAGAGAGATACAGTCATGGGGGTCAGGTGTGGTATCAGGAATAATGTGGGAGGCCAGATTGAAGTCTGGGCCAGGAACAATGGTAATTGTGGGAGACTCAACAAAGAGTGAGTATAGCTGAAGGAGCCGGGAAGCAGAAAGTATATGCATCAGGTATGAGGAAGAAAATAGATTTTGGAAGTTATGAGAACTGTAGAGAGTGAGTTGAGCACAATTTGTGATTTCGAGGGCCTCTAAAAATATTAAAGCAGCGGCAGCCGCTGCACGCAGTCATGAGGGCTAGGCTAAAAGAGTAAGGTCAAGTTGTTTGGACAGAAAGGCTACAGGGTGTGGTCCTGGCTGTTGTGTAAGAATTCTGACCGCGCTAACCATGCCTAGGAAGGAAAGGAGTTGTTGTTTTGTAGAAGGTGCTTGGGTTTGAGAGATCAGTTGGACACGATTGGCAGGGAGAGCACGTGTGTTTTTATGAGAATTATGCCGAGATAGGTAACAGATGAGGAAGAAATTTGGGCTTGATTGAAGTAATGGGGGCTGTCTGTGAAGCTTTGCGGCAGTACAGCCTAGGTATTGCTGAACTTGATGGGTGTCAGGGTCAGTCCAAGTGAAAGCGAAGAGAGGCTGGGATTAAGGGTGCAACGGAATAGTAAAGAAAGCATGTTTGAGATCTAGAACAGAATAATGGGTTGTAGAGGCAGGTATTGAGGATAGGAGAGTATATGGGTTTGGCACCATGGGGTGGATAGGCAAAACAATTTGGTTGATAAGGCGCAGATCCTGAACTAAATTGTAAGACTTGTCTGGTTTTAGGACAGGTAAAATGGGGGAATTGTAAGGAGAGTTTATAGGTTTTAAAAGGCCATGCTCTAGCAGGCGAGTGATAACAGGCTTTAATCTTTTTAAAGTGTGCTGCGGGATGGGATATTGGCGTTGAGTGGGGTAAAGGTGATTAGGTTTTAATGAGATGGTAAGTGGTGCATGATCGGTCGCCAAGGAGGGAGTAGAGGTATCTTATACTTGTGGGTTAAGGTGGGGGGATACAAGAGGAAGAGGCAAAAGAGGCTTTGGGAAGAGCCTTCTTTGGGAAGAAGAGCGGCAATGAGATATAGCTGTAGTCCAGGAATAGTCACAGAAGTGCATAATTTAGTTAAAGTGTCTCAGCCTAATAAGGGAACTGGGCAGGTGGGGATAACTAAAAAGGGGTGCTTTAAAGAGTATTGTCTAAGTTGGCACCAGAGTTGGGGAATTTTAAGAGGTTTAGAAGCCTGGCTGTCAATACCTACAACAGTTATGGAGGCAAGGGAAACAGGCCCTTGAAAAGAAGGTAATGTGGAGTGGGTAGCCTCCGTATTGATTAAGAAGGGGACGGGCTTACCTTCCACTGTGAGAGTTACCCGAAGCTCGGCGTCCGTGATGGTCTAGGGGGCTTCCGAGGTGATCGGGCAGTGTCAGTCTTCAGCCACTAAGCCGAGAAGATCTGGGAAGGAATCAGTCAGAGAGCCTTGGGCCAGAGTTCCAGGGGCTCTGGGAGTGGGTGTCAGGTGAGTTGAACAGTCCGATTTTCAGTGGGGTCCCACACAGATGGGACGAAGCTTAGGAGGAATCCCAGGCTGCGGGCATTCCTTGGCCCAGTGGCCAGATTTCCGGCACGTGTAGCAAGCTCCTCTGGGAGGAGGTTCTGGAGGAACACCTGGCGGCTGCGGTTCAGGTGTTTGGAAGTTCTTGTGTGCTGGAGATGTGGCTGGGGTTTGTCTCACAGTGGAGGCAAGGAATTGCAACTTTTTTCTATTATTGTACACCTTGAAGGCGAGGTTAATTAAATCCTGTTGTGGGGTTTGAGGGCCGGAATTTAATTTTTGGAGTTTTATTTAATGTCGGGAGCAGATTGGGTAATAAAATGTATTTTGAGAATAAGACGGCCTTTTGACCTTTTAGGTTCTAGGGCTGTAAAGCGTCTCAGGGTTGCTGCCAAACAAGTCATGAACTGGGCTGGGTTTTTATATTTGATGACAAAGAGCCTAAACGCTATCTGATTTGGGATAAAGAAAAAGGAGCATTAACTTTGACTATGCCTTTAGCTCCAGCCACCTTTTTAAGAGTAAATTGCTGGGCAGGTCGGGGAGGGCCAGTCACAGAAGGAAACTGTAAGGTAGACCAGGCGTGAGGAGGGGAGGCGATAAAAAGATTATAGGGTGGAGGAGCGGAGGCTGAGGAAGAATTGGGACCTAGCTCGGCCTGGCAAGGAGCAGCCTGGGGAGGAAGGGACAGGTTAGATGGGTCTGTAGAAAAGGAAGATTAGAAAGACTCAGCAACGCTTGGGATGGTACTGAGGGGACAGGCGGGAGGGAAAGAAGGAAGACTTGGGACGAGTTGCACTGGGCACAGAGACTAGGAAGGGACTGATTTGTAAAAGAATGCCTGGATGTCAGGCACCTCAGACCATTTGCCTATTTTATTATAAGAATTATTTAGATCTTGCAGGATGGAAAAATTCAAAGTGCCATTTTCTGGCTATTTGGAACTACTGTCAAGTTTGTTTGATGAGAAATAACATTAGAATTCACAAAGGCTTATTTTAGAAAACAAACAGAGACAATAAGGTATGCCAAGAAAGCTGCATGGGACAGTGTCTTTCACTTTTCTATGCCCACCACTCTTCATGCATAGCATCTGCCCATGACAGATATCGAACAATGTTTAGTTTACAATCAGACAAGCCAAGAGTGTGTAAGATGAGTTAGATGCGAGGGTCTGGCTCCAGAACCCTAAACTCTGATTGACTGATAAGCTTTGTCCTTGATCTGGAATGACTTGATCACTGGGAATAAATATGAATTCTCAAGCAGGAGTATCTGCTCATGGGGATTATAAAGCAGATTAGTGTAAGACAAGACAGGAAGATTTTTCAGTGTCCGGGAAGACTCTGGCCCCACCCACTACTGATCCAAAACCTTTTAGCTGAAGTCTACCGTTCGCTCCTCAGCAGCAGCAGTTCCCAGTGCAGTTATTGGGCCCTTTTGTTTGGGTGTGGTCTTTTCTGATGTGTGGAATATGAATGAGAGGGGTTTGGCACTTTTGGTTTACTCTTTTGATATCTATCTAAGTAATAAACGCTAAATCTAAAAGTGTCTTCTTGCATCTTTACCAGTGTAATCAGTCAGGCTTTGACCTTGGCCCTAATGTCTTGTATATGTAAGCTCCACACCCTTCCAAAAAAAATGCCAGACTGCACATCCATCATGTGGGTGCAAATCAAAGAAGAACAAAAGTTTGTGTTTTACTTTGCCAAGTTATAGGTCCAGGATTAGTGTCTTGGCTACAAATCATTTCCCCATTGCTAAATGTTTACATTGTTAAAAGAAAACTTGAGACAAATTAAATTCAAAAGAGTTTAATAGAGCAAGGAAAAAAAAGGTTAATGAATTGGACAGCCTCCAGAATCACAGCAGATGCAGAATGACCCCAGGGATACCTCGTGATCACAGCAAATTTATAGACAAAAAAAGGGAAAGTGGCGTAGAGAAAACAGAAGTGAGGTTCAGAAACAGCTGGATTGGTTACAGCTTAGTGTCTGCCTTATTTGAACACAGTTTGAACAGTCAGCAGCATATGAGTGGTTGAAGTATGGCTGATGGGATGGGCTGAGACTCAGCTGTTGCTATAGAAGCATATTCCTAAGTTAGGTTTTCAATCTTATCTACCCACTAAGGTAGGATACAGTTCATCCACAAGGACTCAAAAATGGAGTTACAGAGGCTTTCTCAGGCCATATTTAGTTCGATTTAACAATTCCCCATTTTTGGTCAGTCTCTCCATTTAGAGAGATTGACCAAACTTTAGGAATTGACACCATTCTCTGTCACCATCATGAAAGACTTCTTCAGTCTCATTACGGAATTCACAAGTCTTCTTTAATGTCAGTAGGAAATTCACAAGTCGCAGCTTTGTACCAGCTGAATGTTTATGTTGTTGCTGACACAGTTGGAGTGAGACCATTTAACTCTCAATGGATAGCCACGTACAAGACATTTAGGACTTGAGAGATACAGTGCACCAAGGGGACTATTATTAGGACTATAAAGAGGATTATACCAAAATACCAAGGTATACTTCTTAACAGGAGTTCTTGTGAAAATGAACTGAACCAAATTAACCAACTGAAGGTTCAGACAATATAAGCAGTTCGACAGTCTTAGGGTCAAATTGGTCATAGTCCTTGCTCAGAGAGTGAGAACAGTTAAGGATCATAGCGCTCCGTAAAGTGGCCTGATTTAAAGAGGATCTCATTTTTACTGTTACCCTGGTAATACAAGCCATAATAACTTGGAAAGCCTCTAGAAAAAATATAAAGATTAAAACCCTTGGCCTCTGATTATAAGTACTATCATGAGAATTTTCAGGAGAAGCTATTTGAAAGGAGCAAGGAAAATTGCATGTGCCCTTTTAGTTTTGAAAGTAAATCTCGCCCTAGCCAATTTACTGGAGCAGTATCACATAGTAAAAAGTTTGTTATTATGAAAAGGCCCCAAAGTTAATTGGATGGATTCAGATAAGAGATCCTCTTGTACTTGATTTGAAACCCCCACCACAGGAATGACCTTTTTACTCCAAGGGATTTGTTGGCTTATTGAAGTGGAGTTTACGGTAGATAGGGTAGCTCTGGTATCCACCATGACTGTACATGACTCCCCATTTATTTTAACCTTTGTTTCTCCATGTTTATTTAAAGGTATTATAGGGAGAAATTTACCAGAGAATCCCTTGGAGCCTCATCAATGTTGATTTTTATCAGAAGGGCTGAGGTCTCTTGGGTTCTTTTTAGGGTGGAAACAGTCGGCCTAAAGGGAGGCTTATTGGCATACTGAAATAAAAGCAGACAATCTCTTTTCAAGTGTCTTGATTGTCTGCAATGAAGGCAGACATCTTGCGGTAAAGAACTTCTTGTTCTAGGTCCTTTTGGTTGTGATTTAAAATGAGAATGAGAAGGTCCCTTCCATACTTTTGCTCCCAGCCCCTGTAACTATTGTAGTTGAAGGGTCATAAGTTTGTTAGCCTTTTGAGTTTTTCCTTCCTCTAGAGTCATCTCCAAATGTTCAGTTAAGACCACCAATTCAGTCATTCCTGTAACTTCCTATTCCAGTTTATGTGTTCTAATCAAACTGTTAAGTTCAGGATGGAGTCCATGTATGAACAGAGCAGTTAACGCTGTTTCAGTCCCTGCAGGAAATACTCCTTGCTATACTTTGAGCCCTACATGTTTCACAGTGTTTCTAAGCGAGTTCTGTAATCTGAAACTGGTTCATCCTTTTTCTGTTTACAAGATTGTATGATGGGCCAATCAGTTTTTTGTGGACAAATTTTAGGAATTAAATTTAAAGGGTATTTACCAATTTTTAGAGCTACTTTTTGTCCTTCTCATGAAGAACTTTTGGAGGGGTCTTTAACATCCGCCTCAGGTTTGTCCCAGTCTGCTGCTGCCATCCATTCCCAAGCTTCACCAGGCCCCAACATCATGTGAATAAATTGATAAAGGTCAGGAAGTCCTGGATTGTAAGCTTGTATGAGGATTCTAAATTCCTCAGTAAAGTTTTGAGGATTTTCACTTGGATCAAGAAAGTACTTCACAATGGCTCTAAGCTTAGTTTTGGACCATGGAGTGAAAGTAGTTACAGCAGGCAGGCCCAGCTGGTCAGAAGGTCTCACTTTGTAAGACATCTGTCTGATTTCTTTTTTTTTCATCATCGTCAGGGCGAAAGGGTAATTTACCAAAAAGGTTAGTGGACTCAGACTATGTAGGTAGAGATACATAAAGAGAAGGAATAGTTGAGGTTAGTTCAGTCAGAGTACAGTCCTCTTTTATCACATTCTTGGTCTTTTGCTTAAGCTTTTCATTTGTTTTTTGCAAAGAATCTTTTAAGGAAGCAATGTTTGATTCATGTGGTCTTTTAGAGGCCTCTGCATACCAATGAAAGAATACGTCCCACTGTTTTCATGGGGCTTTTGATCCCCCCTTTTCTAATGTGCCTCACAAATAATTTTATCCAAATTAAAACTTCCCCATTGTGGCCATCTTAATTCTAAGTTTTCTCTAGTGCGGTTAACCCATTTTTCTAAAAATGCACATGTTCTGGGTCCATAATTTTTATACATAAAATTTACATGGAGTCCTGGAAGGTGGAGTCCCAGACTCTTTGGATTCAAAAGATCCCATTTTAAAAATAAAGTACCTTCCTGAGGCCTGAGACCTCTAACTGAATCCAGTTCAGTTAATTATCAAATCCAATTCAATCCTGGACTCAGTCCAGCCTAACTATTGCTCAAATAAACACATAGAGCTCAGAACACAAGTTGGTGGAGCTCGGAATCTGAGAGCAAACTCACCCATGACCTCCAGCTACAATCAAGAGAGCAGTGAGCACAATAGTCTCCTCAGGTACCTCACCTGGTCACCTGGTGTTCCTGGGGGTTGCTGGAGTTTTACTTTTAATCCCACTCTGACACCAGATCTGTTAAAAGAAAACTTTAGACAAATTAAATTTAACAGTTTAATTGAGCAAGGGAAAAAAAAAGAAAAAAATTGGGCAGCCTCCAGAATCACAGCAGATTCAGAGTGACTCCAGGGATGCCTCACGGTCAGAACAATAAAAGGAAAGTGATGTATAAAAAAACAGAGGTGAGGTACAGAAACAGATGGATTGGTTACAGCTTGGTGCATGTCTTATTTGAGCATAGTTTGAACAGTCAGCGGCATATGAGTGGTTAAGTATAGCTTCTGGGATTGGCTGAGACTCACCTATTGTTACAGAAGCATACTTCAGTCTTGTCTACCTACTAAGGTGGTTATAGTTCATCCACAAGGATTCAAATATGGAAGTATGGAGGCTTTCTCAGGCCATATTTAGTTTGATTTAACAACATGCGCTATGATTCTTTTGGTAGTACAGGGTGGAGGAGGCCTTTTTACTGAGGTGTGTGGGCTCCTGACAAGCTTGATGTTTGCTAAACACTGTCTCCAGCTTCTCCACATCTTTCTAGGGTTGAGGCTGCTCTTTTGTGCTTTCAGTGCCCTTGTTCTTTGTTTAGTGACAAAGAGCACAGGTCCTGAAGCCAGCCTGTCTGTATTCATGGCACAGCTTTTCCAATGGGGAAGTTATTTACCTTGCTGGGCCTCAGTTTTACCAACTATTTTATAGTTGGGCTAACAAACTTCCTTCCTTCTAAGGGTGTTATAAGTAATAAGTTAACATATGCAAAATGCTTACAAAAATTAGTACCTGGGAATGAACACTCAAGATACGTTACACTATTATTATTATTATCCCCTCTCTATCTTTACTTTTAGCTATCCAGCTTCATAATTATAACCTCAGTCAGAGCAGCCACAATCACCAAGCTCATGAACTACTTCTCAACACTTTAATTTTGAGTGATGTTTGGGGAGTTTTATTTGTAATTTCTCTTTGAAGAATTTTACCTTTCTTTAGCTTGTACACAGAATAGAAGTAGGAGAATGGATAATCACTGCATCCAGTGAACAAATTATAAGATTTTTTTTGGTATAAGATTTTAAATTTGAGACAATTTCAAACTTACAGAAAAGATTTGAATACAGTACATAGAACTCTTTTTTTCAGAACCATTGGAGAGTAAATTGCTAGCCAATGTCCTATCACTCACAAATACTTCAGTGTGTGTTAAAGGGTTATTAATGCTGCCATATACGTTTGTGTGGATTAAGTGAGATGATGTATGTGCAAACCCTTGGTTTACAGTTAAGTATTGTATTAATGAAATCATGTTTGTCATTCCATCAAGTCTAGAAAAATTCAGGATTTATTTTTTGGCTGTCAGAAAAAACTGAGGAACTGGGGAAAAAGTCACAGGCTCTATTTCAGTGGTCTTTCTTTTTAAGTCAAGATAAGCAACAACAGCTCTGGTCTCAAATCATTTCAAATATCACAGGTTATGAAAATATGGCTGAAAAAATATGTTACTATGAAAATGTGCCATCAAAATCAAATAAGAAAAAAATCTATTTTACAGGTTATTAGTCACAGTCAACACATTCTATTTAGATCTGAACTCAACCCAGTGAGATCATTTGCAACCTGGACCTCTCAGTTGTCTAATGCCATATAACAAAATACTCCAAAATTCAGTGGTTCAAAACAAGCACAGTGTACTTTTTTCATGATTCTTTAAAAATACCATATAGCTGCTTCACCTGTTTCATTGATTGATGTTTACTGGGGCACTGGGATGGCTGGAGAGCCAGAATACTGGCATTTTGTGATTGGCTTTGGCTATGAGCTCAGTGGAGGCAGTTTGCAAAGCATCTGGTAATTCATGAGTTCCAGGAAAATGCATTCCAAGATATGAAAATTAAAACCCTAGATGTCCTAATGTTTAGCCTCAAAAGACACATGGCATCTCTTCAGCCACATTCTATTATTCAAATGAAGCCATAGGACGTGCCCAGTGCCAAGAGGAGAGAAAATAAACTCTACTTCTTGGTAGGAGGAATTGCAAAGAATGTGTGGTCATATTTAATTCACAACAAACCCATAATAAGAAGATTATCCAGGCTTTTGAAGGATCATATGAGAGACAGTTAATAAACTTGGTGACACCAGCCTGGAGAGAAGATAAACCAAGAAACCCTTAAGAGATTGTTCAGATATTTGGAGGGCTATCATCATGAAGCAAAAATAGATATGAATTTAGGATTGAATTTGAGAGGTTTTTGAAATGTGACTACAAATTACAAGAAAATAAAGTTTAATGGCTCCATACTGAATCCTACAAATAAAGGTTAGCTAATACCAAATTTACTGTGGAAAAGGCTCTTGTAATAGATAAGAATAGATGAGATTATCTTCATTACACTTTCCAAGTCTATGAGGTTGGTGCAAAGGTAATTAATTTTGCACCATAATATCATCATATGACTCCAACAGCCTCCTTAACCTAAGATTTAATTCAAGAAGAAGACACTTAAAACTGCAATAAACAAAGCACTTTAAACCTTATTAAGCTTCTCACATATCATTTCTGGGACTCTATCACAAAAAGTATCAAATTCAATAAATGTTGATGCACACATTATTTTCCCCCATGGGTCTCAATATTTTAAGGTTTTGACTGTCAAATCTATAATAATCTAAGTCAAAAGTACAGCTACTTAAGCCTCAACACTAATTAAAATATTTAAAACATTTCTTTTTTTGAAATGTTTAAAATCATTCACAATGCTTCAATATTTTAAAGAGTTACACTATCACAGGTCCTGAGATCTGGAATCTTTGGAATGACAATATGGATTAGATTATGTCTGATATGACTTCAGCTTCATTTTCTTTCTTTCAGGGTGGAATTATTAAAGTTCAAACCATGGGAAACTATGAATGTTTGTGGAATGCGATGTTGAACAAGAGTAACTTTCAAAGTGGTGCACAAATGCCCTCTTGTGGCCATTTCCGGGATTGTGCTACAGTTTACAAAACAAAAGCAACCTAACAGGCAATGTTAGTGATGGCCATCTTTGTGCCACATCCTGTGCTAGAAGAAAATAATGAATTGAAAAAGGAAAAAAAATATATGTTTAAAGAGGAGGAAGAAATATTGTTTTTAGTTTTTGTTTTACTTCTCAGATGATAAGCCAGCTAAAAGAAATACTACCTCAAATGCTGCAGAAGGCTTAGGACCTTTTATATTGAATTTGGGGGTATGGAGAAACTCAGAGGCTTAGAAACTTTTATATTGGATTTGGGAATATGGAGAATTTAAGAGTAAAGACAAAGTACTCAAATTGGCTGATGTACCTTGAAGACCTGGAGGCCTCTAATCTTAGGAGATTTCATAGCATCCCCTAAATATTCAGCAGTATAGGGGGGATCATCAGGATCCTTCTGTCACACTAGGATTTTGATAAATCAACAGACATTTAGGTCGACACAGGCTGCTACTCAGCCCTCCTTGCATTCCTTAGTCCATGAGTGCCAACTCCAGAAATTCCAACATATTGTCATCAAAAATTGTGGAAAGCATTTAGAAAGGACAGAACTAAGTTTATGTCCTGGACAGAAACTTAGAAAGCAGCACTAATAATAAGATGTACAGGTCACATTTGGATGCCTAAGGTCAACCATTGTCACCTCCTCAACACAACCAGAAGTGTTTCCAAGAATCTCCAAAGTGGTGCCATAGCTAAATGTAATACTATTTAGGTCTTGCCTAGCACAGAGCAGAGCAGGTCTATCAGCTTCTTTGAAGAAGACATCAGAGTTTATTAATGGCCCCAGATCACATTAAGCTTTTTTAGTTCAGAGAATGGCTGCCAGAATCAAGTTCTAACACATCATAAACAATATTAAAATATCAGACTAACAAAAAGTAGCTTAAAAGAATAAAATTGTATTGGTGTGTGAATATGCATCAGACAAGCCTAGTACTGGCTTGGCCTAAGAGTATTTATTTGACCCCAAGTTTATTTTCATTTTACCTATTGGAATAATTACAAAACCTGCTACCATCTATTAACACAACTTTCCTATAAGGCTGTGCTTTAAAAGTTTATCTTTCTTCCATGGTCTTCTGCTGGAAGGTAGAAGAGTCAGAAGAGATAAGAGATAATAAATACTTAGGCATCTAAGTATTTACCAACATATTTTGTTTTTTAAGAGTTCTGGATGAAAGTTCAATTCAAAGATATATGACCCCTTGGGTGTGTAATCATGGCCATTATGATGATATAATGGAAGAGGCTTTGTACCAGAGTCCCTGCATATCCAAAAGGGATACATTCCAAGACCCCCAGTGGATGCCTGAAACCTCGAATAGTTCTGAACTTTATATATACTGTTTCTCCTACACATTCTTATCCATGATAATGTTTAATTTATAAATTAGGCACAGTAAAAGATTAACAACAACAGCTAATAATAAAATAGAGCAACTATAACAACGTACTGAAATAAAAGTTATCATGCACTGTGGCTGTAACTTTTGCAGCTTGAAGTGTGACAGAAAAACTAGCACAATTTTTTCTTCTTCATAGTTTCACAGATAAAGTATTTGTTCTTACTATAGATCTTAACCACTTCAGCATATTATTTTTTTCTTTCCTTATTAAGTCAAGAACTTTTATATTTTCACTTAAAGGAAGCACTTCGTGGCTTCTCTTTGGCATTTCCAAATTGCCAGCATCACTGCTCTTGTACTCTGGGGCCATTACAAAATAAAATATGGGTGACTTGAACATAATCACTGTGATACTGAGACAGTCAGTGTGATAACCGAGTTGGCTGCCAAGTGAGTAACAGGCAAGCAGCATCCACAGCACGGGTACTCCAGACAAAGGGACAAGTCATGTCCCTGGGCATGAGATTTCATCGTGCTACTCAGAGCAGTGTGAAATTTAAAACTTATGAGTTGTATATTTCTGAAATTTTTCGTGTAATATTTTTGAACTCCAGTTGACCATGGGTAACTGAAACCGAGAAAAGCAAACTGGGGATCAAAAAGGCTACTGTACACTAGAGATTGTTCTGAGCTATTGTTAACAGGAATGTGCCAGGTTTATGTAAATATATTTCATTTAATACTTAAATTCAGATTTACGTTCATATATTTGTATTCAACATTTACCTCCAACACTATCCTTTCCCCTGTCTTGCAATTTTAAAACTTCACTCACTCTTTGTTCCTCCCACAAAGTTGCCCCTCTCATCATTGAGGAAGCATCCACTTCTGACTTTCTGCACATGGGGGAGATCCCTCACCATCACAACCAAGCCATAAACAGACAGGAGCTCTCTGAGCATCAGTTTTCTCATCTACCACAGTGTCCCATGCGGACGGCCTTTCCAAATACTATTTAATAATATTGCATCCTAATAATGTCCAACTATTTTAAACCAAATCGTAAATCACACATTTGTATTATGCTTTCTGGTTGTCCAATTACCTTTATTTACTGGGTTTATTTAAGCTTCAGAGGAATATATACGGATTTTATAGCTAAAGCTCAATTAGATTAAGCTCATTTTACAGACTGGTCTCACAGTTTAGACTCAACACTAAGCCTACAAAGTTCAATCATCTCATTGCCGTCTGTGATTAAGCAACCACCCTTTCCGTTTCCACAGGGGATCCTCTGACGTGGTTTTTACAAAATCCTATCATCACACCCTTCTGATTCCAAAGTACAGAATAGTGAAGGGGTTAAACCTGCTCTATAATAAGCACTCCATAAATATTAGCTGTTGCTGTTGTAATTAACGTCAAGCTTTACTATGCTCATGCACTTTTAAATTGTCTTTATATTTGTTTCAAAATCTTAGACATAAATTTCATCAAAGATGAGGTCACATTTCCTAAAGTCTTAATTATCCGGACCAGTGATCACTGAACTTCAAGGCCCTGATGAATAAAAATTGTTTGTATCCCAAGCTCCCTCCCTAAAAGAATTCTAGGCGTTTAGACAAACCTCAACACGAGCCCCCAGGTTCCTCCTTTCGACTGTATTACTTAGGTCCTAGCACAGAGACTTCACCAGTCTGATAACTGACACAGATGCCTTCAGAGTCCCTTGGCCCCATAGATTCAAAAGCCTCCAAAATGGATTTGGCTGCTATAAAACCCCAGCAGGGAAGCAGAGCTCCAAGCTGGTGAAGGTGAGTGTGTGGGGTTCCACTACTGAGAGAGGCATAGGCAGGTTTCACAGTTGTCTGGGGGTGGCCATTTGGGGCCAGATGAAGGGTGAAAAGTTGGGAAGAGATTGTGCAAGAAGAGGAAAACTTCACTTAAATAAGTAAGCATCTAAAACAAGGGAAATAACTGGTTCCTTCAAGAAAAAGGATTCTGCTTTATATAACTCTTGATTCTATAATTTATACTCACAGGTATCATCTCATTGAATCTTTATCCTTTATCAGCACTATAATAATTAAACAAGTGTTTATGGAATGTTAATATAAATCAAATGTGGTGCATGAAACAAAAATTAGGATAGTAATGATGGTATCAATAAAAAGAATAATAACCAACATGCTGGGTGTTTTTGATGTATCAGATATATTTCTAAATATTTCACTGAAATATTTCCTTATATTACCACAACAACCCTCTGAGGTATGTATTAATATTATATATTGCTTTTAAAAATTAAGGCTGTAAAGCTCAGAGAGGGTAAATGCCTTGCCTAAGGTATTTAGTGGTAGAAGTAGAATAAGCTGTGACTCCTGAGATAGATATCAAAGCAACCATTTCTAATATGCAGGCAAGACTGCTAGAATTAAACAGACATCCGGTGCTATGAACAAACAGAGAAAGAAGCAAGTAAGTCTACTAGGATGTGTGTGTGCAAGATTTCACCAACAGAAAATGGTGGAGGGGAAGGCATTCTAGGTAGCGAGAACAGCATAAACAAAAGCAGGCATTAGGTAGAATTGAAGACTGGCCCCACACATTGAGGAACTTAAAAATTGAAACAGGAAAATAGGACAGAAACAGATAGCAATGCCAACAATATGCAGCAGGCATTTCCCATAAGGAAATGAGAAAACAATAATTCATATGGGTTAGACAATAATTCATGTGGCCCCTAAATGCAGCTGACGTGACCATCTTCCCTTAAGAGAGTTTGGAGGGTCAGTCACCAGGAGAGATCCCACTTCCTCCAGGGTGGACACCCACCTCCTGATGTCCTTTACCCATAAAAAAGAGCATTGTAATGAGGTGAGGAAAAGATAAGATTTGGTTTCAGGAGGTTTGGGTTCAAGAACCAGGTCTGCTAGTTCCTAAGGCAGTGAGCTACAGCTCAAAGAAAACAACCTTTTTCAGTCTTTGCTTTCATATATGTCAAAAATCACTTCAATAATAAAACATTTGTCTTACGTAGCTAACATGGCATTTTGGAAATTATTAAATAGTGTGAAGCACAGGAAAGCCCTTTTGTAAACTAAATTAAAAATACGAATATGAGCCCCCCTTCAGCCCATTGAAGGAGGAATATACAGTAAAAAGAAAAAAATCAGGTAAAGTATATGAATTTTTAATTAAGCAGAACTAACGTCAAAATTCATTTCTGCTTTTTTACTGCTGAATGTTTGATTTTCAGTAATTTAGTAACCTCCCTTTACCTTAGTTTTCTCATTCATAATAATTCTTTTCCATATGACAGATTTGTTATGGGAAATAAATTAAATGCAATATATGAACAGAACATTGGACTCCTAGTAGCTGCTTAATTCATGATATGCAATATATGGAACATAGCTAGCATAGTGGCTGGCATAGAATAAGTGGTGAAAACTGTGGTTAAGAATATGGATAAGAAAACAAGAAGAGGAGGAAGAGGAGCAAGAGCACATGGGGGAGGAGGAGGAATATCACCAACAGAGAATGGCACATCCTAAAGCAGGGACATGAAAGCTGTCTGCAGTCATCATAAGAAAGGAAGTGGTGATAATTTAAGCAGTTTATGTAGTTTGAAAGTTTGAGCCTAAATATACCTTGGCTATTTTTAGGTAGCATGGAGAATGTGTCTGCATTGTCACTGTTGACTGTGGAGAGTCCCACGTCCATGTTTGACTATTGTGATGACTCTTTGGAGAGGGTCAAGTCTGCTCTTGACATCTTTTCCATGATCATCTACACAGTGACTTTCTTCCTAGGCTTGGCTGGCAATGGCCTTGTCATTTGGGTAGTTGGATTCCACATGTCCTGCACAGTCAACACGGTGTGGGTGGTACCTCAACCTGCCCGTGGCTGACTTCATCATCATCTTCCCACTGCTTCTCCAGCTGGTTATGGTAGCTCTGTAACCCTTTGGCCAGCTGCTCTGTAAACTCAATAGCACCATGTCTATTTTTAACTTTCTGGCCAGTGTCTTCCTTCTGACCCTCATCTCCATGGACCACTGACTTGTGATCCTGTGGCCAATCTAGTCCTGGAACAATTGCACACCAGCAAAGGCAACTCTGGGGCCCTTGAGGACCTGGCTTTTGGCAATTTGTTTCTCTGTTCCCTACTTGATCTTCAAGGAAACTCGTGGTGGAAAGTGTCACCCTCTTTGTACAACCAGTATGATCTGCAGAATGAAACTCAAGGAAGTCACCAACTTTGGAAAGAGATTATCATTCCATGGCACCAAACGCTGGTCACAACAGCCCACTTTTTCTTTGGCTTCTTTCTCCCTCTGGCTATCATCACTGGCTACTACATCCTTGTAGCCTTGAAGTTAAGAGAAAGGCAGCTGGTTAAGTTTAGCTGACCCTTCCAGGTCCTTGCGACTGTGGTAACCACCTTCTTCCTCTGCTGGTTGCCCTTGCAAGTGTCCCTGTGGCTGGACTTCACATCATTTCGGGAAGACAGAGAGGGCCTGAACCAGGTGGCCTTACTCCTAAGACCCCTGGCCTTGTCTATGGCCTTTATCAACAGCTGTCTCAATCCAGTTCTCTATGTCTTCATTGGGCATGATTTCTGGGAGCACTTGCTCCACTCCCTGCTAGCTGCCTTAGAACGGGCACTTAGTGAGGAGCCAGATAGTGCCTGAATCCCAGCTCCCAGGCAGATGAGTCCTTTATAACATGACCCAATTTCCTACTCCATTTTCCCACCACTCAATCCTCTTCCCAAACAGCTCTACCATAATCCAACATCCAACAGAATTTAAGAGAATAAACCACAACTTTTAAGTGAGCTCTATGTGCTAGGTCATGTTTTAGAATACAACCTTAAGTGCCTGGAAGATGGAGGCAAGAAACAAACAAGGTCTCATTCTTTAGAGGAAGACAGTTCACCAAGACTCAAACAGAAAAAAAGATAGTTATCTTGTGACAAAACAAGTCATAAAATTGGGTCAGGACCTGCAGCAATGACTTTATGCTAGAATCCAGAGCACTAGCAGGAAACTGCTTAAATTTTACTTAATCAAAGTCAAGTTTGGACATACGTGTCAGGTAAAACCTAGCAGAGATGAGCTACCTTGATTTTAAAACTTCAAGGGATAGCTCAATGTCATCAAGATCCTTTTGATGACTTGAGGTTAATAGGATGTTTTTGAACCAAGGAACTTGAAAAATGGGCCAACACTCTGCTTCTGTGTATGTTACATGCTAAGCACTTGGTGAATGTGTAATGAGGAAAAGGAGTGGGGTAAAAATTAGCAAGAAACCTCAGTCGTGCCCAACATTAAATGAACCTTTATCAATGGGTATCAATGGGTACAAAGTTACAGTTAGGAGAGATAATTCTCATGCTCAGTTGCAAAGCAGTGACTGTACTCAACAATAATGTATTATAAGTTAAAATAGCTAGAAAAGAGGAGTGTTGAGGTGATGGATATGGTATTTACTCTGATTTTATTGTCATTTTATATATATATATATATATATATATATACACACACACATATACATATATATAAACATCACACTGCACCCCATAAATAGGTACAATGATTATGAGCTAATTAAAAACAAAAGAAAACTTGTTTTTTAAAAAAAGAACCTTTCGTTGTAGTCCATGGGCATGTTTCAAAATCTCAATGCATGTTCTTGCACACACACACACACACACACACACACACACACAATTTTTAACAATCTTTATAAATATAAGGATTGTAAATCTACTGTTCATTTTTCTCTAATAGGAGTAATTCTTTGCATTCTGGAAATGGTCCTGGTTCGAAGCCCAGAGTTACTAAGGAGGTACTCCGCAAAAGATAAATGGTAAAGATGCATTTTCCTTCTAAATTCAAGGTTCCTTGACAGTTTTAACTCTCCACCTCCCAGGCTTACTTGGGACACTAATGTATATTATGAAAGTGGCTGCCATCTGGCTGCCTGAAGTAGACTCAGAAGCTGGAGTCACCACCCCTTCCATCTTACAGCAGGTAGAAGAGGAGTCAGCTCCCATTCTTTCTTGTCCCAACCCATAAATAAAGGGACAGTGATAGACTTCCCCTTCTATAGGAACCACAAAGCTGTTCATAATAGAAAAACTGGGAGTCACTAGAACAAGTATTTATAAATCAATATAGGACCAGGGTACCAGGCTCTGATCATTTTTTTTGCTATTCACCAGAGTTCTGATATATTAAATGACGGGTTTGGGGAGGGCACGAAGAGGGAAGCTTAATGAACACCAAATCTGCCAAGGCCTAAAGAAATGGGAGCCCTTCATATATCTGATATCACAAATTCCCTTTGGGTTAGAAGTAATACATCTCCTGTGGAAGTGATAGTGATTCAGCTTTTTATTTTAGCTTTTGTTAAATCAATAAAGAGAAAAAACCTAGAGGGTAGAAAATAGATTGAATACTAAAATGAAGACCTAACTCCTTAATGGATAGGAAGGAGGTAAGACAGCAGGCATTTGCCATTTCAAAGAGAGCCCTGTCTTATCAAGAATGATATACGTGGGTAAGCAGCAATCTCAAGATTTGGGCCTATGCCAGGATAGATAAAACCTAAAAGGATAAACATTTGAAATACATAATTTTAGAAACTAAGGAGAAGAGTTCCTGGGCAAAATTAAATGAACTAACCAGTCATGATAGTTGTTCCTCAATTCAGACTTATTGCTAAGAAAACACTTGAAAATCTGTAAGTCAAAGTTTCAGAGACAGAACTAAATACAAAAGAAATAGAAGTTGGAAGGAGAGCACAGCCATGGTCCTGGCAAAACAATTGTGAGTGCTGGGATGGGAAGTGGGATAAGTGGCCCCGAGAGTAGGTAGATGAAGGATGCAGGCTAAGCCTGAGAAAGCCCTCAGGGAGAGTAGGAATTTTGCCCAGTCCTGGAGAGATAAGAAGAACCTAGGAATGTCTAAGTGAAGAAGCAAGAAAGGCACAAGGAATTTCCACCTACACATCGTCTCTGTAGCTTCCATGGAAATGTTGTCAAAAGCACAACTACCAGTTGGATCTCATATTCATTTAAATTTGTGCCAGAAACACCCAAGCAACTAAGATAATGGTATTTGGTAATCAGAACAACAGCAGGGCAGATACTGGGGTGAAGCAGCTAGCAAGACACCTGCCTCAGGTGCAAAATCTAAAAGGACACCAAAATCTCAAGCAACCAGGATAAATAAAACTTCAATGTAGTCAGAATTAATACGAACACATCATGATAAACAAAATGTGACATTTTAAATAAAGACAGGATTCAACCCTGTGCTTGAACAACTCCATCTCACTTACCCCACCCTCATACCAGTTCCTCGTAATTAGCTAGTGTTTCGTCCTCAAAGGAAGAGAAAAGGAAGCTCATTCCATTCTATATAGTAACTTGGAACAAAGACGAATGCATTTTTTTAAGATATGTTCTCAACAAGGGTTACAGCTAAAAATATTATATGAAATAACCAACATTGAAGGCCACTTTCAATGAATGTTGGAAAACATCATTTATGGTGACAAATAAATGCTGAGTAATAAATATTTTTTGCAAAAGAATTTTCAGTTAAAGCCAGTGCTGTGAACGAAGGAAACAAATGGATGCTTTACCTGTACTTTGGGTTAGCAGTGTCCCAGGGGCTGGAAATCAGATCTTTTGTCTTCAGTGACTCATTTTTCTGTATATGAATGTTCAACTTCTGGAACTAACAGGAGAGAGTAATAATGGGAAAAGAGCAAAAAGCTAAGAAACCAAGGAAGGTAGGACTAAATTTCATCTGGGGAGGCAAGAAAAGTTTCACAGAGCAGATGTGTCTAAGCAAGACATGAAAAATTAAATAGGAAATTGATAGGTAAAAGAGAGAGAGAGTATTGTTGTGAAAGTTAGCTTCATGAGATACTTGGGATTATGAGAAACTGAAAATTCTAAAGCTGTGGGAGTTCTAGGTTTTTGCAGGGAATGGTGAGAGAGAAAGAGGGCTAGGCAAGGTCAGATTTTATTCTATTTTTGCAAAATTACCACATTTATTTACATGGTTTGAATAATACAAAAAACTTTCTTAGCCTTTTTTATTTATCCTTGGATCATTTCTATATGTAAACAAAAGTAAATAAAAAATAAATTGTATTATTCCTCCTCTTTCATACACAAATGGTGGCATACTATATAAACGTTCCAGCACCTTACTTTTCCCCCCACTTAACAATATGACCTGGAGCTCTTTCCGATTAATACACAGGGAACTTCTTCATTAACCCTGTTTCAGTTGTATATTTTTCCAGTGTAGGGATACATTGCAGTTTCATTACTAAGGACAAGATTTTGGATTTTAATGTCTTAATCAGAAGAACACACGTGTTCCCTAAAGGCACTAAGGAGCCACGAGAAGTTTTTGGGTGTTAAGTGGTGAGATGAGAACCATGTTCAGGGAAGCTTATTCTAGCAACTATGTGAACTACGGGGAGGCAGGGCAGGAGTGAATAGTGGTGGTGGGTAGAGAAGGAGTAAGAAGAGACAAACAATAACAAAAACATCTATAATTTCTATCTTGGTTCTTCTTTGAAAAGGAATTGAATTATGTGTTGTTGATCCATGAAGCAGCCTGCTGTTGTGGAAAGAATTTAGGACACAGGGCCATTTGTTTCTAATCCCTGTTCCCCTTAAGAGTAGCTGACTAACCTTAGGCAAGACATTTTTTCTGGGCAGGGGTTTTCAAATGAAGGGTCCCATGTTCGATAAATCATAAGCTTCCTTATGGCTCTAACATTCTAGACATCTACAGATCCCTGTCTCCCCTGACTCAACACTCAATCTTCTAAGCTTTTCCTTTGGGATCAAAAAAATTGGAGGTCTCAAAAAAAAAAAAAAAAAGTAACTGGTGTCTGACAAAGAATGTGGAGAGCCACAGATGCCCTGAGACTGACAACTGCCAATTTCTAAGCTCCTGTCAGTTTTCTTCTAGCAAATTCCCCTGATCCAACAAATCTTCCCCAATGGGACTTGCTATTTCATGAGCCCCAAGACAAAACTCTTGGCACACAGCTGGCATGCACACAGCATTTCTAGGATAAGTTATTCTGAACTGGGCAAAAGCAGCCAGACTGTTTCCCTAGATTCTCATAACTATCCCAAATTTACCAACTCTCAGATTTTCTTTTGGTAGCACACACATAACATACAAGTGGCCATCTTAATCATGTTTAAGTATACAGGTCAATGGCATTAAGTACATTTACATTGCTATGAAACCATCACCATCATCCATTACCTGAACATTTTCATCCTCCCAAAGTAAAACTCCTGTCTAGTAAAAAATAATTCCCCATTTCCCCCACCCCTTAGTAATCGACATTCTACTTTCTGTCTCTATAAATTTGACTATTCTAGTTATCTCATATAATTGAAATAATAAAATACTTGTCTTTTGTAACTGGCTTTTTTTCACTTAACATAATGTCTTCTAGACTCTTCCATATTTAGCATGTGTCAGAATTTTCTTCTCTTTTAAGGCTGGATAATATTCCATTGCATGTATATACCATATTCCATTTATCATTTCTTCTTTTGATGGGCATTTGGGTGTTGCCACATTTGTTTATTGTGAATAATGCTATTGTGAATATGAGTGTAAAAACTCTGAGTTCCTGATTTCAATTCTTTGGGTATAGACCCAGAAGTGAAATTGCTGGGTCATATGGTAATTCTGTGTTTAATTTTTTTTGAAGAACCATCATACTGTTATTCATAGTAGCTGTCCATTTTACATTCCAACTAGCAATGCATAAGGGTTCCATTCCTTTCCAATACTTGTTATTTTATGATTTGTGGTAATGGCTATCCTAACATCTGAATTTCCTTTATGATCTCTAACTTTTTTCTGACATCCCTGTTTGCAGAGCAGAATGGGAATGCTCAAGGAGCAACATTATTATTCCATTATCATAACCATTATTAGGATTTAAGTTTTATACTTTACAAAGTTTATTTTTATATATATATTATTTCATGTAATATTCACAAAAATACAGGAATGTGGTCAGCATAAATATATCCATTATGCAGACAAAGAAACAGGTTTGGTGTTTATTTGAAGTGGTCTCAATGTCATACAGTGAGTCAGTAGTTGGGATTAGAATCCAGATCACTGGGATCTCAATTTATAGCTCTTCCCAATACCCACGAGACCAAACTCATCATCAGGCTATTTCCCAGTAACCTATGACCATCCTCAAATCTAAGTGACCTATACTGGTCTAGGTAATTGATTAGATTGATCACATTAAAATGCTATTTAGGGAAGCCCCCATGTCCCTGATCCAGCCTTGTAAATGACTGGGTCTATATTCTCTTCCAGGAAAAACAAAAGGTCATGAGGTCCCAAATAACAAGGAGCAACTGAAATAGAATTATATCTGCCGGTCACCTGGTTCCAGCTTACTCAGCTGCTAAAAACATTTGCATCTTACAACTGCTTATCAGTGAGAGCCTCAGATGAAGCCACTTACGTCGAACAGTGGTTCTCAGCGCATGGTCCTCAGACCAACATCAAGGTCCTCTCCTGGAAATTTGTCAACAAATTCTTTTGCTCCCTTGTAGACAAACTAAATCAGAAATCCTGGGGGTGGAGCTTAGCAATTTGTGGTTTAATTATCCCTCCAAGTTAGTCTGATACATGCCTAATTTTGAGAAACTCTGATAGAGAAGAAATAATGCTTGTCTTAAGATGAAATAGACCATGATTCTAGACAACTCTTGTTAACAGGGTGGCTTTGGATCAGATACTTCATATTAGTTGCTCTGTCTTTTAAAACTTAAGAGTAGCTACCTTACAGTGTTGGTGAGTATTAGATAAGTCATGTGTATTCAAAAGCATTTTGTACACAGAAAGCTTTCAAGGTATGTGTTCTCACCACACACAAACAAAATAAGTATGTGAAGTAATGCTTATGTTAATTGGATCTATTTAGCCATTCCACAATGTATATATATTTAAAACAAAATTTTATACGCGATAAATATATACAATTTTTATTTGTGAATTAAAATAAAAAAATTGTAAAAGGCTTTAAGCCAGTGTAAGGGATTATTGTACTGGACAGGCTGAGTCTCAGGATACCTGAGGGAAGCTGCCCACTACCCCAACAGCCCCTATTACTAGAAGACCATGAGGCACACCACAAAACCCCACTCCAATGGCTCCAGAGTAGACGAGCTACAGACAGCCGTAGGACTGTGGCATAACCTGATATACACATGCACATGCATGCACACACACTGAACTAGGTCAGAGTTTGTATTTTAGGACGATGAAAGTGCTAATACAAGAAAATGAAGCAGCAGGTGGTTGAAGCTAAAAATAAAAGTCTGCCTTGAGCCAACAGGGGACATGGCAAGGTGAAATCATAAGAAAGTAGAAATTTTAAGAAAAATAAGAAAAATAATATAGAGAGGCTAATATCTGGAAAGAAAGAGCAGAGGAGGGATAATGCAGAGTTACCTTAAAAGACCAGCAAGCCAGTGGCCCACAAAAGAGAGAAGAAAGAGGAGCTGATCCCAGAAGCAATCTCAGCTTCTGATGACTTTCCAGTGCCAACTTGAAGCCCTCCTATTGAATGACTCTTTCTTTTAAGTCTCTGTTTCTTTAAAGCCAAAAATCTCAGTTCAACGCATTTTTATTATTATCGTGTTTAGACTGCAGAAGAGAAGACTTACATTGGCAAGGACATAGAAGAATGGGTCATTGCCTGCAGTTACATGATGAGCTATCATAAAAGCTAGAGAATGGGCTTTTTCCATATATCTCCAGAAGCCTAGTCCAGGAGAAAGAGATAAAGGTTATAATCCATGAGGGCTTACACAAGGAAGGCTTTCTAACAACTAAATGTAATCAACGATGATGTTCGCCTCATAGTACAGTGATTTCTGTGGCAATGGCAATGTTAAATTTGTTAGAGGGAAACTGTATAAATGCCTAAGGTCTCTTCCTAGAGTAAGATTTGATATTCTGTTGAGGAATGACAAAATTGGGTCCTGAAAGAATCAACAATATGGGTTTGGGTATATCTGAGAATGGCAGCAAAGAGAGTATCCATCCTCCATAATATATTGGAGCTCACTAAAGGTAATAATAAAATGTGGCAACTGGGGTTGAGATGGAGATAATGTGGCTAAACTGGATAAAACTGAGAGGATGGAAAAAATTGCAGAGGTCACCTGTTCATCATAACAGCCAAGAATGGAAGCAATTAGGGGACTGACTTCTTGGATTTAGGCAGTAATTTTTTGTTATTTTGGTCTTGATTGTGCATTTGATGAATTTCTCAACCTTCTACCCACAACTTTATTCTACAGCTCCTTTTACCTCAAGTGGGAAGCAAGTGTTCTTGCTTCTTACTTGATTTCAGCTTTAGCATCCTCATCTGAAAGGTGACAGGATCAACTGGAGGACCTCTGCAGTATTTTAGAGCAGCCTTAATATTGGATAAATCATTGTTTGACTCAGTTGCTTTTGCCCACTCTTTTCAAGGTTCTGGCGCTGTACTAAACTCAATTATAATTCCTCTCTCTTGAGACAGAGGTCTCCAGGCTGAGTTCACTGTTTCTGATACCTCCTATTAGCTTGTTCCCGATACCTCCTATTAGCTTGTTCCCTCTCACTTTACAAGGGCTTAATTAGCCATTATAGGAGACTCTTTCCAAATGCAGGCTTTGCAAAATGATTAGTGCTATGGGCCGTACTTCAAAAATAAAATTGCATTTAGGATAATTTTCTCATATTTTAAAATGTTACTTTCATGATAAAAAATAATACAGGAAAACATTCTTATTGCTTCAAAAAATCCAAACTGTACTACACAGTGAAATTACTGCTTGACTCTGACCCAATTATATTCAAGCCTTCTGTTAATAACCATTTGCAATGTTTTATACATAAATGGGATCATCCTGTAACTTATTTATTTCACAATACAACATGGGGCTCTTTAATGTAAGCAGGTAAAGATCTGAGAATAAGGTAATAATTTTTAAACACAATTTTACTTGGTTCAGTCATTTACTTTTTAAGAACCTACTATGTGTTTGGCACATCATTTACTTTTTAAAGACCTATGATCTACTAGGTACTGGGAAAAGGAAGCTGCAGACTCTGCATTCCAGGGACCTCCTGGTTCACATGGAAAGCTATAATAGAAGCTATTCAGCGGTACTGGGAACACAAAGGAGAGCCTGATTGATTAGGTCTCAAAGTGTCCAAGAGTTTCCAAAAACAGAACTGAGGACCCTAGAACGAATGCAGCTTACTGGGTAAACACTCTCTTTGGGAATGATTAAGTCTTTCTCACTGTCTAAAATCTGTCTCTTTCCTGAAAGATATTTGGCAAACCCTACACATTGCATATTTCCTAGAACAGAATTTGCCCATTTTTAATCCTAAGTGAACATACTATTCATTCAATGAAAATAAGCCTTTTTAAAGTACTTTGTGATAAGTACTATGCTAGCTTCTGTAGCAGCCATAAAGATATATAAAACCAAATTGCCCCCCTAAAGAAGCATTACATTTATTAGGGGGATATAAACTCGTAAACAAATACACAACTCAAAAAAAAAACAAAATCTTTGCATGCTAGAGCCTACAAAGTAGCTCCACTGTTCCACAAGGAAATACCATACAGATGTATCCTAAAACCCTTTCACTGTGAACTTTGATGGAACTTTGAAAAAGACTCAGATGTTCAGCAGATCTAATTTAAAGGGCTATATGAAAATATGTCTGGAAAAAATTAAAGTTAACGAGGACCTCTGGCTCCTTATCAAATATAAAAGGAGACAACTGGGTGGCATATAGCCTCCAAATCATTCATCCTTAGTCAGCTTCAGAGATTCTGAGCCCTGACCACGCTATTTTCTCATTTACATTGAAATACCCTGAAATGCTCCATTCTGTCCTCCCAGTTCAGGCTCCCAATAGTTAACATCAAATTATTTCTCACCTACCAATGTTCCCTCCCAATTGTAATCCATTCAAATCCCCACCAAAACAATATTCCTAAAATACAGCTTTGATCAGGTAACTCGTAACTCTCCTGCTTAAGTATCTTCGCTATGTGTCCTTTATATGATAAGTGAAGCCCAAATTTTGTAGCCTGGTATTCAAGCAAGACCCTTTCCAATCTGGTTTGTAGAATTTGGTTTTCCTCCTTATTCTCTGACTGCATATGCTTCATTTAAGCACCAAAACTTGGGGAAAGGCCATATCTCATTCACTTTCACATTCTCCTCATACTAAGTAGATACTTAAGGGATGTTAGACATATAAAAAGGTTTTCTATAAGCTTGAGGTCTTCTTTACTGCTCGTATCCACTCCTGCATGCATTGAATGTTAAGTCCACTGTTCACAACAGTAAAAGAAATAGCAAGTTTCCCGTGTAAAAGAAGCCCAAGTTGCTCACAATGTAATCAGAACAATGATGCACCCCTTTTTCTCCTTTTCCTGACTTACAGTTGGTTTCCTACTCCTGCTTGCTGCCAAGTAAACTACTTGTCTTGAGCTTTGCATTGGAGAGGCGTGGGGGAGAGTTGATTCAAATTAATGTAATTTGTTTCCTTTCTCACCCCGATTTTCTAACATAATTTATATCTGTGAATTGATAACAATTCACATAGCATTTTCAAAAACTTATTTCATTGCATCCAAACTATTAATGTCTAAAAAGCCATCACATTTGTTTTACAAATGAAGACACTGTGGTTAATTGCCATTGTGAAGATCACAATATTATTCATTCAATATAGTTTATTCAGAGTCTGCTACCATGTGGTCAGCACACTACGGAAATACATAGAAAGATTTCTAAACCCATGTTTTAATGGGAAGGGGCAGCTGATAAAAGAAGTCTTCTCAGAATAGCTGAAATTTAAACTGAGATACAGATGAATTTGTTCATAAGTAAGGAGTAAATCACAAAGGATCTCTTATGCAATGCTAGGGATTTGCATTTTATCATAATTGCAAAAAGGAATTTTAAGTAAGGTAGTTGCAGGATTAAACTGGGAATAGGGAGGCCAAAGGGTACAAAGTTATACAGATGAAAAAGTCTAGATATCGGCCAGGCACGGTGGCTCATGCCTGTAATTCCAGTACTTTGGGAGGCCGAGGCAGGTGGATCACAAGGTCAGGAGTTTAAGACCAGTCTGGCCAACATGGTGAAGCCCCATCTCTACTAAAAATACAAAAATTAGCCGGGCATTGTGGCGGGTGCCTGTAATCCCAGCTACTCGGGAGGTTAAGGCAGGAAAATCTCATGAACCCAAGAGGCGGAGGTTGCAGCAAGCCAAGGTTGCACCAGTGCATTCCAGACTGGGCGACAGAGCAGAACTCCGTCTCCAACAACAACAAAAAAAAGTCTGAATATCTAACATACAGCATGAGGACTATAATTAATAATATTTCATTGTATACCAGAAATTTTCTAAGAGAGTAGACAGATGTTAAGCATTCTTATCATTTTTTTAAAAAAGGTAACAATGTGAGATGATGAATGTGTTAATTAGCTTGACTGTAGTAGTCGTTTAACTATGTATATAAAAACATGTTGTACACCTTAAAATATATAACAATTTTTAAATGTTTTCTTAAAACATATATATTATATATATATATATATATAGAGAGAGAGAGAGAGAGAGAGAGAGAGAGAGAGAGAGTTGAGCATCTCGTAGTGCCCAAAAACAAAATTTTCAACAAACAAAATAAACACAAAATAAAAGTATGTCAAAGTGCTATAGGAGCCAGTCTGAAAGCTCACCCAATGGAATGACCAAACCTGGAACAATTTGACCACCAAAATAAATAGTGTATTATTGAATTATAACCAAAATATTAAATACATATTCACGAGACTTTGTACTTCTCTATCTCAATATTTATACTGATATAAATCCTTTTCTAAGTACATGAATATATCAATAAAGAGAAAGAGACATATGTTCCTTATAGAGGAATTTGAAATGGTTTATGGAGATACTCTGTTCTCAAAGAGTTGAAGCTTAACTCCTCATTCCCCAATGTGGGCTGCACTTACTGGCTTTCTTCCAAATAATGGGCTATGAAAAGGGGGTCAAAATTAGTTTTATAGTTGAGAAACACCACCTGGACCAGATGATAAAGTTTAGCATCACGGGTGATGTCATATTAATAGCATGTATCCATAATATCTGATGAGAAAGGTATCTGATCTCTTTAATTTAGAGGTTCTTTCCCCAAATCCCTAACTCCAGTCTACTCATGAGAAAAACATTTTTAAAAAATTGAGGGATATTTGAAAAAATACCTGACTACTCCTCAAAACTTGTCCAGGTAATGAAAAACGAGGAATAACTGATTTTCCTTAATATTTTCTAATCTGTGACAGAAGAGACTAAGGACAATCAGTTATTTTTTCCCACATTTAATGGTTGTGTTTTCTTAGTCTGTTCTGTCACAGATCAGAGAGACTAAGGAAACACAATCACTAAATGTGATGTTATATCCTAGATGAGATCCTGGAACAGGAAAAGAATACTAGTGGAAAAACTACTGAAATCACAGTGAAGTATAGTGTTTAATTAATGGTAATATGCCAGTGTTTGTTTTGTAGTTTTGAAAAATGTACCCAGGTAATGTAAAATGTTAAGAATAGGGAAAACTGGGTTAGGGATATCCATACATTTTCTGTACAAACTTTACAATTTTTTGACAAATCTAAAACTATCCTAAAATACTTTCATATTTTTAAAATAGCAGGATGCAATGAACAGTTAGGCAACTTCAACAAGTTGATAATCATCTGAATGGAGGAAGAATCAGCAAAACAAATATGGAGATAGAGTCAAGTAGGTTTAACGTGGTTTGATGACTGATATGATTTGACTGTGTCCCCACCTAAGTCTCATCTTGAATTGTAGTTCCCATAATCCCTATGTGTCATGGGAGGGACCCAGTGGGGAGGTAACTGAATCATGGGTGTGGTTACCCTCATGCTGTTCTTGTGACAGTGAGTAAGTTCTCACAAGGTCTGATAGTTTTATAAGGGACTTTTCTCCCTTTTGCTCAATACTTCTCCTTGCTGCTGCCATGTGAAGAAGGATGTGTTTGCTTCTCCTTCTGCCATGATTGTAAGTTTCCTGAGGCCTCCCCAGCCATGTGGAACTGTGAGTCAATTAAACCTCTTTCCTTTATAAAGTACGCAGTCTTGGGTATGTCTTTATTAGCAGTATGAGAGCAGACTAATCCAGTGACTATGTTAGGGGAAATAGGAGGCTGGTGAGGGAAAGAGGAGACAGGGATCACAGTGTTGGTGAGAGGCAGATCAAGTCATCAATCCAGGTCCTCTCCCTCTTCAGGACCATGAGATGGATAGCCTATAGCAAGTAGGAGAGACCATGGGGAACCGTGGGGGAATACTGTAGGCCTAGAGTGATGGAAGATGAATAGAAAGATGAATGTAGATGAAAGATGAATTAGGAAAGTTGATGATGGATTAGATCAAGAGCCATGGAAAAGCAAAGAACAAGACCCCAGGAGACTCTAAACCAAAGATTTGAAATAATGGCTATGCTCTCAAGAGAACTGGAGAAATTTGGGAAAGAAGAATTGTTAAAAAATAATCAGATATATTTTATAAAGTATAAAAGTTTGAAATGATATCAGGGCATTATATGGAAATGTTTCACAGTACAGTGAAGCCAACTAGAGTCTGGAGACATATACAACACATCTAGAAAAGTGAGAAAAAGTAAAAAAGATCATATGAATTGGCAAGAATAAATTCATTAATAAGACATAAGAGGTTTGGTTAAGAGTATGGGACCAGAAGCCAGAATCTACTGAAATTGTTTTTATGATCTTCATACACTCTCCCTCTTGCTATAGTTGTTCCACAGCATTCTATATTTCCTTATCTGAAATGTGGTTATTCATTAATTGACCTTTTGTCCCCAGATATACACTACTACCTTTAGCTACAGAATTCTTCTTTGATTTTCATAGGTTACAAGAAACATTTGTTTTTTCTTCCAGTAAACACGTTTCTCAACTGGATGCTTCCTTGTCTTATGTTTGAACATTTAGTTAATGATTGCTGTAGGGGATCAGTGCCAGATTGAGAGAAGAGCAAAGCTTCTGGAAAACGAGACTTAGAGGTCTATCAGTGAAAAGAGCTGATGGGAGGCATTCATAAAACTCTTGTGGGTCCAAGACAGGTGGCCTCCAACACGGATGGCTTGTCCCTGTAAGAAAAGTTAATGTGGCTGGGCACAGTGGCTCATGCCTGTAATCCCAGCACTTTGTGGGGCCGAGGCGGGTGGATCACCTGAGGTCAGGAGTTCGAGACCAGCCTGGCCAACATGGTGAAACCCCCTCTCCACTAAAAATACAAAAATTAGCCAGGTGCCACGGTGCTTGCCTGTAGTCCCAGCTACTCAGGAGGCTGAGGCAGGAGAATCACTTGAACCCGGAAGACAGAGGTTGCAGTAAGCTGAGATCATGCCACTGCACTCCAGCCCAGGTGACAGAGTGAGACTCCATCCCAAAAAAGAAAGAAAGAAAGAAAGAAAGAAAGAAAGAAAGAAAGAAAGAAAGAAAGAAAGAAAGAAAGAAAAGAAGTTAATGTAAGAGCAGTTTCAGAAATTTCCTATAAATTGAACATACAATAAGGAAAGATTACACCAATATAAGGAAAGAGAAAGGGCACGTAGTTGATCCCAAATTTGACATGAGCCACCATATGGCAGCAATAGTAGAAGTAGGCACAGGCACTTATTAACCCCTTGTTGTCCTGGTGTGAGCTATGAGCCTTATGCAAAGGCATTATCCTCTTAATTCCTCATAACAACTCTGTGAAGTATCTACAGGTCCACAGTCCCTAATTCATCATTTCAAACCCCACAGAGGGGTTTGTTTTGTTTTTGTTTTGTTTCAGAAGTTTTTCTTTTGTTTCATTTTGTAACTCATTTGACAGCAAAATCTGTCAAGAGATGATTTAAGGATAATTATTTTCTCTACATGATACGTTTTGCAGAAGAATTATTGGTGTATTTGATTAAAGGGTGCTGTGCCAGGCACCACTGGGCTTTCTGAACTGCACATATAACTTTTCAAAAATTTACAAAAAAAATTTGAATTTTAAAACCCATCCAGCCTGAGGGTATTTAGAGGAAAAATTATGAAAATTGAGGGTCATAAATATGAAGTTTAGCTCAAAGTTACACATAGGTTTGAACTGAGGTCTGTCATTCTGCAAAGATTAGACTTTCAATCATTAAATGACATGCTGGAAATGTTATTATCTTTACAGCTGGCACCAGAATTTATTTTAGGGAAAGAACTGTCTTTTTTGGGAAAATATCCTGAAAAGAACTTGTTAGATATGGTATCTCCAGAGCCAAGGTGTCATCTGTTTCTGTTCTAGACAAGGAAAGAAACTGGTTGTTTCATTCCTGGCTGGAGAGAGTAGAAAAGAGAATGAAGATGGAGTAACATACATTTGTAAGTTTGGCTACTGCTTGGCGGGAAATGACCAAGAAAGACTTCCAGTTAAGAGTAGTTATAAAGTCTGACATGTTTTTAAAATATTTTGTTGCCTAGTGTGTGATGCAATTCTTTGCAATCTTATTAAAGTCTACTATGCCCACAAATGCTTAGAAGGCATGGATTTCGCACATATTATCAGGTGCCACTGGATCTAACAGTGTACTTGACTGTGTAGATAAAAGGTCATGACATCCAGGAGTTTAGTAAAGGAGACAAATAAGAAAAATGAAAAATTAGAATTTCCAGTTTAAAGTGCTGTAACAGAGACGCTTAAGTGCAGGGTTTACATAGACGAGGGGGCAACCCTTTCTTTGTGGCAGTATTAAATTAAGAATCCTGGTTTCTTGGAGTTTAATCCAATGTTCTAACCATGACATTAAGTTTGTACACACACACACACACACACACACACACACACACAAATCAGTAAATACCATATCTGTTAATCTGTTACCAGGAACAAGAAAACTGAAATCTCTGTGCTTCAGTTTCCTTTCTTATAAAAGAGAAATAACAATGATATCAGGATTAAAATGATGAAAATAAAATACTGCAGTGACTGATGAATAGAAGCTTTTGAAAAATATTAGTAGTGGCTATAATGATAATGATGAGGAGGAGGATGTAATCAATGTAATTATTAAGTGATAGCTTTACAAACTGCTATGAGAGGCAAAGGAAAGTGAGTAAATCTTTCCTAATTGCATCAAGCACCACAGACATTTTACCCAAGCTGTAGAGGATGGGTACAGCAAATAGGTACACATGCAACCTATTTGGAGAACAAGCAGTGGAATAAAAACAAGAGGTCATTTATGAAAAGCCATGAAGTTCCCTAAATAATGAAAAATAAAAGTTGAAGAATTAAGTTGCAGCTATGTCAAGGAGGTCTCCAAATGTCAAGGAGGTCTCTAAATATAATAAGCTGTATATCTCTAGTTTCTGTCATTTTTTTCTTACTAGTTAAACTTTGGGCACAGAATGTGAAAATCAACAGGTGCCAGCCCAATATCCCCATTCCAACATGTATTATCAACATCCATTAGAGCAGTTCTCTTGAGTTTTGTCATCACTCTTTACTCAGGTGAATAATTAGTCCTTGAATCAGAGGGGAGTAGGTCATAATATGTTTACTTGAGTTCCCAAAGATAGACATGCATAAATATGTACTCAGAGCAGTAAAGAAGAAAAGGAAAAAATGTACACAAGGTTGAGCAATGTAAACACATTCAATATGACTAATAGTCTAGCACGGTGGCAGGATTTCTCTGGTCAATGCACTCCTCATCTCCCGGGGCAAACAATATTTATTCTGTCAAGAATTGATTGTATGAGGCCTCAGTATATTTTCTATTGTTCTAATTCATGGAAGGAGGGTGATATTATTACTAGCTAGCAATTATAATTCCTGGACATGTGAGGAATAATATTTTTGCACAATATTTACTTATGGTTTCTTGGTTTATTCTCACACCAAATGAACACTGTATGATGTGTATTTTTGTAGTTGAGAAAACTGTTTTGCCCACTCATGTCACAGTTGAAATGGCAGATTTATAATTGGAGACAGGCCCCTTTCTCCATGGGTTTTTTTTATCCTCTTTAACTTGTTGTCTGCAAAGGGCCATTCCCTATCACAAATTTAGGGCCAGTTTTTAACTAGAATTCATCTTAGTATTGTAGTGATTTAAAAAACAAGATTGTCTAGGGTCCATAGGATATGTTTCTGTAGTGAAATGTTTTTTCTAATCACAGATTAGGATTGGCAAACTGGGATGGAATAGAATAAAAAAATCTATCAAGAGTCCTCACATATAATAAGACTGTTTTATTTTTTAACAACTGTATTTGTCTGCTCACATATCTACATATAATGCATATGCTAGGCCATAACTCAAAATTTTTACTTTAGGTTCACAGTCAAAATGTTTAAAAAGCACTGTTTGGTGAAAAAAGTCCAGGCTTTGGCATCAGGCAGGCCTAAATCTAAAGTTATTACTGCTGCTATTATTATCTAATGAGTTTCTGTGACCAGATCCCAGCCAATTCCCTTCTCCCCACACTGCTTGTGAGACCCAAGAAAAAAATCCTTTTCTCATATATGAACCTTCCTTAACAGTGGTTATTGGAAGTTTCTTACTGGTCACAAAACTACTATTTAAATAATGATTTGAGATGAAAAGAACCAATATATTTTCATCTCAAATCAAATCAAATATGATCCAACCAACATCTATCAATGCTAAGACTAAACTCCATGAGGGCAGACATCATATCCATTTCCCTAGCACTCAGCCAAAAATTTTTGTATAGTAAGGACTTGATGAATATTTGAATATATTAATAGTTGAATGAATAAAAGGCCGAATGGTGAACCAATGAATGGCTACTCAACCGGAGGCACCGGAGACACAGAAGTGAACAAGGCATAAACCTTGGTCTTCAGAAATATATACATTTATCACTTAATTTATGTTTTTAGCAAATATTTATTTAGTATCAACTATTTTCCAGACACTTTGTTAGGTGCTACAATAAATAAAGCAACTGTATTTACTCCCTAAAAATAAAGATATTACATAATAATCGTATGAATAGCTATAGAGTTGGAATTATTTTAAGTGCAATGAAGGGTTTTATGAAGATCGTACAATAGGAGGGAATAATCTAGATGCAGAAAGAAGTAAAGGAAGACCCAGAAAGAATGGCTTCTTGAGAAAATACCACTTAACCTTTTAACCTTAGAAGGTGAAAAGCTGTTTTGTATTATTTTGTTTTGTTGGTCCTAGTAAAGGGTAACAGAGAAATGACCAACGTAGCAAGGAAATGACCAGATTGAGCAAGGAAGAATCTCTTGGGGAATAAAGATAGAAAGGAGCCAAGTCATACAGGACCTAAATTCTTCCTGAGCATTCTGAACAATGAGAAACTGGACAGATACATGATCAAATTTGCAGTCCATAAAGATCCCTATGGGCCTTTCTATGGGCAGCAGCTTTAAGGAAGAAATAACAACAAATATTGAGAAACTCTTTGCAGGAAATGCAGAAACCCAGGGGGAAAGGATGGCATTGTCTTAGATATGACAGTGGAAGCTAATGAGAAGTGTCCAGGATTGAGGTTATTTTGAACATGAATCCAAGAAGAGAACTTGGTAGCAAATTAAGTGTGGAAGATGATGCATAGAAAGGGGAAAGGGAAATATCAGGGAGAACAACGAGGTTTGGGCTTGAGTGATCTACTGGAAAGAAAAGAAGCTGTAGGGAGAATAGAGACAAAAATATTGTGGTGAAAGATCAAAATAGTAGTATGGAACATATTAGATTTGAGGTAGCTGTAAAACATCCAAATAGTGATTTCAAGAACTAAACACTTCCAAAGCTTCCCTTTGATAAAAACCAAAGTCCTTACTCTAGACTGCACTAGATTTAGACCCTCACTGCTTCCATTATTTCATCTCCCATTTTGCCCTCTATCACTTTGCTCAAGCCAGAGTGTCCTCCTGGATGTTTCTCAAACATGTCAAACCAGCGTCAGCCTCAGAACCTTTGCGCTTACTATTCTCTCTGTCTGGAATGCACATCCTTGGAATAAATGCATAGTTCAAATCCTCATTTCCTTCATGTCTCTGTGTGATATCACCTGAAAAGCAAGACCTTCTCTGATTACGCTATGATACATATCTCCTTAACCCTCCAGCACCCTTATCCTTCTTGTCCTTTTCTCCATAATATTTATCTGATATATTTTATAATCACTTATTATTTTTTGTCACTTGCCTCCCTCAACAAAAAGGCAATGGAAGCTCCATGAAGACAGAGATTGTTATTTTTATTTACTGATCTGTCTTAAGAGATAAATACAGTTCTTGTCATGACTTGGGAAGGGTTTGAGATTTTATCCTACTTGGAAGCTAAGAAGTTAGCCTGCCACATTATAATGGTTTCTGGCAGAAGGCACAGACTCCTGGCTCAGAGAAAAGGGACTTAATTATTCCATAGCAACAGCCAGAGTATTGGAATTTGTTCTGGTTTCCCAAGCCCCAATTTCCACAGGCCAATTTAAGGGGCATCAAGTGATAGTTGCAGGGAAAGTACAGTGTGTTAAAGGAAAGAAAGGCCAAGCTTTTAAAAACCCGAAATCTTTTGTAAAGGGCAATTAACATGGTCTTTGCCCTAGAAGGAGATATTAACTTTATTACACTAAACAGTAAACAAACCTGCCTTTTGGTGCAGAGGGAGACATTACGTATTTTCTAAGGTCGTTTGTTATATAAACACCCTTAAAAAGATAGTCTGAAACAAAGGTTATCAGTACCTCTACTCATAAGACACACCAAAACATGAGAGAGGATGGAGAATTCTCTTCTAATAACACATGGTAGATATCCAGCACATATTCTCTTTTACCCAGCACATATTCTCAGATGAAAGAGTAACCCTTTGAATTAGGTGTTATTATTATTTTAATTTCCAGATGAATACACAGAAGCACAGCAAAAGTGGCTCCAACAAGCACCCTCTAGCTCCAGAATACACGCTTTAGGGAACTGAGTCCTCTCTCTCTCTTGCTTTCTCTTTCCCTCTCATCTGCCACTCCATCAGCTACTTTAGGTTTTGTGAATGAGTGAGGGAAAAATAGAGAAAAGAGAAAGAAGAATAAGAAAGGAAGAGTGGAGGAAAGGAAAAAAGAATGGAGAGGTTTTACCCTACTTGGAATAAAATTCTTTCTAGTAGCTATCCATACCTGCTCATCTATCCAGAACTACAGAGTAGAAGGGATCTTTGAGTTCATCTTACAGGTGAGAAAACAGGCTTGAGAAGGGAATGACTTTCCCACAACCACAGAGGGAGTTAGGGATCAAACTAACCACTAGAACTATTTTCCTGACAGAATCTTTGCCTTGCATGTTTCAGGCCCACCTGGCTCCTTTCACCTTTCTTACACAGGTGACATTCCCAGAACCTGGAGGCCAGGCTATGACACAGAGTCAATCAATAACCAGGGAGATCTGTGATATAGCCCAGTAGGTGGGGCCTTGCTGCCATCTGCCATATGACCCTTCCAGTCCCAGGCTTCTGAAGAGACGTGGTAAGTGCGGTGCAGTTTTCAACTGACCTCTGGACGCAGAACTTCAGCCATGAAGGTAACAGGCATCTTTCTTCTCAGTGCCTTGGCCCTGTTGAGTCTATCTGGTAAGTGTTGCATATTTTTCAAATTTAAATAAAACTGTTTTGACCTGTTGCTTTGTGAAGCACATTATCTTCTAGACTTTTGATGTAGTCTAGTCTTCGAGAGATGTTTTGGACCTAATGAGATGAAATAAAATCAACAGGTAAGAATTATTTTTTAAGAGGAATTTTTAACCTACTATAAGGAAAACAATTCTACTAGTAAGAAATTCCCAGAAATAAAATGGTTTTCCTCTATTGATGTGGCTGACCCTTTGTTGGGATATGGTAGAGAAAAAAGGGTAAAAATATTTTAACTTTAAGTATACTTCTCATTCTGTAAATGTGTAAGGCCAAATTACAAATTTTAAATTCTCATGGGATTGCATAAAATAGATAAATGGCTTCCAGTTATTCAGTATAAAAGGCATAATTTGACTGATTAAAAATTTATTTTTTTATTGTATAGGTTTCAGTGTACTTGAATCATGTATAGTTTGTCAGATTTATCCCTGAATAGCTAATATATGTGATATAAAGGGAATTTTTTATTTTCAATTCCTGGTATTTCTTATTAGTATCTGGAAATACAAAAATTGCATTTTGTGTATTTACATTACACATTTTGAATGTTTTGAAAGAAAATATTCTGCTTGAATAGATGGTGCACATATACCTCCAACTGCATCTTGACAATGTTGACAGACAACTCTGAACCCGCAGAGCCAAGATCAGTTTCCTTTTTATCACTGGAAATGGTTAACATTTTCAACTTCACCTCTCATGTAGTGAAGGATCCTGTGGAGAGCCAAATCAGCACTTTGCTAAGAAGAGGAAGAATATTGTTTGTTTTATTTGCTGAATATTTATGGCAACAGTCAGTGTTCCCTTTCCCCCTCCTCATGCATGTTAATTAATACAAATAGATGCCTGTGATGAGCACCTGCTCTTCAGTTTTTAGACTCAACTAGATTCTAAAAGCCAGTGGGCCCCCAACAACATCAAGTTCTGACTATCCCGGGGGAAATTCTCCAAGCTCATAGATGCCTCACTAATTTTCATTACATTTAGATACAAAGAACTACCTCTTTGCTCAGATCACCTCAAAGATTGATGATATTAAAATTAATTTTCAGGAATGTTTCCTTATTTGATTGCTATCATATTAGTTCCCTTTCCCTTCCATGAACTTATCCACAGTTATCATTTCCTATATGTTGTCAGCAAAACCTCTGCTATTTTCTGGGGGAATAGAGATTAGCTATTTTGACTACCTGTAAATTCAACAAATGTGAGTTAGACCCATAGTCCATATGATGCAATTGTTGGAAATAGCTCTTTGGGAACTGATAGTGAGTTGGCAAAAGAACTCTATTTTTTCAACAATACTTACAAAAGGGAATTTAAATGTAATTGAAAAAGCTAACTTTGCATCAGAAGACCTGGTTACTGCTTATGATAACTGTTTCACAGCTAGTTATAAAAACTCTCCATACTTTCATCTGTAAACTGAGATAAAAATTATACTTCACTAATTGTGAGATTAAAGATCTAGTAACTGGTTTTGAGAATGTTTGTGAGTATTCAAAAGATAATTTGCTCAGTGCCTGATTCATTTCCAGCAGTAAGTGCATAATTTCTGTTTTCAAGGAAATAGATCAACTTCCTAAAACATCAAATCGAGATACTTTGGTCATAATCAAAGTTTTACTCAAACTTTTTAAGGTTTTGCCAAGGAAGGGGTACAGGAAAATCAGTCAGATACTTTTGGAAGATTAGAGAAATCAGAAAGGGTGGGGAATGAAAGAGCCTAGTAAAGAAGTCACAGTCTGCAATGAAAGCAGAGAATTCTGATGAAGAATAGATCTGACTTCTTTCATTTAGGACCCAACTTACCATATCTGATTTATTTCTAGGTAACACTGGAGCTGACTCCCTGGGAAGAGAGGTAAAGAGATATTTGTAATTTCTTATTTCTCAGACTGGAACAGTTTGATCCAACAAAAATGCAGCCTTGCTGTCACCTTTCAGTTTAGCCTGAAGTTAAGAGGAGTATGAATGCTAGGGAGGGTTAACGTGAGAAATGCAAATGGTAGTAGTAGTTCCAACCCACAGGCGTATATTGAAGGACAATTTCACTGATGTATAAGCAAGTTCCATATAGTCCTACAGTGCTTGCTGTGAAGGGGTTTTTATATAGACTAGTGATAGCTGTAGACAAGTATTTGGGGTGGAAGCCTTCTCAACTTCACTCCAAGTAGCCCTTCCTCCTTACAGCCAGTTTGACCATGTTGGCATGCAGCTCTCCCAATCACCAAGGTGTGGCTCTAATTTATAATGAATGACAGAAAATAATAAACTAGGTTCTCCTTCTAGAAAAATATTCTAACTCTAACCTTTTCATATTTTTTTGTTTAAGAGGTAATTTCAGTAAATTTGGAGACCAGAGGAAGAAGTGTCCCTGTTCTCAGTACATTTATATCTAGTCAGAGACAGCTGATAGACCAAAAGTTCATGAATGAATGCAATATTACATTTGTGATAAGTGTTATGAAAAAGTTCTGCTGCCGTTAGGAACTTAGCCTAGTTAGAAAAATCAGGGAGGGTGCTCCGAAGTAACTGAGGGGTTATTTTGAGCCAAAAAAAAAAAATGAGTGTTAGTAAAACAAAACTGGTGGGGAGATGTAGTAGAATAAAGTACTTAAGAGCTAAAGCTCAGGAACTCTGACTAGGTTTGAATTCTGAATTTAGGAATTCCTTAGCTGGGTGGCCTTGGCTAATTTTATTGCTTTGTGCCTCATTATCTTCACCTGAAGAAGAATATAATACTTAGTTCACAGGATAGTTAGGAGGTTTAAACAGAATAATATATAAAAAGCACTAGAACAATGTCTAGGACAATGACAATCATTTGATGATTATAAACTCTTACTGGAGTAGAATGCAAAGACTTCCAACACCCGACAATGCCTAGTGCCTTTAAGTGCCTAATAGAAGACCAGTGTGTGTGGACTACAGTGTACAAGGAAGAACGTGCCCCAAGATGTGGCCAACCTGAGAGATGCCAGCACCCGCAGTAATTGCAAACTTGAACATTATCTCACCCATCCATGTAAATCTCACAACAACACTATGAGATAGGTGGGAAATGGTAATATCATCACTGTTTTGCAGATGAACTGACTGAGTTTCAGAAGGGCCATAGGACTTACTAATGTCACACAGCTTAGAAATAGCAGAGGCATGACTTAAAACAAGGTTTTCTGTCTCCAGATAGTAGGTTATTTCTCTTACAACACACAGTATCATTCTCCCAATCACAGTTATTCCCCAGAGAAATAAAACCATTTCAGAGATTTTGCTATGAACTCAAGAATGGAGAATAATGGGAAATGATTCTGTTTAATTCCATTTTTAGGCCAAATGTTACAATGAACTTAATGGATGCACCAAGATATATGACCCTGTCTGTGGGACTGATGGAAATACTTATCCCAATGAATGCGTGTTATGTTTTGAAAATCGGTGAGTACAAACTTGAGTTTCTTTTAAACTATATATTTTAAGTTAGTTATCTTCAAGTGTACTGATAATATGAATCTCACCCCGAGAAAAGCAAACTATTTACTTTTTCCAAAAACAGTTATCTCTTTCTTATTCTCCCTTTTATATATTTAGCATTAAATATTATTTTTTAGAAGTCACTTGTATGATAAAAGCCTATATTTTTTACAGCAAAATAGTCGATAGCTTGGATTTTTATAAAGTACACACAAAATACCTTTAATTAAAAAAATTATTAGTGGTTGCAATGATTGTGTTTTTTAAAGCCCTCAGTTATGCAAATATAAATTGTATAGATTATATAACCAAAAATATATTTTTACTTATGGATATGAAAGCCAGTTTCAGTAAAGCTTCATTTCCTCAGTGACCATAAGTAGGTGATGTGATACAGAGAAATAGATTCAACACAGATTTCCTATCTCACTCAGCAACTGAAACCTTAGCATGTCTCAAGCATCATGCTAATATTCCCTGTCTTACTTGTGCTTATGACTAAGAAAACATCATGAGCATGTATAGGATGGCTTCTTATAACTTGGGGCAAATGCCAGAAGATGAGGTGTAAATAAAGTGCAACAGGAGTGAAGCAGAGATACATATTTTTTATTAAAAGGGGCCAAGAAAGGATCCATGAAAAGAATAGAATGCCAGCCGGGTGCAGTGGCTCACTCCTGTAATCCCAGCACTTTGGGAGGCCGATGCAGGTGGATCACCTGAGACCAGCCTGGCCAACATGGTGAAACCCCATGGTGGCGGGCGCCTATAATACCAGCTACTCAGGAGGCTGAGGCAGAAGAATCGCTTCAATCTGGGAGGCAGAGGTTGCAGTGAGCTGAGATTGTGCCACTGCACTCCAACCTGGGTGACAAGAGTGAGACTCCATCTTAAAAAAAAGGAAAAAAAAAGAATAGAATGCCATTTAAATAGAGTTCTGAATTTTGGCAATATCAAAAGAGCATGCCAGGTTAAATAAAGGTGTGGAATGAACAAAGCAAATAAAAGGGATTCCACGAGTGACTTTAGTTTTTCTGAGATTGACTTGATATTAAAGACTTTGACTCAGGCTCAAATGACTGTGTAAATTTCCATTATATTCTACTGCATAAATTCCCTTTTCTGTAATGCAAACCTTCTTCTTGGGCTGTTTTAAACCATTTTGGAAAATTCTCAGAGTTTAGCAAGTATTGTGGAAATAGGACCTCTGGATGAGAGGTCTAATATCCTGAAGTTTTAGACCCAAAACATTAGGTATTCTACTTTGTAATAAATCTGTTTCCATAATTAAGACTTGTAAAAAGAATTTGAAGCCACCTGTTAGTTTTCTCATGACCCATGTTCTTGACATTAAGCTCAAACATCATATTTCCATCCAATGGGAGGAGAAAGCAAGAGAACAACAGCTTTGAGACTTGGGAAATTTCCAAGTGCCGCTCAACATTTACAGTGAAACATTAGAAAAATATTAGTAGAGGGCTGGAACACCCTATCTGCTTAGCCTCTGAAACCTCCGAGTTTCTGCTTATTCTTTCTATTTGTTCAAAACTATGTAAATATGGGAGGCACATTTGTATGCTAGAAAACATGACCTCTCTTCCTATATTTCTCAGATAAGAAAATTTAGGTCTAGAGACAAAATGTTGCTTTCTCAAATACAACATATTTCCTAATGTATGACATTGCCTTTTTCACTGTTGATTAAAAGTCCCAAACTTATTACCTAGTAACTAAAGCCAGACGCTGACCCTAGTTTGAGACAAGTAGATAATACCAAACAAGGGCTTGCAAATCAGTCTTTTTGGTGATTATGTGCTTGGCAAATATATTCAATAAACACTTTTTCTATTCCTTCTACGTCTTCAAAGGGAATCTGTACCGGCAAATTCTTTTCCATAAACCTGCATCTCCAATAGAACCTTCTATAATGATGGAAATGTTCTATGTTTATGCTGTCTAATACATAGCCACTAGCCACAAAACAGTAGCCTTAATGTGGCTAACACTAACTTAAATGTGGCTAGTAAAACTGATCAGCTGAATATTTAATATTATCTAAACTAATTTACATTTACATAGCTATATGTGGATAGTGAATATATGAAACTAGAGTGAACAGCATAGCAACTCTTGTTTATTCTGTTTAGGTGTGTGTGCTTATGTATGCTAACTGATTTGGAAATCAGTATTAATGAGCAGTTAATGATTGTGGGACAAGAAAGCATTAAAAAATCTTAAAGAGTTTGGCTGGGCATGGTGGCTCATGCCTGTAATCCCAGCACTTTGGAAGTCCCAGGCAGGTGGATCACTTTTGTTAGGAGTTTGAGACCAGCCTGGCCAACATGGTAAAACCCCGTCTCTACTAAAAATACAAATATTAGCCAGGCATGGTGGCATTCACCTGTAATCCCAGCTACTTGGGAGGCTGAGGCAGGAGAATCACTTGAACCCGGGAGGTGGAGGCTGCAGTGAGCCAAGGTCACACCACTGCACTCCAGCCTGGGCAACAGAGTGAGACTCTGTCTTAAAAAAAGAAAAAAAAGAAAAAAAGAAAAGAAAAAAAAAAGAAAAAAAAGTATATGGAAGTCAGATGTCCTTCAGTAATAGAGAAGTAGAAGAATTTTTGTAAGCCCGTACATTCAAAGAAAAAATGGTTAGAAAAATTAAAGACCTGGAAACAGTCTTCTAGGGAACAATTATAAAATTTAGAGATATTTAGTTTAGGGAAGAGAAAACTAGTTTGGTAATGGTAGTGTGGGGCGAACAGAGAGGTTTTATCTGGAGGGGAGGATGTTTAGAACTGGCAGGAATCATGTGGAATAAATATGTGATTTACTTTTGTGAGACCTCACAGATACGAATCCCCAGAGCTCTAAGATGAAAGGTCAATCAATTAGAAGGTCCAACAATAGCTCAGGCATCAGCTGAGATGGAAACCTGGTGGCGAAGGCAGAGGCATCAGGAGCAAAAGATGCAACAATAGTTTTGAGTTTAATTTCAGGGGTTCACTGTAACACCCCACGAGATCTGTAAAAACTGTAAGGACAGATATTTTTCCTTTCTGTTGTATCCTTAGTGTATTCAACAGTAATCAATAAATATTTGATGAATTAATGACTAAGTGAATGTATAAATGAATGAAAGACAGAGAAAAGATTATAAATCTCAAACCTCTCCAACTTTAAATGAAGCTGTTATTTTTCCCCCTGTTTTTCTCCCATAGTCACTTTTTCATCAGTGAAGTTTAAGCTGATATATTTTTTTTAATCTCTACTGCAGGAAACGCCAGACTTCTATCCTCATTCAAAAATCTGGGCCTTGCTGAGAACCAAGGTTTTGAAATCCCATCAGGTCACCGCGAGGCCTGACTGGCCTTATTGTTGAATAAATGTATCTGAATATCCCCTGTTGTTTCCATTTGCTTTTTCCTCAAAGGTATGTTTGATTATACCAGGGTCAGGGGACTTTGGTAAGACTGAGAATAGACCAAGTTTTAAAAACATCAGGAATCCTGTAATTTCAGACAGGGTTTCCCTCATAATTCCTTTTCTTTCCTCATCTTTCTCACATCCTGAGGTCACTGCCTTAGAAAATGTGATTGCAGATATTAAATGGCAGAGCACAGATGATCATGAATACAAGAAATTCTTTGAGGACTGGACTACTATTTTAAGGAACAATTGGAAAATACCCAGTCCAGAAACATGTTACCCATCACAGTCTGCTGATTGCAATAACTCCTTTAGGTTTCCTTGGGATTTGATTGAGCATCTATTGTGGCTGGCACAGGTCTACGTGCATGGGCATAGAGCTGCCTATATGGTGGAATAGAGTTTAGTCTTTGAGATTTTCCACTTATCTCAGAATGTAGATTTTGGGTCAGACATAATTGTCTCAAAAAGATTTGAATCATTGAGAAAACAAACAAAAAAAGTACATTTTCTTAACAAGGCTATGGAGCAGCTTCTGGACTTAGCCTTAGTTCTTCCCCAGCAGGGCCAGTTCCCCATTAGTTACTAAGGTGAATGGTGGTAACGTAGAGCCTGTGGTTGTCCCTGATAACCCGGGGCTTGGATGGAGGACTTCCTCTTGTGCTTCCCTGGGAGATCTGCTTCATAGGGCCTGATGGGTTTGTGCTGTGCTAACCTGAGGCAGGTAGGTGGGGAGGCCTGATTCTGGATTAACTTTGGGAATGGTCTCTTCTACTATCAAACCATTCCCAAAAGATAATCTGACAAGGAAAAAAGTGACTATAGACTGGATGAACTGATCAAGAGACCTTTGTGCAGCACACTTTGGTTTATGTGTGGGCCAAAACAACCCTATAAGATTATCCTTATCTTATGAGTAAACTTAGAACTAAGTGAAATCACCTGCCTAATATTGCAAGCAAACAAAGCGACAGGCTTAGGTTTTTATTATAATACAGGACTGACTTCAAATCTAATGCTTCTTCCATTAAGCCACAATCACCTCACGTGAGTTACTCATTGCCTATTTTTTCTATAGAAACTTCAGATAACACCTTCCTATTAAAAAGGACTATGTGTTTATATTCAGGGAAGCAAATCAGATAAAACTAAAGAAGTTCCCCAAAAGAAAAAAAAGGTATGTACAGCTATTAAAAGAAGAATAAGGAGGAGGAGGAGGAGGAAGAGGAGGTAGAGGAGGAGGAAGAGGAGGTAGAGGAGGAGAAGAAGGAGAAGGAAAAGGAGGAGGAAAGAAGAAAGAGGAGGAGGAGAGAAGAGAGAGGAGGAGGAGGAGGGGGAAAGGAGAAGGAGGGGCAGGGGGAGGAAGAGGAGGGGGAGGTGGAGGAAGAAGATGAAAAAGCAGCTTGAATTCCCAAACTCATGAAGAACTAGCCTAGAATGGAAAACTGGGTAGAGAGCTAACAGAGCCTGAGATAACAGCAGGTTTTCTAATATACAGCAGGAAATAGATCACCCATTGAATCAGAAATAATCAGTCAAAAGCTATTGCACACTTGCCAAACACAGTTGCCTGACACTCTAAGGTTTAGGTTAATTTCTTGTGATATTCAGAATATACACGTCTTGAGGTTTAAATCTGACCACTAGAGGATGCTGTAGTCTGCCAAGTGCCTCAGCCAAACCGCCGTCTAACAGCTCTCATTAAATATCACTCTAACAGCAGTTATGGATGCAAGATGGCTTCCAACAACTTGTCTGTGATGCTAGAGGACACTCGAAGGACATCCCTAATATTAAGGACCTTTGCCATGATAAACAGAAATTAAATAATTGAATGCTACAAATTTTCATGTCCAATTGAACCAGTCTACAAGTCTGGAGAGACAAGACTTGGAGATTATAAGCAGAAGCAACCCATTAACCCAAATTGTCTATCTTTAATGGTTCTGTTCTCTCTCTGACCCATCAGAAAGCATGTGGATTGCTATGTTCATGTATGGTAGTTTATCAGGCCATTCTCCCGTTGCTCTAAAGAAATACCTGTGGCCTGGCATGGTAACTCATGCCTGTAATCCCAGCACTTTGGGAGGCCAAGGAGGGTGGATCACCTGAGGTCAGGAGTTCAAAACTAGCCTGGCCAACATGGTGAAACTCCATCTTTACTAAAAATACCAAAATTACCCAGGCATGATGGTGGGCACATGTAATCCCAGCTACTTGGGAGGCTGAGACAGGAGAATCGCTTGAACCCAGGATGTGGAGAATGCAGTGGGCAAAGATTGCACCATTGCACTCCTGCCCGGGTGATAAGAGTGAAACTCCAACTCAAAAAAAAAAGAGATACCTGAGACTGGGTAGTTTATAAAGAAAAGAGGTTTAATTGGCTCATGGTTCCACAGGCTATACAGGAAGCATGATGATGCGGCATCTGCTCAGCTTCTGGGGAGGCCTATAATCATGGTGGAAGGTGAAGGGGGAGCAGTCAGGTCACATAGGCCAAACAAGAGCAAGAGAGAGGGGAGGTGCTACACACTTTCAAACAATCAGATCTCAGGAGGACTCACTCACTACTGAGACAGTCAAGTAAAAAGGGCTCCCTGGAGAACCTCCGACCAGCCTGAACTGGGAGAATGACGTGGAGCCACAGAAGTTCATGCCCTTTGCAGAGGGGAGGAACCCGACCTCTTGAGTTCCTGTGTGGTGGGGCAGAAGCTGGATAACAGGCTTCCTTCTCACTCTACTGAAAGTTTGAAAATTTTTCTCTTTTTCCTTTTTTGCCCGATAAATTCCGTTTTTCTCACCCTTCTATGTGTCCACAAGCCTGATCTTTCCTGGTTGTGTGACAAGAACCCAGTTTTTAGAAGAGCTGAGGAGGAAGTCGTGTAACAGTATCACAGGAACAGCACCAAAGGGATGGGTGCTAAATGATTCATGAGAGATTTAGCACCCACATGATCCAAATTACCTCCCACCGGGCCCCACTTCCAACACTGGAGATTTTGACATGAGATTTGGATGGGGACACCGAGCCAAACTGTATCAGGTAGTTGTGTTTTAAAAGAGATGATTTACAAACCAGAATATGTTTAGAGGAAGGAAACTACCAATATTGATAAGAATTTGAAATTTTTCTCCATGATGAGTGGTTGGAAGAAGCAGGAATATTTGGGCTAAGGAAAGGAAAACCCTTAGAAGTTGGTGGGTCTTTTCAAAAGATTTAAGGGATTAAAATGTTAACACCGTGAAAGCAGAAATTTTATCCTTTTTTTCACTGCTGTATTACAGGCTCAAAACAATATCAAACACCTAGGAGGTACTTAATTAATATTCTTTTTGGTACATAAGTGAATGGGGAAGAGGAATGAACATGATCTGGTTGGCCCCAAAAGGTAGAATTTAGACTAATTGGGTAGAGATTAAAGAGATACTAATTTTCATTCGGTGGGAAAATGTACCCTATAATGGTTAAGATCAGAGGCTCTGATTTAGAGAGGCTGAGTTTGAATCTGGCTCTGCCTCCATCAAGCCCTGTGTCCTGGGAGAAGTTGGAGAATTTCTCAAAGTCTCAGTTTCCTCATCTCCAATAGGGGTTAATAATAACAATTCCCTCATAGAGCAAATAGCACAATGCCTGCCATATAGTATGTGCTCAAGAATAATTAGTTATTGTTATTGTTATTATTCATCTTATAATACTTTGGGCTCACTAAAACAGTGACCAATTGTCTCCTGGTATATAAGCATTTCTATGACAGAAACTTTACTTCCTCAGGTAATAATTTGTTGCATTATTTATTTCTTCGGGTAATAATTTGTTGCATTATTTACTTCTTCAGGTAATAATTTGTTGCATTATTTACTTCTTCAGGTAATAATGTGTTGCATAATTTTGTAGAAAACATTCCTCAAATGGGTACAAGATTGGACTAAAGTCTCTCTGCTTTTAATTTTAAAAAATTCCAGAATTACAAACCATGCCTCCAAAATAGAAATTCGAGAGTAATGGCTGAAGATGAATTTTGTGGACTAAGAAGGGTTTTGTAGCCCTGTGAGGGAATAGGGTAATAAACCCAGCTCACACTATTAGATTCCCCATCCCTGGATAAAAAAAGAACTATAATCCTCATTAAATACAGGACCACAGAACTGCAAGTAAACTCCAAGAGGGCATAGTCACAGGGCCAATACATTTCTGTACAGTTTCCTCTATTGGTTTCAGAACATTTGAAATATGAAGCTATCTGGTAGGAACAGTGTATTGAAAACAAGCAAAAAAAATTGTCCTATTGGAGAAGAAAATGTGTTTGAAATTAAACATTTTAAAATATAATTTATACTAAGCCTCTTGAAAAATAAGAACTTGAAAAATATTGTCCTTTTATTTCCATTTCTCTGACCCAATTTATCCCTTAAAAACTTTAGTTTATTCCACCTATGTACAAATACAGTTTAGTTGCATAACAAGGGAAGCTATTAAATTAAAAAACATGCAAAGCTTTTACTTTTCCAAGCCCTAGCACTGCCAACAATTTTGCTTTTTTTTACTCTCACAATCCAGTGCAGAGAGATCCTTTGTTTTCTTTCATTGTTTAAACAAAAGCTAACTTTTAGCTAAAAATATGGAATATGTATATAACAAAATGACGTTCACAAAAACGGAATAACGCAGATCTTTTCCTTTTAAACAAATCAAAAGTCACTAAAAAGCCAAGAAATAGTGAAAACAAACAAAATAGACTGGAGATCAAGTCAAAACCTTGTTACTTGGTTGGGATGCTATTTGTGGCTAGGTGCCTTTTAGATGTGTTCAAAATAAATAAATAAAAATGGAGGCTACAATTTAGATTACCACGTGGTCAACTGCCCACAGCCATGTAACCAAAATTTTAATCATCCTGATTTGCCTGAAATCTTAACCTTGAACATAAACAAAGCATAGACATTAGCATTTTGTCCTTTTCTGCATGGTTCAATGAAATTAAACCAGTAGCTACAGATAAATCAGCTTAAACAGGCTCTGTTGCCTTAAAAACAAATATATGACAGCTAATCATGAAAAAGGCCAAAATACTTCCTCCTCCAGGCTCTATAAGTTGTGCTGGAACTGCTGTTAAATGGAGATTTCATGCATTCTTCAACTTGAGGTTTCCCAGTTCATGAACTATTCTTTTGTACTCACAATAAACTCTTAAAATTCTTTGTGATTTAACTTTATTTTTGACAGATAATGGATAATTCATTCAACTCATTTAATTTGTATTCATGAATAAAAGGTGTAATACAAAATAAATAGTACTTTTTTGGCTCCATATAGTCCGTGTTAAAAGAAGAGAAGAAGAAATAAGAGAAAACTAGGAATTAGAAGTCACCAGAGGAAAAGTTGTGTTAGAAATAAAGAAAATCTTTAAATGTGTAACTGTGGAAATTAGAAGGAAAAAGGCAGAAAGAGCCATGCATATTATTAAATTAAACAAAATGTAGACATAAACACCTGAACAGACAAAGAATGAGAAGTAGAGAGAAAGACCGTGAAATTTTGGTAAGATTTATAGTAAATATGGTTGTGGAAGCACAGATGCACAATAAGTTATATTTTGAATGTTTGTGCTAAATTTCAGGGTTTTTTTAAAAAAAAACAACACTTTTTTTACAGAAAGAATTCTATGTGCTTTTCTTGAAAGCTTACATCTACATTTTTGAAATTTTTTTATATTCTAGGGACCTTTAAAATACTTAAAAGAATGACTTAATAAAGATTAACTTTCAAACCTTAAAGATGCAAATTAGTACAAAGTGAAAGTTAATAAAGAATAATAAAAATTATAGGAGCTAACCTCTAGATAAAATTCTATGTGCCAGATCCTGTATTAAATATTTCCCATGCATCCTCACAAGGAGTCCTGGGATCCTCATTTAGGAATGAGAAAACTGAGGTTTTAACTCCCTCAAGGGTTGAACCACTCAAACTGCAGAGCTCCTTGGCCCTTCCGTGATGTTACACTGTCTGTCAAGCTCCTTTACTGCTGCTGTTGCCTCTGCTTTCTGTAACAGTTAGCACTGATGACCTCCCTTTCTTTGAAAAATAATTGCTCCAAGTTCCCTGAACATGTCATGCTCTCTAGCCTCTGTCCTACTTCTCTGATTGAATCATCCTTTTTGTTTTACTTCCTCACAATACAAACACACACAGGGAAACACATGCATTCCCCAACACATACACCAGATCCATCTGTCTAACTTTTTCTTGGCTAGCAGAACACAGGTACAACCTCCTCTGGGACCCTTTATTAATTCTCTACATCTGAGTCAAGTGCCTTCCACTTTTTACTCTGTCTCTGTGTTTGCCAATTTCTGAAATGTCTTTTTAAGATCTCTGCTACTGCAGAAGACCTGGACTCCCCAAATTTTTCTAACTTTTTCCCTTCTCTTAGTTTTTTAAGTATCCTAAGGGTGGTATTGGGATGGAGTCAATAAATTTGCTTCTTAGCCAAATATATCCAAATACTATAATCCCTTTCCCCACCCCATGCTCACGAGAAAATCAACTGGTATCTAGCAGATAAAAATCAAGGACCAACAAAATTTTCCATGGAATCTAGACAATGGACTCTATTTCTAAAACATACTGTCTTTCCAATCCAATCTCTTTTCTTCACCCTCTTCTGACATGGTTTAATGTAACAGACCAGGGGTTCTACCTGCCCGAGTTTACTCAGCCCATCTTCCCTCTAACGCATCCTCCTACACGCCCCACTGAACAATCCCAATTCATCCCGAACCACAGAATGCTTCTAAACTACAAAATAATTACAGTAGTGCTGTCATGAAAAACCTGTCACGGCTACACACTGTCTACTAAAGAAAGTCCTAATCTCTTCTGGTGATATAGGCCCTCAATAATATTAAACCTCAAGTGTTCCAGTCTTTAGGCATTTTTCCTGCTAAATCATCTTTATGCACTCTTTTTTCACCTATCAAAATTTTACCTACTCAATAAATATCACACGCACAAGTGCTGTCACTTACAGTAGTGGTCCTCAAACTTTAGAATGCATGAGAATCACCCGAAGAGCCTCTTTACAATTTGGATGAATAGGCTACAACCTCCAGATACTCTGGATCAGTTGACTTGAGGTGAGGCTCACTGATTTGTCACCTAACTCAGCTGTGGGGTGCTCCATGAATTTTTCTTGCTTTCTCAAACTAATCTCTTCCATATTCCCATAATAATTTGATGCTTCTTCTCTAGTAGTAATTGCAGTCAACCTGAAATACAAGAAAGTGTGTGCATATTTGTTTGTTTATTTTAGTTTCCCAAATAATTATCTTTGTATCCCGCATTATACAACCACAGCACATTATCAGTATACTGCCTCAATAAATAAAGTTAATTCTGTATCAAGAATACTGAAGCATTGAACATTTTTTAAGAGTTAAGTTTTACCTTTCATATTAGCTGAAAATTCCTGTTTGAAAATTGATCAGAGCAAATGTTTAAAGAATTTAACAAGATGTTTTCATTTAATGAGGTTGTAATGAAATTTTGAACAGTAAAACCCTGAAAAGGAATCGGAACATGTTCATGAGGGAAAAAAAGTCTTTACTAATTCAGTGCTGATTTTTTATTTTTTACTTCACTGAGTATTATGTATCTGTATTTTTATGATCTTCAAAAGCCAAATTAGATTTCTTAAAATTTCATAAATAATATCCAACATAGATTTCACCTTTGCAACTACAGTTTTACTGTGCTAGAATAATTAACTAAGTTTGTTTTTGTTCCTGTTAAATAATATTCTCTCTAGTGTCCCAAATATCAGGCATCAGAAATCTTTCTTCTTTACCTATTAGAAAAAACAAAAAGAAAAAGGAATCTGCTATATTTCATTTAGAAGGCTTTTAAAATGCTAATTAGAAGCTATTGATAGTACGGAATATCACATCTATTCAAGATGATGAGTGCTTTGGAATTAATTCTTTTAGGGTCCAGTGCAGATAAACCAATTGTCTATAAACCCCACTCTGCTTATGTTACCTGCTGAATTCCATGTCTGAAAACTCAAGAGACTCTAAAATAAAGGTCAGGAGAGGACTACTGTTTAGATTTATGAAGATATATCACACCCCTCTTTAAAAATAGGGTGTATAATCTGTAATGAAAACAACTTAAATTTTATCAAGGATCTGAATGATAAGTTATAGAAACTTTCATAATTATGACAATGCAATCACCTTTTCAGCTGGAAAATATCACCATAATACATTCTTAAGAAATAATCTTTATATAAATGTTGTATAATTCTACAGTTCAGTGAGTTTTTACAAAGATATATGCTTTTGAAATCTCATCGTAATTTGAAAAAATGAAATATTTCTATCACCCCAAAAAGTTCCCTTTGCTCCTTTGTAGTCAACACTGCTCCTTCCAACTCCAGACAACCACCAATCTGCTTTCTATCACTAAACATTGTTTGCCTTTTCTAGGATGTTACACGGATGGGGTAAACATTATGTATTCTTTTGTGTTCACCTTCTTTTATGTATCATTTTTTGGAATTCATCTGCATTGTTGTATATATCAATAATTTATTCTTATTTTCTTCCTCAGTAGTATTCTATTTTTGAAGATACCACAATTTGTTTATCCATTCATCTCTTGTTGGGTAATTGGGTTGTTTCCAACTTTTTATTTTAACATTTCTCAACTATTATGATTAAAGTTGCTATGATTATTCACATACAAATATTTGTGTGGGCATATATTTTTATTAATCTTAGGTAAGTACATAGTACAATTGCTGAAGCATATTGTAAGTGTATTTTTAACTTGATAAAAAAATCCTGCCAACTGTTTTCCAAAGTGGTAGTATTATTTTGTATTCCCATAGCAATGTATGGGAGTTCTAGTTACTCCACATCCCAACCAACACTTGATATTGTCAATCTTTTAAACTTTAGCTATTTTAGCAAGTATGTATAGTGATATTTCATTGTAGTTTTAATTTATATTTCTCTAATGACTAATGATGTTGAGAATCATTTTGTGCATTTCTTCAGTGAAGTATTAAAATCTTTTGCCCATTTTTAAATTGGTCTATTTGTCATATAATTAAGTTGTGACTGTTCTTTATTTTCTCCCAGTATGTCATTTTGTTTGTTATTGTGTCAGTGGTGTTTTTCACAGAGCAAAAAATGTTAATAAAAATGAAGTTCATTTTATCAGTTGTACATATATGTTTCATACATTTTTCCTTGTAACAAATCTGCACATGTACCCCTGAATCTAAGTTAAAAATAGAAATTTAAAAAAAATTGCCTACTCCAAGGTCACACAGATTTTGGTCTTTCTTTCTTAATATAACTTTGTACTTTTTTAAATTTAATTTTATTTTTTTTTTGACAGAGTCTCGCTCTGTCACCAGGCTGGAGTGCAGTGGCGCAATCTTGGCCCACTGCAACCTCCGCCTCCTGGGTTCAAGCAATTCTCCTGCTTCAGCCTCCTGAGTAGCTGGGACTACAGGCACATGCCACCACACCCCGCTAATTTTTGTATTTTTAGTAGAGACAGGGTTTCACCATGTTGGCCAGGATGGTCTCAATCTCTCGACCTTGTGATCCGCCCACCTCGGCCTCCCAAAGTGCTGGGATTACAGGCGTGAGCACTGCGCCTGGCCTATAGTTTTATCTTTAGGCCTATGAACTCTTTTGAGTTCATTTCTATACATATAGTATACTATTCTATAATATTTGAGATCCATTTTTTCCCATGTCATCATATTTTTGTTTTCTGGCACTATTTGCTAATATCTCCATTTTAAGGTGAAAGAATAAAAGAAAAAAAATAGTGTAATTTTAATGTTCTTAGATAAAGAGGATATGGTATTAATTGCATAAGGAAGTAAGAAAAGAAAAATGAGGAACAGAAAGAGGTAGAGAAGGATAGCAGGAGAAAGGAAAGAAAAAGAAAAATTAAAAAAAAATGGGAAAAGCAAGGAAGAAAAGAAAAAATCCAAGCATTTCTCTGAATCAATAGCCACATTTTTATGCTTTCTATTCTAATAGTTTTTAAAGTCAAGCTCTGTTTCCACGACTACAGATACAAAGAAGTTACTACCTATTGGTTCAAGAAAAATCTCCAAATAGGTAATATCTCAATCCAAAACAGATCAAGACAAAACTATAAACTATTTAGTTGAAAAAGGCTCTCAATATTTTGTGCTGAATTTTACAGATGCCATAGGATTAAAGATAGTCTGTAGCTGCAAACAGTCCATTCAAAAGCAAGTGTCTATGTAGCAAGGATATACACCTTGTAGGGGAGGAAAAGATTGTTTTCTTTACCGGTTGCAAGGTTCTTGGCTGTGGCACCTGTAACAAAAGATAGACTAACAGAAAAAAGCATACGAGTTTATTTAATGTAAGTTTTTGTGACAAAGGAACTTTCATAAAGAAATGAAAACCCAAAGAAACAGGTAAACTTGTGCTTTTTAATCTTAGGTTTGAGGAAAATGTGGTCAGTCAGTGAGAAGTATAATTGGATAATGAAGGTCTGATTTAATGGCAATATGATGGGGGGAATTTAGCAAGGCCTGTTTATTCAGATTCTTATCTGTGTCTATGACTTCAGATATAAGAATGTTTGCTTTCCCTGGGTATGTAGAGGGCATCTCTCCAATGAGGGTTTAATGACCTTCTTCAGGGGAGAAGAGAGAGAAGAAGGTAAGAGAGACCTTCCTTTTTCTGTGGTTTTCTCAAATGCCAATGTGCCATATTTTCTGGTAGCACGTCCTGAATTCCACCTGCCTCAAATCTATACTTCAATTTGCCAAGGATAATCTGGTCATAGAGTTACTCCTTAGACATTTTCAGAAGAGAAGATCAACTGGAAACTTTTTTTGGATACTTGCATGTAAAATAAAGAATGTTAATTATTATAATGTCATCATTGGGTACCAACATAATATTTTCCCCAGTTCATTTCCTTAAATTGAATGTGGCTCAAGAAATCTAGTACTCTCCTTTCAACACCTCTCACTTTCAGTAGTCTGTGATGAATAACTCACTTGTCTTTGCCTCAGCTGTTGATAGAGAAAAGAGAAGAGAGAAAAAAGACAAGAGGGTAGTATATAGAAAAAGAGATTATGGTAGTTGGTAGAATAACTTGACTTAACCTCCATAACTGTTGGTAGATGTTGATTAGAGAATGGAACTTCAAATTGAACCCATTTATTTGTTTCTTATAATGGCATGAGACTTGTAATACCAATAAACCTACGAATGTTTTCAATGTTCTAATTTGTTTTTTATTGAACATTTGATGTAGACAGTAATAAATTAGGCACTGTTTTTACATTGTCTGTCTTCCCTCATCCTTCCACTTCTGGAACTTAGAAAATAGTCCCCTCTCTTCTCATATCTCTCTTCTCACTATGCCAGAACATGTAAGTAGGTGAAGTAGGTTTGTCGTCAGTAATGATTGGGTACCCACTGTCCTCATACTACTAACTAACTTTTCCCTGTCTCTCCATTGAACTCTCATCATCCAGGCCATTCATTCTGCATTCTCTTTCTGTGTGTGTGTGGGTGTGTATGTGTGTGTGTGTATGTATGTGTGTGTGTGTGCCCCTGCCTGCCTCTGTGTCTGTCTCTCTCTCTCTCTTTCTCTCTGTTAATGACTCAACCATTCACCTAGTCACCCAAACTATAACCTGAAATTTACACTTAGCTCCTTGCTTCTAATCTCCCTCTTGCTCTCTATCACAAGATCATTTATATTTACTTCCTTAAAAATACACATAAGAAAGTCTTTATTCTCATTTTGCAGATGAGGACACTGAACCTCAACAGGTTTAGTAATTGTCTGCTACTGAAGACTAAGTAAATGGAAAGGCAGGATGGGAATGCCTAGCTATGTGCTTCTCATTGTGCCATGCTGCTTCCTCTATGTCTTAAGCAGTGTCTCTGGATGTGAATTTAATACAAGAGCTCAGTTAACCTCTACATGGACTATGCATTGTTTGTGGACAAAGGAAACTACTCCTATAAATAGGTAACAAAATTGTTCAAATATATTTGAGGGTTTGATTCATAAAAAAAAATTTAAAGGCAATATTAATTTGTTCATTTAAAAAAATACTAAAGTTTTTGTCTTTGTGCACTTTCTTAACTAATGGATAATAAACGTTTTATTTTTTGGCATTAGGGAGTTCCGCATATGCAAAGAAGTTGGAAACCAGTGGCCTTCAGGATGTAATGCGAACTTTTTTTTTTTTTTTTTTTTTTTTGAGACAGAGTCTTGCTCTGTCTCCCAGGCTGGAGTACAATGGCATGATCTTGGCTCACTGCAACCTCTACTTCCCGAGTTTGAGCGATTCTCCTGCCTCAGCCTCCCTAATAGCTGGGACCATAGGCGTGTGCCACCACGCCCTGTTAATTTTTGTATTTTTAGTGGAGACTTGGTTTAACCATGTTGGCCAGGCTTGTCTCAAACTCCTGACCTCAGGTGATCCACCCGCCTCGGCCTCCCAAAGTGCTAGGATTATAGGCATGAGCCACTGCGCCCGGCCAGAATGTGAGCTCTGTTACAGGACATAGCTGCTGGAATTCAGCTTTTGCATAGGTGCTAATTTAAACTCCAGTTATCCCTACTCTTTCCCTGTCACAGGTTAGACTTACTTCTAATTGCTTGGAACACGCTTTGCTTTTGCTCATTTACTACATTTCTTTCCTTCTCTGTCACCATCTTCTAGCACTGATGAACAAGGTGGGCCATACAATTCCCATGGCCTTGCTGGCCCTGTGTGCACACCACTACCACAGCATGCCTCATGTTTTCATTATCCACTTGTGTAATCTTTATCCCTCATTATAATAAAATTCCTTAAATGTAGAAGATATGTCTAATCCATGCCTTTGTCTTCAGGATGCTCAATAAGTGCCTATTGACCTACATTTTCCTGAATAACTTTGAGTTTACTACTATACTGTCCCCCAAATATACTACTATTATCCATCCATACTACTACTGTCCTCCAAAACTACAAATCCATAAATTAAAATGAAATTTTATCTTTCAGACTAATTTAAAACAAATTCCAGTTAGATGGGAGGGAGAGAGAGATTCTATTTTTTCCAAATATAATGTAGTGATAAAATAGAAGTTTAAAAATAATCTTAATTGAAAAAATATTTTGATATATTTTCTTTTTCTCGGTGCTGTCTTAAAATCATGTGGGGCTATTCCTAGTTGACCTTCTTCAGCTTTACATAGGACCTTCCACAGAAAGCAGGCTACAATGGGACTTCATATGATAAGTTAATTCTCAGTTATTGGAAGATAGTAAGATAATGCATAGCAAGGGCTGTCTGTGATTATTTATTCAGAATTTGAACAAGAAAATAAAGCAGCATTTTAATTTTGTTCTAAAACCTACTCAGAACACAAACAGGCCACGAAATCCTGTTCATCATTCACAGGACTTCTCACCTTTTATCTTCAGTCAGCCTGTCCATTCAGCTCCCAGAGAGTATTCAAGGGAAATAATTCCAAATCACTGTAAGTACTAGTCTTCTGTTGAACCAGGTATTCTGAATTCATGAATTCATTCATACATTAATTCACTTGACCATCAAACCTTGACCATTTTTCATATGCTAAATAAGGACTGTTTGCTGTTCTAATCCCTGGAGCTTCAATAATATCCAAGTCAGAAAAGATGCCTCTTGTCATAGAGCTCACACTGAAATGGAAGGAGTAGGACTCATTACCAAAAGAAAACAAATACACAAACAAGATAACTTTAGATAATGTTAAGAACTATAAAATAAAGAAATATGAAATGGAAGGAGCAGGACTCATTATCAAAAGAAAACAAATACATAAACAAGATAACTTTAGATAATGTTAAGAACTCTGAAATAAATAAATAAGAAGATATGATAAAGACTGATGGGAGGACACAGGAAAGGAGGCAGGTTAGATTTGAAATCACCAAAAATTATATGCAGCAGTGCTTATCAGGATGTAGAGTCTATTTCTCACCCATTAATCTTGGCTAACCTCATGATATACTTTGGCCAATACACTGTGGCCAAGGTGATATGGTGCAACTTTCAAGCAATACCTCGAGAGGCCTTTTAGTTTATGCTCTCATTCTCTGGAAGCCCAGGTGTTTTGTAAGAAAGGCCAAACTAGCCTGCTAGAGAGGCCATGTGGAGAAAAATCAAGGCCCTCCAGCTGATAGATTCCATCAACTTCCAGGCAGGTGAATGAGGGCGTTTGAGAGCCAGCTCCAGGGCTCCTTCCAACTGACCACAAATGCATGGGTGATCTCAGATAACAAAATGTGAAGCAAAGACAAACTATCCCAGCAAAACCCTGACCAAATAGCTGGCCCTTGAGTCATGACTAAATAAATAGTTGTTTTAAATCACAATGCTTTTGGTGAATTGTTACATGGCAATAGATAACTGAAGCTGAGACCGAGGTGGTAAAGCTACTTTAGATGAGATGGTGAAGGAGAACATGCATGAGTGGGTAGCATTTGAGCAGAAGTTTAAACAGGAAGAAGCCAGCCCTGCAGAGGTTCGTGAGACATGATTCCAGGTAGAGGCAAATGCAAGTGCAAGGGACCTAAGGCAGGAAGATGTGCAAGAGAAACCGAAAGAAGAACATGTGGCTGGAGTGTGATAAACAATGGGAAAAGTAGCACTGTAATAGGAGATGAAGGAACAGAGGTAAGGGAGGCCTTATCAGGTAGAGCCTTGTAGATTGTGGAACCAGGTTTTGATTTTATTCTAGACAAAATGAGAAGTTATAGCAGGTTTTCAAAAGAAAACTGATATGATCTTTCTACATGTTTACATATTATCCTGGATACTTTGTGAAGAATGGATAATAGAATGGTGGAACAGGAAGACCAACTGAAAGGCTGTTGAGTTAGTTTAACTGATAGATCATGGCTTTGACTAGGATAATGATTGTGAAGATAGAGGGGAGAAAATAGGTTAAAAATGTGTGTTGAACATAAAAATGGTAGGACTGTTGATTTGGATGTAGTGGGTAGCTAAGAGGAAGACAAGAATGGAGAATTATTGCTAGGTTTTTGGCTAGATCATATCAATTAAGGAATAAATTGAGGGTACAAGAGAGGCAATGAATATTTAATTTTTATTAAAGTGTGTTATTTTGAGTGGTGATGCATAGCAGTTAATAGTAGTTAATCGGCTTTTTGCTTGAGACTCAGGGGAGAGAACACAACTAGAGATATACATTTAGGAATCTTTAGCATATAGATGGTATTGAAAGCCATGGAAGAACATGATCTCTGCAGCGAGTTTAGGTAAAGATGAGAGCCTCGGTCCTATAGACAAGGAAAATACATTGTACTGATGTAAAAAGAGTCACCAGTTTAATGTGAGGAAAATAAAGAGAATATGAAGTTGTGAAATACTATATATATATATAGTATATATATATAGACCTGAGGGATGTTTCAGCAAGTAAAGTATTAATGACAGAGACAAGAGCAATTTTGGAGAAATCAAACCAAAAAGCTAGAATGGCATGAGCTGAAGAGTGAATGGAAGGTGAAGGGGTAGAGACAGTGAGTAAAGATAACTATTTCAAGAAATCTACTGTGACAGGGAGTGGAGAAATGGATCTGCATCTCCAGGGAAATGTGGAGTCAATGGAGGACTTTGGAACTTTCCAAAGCATGTTTTTGAACTCATATTGGGCAAAGATGGAGAAATTGATGATGCAAGAAGGTAGGGGATAATTGTAGATGTAATATGACCAGGTTTGATGACTGGAAAGTTTAATCTCCCTAGAAAAGGTTTCACATTACTTTTTGTTGTTGTTCGTTTTTTGTTTTTTGTTTTTAGTTTTTTGTTTTTGTTTTTGTTTTTGTTTTTTTTAGACAGTCTCAATCTGTTGCCCAGACTGGAGTGCAATGGTGCAATCATGGCTCAGTGTAACCTCCACCTCCCAGGTTCAAGAGATTCTGCTGCCTCAGCCTCCTGAGTAGCTGAGATTACAGGCCCCCATCCACCACACCCAGCCAATTTTTGTTTTTTAGTAGAGACAGGGTTTCACCATGTTGGCCAGGCTGGTCTCAAACTCCTAACCTCAGGTGATCCACCCGCCTTGGCCTCCCAAAGTGCTGAGATTATAGGCATGAGCCACCATGCCCAGCCTCATGTTATTTTTTTTTTTTTTTTTTATAAAAAAGCTTTTGGAAGTGACACTGTGAGCATGCGCTGAAGCAGTGGATGCTACCTGAGCAGATGGCTGGGACTCCAACAGCACCTACTCCTCTTGCTCTGATGCTCCTCCCTCAAGCATACACCTGTGGCCTCACCTGAAATTCTTTAATTTCAGTTGACAGAGAAAAAAATAAATGGGTTGTGATTACAAATGGCTTTGCATATTGTGCTGGTGTAAGGCTAGAAATGCATGATGCAGAATTACAGCCCTATTAAAAGCTTTTGTGTTATAAAATGAAGAAAAGAGAGCCTCCCCTTTAGAATATCTTCTAGAAGTTTGATTGTTTTTTGTAATTTTTTCTGGATAGAGTTGGCTCAAGTTACTAATATATACTACTTCATGGGCTAGCCAGATCATCAGACACTTGGAAAGAACACAACTGAAGATTTAGTAACAAGGAGATCTGGGGAGAAAGTATATCAACTTTCTCAGAATGAGTATAGGATATAAGGATATTTGTGTTCCATGTGAATACTCACTCAAGAGTACCCACTGAAGAGGATGTTCTCAGTAATCACATGGAAAATGCTATGCTCTGCAGATGTCAGCCAGTCTCTTTCCCCAAGCACTCTAGCAGTCACTCAATCTGATGAGGTTAAAAATGTTCATGGCAGTAGGGATGAAAGCTATGCATTGGCTCAACAACATGGATTTCACCAGGGCTGACCTGGCTACCACCACTGCTGAATATCCACCTGACCATAGCTGATGCTGAGTCCTTCTACTAATAGTAGCATCATTCCTCAGGGGACTAGGCAGCTACTTGGTGTTAGGTTGATTTTACTAGACCCCTTTCCTAATGGTAGGATAAGTAACTTATCATCACTAAAAAACATAGTTATTTTGAAAATGGATTTCCCCTTTCCTGCACACAGTGCCTTCACAGATACTCTTGCAAAGGACTTATTTGGAATCTTCATATTCCACAGAACATTGATGCTTTATTAGTTTCTTATTGTTGCTGTAAAAAATTACCACACACTTAAGGGCATTAAACAATACTATTTTATTCAGTTACAGTTCTGGAGGTCAGAAGTCTAAAATTATTTCATTGAACTAAAGTCAATGTCAGCAGTACTGGTTTCTAGTTTCTACTGGAGCTGAGGGGAGAATCTGTCACCTTGCCTGTTTCAGTTTCTAGTGGCCCATCAATGTTCTTTGGCTTGCTACCCCTGTTTCCATCTTCAAGTTCATCATTCCAGCCTCTACTTCTGTCATCATGTCACCTTCTCCTCTCCCGTAGTGGTACCTCCCTCTGACCCCCTCTTATAAGAACACTTGTGACCAGGCGCAGTGGCTCACGCCTGTAATCCCAGCACTTTGGGAGGCTAAAGCAGGCAGATTGTGTGAGCCCAGGAGTTCAAGACCAGCCTGGGCAACATGGTGAAACCCTATCTCTATGAAAAATATGAAAATTAGCCGGGCGTGGCAGCGTGTGCCTGTAGTCTCGGCTACTCAGGAAACTAAGATCGGAGGATCGCTGGAGGCCAGAAGGTGGAGGCTGCAGTGAGCCGAGATAGTGCCACTGCACTCCAGCCTGGGTGACAGAGCAAGACCCTGTCTCAAAAAAATAAAAATAAAAAAAATAAGAACACTTGTATCATTGGGACCACACAGACAATCCAGTATATTCTCCTCATCTCAAGATTCTTAACTGCATATGCAAAATCCCTTTTGCTATATAATATAGTACATTTACAGGTTTCAGGGATTACTAGGTAGACATATTGGGGCATCATTGTTCAGCCTACCACAGCTAGTGACCAATGAATGTATTCCATAGAAAATAAAGTGGGTCAATGGGCTGACACTCATTAAATTTACTGATCTTGCCATGTGCTCCATTATCCAGAAACACTCAGCTCTGCGGAGCATTAGAATGGCCTACTGAAGATGTAGTCATACTACTTTCTGACCGAAAACATCCCCCAACCAGCCTGGAAAACATAGTGGGGCCCCTGTCTCTACAAAAATGAAAAAACATAGTCGGGCATGGTGGTGCATGCCTGTAGCCCCAACTACTTGGGAGGCTGGGCGAGAGGATCACTTTAACCCAGGAGGTTGAGGCTACAGTGAGCCATGTGTGTTCCACTGCACTCCAGCCTGGGTGACAGGGCAAGACCCTATCTCAAAACAAACAAACAAATAAACAAACAAAGACATCCTTCAAAGATGTGATGCTGTCCCAAAGAATGTGGTATATTCTTTGAACCACCAGTCAAAATATGATGCTATTTTTTTTAATAATTGCCAGATTTCACAGTTACAGGAATCAGGGGTTAGAAGTATACTCAATGACCAGCTTGAAAAATTTCAATTTCCTGGCCCTATAAATTTAAACTCTGCTTCTTTTAAGGTCTTAATTCTGAAAGGAGAGCACTTCTACCACATGACATGATGGTTTCATCGATCTAAAAGATAAGACCATCACCTGGCCTTTTGAGGAATCCTCATGTCACTGAAGCAACAGCCAAGGTGAGGTAACTGATCTCTATTAAGGGAAAATACAATGTTCTCCACAATGGGACATGTTGACAACATATAGAACCCAAGAGATTCTCTGAAGTGCTTCCAGTAATAAAAGTTAATGTAAAACTATAGCAACTCAACCAAAAGGACTACTAGGGGCTCAGACTCTTCAAGAACTAAAGTTTGAATTACACCACTAAGTAAATAATATCAACCTGAGGAGGACCTGCTTGAGATTAAAGGAAACATGAGGCTGGGTGCATTGACTCATGCCTGTAATCCCAGACATTGGGAGGCCAAGGCAGGAAGATGGCTTGAACACATGAGTTCAAGACAAGCCTGGGCAACATGGCAAGACCCCTGTCTCTACAGAAATTTAAAAATATAGCCAGGCATGGTGGTGCATGCTTGTGGTGTCAGCAACTCGAGGGACTGGGGGGGAGGATCGCTTGAAACCAGCAGGTTGCGGTTACAGTGAGCTGTGTTGTTCACACCACTGCACTCTAGCCTGGGCCACAGAGTGAGACTCTATCGTTAAAAAAAAAAAAAAAAGGAAGCATAGAAAAGCAGAAGAGGAAATTGCAACTATCACCAGAAGCTGATGATCTGTTAACAACCAGTCATAGAAATGATGACTGCAGTTACACATGATTTATTCCTCGTCTGTTATGCAATATTTGTGTATGTTAATCAGCTGTTTCCTTTTTCGTCTTTCCCTTTCTTATCCTATTTTACATATAAAGTGGGATGATGGCTATTGTGCAATTTAGTGTTTAAATTACAGAATATCCAGAGTGACAGCTTTTCTGTTTGTATGCAAAATTGTTAATTATGTTAGGTAAAAGCACCATATTGTTGTGATTGTTGTTGAATGAAATTTAAATAAGGGTACAAGGGAGGCAAATGGACACTGTATAAGCAGCAGGTGAACTATGTTGACTCTATGTCTATTAATTGCCAGCTCTACCCCTACTCTGTAATGCTCTTTTCTGAATAACTGGCAGAAATGGGAGCCTGAAAACCATTTTTTCCAGGTTTCATTGACAGTGGAGTCTGAGAGAATATAGTATAAAAGAAGAGGGAAACCATTTTATTTTCTATTATTAATGGTACATCAAGATGTGGCAGCAACATCAGTAGAAGTGTAATCTCCTGACTTTCTGCTCAGCTGCAATGGTATGAATCCAACTGAAGAAGTAGCAGCAATGCATTCAGCAGCAACAGCAGGATCATAAACTCCTGCATTTCCTGCTCAGCTGCAGTGGTGTGGATCCAGCTGTAAAAGCAGCAGTCATGCATTCAGCCGCAGCAGCAGGAAGATAAACTCCTAACTTTCCTGCTCAGTTGCCCGGATGCAGTTTCAGCATCAATGGCAGCACCTCCAGCAGACAGAGGGCAAGGGCAGCTAGGCTTCAGTCCAGGTTCAATCGCAGCTTCCAGTGTCTTTATAACACTCTTCTTTTTTGTGTTCTTTCTGTGTTTCTAAGAGCACTGTAACCAATTGTCTGCATTAAATCCCTCTTTGCTTGAAATATTTAGAATGACCTCTGATTTCTGGGCTTGGCACTAACTGACATAGATATGAATCTCTCATTTATATAATGTGTAATAAAACTATTTTCCAAGGTTGTTTGCTCTTTCTAGTCACAATTTTCCACGCTAGACTGGAATATTGTTTGGGAAATTGGGCTGACCATCTCACCCAGAGAAACAGTGATTCACAATGAAAAAGCAGTCATGTGATCTTAGGCAAGTTAAAATTACCCTTCAGGGTAAGTGTCCTTAAAAGTGAAATAATGAATATAAGCTTGTCCAAAGAATTAAAATAATTATGTAAACTGAAGTATGCAAATTATTTGCTTATGAAATTAAATGGTTTAAGAAAAAAAGAATCAATAGAAGTGAGGCTGTCTGACTGCTATAAGGGATTGGATGTTTCTATCTATTCTCTTCTTTTGTCCCTCTTCTCTAACATCTCTCTTTCTCTCTCTCTCATTCACTTTCTCATTCTCCCTCCCCTACTCTCTAATGAGACCTCTATTATTCTAGAGTATTTTGCACCTTTTTTTCTACTCATTCTCCCTCCCTGTATTATGGCTCCATTCCCAGAGAGACATAGTTCAGTATCTCCCTCCCATGGTCAAGGTCACTGACAATGTAGTCCCATTATCCCAACATCTGAATCTACAACTAAAACTTAGTTTACCAGACATTATAAGCATGATCTGTATTAGTCTGTTTTCAGACTGCTGACAAAAACATACAGAAGACTGGGAAGAAAAAGAGGTTTAATTGGATTTACAGTTCCACATGGCTAGGGAGGCCTCAGAATCATGGCAGGAGGTGAAAGGCCCTTCTTACATGCCAGTGGCAAGAGAAAAATGAGGAAGAAGAAAAGTGGAAACCTCTGGTAAACCCATCAGATCTTGTGAGACTTATTCACTATCATGAGAATAGCACAGGAAATACTGGCCCCCGTGATTCAATTACCTTCCCCTGAGTCCCTCCCACAACACGTGGGAATTCTGTGAGATACAATTCAATTTGGTTTCGGTGAGGACACAGCCAAACCATATCATTATCTGTGCACATTCCCCTGCCATGGAAAGAATAGAAGTTCCAAAGTCTATAGAACTGCAATTCAAATGTAATTCAATTAACTTGGAATTATCACATATCATTTAGTTATCTGGGAATTTAAGTACCAGGGATAGGTACTTAAATACAAATCTGGGAAGCTCTGAAGGGGATGGTTAGGCAAGTTATTGGTCCAAGCTGAGGGTGAGGGGTCAGAATCCTATCTGAAGATGAAGCTACTGTGTTGACGGATCCTAGAAAAGGAGCACCACTCCCCTTCTTTGCTCTGCTGAATCAGAATCCTCTTAAGGAAAGAAAAAAAAGGTTGAAAAATTAAAGAATGTGGTGGAACTGTGAGATAGTACAAAGAGGGGATGCTAAGTCTGGAGAAGGAAGAAGAATGCCAATGATGCCTTCTCCTCATCCAGAGACTCCCTAACCCTGGCTGTTACTGCTAATGGGTTGTCCTTTGTGACTCCAAAGGCATAGAGTGCCAAGATATTCAACCCTGCAGCAGCCTCCTCTATGGGACTACTGCTGATCATAAGCATAACTCAGCAAAATGTCCCAATCATAGGGGATCCCTGGATGAACTGCTCCTTATGTTCAACAGATAAAATTCTACATACAGTGGAATGGGAGAAAGGGCCACTGCCCATTAAAAAAGAAAGCACAGCCATCAACAGAGGCAAGGATGTGGTACTGGGAACTGATGTCTATTGGCATCTCCTGCTTATACCATAGAATGGTGATATAACAGAGCTTCTCAAGGGCCGGAACAGAGGAACACGTAAGGCATGGGGAAGCAAGCTTAAGCACTGGGGCAAGTCATCTTCAAGGAAGATATTGTTCTCAAAGATATCATTCCTGTGGTACAGTTCTCATTCATTTCACATCTCTATTCCCAACACACTTCCAAAGACTGCCCCAGTGTAACATATGCAGTTACTTCTCTGCGTAAGTCCTGCTTTTCCCTATCGAGTCTTACCACGTAAAGCTACAGTTCTATTGCAAGAGAGGGAAGCACATCTCTACAGATTGTGTCTTTAAGAACTAACATAAGTATTTCACCCATCTGACTAGGAAGGAGGAGGCTTATCAAGTGATAGTTTTATAAATCTAGATAGAATTTTTCTCTCAAACATTCAGAGTCAAAGGCCAGAAGTTACTTACCTGATGTAAAGTACTTTCAATTAAACATACTGGAGACAGACTTGTATCAATGACATTAAGTTATGAATGATAAAAGAGAAATAATTCAACATCTTCTAAGGAACATGTGTGAAATACTCCCTTGGAGTGTCACCAAGCCAGGCTAGGACAGAGAGTTAGGCCTCCAAACCCCTGAGCAGCACTTGCTTTCTTGAGATAGCATTATCTGGGGATCAGTTTCAGGTGGGAGGCAAAAAGTTAAGGAAGAGTTTGCCACTATGGCAGAATTAGTTTAGCAGTGGGAAGGTCTACGTTTTGGTCTCAAGAGAGGAAATTGTGAATTTACCTAGAAAGGGTGAAGTTTTACCCAGCAGATAACTCTGCCCTTTCCTGTAAATTTACCTAGATGGGGTGAAGTTTACCCAGCAGATAACACTGCCCTTTCCACTATGACCCATGTAACCTGGACAGCCCTGTATTGCCCAACACAAAGTTACTCTTAGAACATAGAAGACCTAGGCAGGAAGACCTGGTGGTGTTTATGATGCCCACTGTGGCCTTGACACCAGCTAACCAGAATAAGAGAATTTTAGGGACCACTCCTTTTTCTTTCTTTGAAAAGGAAAACAGAAAATTGAGCATCAATAGAAACATCAGCCTCTGTCCTTCCTGACTTCTGATGTCTACCCTTGGACATCCATGAAATCCCAAGCTGTCTAATTCCCCTTGGAAATGAAAAAGTAGAGAGGGGTATACACTTAAGTTTCTTCGGCATGATGCCTCCACCTTATAGGAACCGGTTAAACATCCCCAGGACAATCATCAGCAATTGCCTTTGGATACGTAAGGATTCCTAGGATCAGTTGCTCCCCCTGAACTTGAAGAGATCAATTTATGTGTAAGAGAATGAAAAGCACATATATAGGGCCATCAAGGACAACATTGGCCAGAAAATGTAAGGTAAGGGCCACAGTAAAACAAAGACGCATTCAGGTAGGATTTCCCGGGCTCACATCATACTCACATCAAGGTCAAGGCTATTTTTAGTGTTCCCTTCCCTTCATCTCAGCTAAGGTCTGTAATTCTCACTGCCAAGTCCCAGGTTCATTTAGGCATGCACTTGATGCCGCTTCTAAATCCTTATCTTTACCTGTTTATCTTGCTGTTTTCTCAGTAGTTGTGGCTGGATGTATCTGCTGTCCCAGGCAGACCAAGTTTAAGACATGTACATTGGTCTCCCAGATCAACTTAATTTAAATGGGTATGTCCTCCTTGCTACACACAAGAGGATTTTGAATTGATAATCGAGGAAAACTGGAGTCACTTCTCCTAGGATAGAACTCTGCATTTATTTGCTCAAAGCAACTGGTAAAGAATGATGGATGAGCCAAGGTTTTCATTTCACCATATGGAATCAAAGGAGTTTGCATTCCTTGTTGCTATGTCTCTCAGTCTGTAGTCAACGGAAAATATATTTCATTAGAACAAGAGGGAGCTATTTAAGTTACCTCTTTTATGTTACTATTTATGTTAGATCATAAATCAATCTAGTCTTTGATATAAAATCTAGTATTTCTAAAGCCATTACGTAAATACAAAATTACCAATTTTCAGTGCTTAAACCAGGGATGATGCATCTATACTAAAGCATATGAGAATTTTCTTTTTGTCAAAAATACTGGTTCTCAGGCCTTTGAGATTACTTTAAATATCAATGGGAGACTTTGACTAAAAGGCTTCTTTTTAAAGATTTGCATAATGTTGTCTGGATGGTATTGCAGAACCTGGATCCTGCAATCTGCCCCTACCTTTAACTTGTTCCCACCGTGTTTGCTTGCCTTGACCTACTGGTTAGTCCTGCTCTCCCTGCCATTTTCACTGGGATTTTTCTTCCTATGTGCTTATTTGTAGGAAACTCTTCTCCATTTCAGACAACATATTCTAAATGCTCTTTACTGCACTATACTTGAAGAATGCTCCTTTTAGCATGGACTGGTCTAAAAATTATATCAGTGCCAATGCAGTAAGATTTATAAGAGGATGGAAAATGCAGAGTTTGGCTCTTTTTAAATTCTTTTATGTAAGTAGGCTCTACAAGACATTTGAACTATACTTTACTGAAAATAATTACATCAAAATTTGGTCAACAATGCAAATTGTTGCTGGACCAGGGCCAGGGCTAAGATGATACCCCAGGCATTCAAAAACTCAGCTGAGTACTCCTGTCACATATGAACCATGAAGAAGGACCTGCAGAGTCAAAGGGAGAAAACATACATCTCATCTCCTATCTCTTCTAGTGTCTGCTTTACTTATTTACTCTTAACTGTGTGCATTTTCTTTATTCAGTCATTTATTGGTTGGCTTTATCCTCTTGGGGGAGTTAACCAATTACAGAAACAAAACTTTTATTTTATCTGATTAGAATCAGATTATGCATTTTGGTAGAAATACCTCAGAAGTGATGCTGTGTCCTTTTGAGTGCATGATGTTAAGGAGACACAGGGCCAGGCGTGGTGGCTCACGCCTGTAATCTCAGCACTTTGGGAGGCTGAGGCAGGCAGATCACCTGAGGTCGGGAGTTCAAGGCCATCCGGGCCAACATGGGGAGACCCCGTCTTTACTAAAAATACAAAAATTAGCCTAGTGTGGTGGCATGCACCTGTAGTCCCAGCTACTCAGGAGGCTAAGGCAGGAAAATCACTTATCACTTGAACCCAGGAGGCAGAGATTGCAGTGAGCCAAGTTCATGCCACTGCACTCCAGCCTGGGCGACAGAGTTAGATTCTGTCAAAACAAACAAACAAACAAACAAACAAAAACAAAAAAACAAAGAGAGAGAGATATATAGGATGTCTGTTCATTCTACTCTTGGTGATGTTAACTTTGATCACTTGATTAGAGAGATACAGTAGCCCCCTCTATCCCCTAATCTGGGGGATATGTTCCAACAGCCTCAGTGGATGCCTAATGCTGCAGAAAGTACTGAACCCTATATATGGGCATACTTTAGTGAAGTTACAGGTTTGGTCCAGACCACAATAAAGTGAATATCAGAATAAAGCAAGTCACAGGAATTTTTTTTGTTTCCCAGTGCGTATAAAAGTTATGTTTACATTGTACTGCAGTCTATTAAGTGTGCAATAGCATTATGCCTTAAAAAAACAATGCGCATAGCTTAATTTAAAATATTTTGTTGCTAAAAAATGCTAATGATCATCTGAGCATTCAGGAAGTCATAATTGTTTGCTTGCCTCGATACTGATGCTGCTGACTGACCAGGGTGGGAGTTGTTGAAGGCTGGAGTGGTGTGGCAATATTTTAAAGTAAGACAACAGTGGAGTCTGCCACAACAATCGACTCTTCCTTTTATGAAAGATTTCTTTATAGCCACCAATGTTGTTTGAAAGCATTTTACTCACAATGGAACTTCTTTCAAAATTGTAGCCAATCCTCTCAAACCCTGCCACTGCTTTATCAACTAAATTGATGTAATACTATAAATGCCTTGCTGCTATTTCAACAAGGTTCACAGCATCTTCACCAGGGGTAGTTTTCATTTCAAGAAACCACTTTTCTTTGGTCATCGATAAGATGCAACTCCTCGTCCTCATCTGTGAAAGTTGTATCATGAGATAGCAGGAATACAGGCACATCTTCAGAGTCTACTTCTAATTCCAGTGCTCTTGCTATTTCCACCATAACTGCAGTTATTTCCTCCATTGAAGTCTTGAATCCTCAAAATCATTCATAAGGGTAGAATCAAGTTCTTCAAAACTCCTACTAATGTTGATCTTTTGACTTCCTTCCATGAATGTCGAATGATCTTCATGGCATCCAGAATAATGAATCCTTTCCAGGAGACTTTCACTTTACACAGATCCTTCCCAAGAATCACTATCTATGATAGCTATAGCCTTGTGAAATGAATTAAATAATAAGACTTGAAAGTCAAAATGACTCCCTGAACCATAGGTTGAAAATGAACATTATGTTAACAATCATGAAAAACAACGTTAATCTCCTTGTACATCTTCATCAGAGCTCTTGGGTAACTGGGTACCTTATTAGTGAGTAGAAATATTTTGAAAGGGATCACTTTTTTGAGCAGTAATTCTCAATATTGGGTTTAAAATATTCAATAAACCATGCTGTAGACAGAAGTGCTGTCATTCAGGCTTTGTTGTTTCATTTGCAGAGCATAGGCAGAGTAGATTTGGCATCATTCTTTAAGTGCTCCAGCATTTTCAGAGTGGTAAATGAACCCTGGCTTCAATTTCAGGTCACAGCTGCTGTCCCCTAACAAGTCAGTTTGTCCTCTGAAGCTCGGAAGCCAGGCACTGACTTTTCCTCTTTAGGATGTTCTAGATGGTAACGTCTTCTAATAGAAGGCTCTTTTGTCTGCAATGAAAATCTGTAGTATAATATGGCCACCTTCATCAATGATCTTAGCTAGTTAGATCTTCTGAGTGGTTTCCTGCAGCTTCTACATAAGCCCTTGCTGTTTCACTTTGCACTTTTCTGTTATGGAGATGGCTTCTTTCCTTAAACCTCATGAACTAACTTCTGCTAGCTTCCAACTTTTCTTCTGTAGCTTTCTCACCTCTTTCAGCCTTGTAGAATTGAAGACAGTTAGGGCCTTACTCTAGATTAGGCTTTGGCTTAAGGGAATATTGTGGCTGGTTTTATCTTCTATCCAGACCACTCAAACTTTCTTCATAATAACATAACAGTAATAAGGCTGTTTCACTTTCTTATCATTTGAATTTTCCTCAAGCACTTTTCCTTTGAATTCACAACTTGGCTAACTGTTTGGCATAAGAGAACTAGCTTTAAGTCTATCTTGGCTTTTGACATGCCTTGCTCACTACGTTTAATCGCTTAAGTAGAACAAGTTACTTGAACACAAAGACTGCAATACCGTCACAGTTGATCTAATAACTGAGAGAGCTACTACGTTACTAACAGGCAGGTAGTGTATACAGCGTGAACATGCTGGACAAAGGGATGATTCATGTCTCAGGTGGAACAGAGTAGGAACATGAGAGATTTCATCATCGCACTCAGAATGGTGCACAATTTAAAACTTAGGAATTATTTATTTCTGTAATTTCTAACTTGATATTTTTAAACTGCAATTGATTGCAAGTAATAGAAACTGTGTGAAGCAAAACTAAGGATAAGGGGGAATTCTGGTACCAACTAGGTTTCTTCACTGTAAAGTTATTCCTTTTCCCCTTGTAAAGAATGGGAGGGGGACCTTGTAGAGATATAGTCTGACACTCCATAAATATCCTCTTCCTCATCAAACATTTACCCATTAGTTTTAGCATTGATGATTCATCCTTAGAATATTACTATGATGTTTGCTAAATGCTGATTTCCCAAATGATGGATCATTCCTTTTATAGTTATGAGTTGGCATTCTGCTGTAAGAAAAAGCTTTCCTCCCTGTTTATTTCATTTTATTTATTTATAAAAGAATGGAATCATGGATTCTAATTTTATTATATGAATTACATTCCACTACTATTATTAATCTTTTGATGCCCAAACTCTTTCAGATTTTGTGAATGCCACTCCTTTCAAGCTGGTTCCTTTGACTTTTGAAGTATTTCCATCTTTCTTTAAGTACTTCTTTACTTTCTACAACAGCAAGATGTTCCAGGCTCATTTTATCTTTATTGCCACAGATCTGGAATCAGCCATTTTGTCCAATGAGTCCTGATTTATTTTCTTTTAATGAAGTATGACCTTTAGAATTCATGCTCTGGATATTGTTGTGTCATTGCTACCAGGCCCTCTGAGCAGACAGATCTGGCATATACATGTCAGCAATCTCACTCTCTCTCGCTCGCTTTCTCTCTTCCTCCTGCACCCCCCCATCTCACTACCAACTTTTGTTCACACATGCAACCTATGAGTATCTGTTCCTCCACAACCTCATCAACAGAAGCTATTTTTATAATAATCTGATCTTATAAGACAATTCCCAATGATCTGTTCTAGTCATGAAGACCAGACTCACATGGATCTAGGAAGAGACAGCATTCACTGCGCCACATAAAAGTGGAGGCACAGGGTGACTAGATGTCACCAAAGGGCTCCCCTCAGTGTGGCAACCTATGAGTGAAGTTCCGCCTGTAGCTTTTAAGAGAAGGCAGGCTAAGTGTTTCCCAGTAAACTTTGTCCATCTGCCCAAATGTATATGGGAGACATAAAAAGAAGGGTCAGCGCAAATCAGATTACAAATTCTAAGACAGACATGAAGCCTTGTCTCAAAGACTGGTCCCTGATAATAAGCTTTGGATTATTGACACTTCTTCTAAGCACATCTAGGGTACTCAAAGGTGGCTCAATGAAAAAAAAAATCTCCCTTTAAAGACTGCATCTTAAAATTTTGCCACAAAGAAAATTTAGAGTGGGAATGGATCTTGGAGAGATGAAAATGTATATGATAAAAGCAAATGGTTCTATTATTCCTCTGTGGCCTGTCTTCAGTGAGATGATTCTTGACTACAGTAAAGGTCCTGTGAGAAGGCATGATCTGAAAAGATCCTGGCCTTGATGGTTAGACTTATAAAGTTCTGGGGACAGTGTTGGGAGAGGTGAGACTGAGCATTTCATTGATGAACTTTTAATTGAAGCAAAACTGGAGAAAAGATTTAAATGAGATGTCTTCTAAAGCCTTTTCATTGGGGAAGAAAGGTGCAGTTCTAGTTTCCAGTTGCAGTTCTCATCCACATCCAACTGCAGTTCCCCAAAACTGAGGGTTTTACGGAAATCCTGATGACAGTCATGGAGCCACTTCTCTACTGAAGGTGTGGATGGAGGAGGGGACGGTAGGAATATCAGTGACACATTACTCACATACATGTTAAAGGAAAAGGAGAGGAATAGCATTAGGATTCCCCTTTAAGTTTGGTCCCTCAAACTAGTCCCTGGATTAAGAAATTACTATGAATTATCTTAGTAAGACATTACTAAGAATTATCATGTACTTGGAATTGTTAGTCTCAATCATCTTCATTTTCTCATCCTCTGTTTTATACAGGGGTTTCTCTGATCTGAAAATAGGGTGTCAAGTGGAGGAAAGTATGAAGGTTGAGGACACTGAATGAAGCACAGAATTAGTTTGTAATAGATTAGTTAAGGCTTAGATTTTTTTAAAAATGGGAAGCACAAGAGATGTTAGTAGCCTAAGCCTGAAGCTGCTTTATCTTGGTCTCATACAATCTGCTTCTAAAATCTCATTTATAGCACCTTACTCAGGATAATCTGTGGGACAGAGCTCAAAAAACAGAATTTAATATTTATTACAACCTTTGATTCAAGAAATAGGAGACATTGTTATTATGATCTATAAAAGACCAGGCCTTTGACTTGGTCTAATTCAGTCACAGAGGCTGTAATTAGGTATAAATTATTCTTTCTAAGTCTGATATCTCATACTTAGATCTAGGACATGAAGATTTCTCCTTCAGGGAAGGTACATAAAGCAAATATACTCTTGTCTCCGTACTTATGATCTTTGCATAAAGTCAGACCCAGGCCATTTTCCAGAAAATTCTGGGAAATTAGGGCATTGTATAATGCAAAGCACTTTTCTCTTCTGTGACTTCTCTATGCTATAATATCCCAGGGCCAAGACAGAAATGGTTGGAAAAATGGAGAAAATATTAGATCCATTGCGTCTGATTCACACTGTTTTAACTCCAATAATTAGGTGTTTGAACCAGATAGTCATTAGACACACCACTGTATCAAAAGGAAGAATAAAAATATACGCCTGATTGTGAAGGCTAGCAAATCTCTAGAATTACAGTGGAATTTGCATGACTCTCAGTATGCTATATCTTCTTTTGCTCTTATATTTAAAAAACCTACTCATCTGACAAATGGCTAATATCCAGAATCTACAATGAACTCAAACAAATTTACAAGAAAAAAAACAAACAACCCCATCAAAAAGTGGGCAAAGGATATGAACAGACACTTCTCAAAAGAAGACATTTATGCAGCCAAAAGACACATGAAAAAATGCTCATCATCACTGGCCATCAGAGAAATGCAAATCAAAACCACAATGAGATACCATCTCACACCAGTTAGAATGGCAATCATTAAAAAGTCAGGAAACAACAGGTGCTGGAGAGGATGTGGAGATATAGGAACACTTTTACACTGTTGGTGGGACTGTAAACTAGTTCAACCATTGTGGAAGTCAGTGTGGCGATTCCTCAGGGATCAAGAACTAGAAATACCATTTGACCCAGCCATCCCATTACTGGGTATATACCCAAAGGACTATAAATCATGCTGCTATAAAGACACATGCACATGTATGTTTATTGTGGCACTATTCACAATAGCAAAGACTTGGAACCAACCTAAATGTCCAACAGTGATAGACTGGATTAAGAAAATGTGGCACATATACACCATGGAATACTATGCAGCCATAAAAATGATGAGTTCATGTCCTTTGCAGGGACATGGATGAAATTGGAAATCATCATTCTCAGTAAACTATCGCAAGGACAAAAAACCAAACACCGCATGTTCTCACTCATAGATGGGAATTGAACAATGAGAACACATGGACACAGGAAGGGGAACATCACGCTCTGGGGAATGTTATGGGGTGGGAGGAGTGGGGAGGGATAGCATTAGGAGATATACCTAATGCTAAATGACGAGTTAATGGGTGCAGCACACCAGCATGCCACATGTATACATATGTAACTAACCTGCACATTGTGCACATGTACCCTAAAACTTAAAGTATAATAATAATAAAAAAAAGAAAAAATAAAATAAAATAAAATAAAAATGCTAAAAAAAAATTGTTCCATGTTACAAAGGCAGATCACAGCTTCTGGGAATCTGGGGAAAATAGTAATGAAGCCATGTAACCTATTCCTCCTTTCTGGGTCTCCACTTACTCAGTGACTATATGTAAAATAAGGAAGGATTGGAAATTGAGCTGTTTGGAAATGCAGAAAGCAGTGACATTTTTCTCACTCAGTGTTAATTTGCACCTAATATAGTGACTTTGAAAGCCTCACCTAGAATAATATGGTAGGCTGAAAAGGAAGGGTAAATTCACTATTCATAGCATTATTACACACGAGGCCTTTCAGGAGATAAGAAGATGGTGTAATAACAGAACAGTCAACCTGATGCGTTGGCTCAAGCCTGTAATCCCAGTACTTTGGGAGGCCGAGGCGGGCGGATCATGAGGTCAGGAGATTGAGACCATCCTGGCTAACACAGTGAAACCCGTCTCTACTAAAAATACCAAGAAAATTAGCCGGGTGTGGTGGCGCACGCCTGCAGTCCCAGCTACTCAGGAGGCTGAGGCAGGAGAATCGCTTAAACCCGGGAAGTAGAGGTTGCAGTGAGCCAAGATTGCGCCACTGCACTCCAGCCTGGGCAACAGAGAGAGACAATGTCTCAAAAATAAATAAATAAAAATAACCAAAGAGTCTTGAATTTTACCACTGATACTCTGCTCCCATATTGAAAGCCAAGTATTCCAAACTCTGGAAAAGGCTCTGGCCCAATTTCTTACATCATAATATAAAATCTCCATATGCATGGAGTTGGGATGATGTAAGTGACTCCAAGAGTTTCTCTGTAGTGTAAAGTCTGCTGATTCTCTGCGTTGCCCAAAAGCACAATCACCATAACTCTGTGGAGAAAAATGACTACATAGTGTTAGGCTTTGCAAGAGGAGCTTCCACTGGAAGGGACCCTAGAGAAGCAGGGTCTGCAGAGTTTACAGTTCTGTTGAACAGAGGAGAAGCATGAAGTTCTGAGCACTGAGCTGTGAAGACCTCTGCCAGACAACTCTAGACAAATCAAGGGGAATTTATGAAGCAAAAATTCCTTTTTCTTCCTGTTTCAAGAAATTCTCTTTTATGAAGACAAACCATAGGATTAACAGGAAATATAGGCATGAGCAAATTGTACAAATAAAACCGTCTGTATTTTCTGCCACTGTCCCAATGCGCTCTAACATAGAGGCAATGAAGCACGAAAAGTAAAATGATAGGGATGTAGCACGGCGCTGCGCTGTTTCTACAGCACACTTGGCTTACCTGTTGGCAAGGAAGATATAAAAGATTGGATAAGGAATTTAACCAAGAATTATTTGAGTGGCTCATGCTTATAATCCCAGCACTTTGGGAGGCCAAGATGGGAGGATGACTTAAGGCCAAGAGTTTGAGACCAGCCTAACCAACATAGTCAGACTCCATCTCTGCAAATTGTTTAAAAACTAGCCAGGCACAGTGGTGCATGCCTGTAGTCCCAGTTACTTGGGAGGCTAAGGCAGGAGGATTGCTTGAGTCCAGGAGTTCAAGGCCTCAGTGAGTTATGATTGTGCCACTGCATTCCAGCCTGGGTGACAGAGAATGACCCTGTCTATAAAAACAAAAAACAAAAACCCAACTATTTGCTATATAACCTCATATCTCAAACCCTGATTCATCTGGATGAATGAAGGAGATATTCACACTGAAAGACCACATTCCTGCAGCATATATTCCCTAACTGCCCTCCACATCTTCCACTTCGATATCTCTCTTAAAGTCCCCAAGAAGTTTATTATATGAGCTTAAGAATCAGTGCAGCAGCCTCTGGCCTCTGCGTGTAAGGACCTGCCCTTCTTCGGCGCCACTAAGCACGCAGCTGCTGTTGCTTCTCAAGCACCTCACACATGGTCTGTCACCCTGCAGGAGTCCTCATCTCCTCCATGTCACAGTGGTCGGCCCATTCACCCTGGCCACCAATGTCCCCAGTCCTTGTCAGATCAAAATGCTTAGCAGTCTCTTTCAAGGTAAAAAGAATTCACTCTCACCTCTACTTTATGCTCTTTTAGAGAAGGAGAAAGCTCTTTCCTCTGTATGTTAACCTTTGTGAGTGAGGTAGGAACAATCCTCTTCACCTTCTTCTGGAAGAGTTGTCAAAGCAGGATCTCTTGGGCCCTAGTGTGTGAATGCGTTGAATAGAAGGGATCTTTCAGTTTCCACACAGAGTACAGCATGCCTCACACCCCCCAGTGTCACTGGGTCAAGAGAGGCTCAGGGTCCAGTGCATAGTCTACCTGAAAGCATTGTTTACATCCATTATCCTTTTTTGCCCTCTATATTTTGGTTATGTATCTCTTTGTCATAAATATATAGCTGTAAGATGGGAGGATATTGTGAGAGATGAACATTGCTGAAACAAGAACTCCAATATCTAACTTTGGCCATATTGTGTTTCAGCAGATGGGTTTAAAACCCAATCTGGCAAGTCCAAAGAAAGTTAGAAGAAAGGGTATGAAATTGTATTTCTCCGACTTCAGGATCAGATAATAGTGTCCTTAACATCCAGTGTGAGGTTTCTCACAGATATAAGAAAAGAGATGAATATTCATTAATCTGTTGATTCAGGTGATGCAAAGGCTGGCTATCATGACCTCAAAAAGTCAATCACTGGCTTAGTTTATTCAAAGTCGTAAATTAGATCAATCATACGTATAAAATTTTATCTCAAGCTTGAAGCACAAGTGAGTTGTACAAGTAAACTTGCTCTTGTCCTCTTATTTGTACATTTTCTATAAAAATCTAATTTCTCAAATGTACTTTGGGTCAGTTTTAACACCTCATTAATTAATTAATTAATTAAAATAATTGACATGAGTTCATTTTGCATTTGCCTAAGGATCCTGGTAGTGCCATTTTGAGAATTATACTTCAGCCAGAGTTAAGAGTTTAATAGATTTATTTGAGAAATGGATTGGAGTTTTATTAAGAATTCAGAAATGTATTAGAAAGAGAAATGGATGATGAGAAACAAGAAGGAATTTGGACTTAGGGTAAAAGAGGTTTAAAAGAGTTAATATGAGGAAATCTGCTGCCCTGAAGTCTAAATCCTTCTCTCTTGGCTTGGCCCTGCCTTTCTTCCAAAGCCTTAATTCAGGAATAAACCCACTAGTTTCAGGCATCTCATGAGAAAGACCTTCAGCTTGTAGCAGTAGCTAAAGCCAAGGACATGTTAAGCAAAATGTCCCATGAGGAGGCAGTGGGGCAGCGAGCGGACACAGAGATCTCAGAGATTAGCTCACAAGGTTTTGTGTCCTTGGCAGGGAAAACAAAACAAAACAAAACAAAAAACCACACAAAACACAAAACACAAAACTCAAACTCTTTCATTGTACATTTTTTCTAACATGGAAGTGTTGGCAAGCTCCAGGCTCCCAATTTCACACTTTGGATCAACTGTAAGAAAGAAATCAAATAGTAATAAAATGTAAATACAGGATATGAGTTTATCAGCCAGAAAGCTGGCTCATAAACATGTGAGACAGATCATGAAATCTGTAAATGCCACATTCCGGCAACCCTTTTGTCCATCAGTCTCTCTGTACCTGGCATGTCTTTCAAAGGAAAATAAGTACTTAGCTGTTTGAGGTACCTAAAAGATTATTTGGGGGTCTTGAGGTGGGAGGTATTAAGAAAAATGTTCGAACACCTGGGGTCCTGAAGGAAAAGACTAAGGCCCTCAAGGCTTTCATAAGAAATATTCAGATCCAGGGAAGGGCATTATGTAATAGAATAGCTGGCACTAAAGAGACCCTTCTACATGCCAGACTTGTGCTCAGGTCTTTACAAACATAGTTCATTTACATCTCCGCTTAATAGCAAAGGCAATTATTATCCTGGCCTCATAGATGAGGACAATGAGGCACAGAAGATATAGTTACGAGGTCTCATGGTTAGAAGGTAACAGGATCAGGAGTGTGATCGAGGAAGAGGCCAAGCTAGCTGTGGGAGAAAATGCATTCTGAGTGGATAGAGGAAGGCCGTTTCCTATGGCAACCCACTTCTAAGGTCCTTGGGAATTTTCTGAACGAAAATCCAGGGCCTCACCTGCCCTTTTTAGCCAAGTTGCTTTCATTGCAGTAGCATAAGCTCAGTGATGGTTTGCCTGATCCACTGACAAATTGTTCATGCCTGATTCTCAAAAGCACTAAACCTGGGGAGGCACAAAAAGGAGTCCCACAAGTTGAGCATTTAGAACACCCTTAAGTTTCCCCACATTTTCCCAGAGCCAGTGCTCTGAGGCCTTTACTCATTACAGAAGGTAATAACTGAACCTTGACAGCGTATCCTTCCAAATGAAAGAAGTTAGTTGTCTACTTAGAAGTAATCCTTGACACCTCCCTCTCCCTCAACCTTAACAGCCAATCCCTCAGCAATCCCCAGAATTCTACCTCTAAAATGCATTTGAAACAGTCCAATTTTCTCCATATCCACCCTAATCTAACAGGTATCATCTCTGGCCTAGATTATTGTAGCATGCTAACTGCATCCACTTTCACCCACCACCAGTTCATTCCACAATGCTTTAAACCAAATTTAAATTCTGCAATGGCTATTCATTGCAATTAAGAAACTCCAATTAACTTACAGTGGGCTACAAGGTGCTGAATGATTTGACCCCTGCCCACCTTCCAAACTTCCCCTCATGCCAATTTCACCCTTGCTCCCATATTTCAGCCTTCAAAAGTATTTCTCATTCCTAACTTTCTCTTCAGAGCTCATCCATCCACATGAAACTCTCTTTTCTCAGCTCTTACGTGATTGGCATAATTCAAATGTCATTTCTCAGTTTGAATGTCACTCCTCAGTGAGTCACTCTCATTTTCCCTACCCTCAGTCCTTCTTCATCCTTTCTTTCCTTGCTTCATAGTACTTGTGAAAATTTGCTACTATTTTAGTGATTTGATTTTTGTTCTTTGGCTATCCCACACATTTGACTCTGAGCTCCACAGGGGAAAAGCTATGTCTGTTTTTTCTCTGTGCAATGATGTGTTTATTGTACTCTCTGGCTCATGTTCTCTACTCCCAGTGATGTAATAAGACATTTTGAGTCCTTAAGCATTGTAAAAATTATGAAAATTATGGTGCTTCCCATAAATGACTAAAAATAAAAACTAAAGTTACAATAAAACTTATACATACACTGAAATTAAACTGGCTTTTATTTGTAGAATTTCTGATTGTAAAATCTTGGAAAAGGTCATTGAAACAGAAGTTTTCTCATTTCTTTGGTGTCCCTGATTTTTTTGTAACCTAAGCCCATGTGTTATCTCCCATGGTAATATACAACTGTCCAGGACCTGAAAGGGAAAAACTGCTTCTCATTTCAGCCTCAGAGCAAAAGTTTGTATTATCATGTAAATCTTACTTAATAAATCTGTAATGCAGCAGTAGTTACTGTGAGCATCATACCTCTTTTTCTACTGTTAGAAGAATTAATCCTTCAGCCTGTTTTCATTCATTCTTATCTCATACAGCTTGTCAGCTCCATAGCTATTGACAAGCCCTAATCCCCTTAGTAAATTAACAGAAGAAAAATGGAAGAAAGAAGTTCTGTGTTTACGTGTGTTGGGAGATGGAGAAGCCAGATTATTTTGACAAACATGTAGGTGGCACATAATGGGTGCCATGTTCTGTGCTAGGTATTAGGATTAAACAACATTTAAGCAGCATGCCATATTCTTTCATATATCAGGACCTACATGCGTATTCCATATCACCTGCTTCCATTTCACCCCACAATCTCTCCAGTAATATCTTCCCTGGGATTCCAAACTACATTATACTTTTCTTTTATCTGCTGTCAGAGCTGCCTGATTTTCTCTATTGTAGTGCTCAACATAATTTATTTTAAGTAATTATGTAATCTCTCTTTCCTCTTAGACTATAAGCTCCATGAGGGGAGTTCTCATGCTACCTGACTCACAGCTACATCTCTGGTACCTAGTAACAGCACACAATAGAAACTAGCAATAAACATTTCTTAGATTAAGTAACATTAAATGAATGGATGAACTTTAACCTTGACCTCAAAGGCTTGCACTAAAATAAGAAAGACAAAGGAAAGAATATTTACCATTCACCGTGTTAAGTGTAGTTAGGATGTGTCACAGTACAATGCTAACCCTGGTATCAGTGAAGATCCCCTGAAGGAGTTGATGGATACATTTTAAAGGTTGAAGAATTGAGGCAACAAAGGAACCTCAAGAGGAAATGGACTGAGCAAACACAGAAGTGTCTACTTGTTATGCAAGGAGTCATCTGTAAGATCATTGGCCATAAGAGTGTAGAGTTCATAGCAGAGTTCTTCTAATATATTTGCTTACTGATACTATTGATAAAGGACATACAGTGAGGTCAGAATGAGATCCTTTATTCTTAGCAAACTCAAGAAGACCCTTACTGCTTACATTTAATGTTCTCTGTAAATGTATTACTATATTAATATAAATGTATACTATATTAATAATCCTTTATAAAGGAGGCAGGGGATAAACAACAGTCACTTATGAATGCCTTTGTTTTTGCCCCCTTTTTGGGGGAAATCAGGCTTTTGACTAAGTGTGACATAAGCGTCTCCAGAATTCCTCATTATCTGTTGACAGCTGGTCTGCAGCCATTAACAGCAAGCTTGTAGAATAACCCCAAGTGATCTGAGTGCTTTGGAAACATCCAGAAAAATGTGCTAGGCATAACCATAGTTAATAAAATTGTGTTTATAACCATATTGATATGACTTGTCATTTATTACGTGCCAGGTACTCCTTAACATTTTGCACACAAAAACTTCAAAAACGACTCAATGGGACCAAAGACTTCCAACAACCCTAGGAGTGAGTTTGGACTCACTTAACTCAGCCAAGCCTTCATATGAGATGGCAACCACAGCCAACTGTTAAACTACAACCTCATGAGAGGCTTTGAGCCAGAAGCTCTGAGCTAAGCCACTCCCAGATTTCTGCCCCACAAACACTATGAGATAATAAATGATGTTTCAAGGTGCAAACAAATCCCTCAGAACAATAATTCAGTGGGGTAGGTACTGCTATCATGTCACACAGATAAAGAAACTGAGCCACAGAGGAATAAAGCAACTTGTCCAAGGTCACTCAGAAAAGAAATGGTAAAGCCTGGACCCAATCCAGGTAGTCTGTCTCCAGAGCCCACACTTTGCAGCTTCCTCCCATTATGCTGTGGTATCTCCTGAAATTTTAATGCCACTTTTGGAGCCAAGACCCATACCCTGTACTTTTTCAGACATCCCACAGAATTCAGAAGTCAAAGTTGTAAAAGTCCCAGGAGAGGCAGACAGTTTGGTCATAATTAGTACTATTGGCCAAGAAGCTCTTAGAAGAAAATCAGGGTTTCCCAAAGAACACCATGCCTACCCACTGAGGACATGTTAGATGACTTCGAACATACGTGAGCAAACATGTTTACTTTCATAACTGTGTATTTTTAAAATCTGTGTCAGATAAACATTACGTTAATATGCATGTGTGCTAGATGAGGTAATTAGTATAATTATCTAAGTAATTATGAGAAATATCAACAATATATCTGAACAAATGATACTATATGTATTATTTTATTTTTTTATATATATATAAATTACAGAGCCATGATTCAATGCAGATAGTTATTCTTTTATTTATTTACTGGTCTATTCTTCAACAAATATTTATTGAGCACCTAATATGGCCCAGACACCATTCACAAAAAAACACAGAAATAAAAATCCCTACCCTCTCGTAGTTTACATTCTAATAGGGAATAATACAGTATATTACTAATATACAATACAGTACACATTATAGTATAGCATGCCACATTAAGCAATGTTATATTATCCCATAGTATATTATTCATATTAATTTTATATATAGTATATAGAAAAATAGAACATGGTATGAGAGGGGATGGTAATAGAGAGGTGAGAGTTTTAATGTTTCTTTTTAAATTAAAAATTATTATAAATAAAGTTGAAGTCTTTGTTTTACTAAAAAAATTAAGAATTTGTTTTCGTTTCCTTCATATGGGTCCATTATCTTTACCATGTCAATTTTCATTTATGTTTTGCTGAAGTCAGAGAAACATTTCATTAAAAAATGAATAAATAGCAAATCAAGTAAATCATAAATAATTAAAGCAAATAAGGGAAAACTATTATTAAATAATGATAACAGTGCTGCCTGGACGTGACCAAAAACAAATGAGTAAGTTGTATTTGAATGGTTAAACTGGATACTTCTTCAGATAGGAAACACCAAACTTTTCTCTTACCAATTGACTCTTGACCAGCTGTTTTATGTTGATGGGAGGAGAGGAAAAACTAGAATCACCCACCCCTAGACATTTGGCTCCTAGCGCTAAGGATGAAATGCTGTCCCGAGGACAGTGTGGAGGGTTCTGTCATCTAGTGTGTCATAACTTCTACAGCCTGCAGCTTCCTGGTCTGCTTACTTACAAGAACATCTCTGCAGAGAAAGCAGAAGATAAAATACAGGAATACAAAAAGAAGCGAGATGATCACATCCCATTCCTTTATGTTACACATTACACATAGGTGATGCTGACTTGGAAGTGTGTGCAGGTTGTGTGGCTGCTGAGACTTTGACAGAAGGCAGGGGACACTAGCTGCACAAAGGAGGTTGCAGGCTTTCCCACCAAGTGGATGGAAAGCCAGTGTCACGTGCTGGGGAACTGCTGCAACTCTTTCCTCATCACCTAGTTATCTTCAAGCCAGTTTTATTAGAAGAAGCCCCTGACATTAAGAGTGACACCATGCAGGAAAAAGTCTTCTCATGTTTTAATATTAGTTACTTACAAATGAGTAACAAGTAACTGTAGCTACATTTATTGAACATTTCCTATCTGCTAAAGACCGTACATTTTACACACGTCATCTAGTTTAATTTTTGTAATGACTCATGAGGTTCTGTGATTATTTCTTTTTACAGATGAAGAAACATAGATTTGAGGAAGTTAATAAATATGTTCCAGATTATACCTATAGTAAATACTGGCGCTAGGAATGGAGCCTAGATCGTCTGACTCTGGAACTTGTGTTAAACCCATTTGAACCTGTAAATAACTCTGTGGATTAAGAACAAAGATTATTTCCATTTTATGGAGGAGTGGCAGAAAAGTGTGGTGGTTAGGAGAGCAAATGTAAGTGTTAGAAGAGTCCATTTTGATTCCGGTTCTGTCGTTTATCAGTTGTGAATTTGGGAAATGTATCTAACTCCTCTGAGATTTACAATGTCCTCAAATATCAAGATGTAGAGAACACTTAATCTCTTAGGGCCTCTCTGTCTTTGCCATCATCATCATGGTTATTACGTACTTTGGATTTTCTCATCTTAATTTTTTCTCCTACCTGAAATTGCCATGTTATTCCCCTTAAACCCTTAGATTAAGAGATGGCTGCAATGTACTACTATGCTGCTAATAGTAAATATTTATTGTACACTTACTATATGCCAAGTGCTTTTAGTGCATTATCTCATTCAATCTTTACAACCCCTCCACGAGATAAATACTGGTGTCATCTATAATTTATAGTTAGAAACAGAACTCGCCTAGAACTGGACATTGCTGATTTCACTTCCCCCTTTTCCTGCCCACCACCCTGACTGCCAACTGACTTCGGAACTCCAAAAAGGCATCCATGAAAACGACAGGAATTGCCTGCAGGAAATTGAATGCTCCAGGAGTTTGACACTAAAAAGATTGGGAACTGTCCACCAACTTGTGCTACCGAGAATAGTGGTTGTTGAAAGGAATTTCGGTCTCTATCCAAACTTACTTTTCCTCAGGGATGTGTCAATTACCTCCAAGTCCTGTTCAGAAGGGTAGCTGGAAAAACAGTGAAACCAAGTAACTCACCTGAGAACAAGCCGGGAGTAGTGCAAAGGAATCAACCAGACTCTTAATTTATTACAAAGTCCAGCCACTCCGTTTGCTTTCTAAAAACCTTGTTGCCTGGTATTGAGTAAAAGATGCTATAAAGGACGAACACGTTTGGAAGTAATAATAATCTGCTATTATGCGACATAATTTTCTCCACATTTGTTGTTATTTTTCTGATAATAAATTTCATACTTTTTATTGGAAAACCACAGAAAATGCAAAAAATAGCTAAGCCGTTGGTATGTTTCTATCTAGATTTCAATTAAATTTTAATTATTCTCTCCCCGTGCCTAGCCCCCCTTGCCCCATTTTTAAAAAGACCTGGAGTTCAGGGTAGGAGACATCAAGAGCATCCTAGAGGGCAGCAGCACAAATTCACTCCCCTCCAGACCCTGCAGCTTGCTTCGCCCATCTCCCCTCCCCCTGAGCTTGGTCGCTTATCATTGGTCATTGCCATGGCAACCAGCAGCTGCCGGGCCAGCAGCCTCTACCGCAGCAGGGGTGGGGCACTGGGGGAGGGGGAGAGAGAGAGGAGGAGCCAGAGGAGGTGTCTGCTGCAAGTTCCTGGCTGCTTCCGAGCTCACCCCATCCTCCGAGAGGGAGGAGGCCCAACTGGTGATGCTGCTGCTGCTGCTGCTGCCGCCGCCGCCGCCTCTATTGCTGATACTCTAGTGGGGCTGGAAGGGTGGTTCCTATTCGCACCATCGCCAACCAGAGACAGAGGGAAAAAAAAAACCGGCAGCCACTGCTGATGTTGGGTTCGGAGGCTGCATCCGACTCGGTCACAAGGAAAATGGATTCAGTTTGCATCTCTCCCTCCTTTAAACAGCTTCTCCGGGTCTCAGCATGGTGAGTAGGAAACAGTAGGGCTCCCTTCTTGGTTTAGAGTGTTCTTATTTGACCTGTGTATACATTTCTGGCCTGAACTTGAACAATGACTCCCGTGCCTCAGACTAGAAGGGGGAGATGTGGAGACAGAGATGAGGATGGAGGGAGAGGAAGCTTGCCAGGAAGAGAGAAGTGAGAAGACAACCTCTTGTGTTTAAAAAAAAAAAATGGTGTTCTGATTTTATCTCTAACTGGCTCAGAATGCAGACTGAGCCACTTGGTGCCTTTTTTCCTAAGCTTAGCAACAGCATCAGGGGTTGGAAAAAGAGCTAACAACAAGAAGAGGGTGTTATTGAAAGGAATCATTTCATTTGCAGCTCTCACATACAGGGTTGGGCCTTCTTCAGAAATACATTTGGTGTCTCATAAGCTTACCAGACTCATTATAAGGTGGTTTTGCTTATTTTATTGATTGCTTAGAAAAAGTGGCCCCAGAATTTGACATTTTATTTTATATTCTAATATACTCTTGTTGAGAAATCATTTGCAAGACCCAGTTTTATTTTATACGTAGATTTGACTGTGAACTTACACATGTATATCTTATGGATATACAGATCATATATACACATGTCACTTAGCATTTATATTGCATTTATGAAGCATATTTATATGTAGGGTGTGCTTTGCAACCATTTTTATGGGTTACATATGTCCTTGCATGCCTGGAAGTAATTGCATGTTTTTGAAACTATGCTTCTGGTTTATATTATTATTCATTGGCTTTATTTGGATTAATGTGAAATTTACTCTGGTTATTGTCCCTTAGTTTCATTGTGACCGATTGGAACAGATGCCTATCGTTTGATCTGTGTCATAGAACTAGATGCAAATTTGTAGCCTGCCTCTTTATTTTTAATTGGGTTTGTGGGGGATGATATTGAGGACTCTGAATTTACAATGATGGGAATGGGAGGCGGTTTGTGGTATTATTTTGTGTCTAGCATCTTACCAAATCAATGTTGAAGCAAATCAGTTTTCTTGAAATGCCACCCCAACCTTTTCATGTTTGTGCCTTGTGTCCCAGGAAGCACAGCTAAGCTGGAAGGTGAAATGTATTCATTTTATTTAATAGTGCTGCTATCTGATGTTCATTCCTTCAGTATCCAGGAACCATTTCACAGTTCTCTCAGATGTTGTATTAAGGGTCTCCTTCTGTAAATAATTAAGTAGGAAAGTAGGATTGTTTTGAAAATCTAGGTATTCCCAAGCACCCTAGCCCAGCCGTTTCCAAATTAGTCTGCTTATACAATGAAATGAAACCAGAGAGTGAGCAAAGCGAGCAGGAGAATGTGTGGCTTGTAGCTGAAATGGGGGTCTATTGTAATTTACAAATGCTTACTGGGATCTGCTTGACCTTTTATTATGTCAAGGCTTTAAGGCAGTTCAGGAGACTAAAGATGCGTGAGATGAGGAGGTTCCATTCCCGCCCAGGATAATGGATTTCATTGAATTAAAGCCAGAAAAAATTATGTAGGTAAAGTGTATTAGTAATATTACATTTACCACATGGGCTATTATAGTTTTATCCATTATTCTCTTCTCTAACAATATCATTGTCAGTACAGACATTTTTTACAATGTAAAATAACAATTGTTTGGGTCTTTAGTCTTGCATCTGATTCTACATACACCCCCCACATTTATAATTTTCACATGTATTTGAACCAGGTTTATAGTTTAATTTTGCTGAGAATAATTGTTCTATTTGGTTTATACATGAGAAGGGCCCTTGGTGACTCAATTGTGCATGTGCTCATAGCATGTTATATATTATAGATCCATAGCTTTGTAAACTCATGCTACTTTGTGCCTAATTTTAACAACTATATGAAGTAGGGCAAGGAAAGAGGTACTGGGCTTGTATGTTATAACAAATTGTATAACACATTGCATCCTGAATCTTTTAGTGATAACACTTGACTTCCAAAAATTAAAATGTTAGATATGCCTATAGCACACTTAAAAAATTAAGATTTGTACTAGTTGACCCCATTTCATGCAATGAAAGCAGATATCCTGGGGCTTTGTTTTTGTTTCTTTTTTTTGAGTTTTCATTTGGAGGTGGTTTTATAGGCAAAGTTGGTACAGTTTGAACAGAGGCAAATCCCTTAGGCCATGTGCTTAAAACTCCTTGTAGATAGCCTGTTTCAGCTATGTGTCAGCTATTACCCTGATAGAAATACAGGTCTAGCTTTTGACCCCACTATTTAAGACAATTATATGGCCTTTGCTAAGGGGCCATAGAAAAGTGAAGTGTGTTTCAAGCACTAGAAGTTGAACTCTCTGAGGAAAGATTTTTAAAAGCTAGGATCATTTCATTTAGAGAAGAGAAAAATGAAATATGGCAATCGTTTGTTTCAGATAAGCTAAGCATGGGGCATAAGCACAGGACATTGCTTATTGCTATTTTTTGGAACCTCAAATGTAGTCAATGGGCTTCAACTTTATGAGGAATTATGAAGATGAGAAATATGCAAATGTAGAAGTTCCTCATAGTAAGTGTGAGTAGTCAACTGGCTAATCAGATAAAGCAATGAATTCTTCTCTCATCAAAACCTCCAAAAGTATGACCTAGATATGCATTTGTCTAGGATGTACTAGATTTCCTTCTCAAGAACTTCTCTTGCTTTTTCTAGAGTGAGTCATTTATTTGAGAGAGTACATTAGTTGTTTAAGATAAGACACTTCTAGGTTATAACAGTAAGACTCCATTTTGTAGTTGACTTCTAAATTACAGGTTCTAGGTATTTGTAAAGAAATCAGCTGATCATCTTCTTAGAGAAATTTACATGTAATCCTGCCAGAATTCAGGAAACTGAACATTTACCTGTTCATAAGAGCCCTTCTTTCTCAGCAGCTTTATGGAGTATGATGTCAAATACCTATATTAAAATTATTTCATATTGTATAGTTAATTTTGAAAAATGTACTGTGTTATTTAATGGGGTCTTTGTACAAAGTAATTCAAGGGCCATCAAGTTGTTTTTTTTAAAAAAACAAATTATATGAAAGGTATATACAAATTAATGTTTAAATGTGCTGTTTAACAAACTAATCTTCCACTCAAATGCTATCTTAAAAATGTCATTCATGTTAGAATATTAAAGTTAAATATTTTGATTGGTATGTAAGTCTTTAGTAAAACTTGTTTTAATTAAGACACACTAATTAATTTCTCACTTTGTAATAGGATGTTTCTTATTTCAAGTGACATCAGAACATATTTTGATTTTATGTGCCTGCTACAAGTCCGCTTCAGGATGACTTAGGCAATATTTGGAGAGTCTAACAGTTTTCTACATTTCTTTTTGGTTCATGAAAAGTCAATGCTTTGTTTCTCATGGTTGGAGCTTACTGTGGAAGTTTTAACATAAATAACGCAATGATGGTCTTTTACTGAAAGACATAAATTAGGTTTATACTTGGTTGTTACTCTGTGAAGTGTGTTGCAATTCCCTGTTTACACATTCCACTATTATTCTATCAAGGGAAAATGTGCTTTCAAGCAGGATAAATTAATAAATTGACTAACAACTATTTGTAGAGGTTTTATATGACTAGCAGCATTTGCGTATGCTAGCAAGAAAGAATTTCCTTGGAGAATATAAGATATACATCCATGAAACAGTTAATGTTGAAAACAATATAGTTGTAATTAGTACCATCACTTCACCTTATATTATTACAAGTTTTTATGATTCTGTCATTTTTCCATTCTTTTTCATTTTATATTCTATCAATTTCAGTTTATATTCTATCATTTCAATTCTATCATTATCAGCAAAGCTAGTGTCGTAATAATTATTTAAAATAAGTGGAAACAGATTCAGGGAGGTTAGACTTGTCCAAATTTGTGTTTGGTGAGTGGTGTAACAGGCTGGATCCCTAGTCTCATGAGCACAAACTACAACAGTAGAAAGGTAGCAAATTATCTTACCAATTTGAATTTTAATTGGTAAGATAATTTTAATTCAATTTACTAATCTGTGTTGTGTGGCTCATTTTATTTGAATATTTCAGGTACCAAAATTTGTTCTTTGGCCATATTTAATTGCCAAATACACTAACTATGTGCTTAGGGTATCAGGCAAAAAAACAAAAAACAAAAACAAAGCAAAACAAAACAAAAAAAGGCTCACACACACAAAAAGCATTTTAGAGAAAATCTAGGCTTCTTGATATATCAGAAAAACGTAGAAGCATTTGTTTGGGTGAAAATCAGAACTTTGTTGGGCTAATATGCACTTATTTTATAGATAAATATTGTTTTTGTTTTTAATGACATAGAGGTTGGGAGGTGACCATTTTTTTCCGTGTTTAGGATCTGATTAAAATTCCTGTAGGTCCTGAATCTTGAAAAAAGTTATGCCACCTCCTACCTATATGTCCTAATTATCTCTCCACCTACACATTCTTAAAAGTAAAAATGATATTGTCATAAAATAAGTGTGCATCAGTTCAACGACTTTCTGATATTTTCTCTGAACAAATTCTCCTACATTTTTCTGAACTATCAAAAATATTTATTTGTTTTTCAAATATTCTAATTTTCTGGTGTCTCTTTTTCTTTATTAATGCCCTAGGCACATACTGGTGTAAGTATTGGGTAATTCAGCCCTGGCCAAATAGAAAATCATGGCGTCTGAACTGTATTCTACATTTGGAAAAAGTGTCCTTTATAATTAATTAGCTTGCAGTAAAAATGGGACCTGTCACACTAAAAAAATTATTCTTTAAATCATTATTCATTACTACAAGTAAATTTTGTTGCTTAAAGTTTTTTTTATATTTAAAAATAACACATCCTCATTATGGAAAAATGATAATACAGAAATGTGTAAAAGGAAGATGAGAACCGCTCATAAGCCTACCATCAAGAAATCATTACTGTTAGCATTTTGGAATATTTCCTTTTAGATCTTTTTGTATATGCACATAGAGACACATGCAGACACAGTTTCATACATGGACCATACTGTATGCATTGTTTTATATTGCTTCTGCTTTATGTATAGTGGCCATCTATCCGTGTCAACAAATGTGTCTCTACTGAATTTTAAATTTCCGCATGCATTTTTCTTGACGATTCAAGCTGTTTTTCCCCCACTTGAGAGTGTTCACACTTTACTTTTAAATACTTCTTATGATACAGATAGATCCTGCTTGATTTAAAGCAGTCGTGAGTCAGGCATTATATTCAGGAAATATGAACTCTGTTAACCTGACCTGCCACTGCATCTTACAATGGGTATTAAATTAACCTTGGTCATTCTTTGTCTGCTGATAATGAATGAGGTCTGAATCCAAGGCAGTGAAATCCCTGTTTGAGTCACTAGGAGTTTCACCAGGTGCATATATCAGCAACAATTAGAAAACAAAAACAAAAACACATCTGTTTCAGATTCATGTTAGTTTTCCCCAGTGTTGTAGTGGTATGTCGTGTAGTTTTATTTTTTAATTTTTAATTTATTATTATTATGATTTTTGAGATAGGGTCTCACTCTGTTGCCCTGGCTGGAATGCAGTGGCATGGTCTTGGCTCACTGCAACCTCCCCCTGCTGGATTCAAGTGATTCTTGTGCCTTAGTCTCCTGAGTAGCTGGAACTACAGGTGCTCACCACCGTGCCTGGCAAATTTTTGTATTTTTAGTAGAGACGAGGTTTTACCATGTTGGTAAGGCTGGTCTTAAACTCCTGACCTCAAGTGATCTGCCTGCCTGGACCTCCCAAAGTGCTGGGATTACAGGCATGAGCCACCATGCCCAGCCTGTCCTGTAGTTTTAACCTTGGTTAAGCAACTCAAATCCATTATGGGAAGATATTTAAACGACTTCTCAGAATAAACCAAGTGTATTAGTCCGTTCTCACACTACTATAAGGACATACCCAAGACCGGGTAATGTATAAAGGAAAGAGGTTTAATTGACTTACTGTTCTGCAGGGCTGGGGAGGCCTCAGGAAACTTACAATCATGGCAGAAGAGAAAGCAAGCATGTCCTTCTTCACATGGTGGCAGGAGGGAAAAGAATGAGAGCTGAGTGAAGGGGGAAGCCCCTTATAAAACCATCAGCTCTCGTGAGAACTTACTCAATACCATGACAATAGAATGGGGAAAGCCACCCCCAAGGTCCAATTACCTCCCTCTGGGTCCCTCCCACGACATGTGGGGATTATGGGAACTACAATTCAGGATGAGATTTGGGTGGGAACACAGCCAAACCATATCACCAAGATGTAGTTTTGCTATTTTTTTCACTATATTCATTATTTCATAATGAATTCATGTATATCATAGTTTTCAAATAAAACCCCAGTCATCTGACTCTTTCCTCTTTTTTAAATATGAATGGTTGACTCTTCTTAAACTTTGAGCTTTAAACATAATACCTTGGAGAAAATTCCCTAGGTATATATCCCGTTTTACTCTCTGCAACCTGTGTGTTTCCTTCATAATACGTATCAAAAGTTGTAATTACAGAGCTATTTATTTGCTTTCCCTACTCTTCACTAGAATGTAAGCTCCATGAGGGCAGAAAATGAAACTGTGTTGTTCACCAATTGTAACGAATGCCTTGGTACAAAATGCATACTCAATAAAGACTGTTTGACTGAGTGGCTGAATGAATGAAAGAATGAGAGTCCCCTAAAGGGCTCCTGGCCTAAGACTGTAGAAGACTTCAACTAGTAGCTCTTTCAACTGTGATTCTCATTCTTTTAATTTGACTGTAAAAACAAAATGAATTGCATTCACATCCTCAGGATGTTATGATTTTGATAAGGCAAAATCATATTCTTAAAGGTAATATATCATAACACTTAACAATCCATCATTAAAGACTGCTCACTACATGCTACAATATAAGTAAGAAAGATTATGAACACTTCCGTGGATCTTTTTATTTTCTTTTAAAAATTGAATTGCAAGTCAGAAATAGTAACATCATTAATGAATACCTTTTAATTCACTAATTTATTAAAATAAGTTAGTAATTTAATTATTATAAGCAGCAAGTTATATGATACACACTCACAGCTATTGTGCTATTTTAGAAAGCTACTCTACCAAATTCACTAATCATAAACAAATCATTCCATCCTATCTCCATTCAAAAATTAAGTTGAATCAGAAATGCATCTCACTCCAAAGATAAATTAAGGCAGCATCCTGCTTTCATGAGAGTTTTGAAATCAAATATAAAAAGAGTGACTTGTACAAGAGGGTTAGCTTGACAGACACACGGACATGCCTTTGAACCACTGAGGACAGTGATTTCTACGGGTGTCTAACCTGCTGATACGCTGTAACTTAAGTATGAGGAAAAAGCCTTTGTTGCCTTTCTTTGTTTGGCACCTAAATCAAGATCATGGCACTTACTGCAATTCTTGAATTTCTGGAGTCCAGTTTCAGTTAGAATATGCATGGAAAACTAAATCTGACAAATTTTAGCTGACACTATGTGGCCAGAAAACCACTCGGTATTATTTTCAAGAAGGGAAATTTGCTGAGATTATTATGACTCTAAAAAAGCCTCTGAGCATGTGCTTAGGAGAAGAGGGTGATATTTTCATCATGCCATCTTTTCCAAACTGGAAATGTTCCCCTGAAAAATGCTTATAACCACAGTAAAAACCAGGCAATTGTTTTTTACCCGCATTTCTTACCTGGCTCTTTCTTATGTAGCACTTCATGGAGAGAGGTACATTCCAAAAATAAACTGAGCTCTTACTCCGTAGTCATCACTGACGTATATTTAAGGCCCTTAACCTACTCATAGGTCAAGCATACCTAATTTGAACCTATTTTCCAAAATGAAATTATTAGGTATTTTAAGTGCAAGAATACTCATGAAAACAACTTGACAATATTTTAAATAAGTACCATTCTGTAAAATCTAGGCTATTGTCTCATTCTACCAATAAGCCATTAAATGAAGAGCAAAACAGTCAACAAATTTTTATATGATGATAACCAATTTGGAGAATTTATATTAAAAAATCCATGCTGAGAATTCACAAGCTGCTAATTCTGCTAATTGACATTGGCAACAGAGAGAGAAGGACTTAGATGTTTTGAAGATATTATAGGCCCTCAACTTGCTTTCTTATGGATTTGCTAGGTAATTCAGATTATGAAAATGGGTACTCTGGAATTACAGGGGTTTCTCCATCATCTTCTCAGTTCTAGTTTCCTAAACCCAAAGGAAGGAATTATTTTGACCACTGGGTCAGTCTCTGTTTCCTGTTGTCTTTTAAGGAGTAATTTAAGTTGTAGTTAATTAACTATAAAACAGGTTTTGTATTTTAGAGAATATATTATTTTTAGCTATATTATGGAAAACATTTGAATTTTGACTTCTTTTTAAAGGACTTCATTAAATAAAATCATCTATAAAATTTAGAATACAGAGTATTTTGAGCCAGATGCTTAAAATGTTTAGCAATAATGAAAAATAAGTCTCAGCTTTTTAAAAATGAAGTAGAAAGGAATGCCTTCCCCCAATCAATTTCACATAGAAGGAATGCTTTACCTGTCTTGCTCTCTTCTTAGCCAGATTGTCCACATTTTTGACCTACAGGGTGCAATGCCACACTCTGAAACAAGAGAAAGGAAAATATTAGCCTACGACAAGGGAAATCGATTGTTGCATCTGAGTGTGACCTTTGGGTTTTTGCTCTCTACAGGTTTAAGAGTCCAGTATCCAAATGCACACTTAAACATGCCTGATTCATACTAACACTCTTACATGGGCAGATTTGACTACATATATACTGTTTAATCTCTTTTAACTATGGTATGTGACTTTATGTTTTTCTCCTTTCATCCTACGTACGGTTATTGAAATCAAGCCTACATGGTTTAGTCGAGGCCCCTGAAATGTAGTAAAGAGACAAGAATTAATATTTCTAGCCACTCGCTGGTCATTTGCTTGCTGAACTTTCACTAACATGTGTAGTTTGAAAACATGAACTGTCTACATTTATTTTGTATAATCCTCTTGCTTTGAAACATTGATCTTTGGCCGTGTAGTCAACTGTAATCTAAGCAGAATTGATCAGTTCTCAGTTCACGTGGTGCCATCACTAATCATAGCCTTGTGGTGCTTAAGTGCTGTTTGACCAACGAAAGGATCCTTATGACAGAGAGTAGCCGATGAAGCAGTGGAAGAGCATTTCGTTCAAGGCAGACTTTTGCCAAAGATGCACTTCCCCCTAGGTAAATTTGAAAATTTTTTCAGAGTTGATGCTGACTCATCTTTACTCTTTAGAAGATGTGGAGAGACCCATAGTTTAGAATTTTCTTTATAATTCAAGTAAAACTATTTATTCCAGTAGTTAATGCGTTAGCGCTGACCTTCCTAATAACAAGGATATCTGATATGCTCTGAATATAGCAAGTATGAAAGGAACAAAACAGAACAACTTCCTTTTTAAAGTTATCCAGAAAATGAGAAAAAGACCTAAATTCTTTGAGCATCTATTATGCATCTAGTACGCTGAGTATTTTCATCCATGCCTGTTTTTGCAGTTCTCACAGCAGGCTGGTGAAGTAGGCATTTTTCTTCCCATTTTGCCAATAAAGATGAAGCTTTGATAGGTTAAATGTTATACCCAAAGCCATTCAATTAGCGATTTTTTTAACTGAGATGGAAATAAAGTCTGTCTGATTATGTAGCACAGTGGTTACAAACTGGAGCCTTGTGGACTGGACCCAGCTCAAGAAAAGTGTTTGTAAACCTGAGTGAAATGTTAGTACAAAGCAATATATGCTCCTAACACAATATTTTTTAAAACACACTTTTATCCAAATTTTATAATTTTGACATTTCAGGAGATATTAAAATATCTTCTCCTCTTAGGAAAAAAAAAAAAGAAAATCTGGCAACACCAGGGCCACCTTTCTTCATGGCATCTGGAGTTGAACTGTGGGTATTCTGGATGGGTATTGTGCTACTTCAAATCCCTAGCCTGCCCCCCACCACCCCCTCATAATTGATATTTATTGTTCTTCAGTTACACATTCAGTTTTCATTCATATAGAAGCTGAAAATCATGAATACAGGAAATAATCCTGCAGACAAACATTTGCTAAAAATGAATTATCTGTATGAAATTTAATGCTTTAGATCTGGTTTGTGGGCAATCCCAATGACATTTCAACAGTATGATTTGCAGCTTCAAATGTTTCCCTTATGTCCCAGCAATTATTTACGTCTTTCATAATTAGTAGACTAAGGCGTTTTTTTCACAATTTACATATGTTTAATACTTTATTTTTCAAGTTATAAAAAAACTTTTAATACTTCACATTCTCACAAGAATAAAGACAGGGCAGATATTATATATTAATATGTATATCTTAGGTCATTTAATTATCCTCATCAGATCTTTCCATTCACATGTAATTTGTGCCAGCAAATCTATGGTTCCTGTATGTGGAAACAGCAAAATAAACCAAGAGATTTTTCTTTTTGGTGGTAGGGGGAAGAATATGAATAGATAGTTCCTGCAAGTATATTATTATCAGCAGCAGCAATACCACAAAAGCTTCACTGAAGACCCTCAAAATAGAAAATATTTATAGGCTTCCAATTGTTAGCCCTGGTCCCTGTCCAAAAGGAACTTTTGTTTTTAAAAGGATAAAGGGCCAAATATAAATGGAATATTAATGCATGTAACAATTACAGGAGAAACATAAGTAGCACTACAGTTCCCTGTCCAAGTCTTTATTTGTGTGAACTGATCTCTGTGGCTTGTAACTAATGGCCCTAAACTATGAATGCATACGGTGATGAGAATGCTTTGAATCAGTATTTAATCCTCCCTTTCTTCTCAACAGGTATCTTTCATTTGATGAATCAAATATAATAATGTTTATATTAGCAAATAGGAACTATTGAGATGTGTCAGTTTACTTTTTGGACTAAATCCAGGTTAAAATATATCTAAGGGTTTCTTTCAAAACATATTTGATATTAATGCTAGTTTTTGTTTTATGTTGGTTTTTATTTTGCTTTACTACTCTTACTAGATACTAGCATTGCACTAAATTTGTTGCATACCTTTTACCATCACACTTTGAAAAAAGTGATTCTATTCTTATTTTATTCATAATTAAACTAAGGCATATTGAGGTCAAGCAACTTAATACTTACTCTAGATCATCCAACTAATGACTGATGGAACGAGATTCTGACCTTAATTCTGTCTGACTGCAAAGTTGCTCTTAACAAATAAGCTAAACTACTTTCCCCTTTTAATGAAAACATGATTGTGATTCTGAAAATTAAAGTAAATGAAGAAAAAGGCAAATATATTTGAATGTTATTGTTACATATTCATCAAGACACAATTCTTGCTAAAAAGGACAGCAACGCTCTGCTTAAATCTACATTCAAGAACAAAGCCCACATAAACACACTTTCCTCAGTGAAAAAAAGAAAATAAGGGGAGAATGAATCCCAGTCCTAAAATAAACCATTCAGAGATTTTGTGTTTAAATAACTATTAAGAGATTTTGTGTGAGTTCTGTGTATTTCTACAGTGTAATCCAGGATTCACTTTTTAAAACAAAAATGTAAATAGGCATTAAATATATTTTTAAAAAGAAAATTATCTAGTTTTCCTTCCTACTTTTTTCAAGCAATAAATAAGAAAGACAAAAATTTTGTTCTGTATTTTTGACAGTTCTTTAAACTGTAAACATTTTCTTTTCCTCCAGATCCAGAGAGCAGTTTCACAGGAATTTCACCTCTGGATAAATCCCCAACTGCAAAATAGACTGGGCAGTACATATTTCAGAATTTAACGCTATGAACAATATAGTTTCTGTGGTCTTATCATTTACGTGGTGTAAATTCACGCAACTCGAGGCTTTTTTGTTTAAATTTTTTGTTTACAGTAAATAGGAATTATAACAAGAATAGGTTTGGATGAGAGACTGAAATTTTGATTTGGTTGTCTGTCTGTACACCCAACGGGTATTTTGTGTAGACAGCCTGGATCCTATTGTCCTTTCTTTTCCTTTTTGCTATGGCTCACCAGAAATTGTGTTTGTCTATGTAAACCCATTTAGAACCTCTGACCCAGGTGGAGCAATTTTTCAGAAGTCCTTTGGAGTCACTGTAGATAGTCAAATATACAGATATATGGATCACATATATATGATAAGTTAATTGTGACCTATCCCAAATGTGGAATGCAATGAAGCCCTTTAAACAGTATGTTGTAGAAAAATGTTTAGTGATATAGAAAAAATATGTAAGATTTGTCTAAGTTAAAAAAAAAGTCAAAAATCAAAAGATAGAATTTAATCCCAATTCTGTGAAAAGAAAATTACACAAACATATATACATACGTTTTAAAGGGCCAAAATAGTGCAAATGAAAATATTAAAAGGAATTCGTTGTAGGTGGTAAGTTTATGAGAAATTTTTCTTTGAGTTCTCTGATTTCCAGATTTACTAAAATGCATTTTACATCTTTAACAAAATGTGGTAAATATTTTTAAGGAAAGATGTTGATATCAAAATGTTTAAATCATCTACAAACCCAAATATTTGACTATCCAGTTTTGCTCCACCTGGGTCAGCAGTTCCATCTGGTTTACAGAGACAAACACAGTGTTTCTGCTGAGCCCTAGACAGAAGGAAAAGGCAAGGAGGATAGGATCCAGGCGCTCTACACAAAATACCCATTGATGTCCTAATATTTTGAAAAAAAAAAAAAAAAGATCTTGTCTCAAAATAGTTTGAAACCCAATGATATAATTAATGCAATTGACATTCTGTATACCTAATTTCTTTAAAAACTAAAAATTTCAATTGTCACTGGGATATTCAGCATCCTATTTTCATTAGTCTATAGTGGGTTTAGTTCATAGTAATTATTAGAATACATGGTAATAAGACAAAAATCCAAGTTTAATACTATGTGGCTCAGTCATAATCCATTTTTATTGAAAAGCTCTAACAAGGATTATTACATGACAGGACAAAAATCCATACACATTCTGCAGAATTCTGAGCTTTTTCCCTTTAGGAGGTAGGCACAGTCATCCTTATCATGAAGGATCTGCTTACACTTTTGCCGCCCTCTCCGTAGTTTAGATGAAATGAAATCTTTCTCTTCTTGGGCCTAATAATCATGATGATGAGGAAGATGATTATGACATCTCACACTTTGAGGGTGGGTTCCAGAGGGGCACAACTCCGGGGAGGACTGTGTGAGTGGCACCTCCCTGAGTTGTACAAAGGAGGAGTACTGAATGAGCACCTGCTGTGTGCCAGGCGGAGTTCTGATCATTTGACAACCGTGATATCATTGAGGCAGGAACTACTCTACTCCCCTTTAACTTCTGTATTTGAGGAAACTAAGACAGAGAAATGTTAAGGAACATGCCCAAATTCAACCAGCTAATAAATGGTTAGCCAAATGGCTTCTTCATGCTTGTTTTCATACTAGGTGTATGGGATAAAGATCAGGATCCTATTCTCAAAAGGCTTATGTAGGAAGACAAGTCTATAAACAAAAAAGTTAACAATAAAACATTACAAACATTGTGACAGTATGTGTCTCCCATTCAGCCACAAAAGGACCAGGCCTCAAACAAAATTTTAATACTTTAACATTTGCCATAAAGATATAAAGTCTTATTTAAGCGAAATCATATTTGTTCTTTATTGGGGAAGTAAAAGCAGAGTGTGAATTATTTTATAGTGCCTACTTCCTGATGCTGTTTATTACGCATTGTAATGCTGTCCATTAGATAGTATATTTTAATACTGTCTGACCAAACCCATCTCAGTAATGAATGTTAAAATAACTCACATGACTTATTTTTATGTAAATTACTACCAAAGAGTATCTGTTTTTTAAAATGATGTCACCTAATAAACCTGTTCAATTAGGAACTAGAGGCATATTTGAACATTTTGAATGGGAACAGAACTGAAAAATATATTTTAAGCTGAATGCAAAAAGGTATTTGTGAAATTTGTGGTCTTGATTGTAATACAATGAAGAATTAAGTTTAGAAATAATTCTAACAGCTACGATGGGTTCTTCTAAGTTAGGCGTATGTGTAGGGGAGTAAGTAGTGAGTAGGGAACCTACAAAGATGAATAAAACTTAATCCTAAAAGCACGGTAAGCTGTAAGCCTTGAGGCACTAAAATTTTGCTGAGAGACCCAGAGGCCTTTATCAGAACATAAGAACATTTACAAATTGAGTATCAAATATGTAAAAATCTATACAAGAAAACTTAAGAACATCAATCAAGGCACATGAATGAAGAAAAACAGTAAATGCATGAAAATTGAGTTTACAAACCTGAAAGTGTGTGTGTGTGTAGGGGTTTTGTAACCTGTCTTGCCTTAAAGTTAAAAAAGAATGTTAGTTACATGGAATCAAGCCATGAATGGCCATGATTCAGGGAGTAATGCAAGAAAATGGATTTTTAAAATAAAGCAAACAAAACAACACAAACAGATCACTTTGCAGACTGAATGGTTTGCTGTGCTCAATTTCAGCATGCTTGAAACTTCATCACTTAGTAACTATTAGAAAACAGAGTATAAGACTGAAGTAAGAAATGACTATTAAATCCTACGAGGAAAATTATGAATGGCTTTTTAAAGATTTTTTTCCAATTTGAACCGTTTCTTGCATGTGAATCTAATGAGGGCATATGCATGAGAAATATTGGAAAACACATTAGATACATTGATTTCAGTTACAGTCAAGGGACTCTTTCATTATTATTTTTTCTGTATTTAATACATAAAAATCAACCCAGAAAGTGAGAAAAATATAAACCTGGAGGGAAAAAGGTCACTGAGTACTTAATGAGAGTATTGATTCTGATTTGCCTGCCTTCACTTTGGATTTTTCTTCTTTGAGCTATGATTATCAGTACTCCAACCTTGGTATTAAGTAATCTGTAAATTCTCTCTTGGTGTGTAGTCAAATGCCACTGAGCCAGAAACCTGTACAACTATTGCAAATCCCTTAAACTGTTTATTTTCCTTTAAGTGAAAAGGAAGTGTTGAGATGGATTCTCTACAAGGACTCATCCAGCTATAAGCCAATGTGTTTATGACTTTGTGACTGTCCATCACATTTTCCGTCAGTTCTTTGTCATAGTAAATGCTTCTCAAGGTAATAAGGCAATATCAGCTTATTGTCATTTTTCTCTTTCACTCTGTGTATATGTGTGTGTGCGTGCACGCGTGTGCACACACAATGTTGCCATTCAGTTTAGCCAACAGGTCATTAAATTCAAGCTGTACATCAAACAGTGCATATAATGTGGTATGCTGCCAGGCTAACTATTCAATCCAATGCATAAAGGAATTGACTACTGTTTTCTCTGCTGCAGCCCAGATACTGCATCCTTAAGGCCAATGTGCAAGCAGAAAATGAGTGATTGACTGGCCGATCTCATTGAGAGGTTTTTGGTTTATTTAAGGGCTTTTATCAGTTTATATTACGGCCACTTTCCACTCAGCATTATGAATCTGTGTTAAGTGGACCCCCAAGGTAAGAGCATTCTCTGCTCTGCAAAATATTTGCACTTGCACATTCAGGAAGCCACTGTCTAGCTTTCCCTTTTTAGAGGCCATGTTGGAAGCCAGCTTACCCATATGTGTGATATTTTAATCAAAGTATGAATATAGCTCTCCTTAGAAGGAAAAATCAAATGAAAAAAAATAAAAGATTATCTTTTTCCTTCTCTCCCATCTCTCAGGGCATGTACTGCTGTTGTATATGGAGTCAGAAGAATATCTCATAAACAGAGAATCCCTTGACTTGACAAGTGTTCTTTTCCCACAGTTGTTATTTTGGTACCAAGTTCACTTATCCCAGCTCTGATTTGTTTAGAGTAAAGCAATGTGACACAGTGGAAAGGCACAAATTTGGGAATCAGAAGTCAGAGTTTAATATTTGTTCAGCTACCAGCTGATTGTATGACATAAGCATGCATCCTGTCCATTCTGGATTTTTGTTTTGTTAATTGTTAAAAGAGAGAGATAAAAAACATCACTTATTTTTTTCCTCCTTTCAAAAGGAAAACAAGCAAAAAAAAATTCTACAGAAAAGTCTCTTAATTCCTTTGCCTTCAGATATGTAGGCATGTTTGCAAGCTGATTGAAGAAATCCTCTTCTGAATCCAAAGTCTTTTTATTTGCCAGTGGTAGTGATTACAATTATTTATGGACTTCACTTATTCTCCCATTGGCCTACAGTGTCTCTTTGAGGGAAGTGAGGCCGAGAGGGAGAAGGAGAAAAGATGGGGGGAAACACAACCCTAAGGAGTAGATCATAACCCAAGGTTGGGTGAGGGAATAGCAGATGCCTTAAAAATGCATAGTCATTTAACCTCTAAGTTTTTAATATCTAGCTACAAAGTATAAAACTGCATAAAATTGCCTTGACTGGTTGGAATGTAATGAAGATATAAAGAGTATCACAAGATGGACATGTTATAAATGTTTAAACAAGTATCACAGATTAAAAAATGGCAATGAACTCAAAGATGTTTAGAATATATTCAATGAAAATGTAGATTTGAAAACACTGTGTCTATTAAAATTTGTTTGTATGTGCATAGAAAAAAAGACCTGAAGGAAATATAAAAATATAAAAAGTGTTCAGGTGGTAGAATTACAGGTGAATTTTTTTTTCTTTTTGTTGACTTGCATTTCCCAAGATTTTGCCAATGAACACATACTACTTGGTTAATGTGAAAAGGGACAAACCAAAAAGAATTTCAAGAAGTTGTCTTTACCTGAACATTAGGAAGTCCCTGATGGATATTAGGTAGGGGAAAGTGAGCCTCATATTTTTTCCACCTTTAAAGCAAGTGATTCCTTTGTTCTCTTGGTCTTTTTTATTTTAATATGAGTGAATTAAAGGAATTCACTATAAAGATATGCAGGAAATGAAAACCCTAGGATTTAGACAAGCCAAGTGAAGACCAGCAGGGCTGTCCTGCTGTGATTAAAACTGTAATGATACTGAAGGGAAAGCCATGGTGTCACGTCAAGTGGACCAAAGTAATTACATCATCACCATCAGTTGGAAAAAAGAGCTTTCTTCATGTCCTATCTACTAATCATTATACAAATTAATACTGGGGTCATTTCTTTTTTGGAAAGTGTGTGACCAATTGGTTTATATTCCCAGATCTTTTTCTTATTTCCAAAATGAATTGTGATAAACCATTATTTTCATCTATTAGTATTTATTCAGTACATGCTCATACCGTAATCCTCCTTGGTCATTCCAATTATTTTTTTTAATGTATCTATTATGAGCATGAATTGCTTTTTTCTTTCTTTCTTTCCTTCCTTCCTTCCTTCTCTCTTCTCTCTTTCTTTCTTTCTCTCTCTCTCTGTCTCCCTTTCTCTCTCTCTCTCTCTCTCCCTCTCTCTCTCTCTCTCTCTCCCCCTCTCTCTCTCTCTCTCTCCCTCTCTCTCTCTCTCTCTCTCTCTCTTTCTTTCTTTCTTTCTTTCTTTCTTTCTTTCCCTTTTAGACAGAGTCTCACTCTGTCACCAGCCTGGAGTGCAGTGGCATGATCTTGGCTCACTGCAACCTCTGCCTCCTGGGTTCAAGCAATTCTCCTGCCTCAGCCTCCTGAATAGCTGAGACTACAGGTGTGTGCCACCATGCCCAGCTAATTTTTGCAGTTTTAGTAGAGACAGGGTTTCACCATGTTGGCTAGGATGGTCTTGATCTGTTGACCTTGTGATCCTCTCGCCTTGGCCTCCCAAATTGCTGGGATTACAGGGTCGTGAGCCACTGCCCCTAGCCGAATTGCTCTTTCTATAGATTATGGATCACTTGAAAAGCTTTTTAAATCTCTTTTACTTAACTCAATATCCCTACCATTTTTTGTGTCTTTGCTCCAGCATCCCACCCCACCCCGCCCATTTTCAATATCCTCTTTGCACAATTTGCTTCTTTAATGTTGCTTTTCCTGGAACCCTAGTATCTATGACCCAACATTTAGACGAATCTTTCACTGGCAGAGTAGCCCAGCACATTCAGACCTCCCTTGTCTGAATTCCTGTCATACTTGTGGTCACTATGGTACTGTTCAGTGCATAATTGTTCTCCTTGTTTCACATGTTCTCATTGGAACATCGAGATTCCACATCAAGATTGAAAGGCCCTTGAAATATCTGCAATCCTCCTTCTGCTCCCAGAAGTGCAAGGACACCTCTGTTTGAGGAACAAATTCTGTGTGCCATGTACTATGCTAGGTGTTTTGTGTATTCTCTCATTTAAGCCTGACAATTACTCTGTTAAGTTGGTATTAATACCTTCATATATCATGAGAGGAGAATGAAACAGAGAGATTGTGTATTTTCCTGAAGCTATGCAGCTGGTTACTCACAGAGCTATCTGTCTCTTGGTCTCTAAGTATTTTCCATTCCCCCATGGTGTCTGGCTGGGTGATCCTTAGGTGACTTTAATGTGGCAGCTCATTTACAACGTTATTTAATTTTGTCTATTCTTGCTTGGTTTAACATAATTGAGGTAAATTTTTGTGGTAGCAAACATCAAATATAACCAACTCTTGATTATTTGCTTTTAAATGGCCTTCCCTGTTCATGCCAAGTTTTCATTCTTCTCTTGGTATCTTCCCGAAGATAAAACTACATTAAAGCTCAAAGTGCCTAATTCATTAAACTACTCCTGTTTACCAGGAACTATTGTTAAGCCCTCTCCATTACCTGGGTGAAAGAACCTACCTTCTCTATATTTCAGTTTCAGATTCCTCTCCACCTCTAAATTAAAATATTTACCCAATTGTGGAAGTACCAGTCTCCAGAGACAAAATGCAAAGAAGAAGAAGCAATGATTCCATATTTAATTTCCTGCAATGCATCTAGGATATTCGAAAGCCTGTAGTAACCTGACCCCAACAAGAGACAGCAGAACAGAGTTATTTATGAAAAGAATGCTGAGTAGGAAAAGGCTCTCCTTCAACAGTGTGCGTGTAGCCAGAAGAAAAAGACAGCCTATAGCTGCCCCCAAATGAACCAGAACGTTCCCTGTCTTCTGTCTGTGTTTCTCTTTGTCAATGGGATGAACTGGGAGTTTTATCTATCCATTAATGCCATGTGAAGAACTGAAAGGGGGTAATTTAGAATATAGAAAACAAAGACTGTCTGAACAGTCTGAACTCATCTATCCAGGCTATTCTAACTCTTCACCCCTTACCAATTTCTCCTCTACTCCCCCAAAATTCATATGGAACTCAGGAGTGAACAAACTGGCTGCCTGTGGTCTGGTGTTTGGAACTGGAGTAGTCTCAGGCTACTCACCCTTTGTCATAGGCAGTCAAGAGGTGATGGCTTGACCAAAGATTTAGCTCCGGGTTAGAGAATTCTACACCACATGTATATTGTTCCTTAGAATGCTTGTGTTTTCATTCTCAAACTCTCCTGGCAGAAGTTTAAAGGGAAAAAACTTTCCAGAAGATTTTTGATATGAACTTGTCAATTCATATCAAAAGCCTTAAAATGACACACCCTTTGACCTAGCAATCACATCACACTGTTAGGATTATATCATTGGGAAATAATTGAATAAAAATCACTTTATAATTTATCATCAAATGATCTATACCAACAGAAATTGGGAAACAACCTGTTATGGACTAAATTATGTCCCTTTACCCCCAAATTCATATGTTGAAGCCCTAATCTTCAATGTGACTGCATTTGGAGATAGGCCCTTTAGGGAGCTAATTAAGGTTAAATGAGGTCATAAGGGTTGAGTCCTAATCCAATACGACATGTGTCCTTATAACAAGAGAAAGGGACACCCAGATTGTGCACCACAGAGAAAAGGCCATGTGAGGACACAGCAAGAAGGTAGCTGCTGTCTGAAAGGCAAGGAGAAAGACATCAGGGGAATCTAAACCTTCCAACACTTTGGCTTGCACTTCAAGCCCCTAGAACTGTGAGAAGATAAATTTATGTCGCTTAAGCCACCTGGTTGATGGTATTTTGTTATGGTAGCCCTGGCAAACTAATACACAGCCCAATCATTAAATAATAGGAGAAAATTACACGAATAAGAGTACAATCTAACATTAGTATATAATGTAACTATAAAAAAATAAGGGTTTGCATCATGTTTATTGCTATAGAAAATGCTCTCAATATGATTTTAGTTAGAAAAGGAGGTAACTAAAAAATATACTAGAATGATCCTGTTTGTATACAAATATATTTATCTGTGCATGTGTGCATATATGTAAGTGTCAAAGAATTACATCAAACAAACCCTCAAATCCTTCCTAAATATAGTTTTCTTCTTTCTTCTCACTTTCCCTCCTTTCCTTCCTTTCTTTTTTCACTTGTCTGTGAAGCCTATTTTTTCCCAATGAACATGAGTTATTTTTGGAAATATTCATAAGACATATGTATTTTTATCCCATGTTTTAAAAGTGCCTTTCAAATGTAATAAACTTATTCAGATTGTAAAATTCTTGAGCTTAGTAACTACCAATATCCTATAAATCCATGCTTATAATATCATTAAATGTTTAATTACTTTTATTATTATGATAATTTAACTATTTTCTTTCCCATGACTAAAAGTTCCATTTTTATACCATTTGTCATATTTATTTAGCATTTTTGAGTGATGAAACATGTAACATTTTTACTCTCCGCTTCTGACACTTAGTCTAGTGTTAAGTGCCAATAATACACACTTACAGAAAGATCCAGATTTGAATATTTGCCCAGCCACTTAGCATGACCTTGAGAAAGTCACCTAACTTTTCTAAGTGCCACTTTTCTCAGCTGTTAAATATAGAATAATTATATTTTCTTGTAAGTTTGTTGTAAGATAAAGTTAGATAATAAATCCAAAACACAGTGGAGAGGTTAAGGGCAAGGAGTCTGCCATTAGAGTGCCTGGGTTTGAATCTCAGGTAACTGACTTGCTGTATGGCTGTGGACTTAAGGTACCTAACCTCTCTGTGCCCCAGACTCCTCATGTGTAAAATGGAAAAGGTGATGCTCCCTACATAGTCAATATTATTTTCAGTATTAAATACATTATTTATAAAATTCTTATAACAATTTTGGCACATAGGAAGACTATGTAGATATTTATTAACTATATGAAGAATTAATACAGGAGCTGGATTACCATCAGAAGAACTACATTGTCAAAATATAATAGCTCAGGGGTTTTGTATATTTTCAGTGCTTTTCTTGTACAACTGCTGGGAACACCTTGATTTAGAAGCATTTTTGAGAATCCGTTACTTTACAAAAACTCTATTTAGTATAAAAGCAGACACTAAGAGATATTAAAGAAAGAAGATTCACCCTGTGTCTTTATTTAACTGTTTTTAATTACTTGCATTTCTTCCCAGTCTATCTAATACAAATATGAGGTCATAGAATTAATGTGTCTTGGTATAGGAACCTCATACTTTTCCCAATGGGAGAGTGTCCCTGTACCTTTCCAGACCAGTGAGAAACCTAGGGGCTATGGATCCCACCCCTCTCACCTCTCAAGGTCTTTCCTCCTGCAATTATTTGCTCATTCTCCAGAATCATCCATTTCTTCCTCTCAACTGTATCACTCACATCAGCATATAAATAGGCTGTCATACCTCACATCTTAAAAGAAATTATTTGAGCTTAACATCCCTTTCAATCATTATTCCATTTATATTCTACCCTTTACAGCAATGTGTGTTGAAAAAGTCTTCTCTCAAAGCTGTCTACACCTACTCACCACACACTTTATCCACAGCTGCCCTAGTTGGGCTTCCATTGTCATCATTCTAATGATACTGCATCTGTCAAATCCTTAACAAACTATGTCCCTTGATGCTTAATTCTAAAGTCATTTTTTTCTCTTTCTTTTTCTTATATTGACCTCTCAGATAAAACTGTTGACCACACTTTTCTTATTAATGGCTTTCCCTTCATGGTTTTGATAACTACACACTGAGTGATTTTTTTTTTTTTTTTCACTGACTGCCTCTTCTCTTGTCCCTCTTCTGCTTTCCATCTCTAAACATTTGGGTTTACCAAGGCTCAGTGCTTGACTTCCTTGTTTTCTGGCTACATTCTCCCCAGGTAATCTCATGCATCTGCATCTCTAGGATAACACCAGTCTGCAGTCCTGACTTCCCCTCAGAAGTCCAGGCTCACACTCAGTTGTTGACTTAACATTTCCACTAATGTGTTTACAAGTCTTTCGATCTTCACAGGGGCAAAGTAGACTTCTTTACTCATATGCATGCTCCACCCCAGCACAAACGTGTCCTTCTTTCTCTCCATTTTAGTAAATGGCATTAGGTTTTAAAGCCAATTTGAAGAGCTGTCCTTGATTTCTTTCTTTCCTTTATAACTCTCATTCAATCTGTTAACAATCCTGTTGCTTTTACCTCAAAACATTCCCTAAATCTGTTTACTTTTCCATCTCTATTGCCACCTTCCCATGTAGGGCTGCCATCTTCCCCTGCCTGAACTACCTCAGTAACCCACGACTGGGACTACCTGCTTCTCTCCCCTGTATGGTAAATTCTCCTCACAGAGAACACAATGACCCTTTTAAATATTGTCAAAATTACCAAATCCTACGAATTGACTTTGCAGACTCCTCTCCTGATCTCTTCCTCATGTCTTCCTCTTCCTGTTAATCAGACACACTTTTCTTGACTTGCACTTCTCCTTACCTTATTAGGTTAGCTGCTTCTTGTCATTCAAATTGCAGCTTAAGTGTCCTGTTTTAAGGGAGGCTCTCTCACCATCCAGTCTAGAGGAGCCACCAGGTGCTCTCCAGCACCTCACACCATCTTAATGACCTATATTACACTTATCATTGATTGGTATTTTATTCAGTTGTTGGTTTGTTTCTTGTCCACCACTAGCACTCTCTTTGTTCATTTTCATATCCCTGAAGCCTAGAACAGTGCCTGAAGAGTAGATGCTCAAATTTGTGCATAAATGCTCTAGATCAGAGTTCACATAAACATTTCTTCTTGTGACTGCATGGTCCACAAAACTATCTTTAAAAAATGATAATTAGTCGAATTGATATGCCATCTCATTTTTTAGACATTCAGTTCATTTTCTTTTCTTTTTTCTTTTTTCTCTCTGCTCCCCTTCTCCTTTCTCTTTTTCTTCCCTCCTTTTTTTCTTTTCTGTTTTCCAACTTCTACCTGCCTCTGTTTATTTTCTTTTGTTTTCATTATTAGATAACACTGATAAGAACATCTTCTGGTATGGGCATGTATTTTTACTCTTCCTCTTAATTATTTTCTGGAAACAATTTACCCAGCCATGGAAATAGGATCAAAAGATAAGACATAACCCTTAAAATTTGTTGCCTCTCTTTCCACCTCTTAAAGTCTTTATCATCAAAAATAAAAGAAGGTCACAAGAGAGGTTTCTAAGAGTAAGAGCAGACACTTTCCAGTAATAGAGGGACTAATGTCCCTTAGTGTATGGGTCAGTGGTAGAGGCACTAGTGCACCCTAAACAATGCACCTGCACTATACATAGTTCAATAAATTGCATTCTTGGGACTTTTTATTTGCTGTTTTCTGACTTAGTTTTGCATGCATATATGATACGTTTATGTATGTTCTAGTGGGGATTTCATTGTATAAAACTCTTTTAGCTGGTCATGATGATATGCACACCTGTAGTCTCAGCCACTCAGGAAGCTGAAGCAGGAAGTTCCCTGGAGCCCAGGAGTTCAAGGCCACAGTGGGCAATATAGTGAAACTCCATGTCAAAAAACAAAACAAAACACTTTTATATTCAATTATGTTGAACTTTTTCTTTGTGATTTACTGTTTTATTTTCAAACATTTGGAATTATTGCCTCTTTAAAGATCTGATAGTCCATTTTCAGTTAGTTTTGTTCTATGATTTGAAGGTCATAGTTAACTCATTAAACAGCCTGAAGCTTGTTTTGTTATATGGTATAAACTACAGATTATGTAAGTTTTTCCAAATTATTTTTCTTTGTTCTATGTAACATTCGATTTGTATTTTAAAAGAAGTTATTTTTACCTCTCCTAAAAATTAGCCTTCATTTGCATTTAGCTATTGCTCACTATGCCTTTTCGTTACCAACAGAAATTATTTAAATTTTTTAGTTGCAACATTGCCACAGACTTTTCTGTAACTGTTTACATAAAGTTGTAAAATTTGAAACTAGTGGACAATATTCTGATTACTGTAGTATTTACATGTTCTCATTAGAGGAATTAAACCTCAGAGACCTTCATTATTTTTCTGAATCTTTACTAAACCGTGTGTTACTACATTTGACTATTTTACCTAAAATAAAATCCATGATGAATAAACTTTTAATAGACAAATTTATCCTTTGTAAGTTAAATAGCACATGATACAGCTTATGCATGAGTTTAAAAAATGTCATGGCTCATATTTTGAAGTCAAAATCAGGTTAATCAATATTAGTACTTGACACATTCCGAAGAGACAAAAAAGAAGAAACAGAACCTGTGGATTGAAGTTGATTCCATATATGTCAAATTTTTCATCATATTTCTATCAAATATTATCATAATACTTTAAAAATTTGTGGATTGATGCGGAGCCTCAGGTGCAACTGCATTATCATTTCAGGATTTTTAAAAAATTGCTACCAACATCAATTAATATGTGTTAAATTCTTACCATGTCTGATACTGTGCTAAATGTCCACACGCATTATCTCATTTAATAATTATCACAGCGGCTCTGAAAGTCAGTTATTCTACATATCATTATGATCACTCCTTTCAGAAATAAGGAAACTAGGGTCCAGAGATAACATCACTGGGCCCAGGTTAAAGAACAGAGGCTGGATTCTCACCAAGGACGATTAGACTCCAGAACCAGTGGGATCCCATCCCTGACTCAGTTGATTTGAGTAGCTCTCTTGTTTCATGAAAGCTATTACTTCTCGAAGGTCTTTTTATAGATATTTATAAAAATTTAAGGACCACATTTAATCATGTGGATGGAGAGAGTAAGAAGAGTTTCCCTAATGCCACATCACAGTCTCAGCTCTGCTACCATCATCAAGAACTAAGATAGTGACTTCACCTGTGAAGGGTTCTCCCTCGCCCTTGATAGTCCACTTTACTAGAAAAAAAGTTTACAGGAAGGTTGCATTTTTGGTCCCAGTGGCTACCTCTATCCTTTGGGTTATTTTTCATAGTCATATTTCCTACAAATGGAATGGGTCCTACCTGGGTGTAATCACTGTATGGACCATGTAAACAGATCATGACCCCACACCATGCCTCCCTTTCCCTTTATGCCTCCATGCATGCATACATTCATTTATTTCATGATCAGCAACATTAATTCACAGGGACTCTCTTCCTTTTCTCTACCAAAAAAACTAGTTTCTTTTAATCAGATAGCATAAATTGTGTGAAGGGGAAGAAAATAAGCATTTATTGAGCACCTACTATAAAATATGACAGCATCTAGCACAGTTTACAGAACACAGACAGTACTTTGTAATTGTTGATTTTTCATGTCCTCTGTTCTTTACCTCCCTACTCTGCACTTCTGCTGTTTTGTTCTCTGTTGTGCACCTGTGTTAACAGATGGTAAATCTGGAAACAGCAGCTACCACATGGGAAGGGTAGAGCACAGGCTGTTTATATTGGCAGGCCCTGTAGGAGGATAAATGTGAGTAGCCCTGCACCTTCTTGGTGACTTTAGAGATCTGCAGCTACCCATCCACCCTCCTTTTCTTCTCTCAGTGTTTGTTCTCCCTTTACCTGTCCCAGTCTGCATTGAGTGGAAAAGAATTCCCATGAGCAACAGTCTTAAAGAGATTTACTGGATGTTGTTTGTAAAGCTTTTTGAATTCCTCAAACAAAAAGAAATATAAATACAACACATCATGCCGAGCAAGGTCTTTCCTGTTTTAATGTCTTATAACCATGAGAACTTTTCATGAACAAAGGCTTTTTGAATAGCTCAGAAGGTAACGTCTGCAATAATTCTAAGGCTGGGTGGTTAGAATGCTCTAATTTGTGTGTGTACCAGAGTAAGGAGTGAGGGCAGGTGCCTCCCTATCATTTTTTTAAAACTGACCTTTACTGACTTAAATGATTTCTCCTGTAAAGACAACACAAATACAAGTTGTCTTTGATAGAATTCTTCTCTCTGATGCTTCAGTCACGACATGAATCTATAAGGTGCTTTGAAAGGAATAATAATTCTTTCAAATAATTGTACTTCCATTTAATTCATTATAGTCAAACTATTAGTAATCAAAGAGAATATTCCTTTTTGAAAAGAATGTAAATATTCCTATTGGTCCCTTCCCTTTGCACTGATATGCTCATTTATTTCTCATGCTTTCACATGGATATTTGCAAATAACCTGTGTTTCTTTTTGTTAGAGCAATACAGGATATACATATATATGCAGAATAAATTAAATGATTTCAATTTTCATTGTGGCTCTTCAAAGGGTGTGTGTTTAATTGACTTATATCCTAGTATCATGGAATGCTCAGAAACCCCTAGTCATTCATTATTTGTGTATGGACTAGTTACTTTCAAAAAAGAGCTTGGGTCATTGGCATGGACCAATAGTCCCAACTATGCCGGTGGCTGAGGTGGGAGGATTGCTTGAGGTCAGGAGTTCACTATGAAATGCACTATGATTGCTCCTGTGAGTAGCAACTGCACTCCAGCCTAGGCAACATAACGAGATCCTATCTCTAAAAAAAATTAAAAATAAAAGTTAATCTGCCTTGGTTAGTTTTCACCAATTAACAAATACAAATTACAGAGGTACTTGGAAGAATGGTGCCTAACATCAAATTAAACGTTATTTTTAACATCCGTGTATCACTATTGTGGGTGTTGCTATTATGTCTGAACGCAAAAGTATCTGAGACAGGCATCAATCAATTTAGAAAGTTTATTTTGCTGAGATTAAGGATGAGCCCGTGACACAGCCTCAGGAGGTCCTGATGAAGTGCGCCCAAAGTAGTTGGGGTACGGCTTGGTTTTATTCATTTTAGGGAGACAGGAGACATCATTTTATACATTTTAGGGAGACATGAGACATCAATCAATATGTATAAGATATACATTGGTTCAGTCCCAAAAGGGGGGACATCCTAATCTTCTTTGTCCTCACTGCCAGTATCCTTATTTAAGACTGTTGTCTTTTGTCTGGATTGTTTCAATAACCTCCTAGTAGATTTGCCAGCATTTAATTTCTCCAAAGCTTTGTTCAAAACTCTTGGATTTGTCTAATGAGTTCATTCTTGATCTTGTTATTCTGATTCTTACAAGCATCCCAAAAGTCCTTGATACCTATGGAATAACGCTCCAACTCTATAGTCATAAAATCTGTACCCAGTTTACTTTGCAAGCCTTACACTGAAATATTCACAGCTGCTCTTCATGTGCACACCTACCCCCAAAGCTCCTTGATGCAAGCTCTCTTCCACTCATAGTGGCCTAATCTGTAGTCCTCAAACCACAATATTTTATGTCCACATGTTGCTCACCCTACCTTGTGATAGCATTTACTGTTTAAAAGCCCAGGCTTTCAAGTTATATAGACTTGGAATAGAATATAAGTTTTCACAATAATTAGCTATGAGGCCCTGGATAAATTACTTCACCTTTCTGGGCCTCACTTTCTTAATATGAAAAGTGGAGACTGAAAACCCAATCTTAATTGGGTTGTGAGGAATGAGTTATGAGTGCAATAATACCTCACTCACGGTAAACTTTTAGTAGCTGTTTGCTTGTATCACCCAAAATGCAACTCTTATGACTTGAATTCTGAAACTCTAGTCATCCTTAAAGTGAGAGCTGAGTTGTAACCTTTCCTCTGTAGCTTTCCTTAAGCTAGACTTCTCTCAGCTCTGCCACCATGTCCTCATTGTTAATCATCCTTTTATCTTAGTTCCCAGGGTATTTTGTAATCCTTCTATTATAGCATGTGTCTCGATATATTATTTTTATGGGTCTTCCTCCTCCACTGGAAAGATAGTGCTCCTGGGCAGAGGCAATGGCTTATTTGTTTTGTATCCTGGGGCCCAGGACACATCCTGGCATATAATAGTCATTCATTAATTGTTCACCAGATTGAATTTGTTGGACACTTCAAACATCCTCTTGCTTTAAATGTTTCTCCTTGTTACAAATTAGAGGTTGTTGTGCTGAAAATTGAAAAGATAAGCCAACGATAGCATTTTAATCTCCCTTTTATGAAATTATTTAAGTTGGAACCATCAGTAGAGTAACCTGTCACCATAAACCAAAGGTAGTAACAAGAATTGAATCTTTAAAAAGGGGGAGGAGAAGCATTTAATATCTTTAATTCTAAAATCACATGGTTTGTTGGCACAGTGATGTCAGTGATGTCAGTGTAGTTGCATCATTGCGTTAGGAGGACTACAGGAATTCATTAGCCACTCAGACAATATGATTTGGAGTTTCACTCTGGTCATCATCTGAAAATGGCTACAGTGTTCCAGACCAAAAAGTAAGTGCCTAGTGGAACCTTTAGCTATTATAAGAAACATCTTTAGCAAAAAAAAAAAAAAAATACATTCTGCTGAGCACATAGGCACAATGTGTTACACCAGACTCACCAATAATATTTACTAAGGGGTAGATTAGCTTTTCTACCACAAGGAAGATGGTTAGTACACTGAGGAATGTGTGAGTGGTAGTTGCTAAGACCGAATTCTTTAATGCCTGATCTAGAACAATGAGCAGGCATTAAAGAATTTATTTTATGTTTAATGGAGAAACTTCATATTTATCAAATAAACTGGATTTTCAATTTCTCTTGAAAAATCAGACTTGACCATATCGTGTGGTTGCATTTGCACAGAGCAACGCTCGGTGGCAGCTGAGGAGCCATTGCTCACTTAAGGAAGGTCATTGCCTTGCCAGTCACCATTATTCAGTACATGGTCCCCTTCACACATTCATATTTCCTGACTCAACCCTGTAGGAAAGGCATCTGTGCTTTTCATCCTTTCCTCTAAGCCTCAGTTTCTAAATCTGTATGTAGAATTAATATAGCAGCAACTAGCTTGAGGAACTCTTGAAAAGATTAAGTAATGTAACTTGTATTAAGTGCCTTACTCAGTTCCTGATGCCATTGTAAGTTCTCAGTAACCGGTTACTATTTCTTCACTTCAAAACCAATATTTATTGAGCTTCTACTATGAGTCAGGTGCTGGGGTAGAGACGGAAATCTAATTTTGAGCAATTAGAGGCATGGTCCCTGCCTTGAGAGTTTGTGGTTTAGCATCCAAGGAAGTGCCAGCTATAATGCCATTGGTCACATGGCTTTTGTTTGTGTTATAGAATGAGGAGGAGATAAAAGTCATTGGGTTGCTTTGCAATTTCTTGTGCTGGACTGAGAAAATAACAACAGAGAGGCCCTATAAAAAGGCATTTTAAACTGAACATTCTCCAGCAGTCCTTCATTTTCACTCTTCCCACAAAGCTGCCCCTCCCCCAGAACTCCCCATCTCAGCAGATGGCCTTCTTATCCACTCAGTTGTTCTAGCCAAAAAGCTAGAAATATTTTGAGTCCTCTCAATCCTCTCCTCTATCTCCCTTGATGTTTAATTCACCAGCAAATTTAGTTGTCTCTTCTTGCAAATCATGTCCTAGATCTCTCCATCTCCCCATATCTATAGTGCCACCCCGCACCATGGGCCAAGCCATCATCACCACCATCACTTCCACCAAGGATAACTGCACAGCCTCCTGCTGCCATGCAACCAACTTTTCCTCCAAAGGCCCAGTAGCAAGTATTTTAGGTTTTGTGGGCCTTAAGGTAGGTCTCTGTCACAACCACTTAACTCTCCTGTTGTAGCACAAAAGCAGCTATAGACAATATTTAAATGACTGGACATAGCTGTGTCCCAGTCAAACTATTTACAAAAGTAGGCTGCAGGCTGGATTTGGCCTGTGGGTCATTGTATTATAGTCAGGGTGATCCTTGTTAAAATGAAATATGGTCATGTCACTCACTTAACTCTAACCCCTGCAATGATTTCTCAGGCACTAAGTTTACAGTACTCAGTTTGGTCTGCATGGCCTAGTTGATCCAGCACCCCTTTTGGCCCCAGGCACTCCATACTTCATCCAGATTTTTAAACAAAACGAGGTAATTCCCTTGACAGGGCCTCTGTACTAATTGCCTGGAATTCGCCTTCCCCATCTCAGCATGACTGATTCCTCCTTATGTATCAGATGTCATCCCTGAGAGAAGCCTTCCTGATCCCAATGCAGACTCATTCCAAATGACAACTTACAGTCATCCATTCCTCTATTTTATGTTCTTTTCTGTAGTACTCCCCATCATCAGAAAGTCTCTTATTTATTAATTTGGTTGCTTTTATATGGTAGTCTGTATTTTCATACTAGTTTATAAGCTGACGGCAGACTTTGGCTATTGCTTGACTGCTCTAACCCAGATCCTCAAAAATACTTTTTGGAAGGGAGAATAAACAGATGAGTACTCTCTATCAGTGTAAGCCACAGCACCACTTAAGCCTGCAGTCCTACAGAACCTCATCCATCAGGGCAGGCCACACCTTTATGCCACCCTCCTTGCCCAAATGTGCCAAGTGTGGCTGGCCTAAGGAGATGGAATTGTAAAAACTTTTTCGACCAGAAAGAATTTCAGAAGGAAAAAGAGTAAAATTCCTCTAACAAAGAGCCTGTGTTATTGCTGAGCGCACACTGCTTTTGGCTGTGTAGCTGGTCTTTGTCTCCCTGTGGCCCTGTGCCCTTGCTTAATGTCTAGAGGGAGGTACTTATGGAAGAGACTCCTAATAAAGACACTTTACAAAACAAGGGTTATGTGAAGGGGGTGGGGGGAGGGGGAGTAATTAATTTTTCTTTTTGTTTAAAGTAGGAAAGCCAAACTACATCTCCCAAACACACCACTTGACTTGAAAGAGATACAAAAGTCCTTTCTCTTAAAAGTCATCCATGTCGGGCATGCTGGCTCACGCCTGAAATCCCAGCACGTTGGGAGGCGGAGGAGGGCGGATCACGAGGTCAGGAGATGGAGACCATCCTGGCTAACATGGTGAAACCCCATCTCCACTAAAAATACAAAAAAAAAAAAAAACAACAACAAAAAAACAACTTAGCCGGGCCTGGCGGCACGAGCCTATAATCCCAGCTGCTTGGGAGGCTGAGGTAGGAGAATCACTTGAATCCGGTAGGCGGAGCTTGTAGTGAGTGGAGATCATGCCACTGCACTCCAGCCTGGGCGACAGGGTGAGACTCCGTCTCAAAAAAAAAAAAAAAGTCATTCTGACTTTTAACAGGGAAAATATAACCATCACTTGTATAGGTGGATGGGAAAGAATTTAATACAAATGTTAGTGGATGATTCTACTTGGGCTGCCGCAATAGAAAACCACAGACTGGGTGGCTTAAATAGCAGAATTTTTTTCTCAACAGTTCTGTAGATTGGAAGTCCGATGTCGAGGTAATTACAGGGTTGGTTTCTGGTGAGGCCTTTCTTGCTGGCTTGCCAATGGCCTCCTCTCTGTGCACTAGGAGAGAGATCTCTGGTGTTTCTTCCTCTCTTGATAAGGATACCAATATTATCAGACTAGAATCCCACTCTCAAGACCTTCCTTAACCTTCATTACCTTCTTATCTCCAAATACAGCCACGTTGGGATCGGGGTTAAGGCTTCAACGTATAAATTTTGGGAAAACACAGTGCAGTTCATAATAGAAACCTTCAAATGCTGCAATTTCATGTAATATAGGTTTCTTTTGTGTGTGTGTGTGTGTGTGTGTGTGTGTGTGTATTTTCTGGCACCATGAGTGATATCTTCCTTGGGAAATGGGTGTGCTTACTCATTTTTTCTTATTGGCCTTCAGACTTTACATCAGTCTTAATCTTGCAGCTCTTAACAAATTAGAGATGAGAGTCTCTAAATAAGTGAGTATAACATGTGATCTCTCCATGAGACTGGAGAACAAAGGAAAACCCTCCCCATGGGGCCTTTATCACACATCTTAACAACACAAAGGCGTCATATGAGGATTGTGTCCCTTGGGTTAAGAACGCAGCTGTTTACCACAAAATGGCCTCCTTCCTGCCATTTCTCACATGCTTGGCCCTTTCAGAGCACCTTTCCCAAGTGAGTGTTTTATTTTCTCTTCCCTCATCTTCACTTAAGTTTATTTCGCAATGGTTGTGATCTTTCCTGAGGAAGATATTAGATCTAGACGTGTAATTGCTGGGATGATAAGGAGCTATTCTGTAATTATTTGACTTTTTAAAAATCAGTTTTTATTTATGAAGCAAACTTGCTGAGTGCTAACCATGTATGAGTCATGATCCCAAGTAGTTTTCATGAATATTCTTTTAATCCTATCAACAAACCTAAAAGGGAAATATTATTCTTATCTTCTATTTATAGATGGGGAAACTGGTTTGGAATGGATAAGTCAAACCAACAAACAAAAACATTTATAAGTATGGGGCAAGATAATCAGCTCAATCCAATTTCAGGGCTGAGCTTCTTAACTATTGCAACAGTTTTTTCTCATTCATTGTTCATCCATAAAGGAACTGGACTCAAGCCTCCTGCCATTATAATTTAAAGTGTTAGCATATATGCAAAATATTTTTATGCACCATTTGATTCTTTATAATCCAACTTCCAATGTGACATTGAATTCAGTCCAACATTTATTAGGCATCCACTACTTGGAAGACATTTCTAGGTAGGCGATGGTGTATAGGGCAGGGTCCTACTCTTCAGGTGACTGGCAGGTTAGCAGGAGTGTGTGATATATGCACAACTCACAGAGTGTCAAGTGACACAGAAGTAGCTACCACTAAGAGAACTGGAAGAAAAGAAGAGTAAGGGAATAGCTTCCACTAGGCAGGATGTTGTTTTAGGTAAGAGCCAGGGTTTGACTTCTAGCTCTGTCACATGTAAGCTGTGTGACTGAACAAGTTTCTCTAAAGCAAAGTTTCTTCCTCTATAAAATAAGGATTAAAAAGGGTTCCTTTTGCTCATTCTGCTGTAAGAATCAAGTAGGATAATGCATGAGTAGTGTTGAGTACTATGCCTGGCACATAGTAAATATTCAATAAATGTTAGTGAATTTTTTTTTTTTGCTGTTATTGTTTAGCCCTAAGGAAAATTCCTAGATCAAAAAGACAACCAGTTTGTCTATATTGCAGAAAATAAGAGGCTTCAAATTGACAAATTTATATGTGTGTTCTAGATGTCACTTATCAGCCATGTAACTTAGGACATGTTTTCAACCTTTTTGAGCTTCAATTTTCTCATCTCTTAAGTGGGAATGAAGCGGCATCATTCATCTGAGGTAATAACCGAGGTTCGTTGTCTCATGCCAAGGAAACCAACAATGCAGACACACGAAGAGTGAGGTTAAGAGTGGAGGTTTAATAGGCAAAAGAAAGAGAAAACCTCTGTCTTCCAGAGAGAGGAGTCCCAAGCAGGTCTTCTGGTTCACAGTGAAATGCAAGGGGTTTTATGGATGAGCTTGGGGAGGTGGTGTCTGATTTAGATAGGGCACAAAAGATTGGTCAGACCAAGTGTGCTATTTGCATAAGGTATGAAAAACTGGTTAGGGCTAGGTGTGCCATTTGCATGGCCACCCCCACCCTAAGCTTTTATTTTGCAGATGGGTTCTCTACCTGGCCAGTGCCAGGTTGCCTGTTTCTTTATTGTACATGTGGTGACAAAGAAAAGGAAAGACAGCATCTCCATGTTGAACATACCTGGCCCTCGGGTAGCCCTTTTCTATTGGCACAGCTGCCAGTATTCATCTGTGCAAACTTCCAGCTTGCTTATCTATGTCTGCAGCTCAATTTTTCAAGCTGCTCTTTGTTAGAAAAGAAATGATTTGGGGCTGCTTTTTGTTAAAAGGGAAATTCTGCCGAGGATTCTTTTACCCTCGCTATCTACCTAAATAATTTCCTTCTACCTCCTGTATCAGGAATAATGATGACATCTACCTTGTAGCATATTGTGAGGTACTATAATAACAGCATCAGGTATTTATAATTAGAATTGGCCAGAAACTGTTCTGTGGGATTTATATATATATATTATTTCACATATTCCTCATAGTAACTCTATTTGGTATTAGCTGTATTATCATTATCCACATTTCACACGTGAAGACACAGAATGTCAATAAACATCCAAGCTCATACAGCCAACAAGAAGTAGAGCCAGGATTTGAACCCTGGCATTCTGTACTCTACAACATTATGTTATACTTTTATCATTTTGTGAGATAAGTCTATGAAACCTTTAGCAGAGTGCTCGGAATAGTCTCAGCATTCAGTCATTCAGTCAATGTTCCCAATTATTGTTATCAATAATAAAGTATGGAAAAATGGCCCCTCAGAACAGGCAGCAGATGAGATGCACCTTGAAGAATATATGCCAGCAAGTCAATAGTTAAGCAACCAAAGTTTTGAGAGGATTTTTGTGTTTACACATTCTAGACAAAGTAGATAGCTTATGCAAAGATACAAAGGCAGGAAAACACAGGGCATATAGGAGAGAACAGTGGGAGTTCAATTTGGCTAGAGCATAGCATGAGGGAAGTAGTCTGGAACAATAAGCCTAAAAAAGGTAGGCTGAGGTGAAATGCTGGGGCAGTTTAAATAAAATGTATGGAATCTGGTGATTCCTTACATTCTTACTGATTCTGAGTGGACAGTCTCTCAGGTAGTAGTTTTGATGGCACCTGGAAGATGGTCTGCGGGACACAAGAGCCTGGGAAGGAGAAGACTAGTAGCCAGCTATGGAATTTGTTTATGTGACTTATAATGGGGTCCTGAGGTAGACCAAGTGGCCCTGAGACTGCATCAGATCAGAGTCAGCTTCTTTCTATTTAGCTATATCTTTGACAGTTACCAATTGTTATTGCTTGAATCCTCATGTTTTCAGGCCCAGCTGTGCCCGTGTTGTAATTTTTAATCTTTAACTGGTTTAATTTACCCTCAGAACAGACACTCTTGCTGGCTAGGTAGAAGTGACGTTTTAAGCATTTTTCTTGTAGGGATGTTTATATGTGTGATGATTTCCACCTTTATCCCCCACTGAGAAATGAAGAGCAGATCATTTCTGTGGGTTGATTGCCTGGCCAAGCTCAGTGGAATGGCTTAGTACTGGTCAGCCTTCTCTGGTTGCACCGTGGCACTGCCAAAGTTTAAAGGAATCTTGGTTTTTCAAAAAAGCTCCTCATGACTCATTGGGTTAAAAATAATAATAATAATAAAGCACTATGGTATGTGGGAGAGTGGGTGAAAGACATTCGAGCTTACCTGATCATCAGTAAGCATTGGACATACAAACAGCTTTCTCTGCATGGAGGGTTGGTCCCAGAATTTAGGAGAAAAATTCACTCTCCTGCCTTAAAGCACTAACTTATGGGCACTGGCTTATTTGGTGACTTCGTTTTTTAATTAGCAGAATAAATAGCTTAACAATGTTCAAAGTTATAGGAATCATTAAACAAACTGTGTTAAAGGAAACCAGTGGACTACTAGGTCACCAATTATAAAGTTAAATATGTGAATAGTAGTAATGTTTCCAATGTTACATATATGAGAATTTCTGAGTAATAACCATTTTTAGAAAAATGAAAGTGTATATTTTAATACTAATGAATGAATGAGGATACTGTATAAAAATAGAGGAAAACACAAAGCTGTATAATTGATTGATGTTTTGGTGAGTATTTAATTCTACAGTAATGGAACAAGCTATGTTTCTGGAGTACTTTCCATGTTTCAGACTCCATGATAAATGATATATAAATAGAAAATTTTATAAATTATATATTTTATTTTACATATTTGCTATTTATGTTTTGTATATTATATTTACATATATTCATTTGTTTATATATAAACTCTAGTTTATAATGCATAAGGGAACCTAAAGTCCCAGAAGGGCAATTGGCCACAGAAAATTGTTCTGAAGTTCTATCTTTGTGTTAACTCTATTCCCGTCTTTCGTCCATGAGTACAACCCAGGTCATCGAGCTTTTTCTGGGAGAGAATTTGATGAGGGAATACCTCTACTTGGCATGTCTGAATGAAAGGCCTTTAAGCATTTCTGGAAGTATGGTAAAGCCCTGCTATGCCAGGATAGCAGGGATGCTCAAAAGAATCTTAAATATACCTATTTCCTCTGGCTGAGTCTGATGCATGCAAAAGTCCAGTTCTTTCTAACTGCATATTTACTTTTGGATTTTTCCAACTTGGATCCTATTCTCTCAAAATTACAAACTTTGATCTCATCTTCCCAGAATTCAGTTGTCTGGAAACTTCTATCTTCAACACCACTAATAATCAGAAACAATAATAATTGTAAATACTTGTGTATATCAGTTAAGTGTAATTATATATAATATTGTACTCCTATTAAACCATGACATCTATTCTATTACATTATATAAATACACTTATCTTCACCAAAATTCTGTGTATAATTTTATGGATGAAGAATCTGAGACTCAGAGAGTCTCTGACAAAGTAAAAGTACAAAAATAAATTAACTAAAGTCCAAACATTGAAGTTAATGCCATGTATCATGTATTCATAATAACATTGTCCTAATGATGTCTGTGTCTTTTTCTAAGACACAGTCAACAAAGTTAGTTCTTTAATCTTTAATCTCCCAAGAAATAAGAAAGTACGGAGCAGATGAGAGTCTATTCTTTGCAGGCTCAGTGGCAGATGTGATAAATATAATTGCTGACAACAAAAGAGGAGAGTACAAAAGGCCATAAAAATCAAATATCAGAACCAAAACCTCCATGGTGGTCTGGAGTGATTAGGGCAGGATGGGTATCTTTGTCCTCCTGGATGAATCCTAAGACAATCCTAGGTAAGTGAAACCAAAGACAATCACTAGTTCTTACAGTGATGATACAGAGATAGCAAGTCAAGATTTTGTTACTGTTGGCATTCTCTGTTAATAAAGCAAGGAGTGGTTAATCAAGCAGAATCCAACAAAACTCAAAGGTTTGGAAACCTAAAATAATAGATCTTGAGTTCTCCAAATTATTTGAAGACAGCTTAGTCTTAAAATAAGATTTTCTTGCACTGGTTAATATTTTGCTGACATGCTGTTCTCAGATCATTGGTAAAGTGTTTCTTAGTGTAGATCTAAGTTGCATCCGCCAAGGTCGGTTTGTTGATGTTTTCCCTTAGGTTCTAGTGTTCAAGAAGTACTCAATGGCATCTTACAGAATCTACAATAGGTGCTGAGGCCAGACCTTATTTCCTTTTTTTTTTTTTTTTTTTGAGACAGAGTCTAGCTCTGTTGCCAGGTTGGAGCGCAGTGGCATGATCTCTGCTCACTGCAACATCTGCCTCCCCGGTTCAAGCGATTCTCCTGCCTCATTCTCCTGACTAGCTGAGACTACAGGCACGCACCACCATGCCCAGCTAATTTTTGTATTTTTAGTAAAGAAGGGGTTTCACCATCGTGGCCAGGATGGTCTCAATCTCTTGACCTCATGATCTGCCCACCTTGGCCTCCCAAAGTGCTGGGATTACAGGCATAAGCCACTGTGCCTGGCCCTAACTTTTAAACTATATCCACACAAGGATCTGGGTACACTCACAGAGATACTGTAACAGGACTGAAAGACATCCATCACCCATTTTAAATGTTTATATTTTTGTACCAATCTTTAATTTTTTTACCATTAAACAGCTTATAGTAAACTATGATTAATTTTATATAATAAATGCTGTAATTATTTTTGTAAGGAGCACACTGATATTGCTCTGTATCTTTGCTTTAAAACAGTATTAATGGGTTTAATAGGTTTAAAATATGTAACAACTTTCAGAGAATTCTTTTGGATTTTTATTCATCTTTAATGCAACTGGAGGCTCCAAAATAGAAGTGGCCTAAGCCTTACTTGGCCTTGGAGAATCTTTGGCAATTTATTTATTAACCTCAAAGAAGTTCAGTGAACTTTTAAGAGTCTGGGTGTGATCTTAATGGTGTCACATAAAGGGTCATGTGGAAGCTGGTGGCTTCTTATAGACATAGTGCCCCCTGTCATCATTAAATATGACACAGCTGGCCAGAGAAGACTTGTTTTCTTTTGGTAAGCACAGCTGGAAAAATAATTCAAGAGCCATCCTGGGTCCTCTCCTCAATATCTCTAGCTGCCCTTTGGAAACAGGCCAATTTGCTGTGTTCGTTCATTTATTTGATATTTTTTGCCCTAAGAAACAAATGAAGCAACTTGCTTTAATGAGAGAGAGAGAAAAATAGAAAGAGAGAGGAAGGAAGGAAGGAAGGAAGGAAGGAAGGAAGGAAGGAAGGAAGGAAGGAAGGAAGGAAAGAAGTTAGGAAGGAAGGAAGGGAGGGAGAAGGAGGGAGGGAGGGAGGGGAAAGAAAGCTGGCTAGCTAGCTGAGTGCTGCAGGGGAGGGTTACTGGATTCAGCCTTCTGATTAGCCTTGGAAAAATGCCAGCCTCCACAGAGGAGCATATTTCAATTCTGTTTTTCAGGGCTGAGCCTTTTGGAGAAGAACATCATTAAGAGGTTAAGGGCTTCAAGGGCCTTCTGGTAGCTCTGGAGAATTCACAAGGAAACCAGAGCCAACTCAAAACATAATACCCTAGACCAAAAACAAGAGGAGGAAGACAAATCTCCTTGGCAGAATCCTTATACTCATTAGGATATTCACTACTGTGGAGCATTCACAAATAAAAACTCAAAGTAGCATTGAACTGTCCAATCAAGCAGCCTATCTGTGAATTATTTTCTGAATAATGGAGAGACAATAAGGATAAATTACTAATCCAGGTTTCTGTGTGTCAAACCTCAACCTAATCCCATTAGTGAACAGTAGATATTTTAAAAATAACAGGGCTATAAGTTTCCTTTGAGATCAAAGTCTAATGCCTGCATTTTATTGTGAGGGATGCACAGATTCTAATTAAAAGATTTCTCCTCCACAAACACCCACTCAAATACTACTATTCAAGTACCATCAGCAATTTTTGTATCTTTAGCAGGTTAACCAGCCTTCTACAAAAAAGTCACTTCAAATTAAGTGGATAAGTTTTATTTAGATAATGCGTGTGAGAGTGATCATTGGTTTGTCTCAGGTCAGACAGCCTTGGCTTGAAGCCTGTCGCACCTCCTGCAATCCAAAAAAAGAAAAAAGGATCCACATGAGTACTTCTCTCAGTGTCAGTGTAAGGATTCATAAGATGATGACTTAAAGAACTAACATGGAACAAACTCATTTATTTCTCATAATAAGTACTCAGTAAAGTTGATTATGATTACAGGTACTATTTGGAAAGTTTCTCACAGGGAAAAAGCCTAACATTGCAGATTAGGAAAATGTATGGAATTCTAAGGTGAGTCAAAACTCAGTTCTATTTCAGGTTTCCAATGCTGTAAATCAAGGAGGCTTGTAAAATATCTACTATGTGCCAAGAATTGTGCTAGACTTTTTTTTTAAGTCATTAGTACTTACATTTCAGTAATTTCTTCAATTCTAACACCGAAATAGTGTAGGGATCATTAACAACTCAGTAAGTTAAAAAAGAAATGCCTGGAGGAAGGACTAGCATCATTTCTTGAAGGACCAGCTGACATAACAAACGTAGGATTATGAACAGCTGTTCATTCACATACATAATAAGCATTTATTGAGCACTAACAATCTACTTTCTTCATCATACCACATAAACTAACCCCCATCTCTCTATTCCCTTATCTTGCTGGACTTTTTCTTTTTAGCACTTGTCACCTGCTAGCCTTCAAATTTATTTAATTTATTTTTTGTCATTATTGCCTGTCTTCCCTCACAAAATTGCAAACTTCATGGGAGCTAGACTTCGTTAGTTGTTTCCCATAGACCTGGCACATAGTAAATGCTTAACAAATATTTCTTGAATGATTATGTAGGAAGGTAGGAATGAGAACAACTTGCTCCTTGCCACAGAAGAGCCCAACGAGTTGACTTATAAACAGAGCAGAATGTTAGCGTAATCCTGGAAGGCAAGCATTGAGAGGGGACTGTCTTGCACTTTAGTTGCATTGAATAAACAAGCATCAGGGATTTTGTGACAGCTCAGGATGTCTCTCGTTATCTTAAGGAGCATATTGCAACCCAGCCAAAGTCCCACAAAAAATCCACTGAAAGATACAATACAATAGTAAAAAAAATATATATATATATATAATGATCCACAGGGCTAATGCGGAACAAAGAAAGAAGGTCACAGATAAAGCAATATCAAAGTAGCAAATAATAGTACGCTATTATATATAAAGTATATAAATAATATTACACTAGTTAGCAGAGTGGTTTTATAGTGGCAAAGCTTTTGTCGTTTAATATAGAGTTCATGTGTGTGTGTTTAAATAAAATCTTAAGCTGGACCTTCTATTTGTCCAGCATTAATACTATTGTCCCCTTTATTGTTAAGGTTGGGACATAGAGCAGCAAATGGAGTTATTCTTGAGTTCTGTTTTTTTCCAGCAGTTTTGCTGATGCTTGTCCCCATACTTTATGAAGGCTCAAGTATTGATTATACTGACCGTTGATTCTAAACTAGTAGCATTAATTCAATACTTAATTATAGTTTACAGGCTTTCCCTAGAGCTAGAAAGAAAACACTTTCTTGTGCTTTGCTGAAGGAAAATTTTTCCCTTAGTTAAAACCTAGAATGAATATTACCCATCTTTACCAGTTTTCTGTATAATTAGTTTCTTTCATTGAGTAACAAATTTACTACCAAGCTCAATGGATAAATCAGAGTAAAACAAAGATTTCTTAATATTCTGGTGAATTTTAAAAGTAAGCAAAATTTCTTGCTTCTAGGAAAAAGTATATACTTATACCTTTTACCTTCTTATATATTAAACAAGTTATATATATTCATTTTATATGTATATAAAGGTAATGCAACTCAAAGGAATAGACATATAAATAAATACCACACGATTGTACTCTCTCAAAGAAAGAGCATTTTGATATATCACATTCTGAAGTTGGAAAATTTCTTTTTTTGAAAAGTATATATCTGATTTTCTTTTGCAATGCAGTTATCATTGGAGTTATTTTAAATGTACTCTGTGCAACTATTAATTTATATTTGAAGAAATACTGAAATTATTTTAGTATTTAGGTAAAAGGTAAAACATTTTTTTAATCAAGTGGTATCCTAACACCTAATTTACCTTAGCGAGCTTATATTTTAGTTGATCAGGGTTTTGCAGCAGGATATGTCTGTAATACACTTCCAGACCTGAAGGGACAGGGATGATCTCTGTACTGATCGGCTTCATCCCAAGAAGCTGGGCCAATATGATATGAGGCGATAGTGGTCTAGGATACTGTGAAGGGCTGAAATATATTATCTTATTGGACCTTCCAGCTGTAGCGATCTATGATCATATTAAAAATGCCTCCCCATGTAAAAGAAAGCCACAGCTCATTTTGGAGACAATATTCCTCTTCACCAACCCTTTGTGTGAGGTTTGCCCTTCAAGATGGATTGCAGTAATGAAAATAAGACCCTTTCCCCCACCCACGCTATCATTTATCAAGCACATACTAAGTGCCAATCACTATGCTAAGCTCTGGTTATGAAGACAGAGCCTGACACTGGAGCTTCAAGTTTAGTTTTCATTATGCCAGGGGATTCCAGGAAGATGAGAGAAGAGCATTCAAGACAAAGATGACGGGCTTGCTAAGACCCCTCCACACTGCTTCTAAGTTGTCCAAAAGTTTATGGAAATTCAAGTGTGCTGAGTAGCAATGGGGAAGGCCCTTGGGTTGTAGGGTAGGTTCATCAGCACAACTACCAGGTTCCAGCCTGGGCAAGGCTCTCAATCAACTGTTAAAAGAAATTGCATGAAATCAGGTTGTCCTTTAGAAACAAGGCTATAACCAGTCCTTTTGTCACAGCTCCCTAACCTCCAGCAATGTGCAGTCTGGCTTCACAGTGTGCTGATAATCAATAGATTTTTGTTAGGTATGTAATGGCAATCAGTCCCCAATTTCTTCTTTATATCTGTGATTAGTGTATGTCTTGCATTCTGATTCTATAATTAGACATTACATCTTATTGCTGCCTACATTCCCACTTTTCATATTGTTTGGCTTTATATAAAACTGGGCTGGGTATGTCTAACAAGCACTCCTGGTGGCATCTGGCTAAAGCCAGGATGGCAGGTTAGAAGTGTGACTCAAAAAAAGAAACCATTTGCTTGTACAAATAAGGGTCTTGTGTCCAGCAAGTGAGGTTCCAGTTGATTTAAAAAGGAGAAAGAGCTGTTTATACCAATAATCAGTTGTACTTTGAATAAATTCAGCTCATGGAACATGAACCAAAACCCTTTATTTTCATTTTCCATTGCTGTCTTTAAAATGTGCATACTAGACATAGTCTTTCTATGACCCTAGGTGGAAAATGGGCAGGGGCTGTGACTTCTCTGATCAGTCTAGAAAGTCCTGCAATCTCTTTAAATCACAGACAGTCTAACTTCAGAAATTAGGCTGTCTAGTCCCAGAGGATGATCAGAGCTCAGAACTTGATTTAAGCGGGAAAGGATGTCTTCTTGTCTTTTTTCTCACCCTCTATCTCCCTCACTGAAGTTGGAGCACTGGAAAGGGAAGGGGCACAGTGTGACCGAGAAGGTATTGCTTGAACCATGATGCTGCTTCAAGAGAGCTTCAAGCTCTCTTCTGTGAAGCTTCTGTTGCCTACTGAAAAATAAGTTCAAAGCTGACTCTTTTACCTTATGGACATTTTTTGTGGGCTCTTCAGAGGCTCTTCTGTGAGCCTCTGTTCGTCTCATGCACCAGTCAACGTCACTGTTTGGCCAGCCCCTCCTTGCTCCGCCGCTGGTTGTCTGGGAGAATGCTCCACTTAGATTCTTATGAATAAAGTCTCGTTGCCTCTTCCAGGTGGTACTTCTGGGCATAAGTTAAAACACCCCTAGGCAGGCTTTTCTCCTCCTGTGGCATAAATGTGTGGGGAATCTCACATATTCTTTGACCCGCTAGAGAAATGAGAGAGAATGCAGTTACCCTGCAGATGCCGCAGCACCTCGCCTCCACCCTCCCAGGAAAGCCGCTCGTGCATTTCTCTGCTGCCCTCCATCTTTCTTGGTGAGAGTCTGACTCAAGTCTGTTGCCTCTAAAGTTCTGGGAGACCCATATTAAGCTTTCCCCAGCAGGCTCATTCAAGCCCCTCACCAGGCTGCTGTGAGCAGAGCCCCTTCCCCTTGGTGAGGCTTAAGGAGCAGGTGTGACCTACCGTCCTTCAAACCCTCTTGCCCCAAATCACTTAAACAAATCCCTCCTCCATTTCACCCGCAAAAATTTTGTATCCTACATCTTGTTTAAAGATCCTTGGATGAAGAGCCCAAGGGTTATGAAACTGATTCTCAAAACATTTTAATCCAGTTTCTTTCTTTGATTTACAGCATCTGTTATATCTTGGGTCTTAGTAAAGACTGTGATTATCTCGTGATCTCATTAAATCCTAGTGACAATCATGGGAGGTAGCTGCCACCTTTATCACTCTTTTTCTTATGGGAAGATAAAAACTTAGTAGATGGATGGGCCAAAAGTTTGACTAAACTTCACCTTTTTGTAGTTTCACTTTTTAAGTTATATTTAGAATATATTGATAAATTATAAATTGATTGTGAAACTTTTTTTCTGAATTTTTTGGCATGCTTACTCAGTTACACGAGTATAAAGGGTATTTTCAGTCTTATTATCTGCAATTGCAGTCTTGTTATATGTCTATTCATACAGTAAATTCATTTCAAGATTTATGCCAGTGGGTACTATTGCTGCTTTTTGAAGTTGAGGTGAACTATCCAGGAAGGTCTTGTTAATGTTATGTTCATCTATAATGACATAGGGGAAATACATATATTTTTAATATTGTAAACATTTGTACTGAATAACCTTTCTCTCCCCCACGCCACAAGCAAAACTGGTTGAACAGCGGATGAAGATATGGAATTCAAAGCTCTAATGGACCTTTTTGAAGAGAAGTTGTGGCTTATGTGGAGTTTATATGGGGCTCTGATGGAAGAAAGCTAGTATGTTTAGTATTTGTGCATTTTACTAAAATGGCAGCTTAAAGTTGTGTATCTGCTATTGTGATTCCAATGCTGGTGTTTTAAGTGGGAAAAAAAAATGACCTCTTTGCTTCGTGCTGTGTACACAAGATTTCTGGAAAAGTAAATAAAAACCCTTTTTATGGCTCATACAGCTTAAGAGTAGCTGTCTCTCAAACGTGTGCTCACAGTTGAGCTGCTTTTGTTTTATTCTAAATAAATTGTTTCTTTTAAGGAAAAAAAAAACTTGTGAAAGTAAATGGTTCAAGCTCACACACCTGTTACGTGGGAGGACCAATATCTGATTCTGGGCTTTTATCACTCCAAAGCCCAAGCTCTTAATCATCAACTTATATTTACTAAGACACTTACCATCTTAAATCTAACGTTCTGTAAAGGAAGTTCTAAGGTAGTGTTCAGAACTAAATTTCCTGAACTATATATTAAATTTCCATGCTGTGAATTTTCTTATAAAGCACACATCTCAAATTTCTTTTGTCTGCAAGGTATTGATACTTAAACCCATTATAACATTTTGAAAAATAAGTATATCGATATATTGCACTCAATAAGACACTTGTAACTCAGACACTTAAACCACCCAACTTAATCAATCTAGAATTCTGACCACCTTTAGTGAGAATGTTACTTTCCAATAATATTATTTTAAATAGCTAAACCTGGAGGTCTGTCACAGCTTGATTGCTTTCATTGTCAGAAAGTATACCTTAAAGATTACAAAAGTAGGAGAGTTTTGGGAAGATCCCACTCAGTGTAACATTTCCAACCTTTGAGGATTTCAATTCTAAATTTATATCATCACCATTTTGGTTGAGGAAAATAAAAATCTCAGTGCTATTTATTAGTAAGTGCTTTCTTCATTTCTGTCTATAGGAAAAAGTACTTGAATATCTTGGTCTAAAACTGAGAAAATAAAAAGTTACATCTTTATTTATAGTCTTGATTTATAACACTGCAAGAGCAGAGTTATAACAAGACTAGAACAGGGCACAGAAAATTTTGTGATAATCATATGCTTCTGCTGTATAGTTAGTTTTATTAAGAGACATTTTGACATTAAAGTGGGAAGTATTTTCATTCTGCCACATCAGGCAATACTTAAGTCTCAGGAATTAAAATATTACAGCATTCAAAATTTCTATTACAATAAATATTTCTGGAAATATTCTGGCTTTTTTCTCTAAATTTGTGTTCTTGAACGGAGATTGCTGGGCCTGACATCAGATAGTCAGCCCTACAGTAAGAAGCATATGTGAACACTTGTGATCTTATAAATTATATATCTCATGCATGACTACTAACTAAGCACAACTCAAATCTTACCCTATCAGGCACAATGTCTATTGTAGAAAACCTCTCTCTTCTTCCCTAATTTGGGAACTCAGTTGGGAAATAGTAATACTTAGCAAATATATGTGAAGATTGACCCTAAATTCCGTACATTGCCATAAGTTACCTGAATATCTTCAGTATTGAAACAATATAGGGTTTCAATATTTATATGTTGAAACCAACATATAAATATCCAACCTCATAAAAGTACAGGGTTTTGATTAAATAAACTCTATGATACCCCTTATAAATATCCAACATATAAATATCCAACCTCATAAAAGTACAGGGTTTTGATTAAATAAACTCTATGATACCCCCTAAATAGATAATGTTCTTTAAGTGATATGGATTAGTCTTCCTAAAATGCTTCTGGCAATGATTGAAAGAAAAGTTTAATTTTTTAATTTTTAATTATTTATTTTTTGAGATAGAGTCTTTCTCTGTCACCCAGGCTGGAGTGCAGTGGCGCAATCTTGGCTCACTGCAACCTCCACCCCCCAGGTTCAAGCAGTTTTACCTCAGCCTCTCAAGTAGCTGGGACTACAGATGTGTGCCCCGACATGCAGCTATTTTTTTTTTTGTATTCTTAATAGAGACGGGGTTTCAGTATGTTGGCCAGGCTGGTCTTGACCTCCTGATCTCAAGTGATCCACCTGCCATGGCCTCTCAAAGTGCTGGGATTACAGGTGTGAGCCACTGTGCCCGGCCCCCAAATTTTTAATTTTAATTAATCAGGAAATAGATAAACTAGAAAACCCCAACTCTTGAGAATTATAGGTGAAAAACAGTTCACTGTATTTTTTTGAGCTAGTTGAAAAATGAAGGGTAGGAAAGAGTGTTGATTTATGGGCATTGCCTTATTTAATCTGTCCTGAGGTTCAGAGAGGAGAATGACTTGCTCAGAGTGGTAACAAGTTGAATGACTTTCTCAGAGTGGTAACAAGTTGCACTCCAACCTGAGACCAGAACTATGAAACTACTCACTTCAAACCAGCATTCATTCTAGTCCACTGTGCTGACTTTATTTCTTAAAAATAGAACCTACACTGAGCTACCAATAGCAGTGTTTGCTAGAAAGTACAACAGCTAAAAAACATTAAATACTATGCCTAATAAATAGAACTTTGAGCTGGCCAATTATGAAAGAAGGCTAATCATTAACAATAAATCATTCATCATCCAATTAGTGGAAACTTTTGAAAGATGATGCCTGTAATAATGATAAGTGATAGGGTTTGGCTGTGTCCCCACCCAAATCTCACCTTGAATTGTAATAATCCCCACGTGTCAAGGGTAGGGCCAGGTGGAATAGTTGACTCATGGGGGCAGTTCCTTTAGTGTTCTCATGATAGTGAATAAGAATTACGAGAGCTGATGATTTTATAAACCAGAGTTGCCCTGCACAAGCTCTCTTGCCTGCCACTATTTAAGACATGACTTTGCTCCTCATTTACCTTCCACCTTGATTGTGAGGCCTCTCCAGCCATGTGGAACTGTGAGTCAATTAAACCTCTTTCCTTTATAAACTACCCAGTCTTGGGTATATCTTTATTAGCAGCCTGAGAACAGACTAATACAATAAGCAACATTTGAAGAGCGCTTTACCATTTGACAATCACTTTCACATTCTGTAAGTTGTCTCACTTGAATTTCACACGATGCACTTTCTTTAAATGAGGGAACTAAGACAGTTTAAGTAATTTGGCCAAGGTCTTATTGTTGGTAAAGCTAACACTCAAACTGAAGTCTGGCAGGAGAGAAACAAATAGAAATAGAGACACCTCAGTAGCAGAGATCTGACCCAGCATATGCAGATCGCAGGAATACCACTTTCAGGTGTTTCCTGTCTGACCCTCTGTTTGCATTCTTGCAAAACTACTGAAAGGATATTTACTCTGCTTCCTGCAGTAGTAGAGCATTTCACTCTTAAATAGGTGTCTACAAGGGCCTCGGGATACCTCCTCCATCTGTCCACTTTACACAGAGGATAAATCAGACTTTGTTTACAACCCACTAGAAACAGAAGGCAGTTTATTAGCAGTTTGTTATGATCTACGTGTAGTTTGTAAATCTTACCCCAAAATCAATTCCTGTTGTCCTTCTTGGAAAACAATCAGTTTTGTCAATAACCTTACATGCAAAAGTGCTGAAACAGCAATGGTAAATGAAAGGATGGAAAGTTTATCACAAATAAATACAAAAACAAAAAGGCGTTCCTTTTTTTTTTTTGTATTATAGTATAAGTTCTGGGATACATGGGCAGAATGTGCAGGCTTGTTACATAGGTATACATGTGCCATGGTGGTTTGCTGCACCCATCAACCCGTCATCAACATTAGGTATTTCTCCTAATGCTGTCCCTCCCCTAGCCCCCCCACCCTCCAACAGGCCCCGTTGTGTGATGTTCCCCCCTCTGTCCATATGTTCTCATTGTTCAGCTCCCACTTATGAGTGAGAACATGTGGTGTTTGGTTTTCTGTTCCTGTGTTAGTTTGCTGAGAATGATGGTTTCCAGCTTCATCCATGTCCCTGGGAAGGACATGAACTCATTATTTTTTATGGCTGCATAGCATTCCATGGTGTATATTTGCCACATCCTATTTCTCCACATCCTCTCCAGCATCTGTTGTTTCCTGACTTTTTAATGATCACCATTCTAACTGACATGCGATGGTATCTCATTGTGGTTTTGATTTGCATTTCTCTAATGACTAGTGATAATGAGCTTTTTTTCATATGTTTATTGGCCACATAAATGTCTTATTTTGAGAAGTGTTTGTTCATATCCTTCACCCACTGTTGGTGGGAGGGTAATTTAGTTCAACCATTGTGGAAGACAGTGTGGCAATTCCTCAAGGTTCTAGAGCCAGATATACCATTTGACCCAGCAATCCCATTACTGAGTATATACCCAAAGGATTATAAATCATTCTTACTATAAAGACACCTGCACACATATGTTTACTGCAGCAGTGTTCACAATAGCAAAGACTTGGAACCAACCCAAGTGCCCATCAATGATAGACTGGTTAAAGAAAATGTGGCACATATACACCATGGAATACTATGCAGCCATAAAAAAGGATGAGTTTGTGTCCTTTGTAGGGACATGGATGAAACTGGAAACCATCATTCTCAGCAAACTGACACAGGAGCAGAAAACCGAACACTGCATGTTCTCACTCATAAGTGGGAGTCCAACAATGAGAACACATGGACACAGGGAGGGGGACATCACGCACCGGGGCCTGTCAGCGGGTGGGAGAGTAGGGGAGGGACAGCATTAGGAGAAATACCTAATGTAAATGATGGGTTGATGGGTGCAGCAAACCATCATGGCACATGTATACCTGTGTAACAAACCTGCATGTTCTGCACATGTATCCCAGAACTTAAAGTATAATAAAAAAAGATAAATATTTTTAAAAATTGCTTTCTCCAAAGGGTGAGTGAAGTGCCTGACCAGAAGGCATAGGGAGCAAAGTGGAAAGTGCCAGCACAAAAGGATAATAATTAGGAAAGGCAAGAATGAGGCAGCTCAGTAACAGCATAAACATAAAGACATTCTTTGTTCATTCCATCCCTTTTTGAGCACAGCTCAGCATGGACTGAAATTGTCCATTTCAGCTTTTGTATCTGAGTTGCTCTCACATCTAAAGTGAATTATATTATCATGAGTAACATTTTTGTCTATTTTTTGTCCACATTTACTCAATAAGCATTCCTGATGACAACTACCTGTCAACTATTGTGCTCATCAATGAGGATGAAACGATTGATACCATCTCTCTCCTTAAGAATTTCAGAGTTTAATGGATTGAAAAAATCCTCACCTAAACCATGAGTTAATTATAAGTTGTTTTGCACAGCCAATCTCTATCAACTTAAAATTCTGTAAGCATTATAAGGATCTTAATTTTGGATATTTCTTTGAAGGTGCCAGGAAGACAGAAGAATTCTAATACAATGCTTTGAGATCAAATGGCAGAATGGTGTTAGATATTTCAGAACATAATACCATAAAAGATAAACATCACAGCGTGAAATTAAGAATAAAATCAAATGCCAGAAAAACCTGGGTTTAAATCGTGTGATCCCAGCTGTGAGACACTGGGCAAGCTAGTTAACCTTTCTAAGGCTTAGTTTCTTTACTGAAATAATATAGTGAAAGCACTTACATTGTGGGGTTTTGTGAGGATTAATGACATCATGCAAATAAAGTTCTTTGCACCTAGTAAATGTTCAATATACAGTTGCTATTATTATTTTAATAGTAGTATTACCTCATTATTACTATCTGAATACAATTAGCCTTATGTTTTCTCCTATATCCACCATTGAGGCAGACAAGGAGAAATAGCTGCAGTTAAATTCTAACATACTCTTACAAGAGATAGAGCCATCTCTGTTTTCTGTGTTGATAATTAGCAGCTGTGAATAGAACGCTGGCAGCTCCACAAACGCATGGTGAAAGAGAAGAACATTAAGAATCTATCCAGCAAGATGGGGGAAGGGCACAAAAATGGCAATTATTGTAAATGAAGCCACTAAACATTTTTATAGTTATTTTGGGCATTGTAAGAAATACATGGATTCACATGGGATGCTTTCTTAGATGCCATTTAATCAAAGCTTTATACAGAGTCTATTAAGTGTGCTGAGAAGAATTCACTAAACATAGACTGGAAACCTAAAGGGGTAAAAATTTGGAAGTGCAAACCGGGAGTCTGTATTTACCACCTTTCTTTGAGGAAAACTCAGGGATGGAAAAGAGATCACCCATGCAGATTAGAATTTACCTTGCAACTACTTGGCAATATTTAGTTTTAAAAACCCACGTAATAATACAACATGTTCCAAGATTTTCTGTAGTGATGTTTTGTATGCACAACACACTGATTCTAATTGAAATGCTGAGTGGTTTTCTTCTCCAAGGCTCAAATTCTTGATACATCGTCTGAATATCAAATACCCAGAACAATGCTGCAACACTGGGAGATGTGCAAATAAATGTGTTGCGTCGGGTTTCTGCCATGATACCAAGAACAGCTAATCATCCTCAGCCCCAGATGGCTGGAAACAAAATAGTTTTGAAATCTAGGTGACCTATTTTTCAAAACTTTTGTTGCAGTTGTCTTGGAAGAAAATAATCTGGATAAAAGGAAGAAGGAGGCATTGCTGTGCTTGCAGAGACTCTAAATCCAAAGGTCTTCCTGGGTAAACATGACGATTAATTTAAAGGAAAATAATCTAGATAAAAAGAATAAGGCATTGCTGTGCTTGCTGGGACTGTAAATCCAAAGGTCTTCTTCCTAGAAAAACATGACCATTAATTTAAGAGATCACGAACTTAAGTATGTTATTTGAGAAACTGCTACTTTCACAACTTCTGCAAAAGCCTCATTGAGAATCCTTCCAAACAGTCCTCATTTATTCCCAAGGCTTCAGAAGTAAGAGTATTATGTATAATTTATTGTCCAGACCTGGGCACTTTTAGAACACTGCTAATAGTCGTACCAGGACAGCAGGTGTAAAGTTAGTCTTTCGTGAGCTACTTGAAATATTACCATTGCTTTACCCAGAAGTGTAAATTACCTCGCAACCCCCCAAAGGATTTATTTCATCTTTCATGATTTCTTTTTCTAAAAATTCCAAGCAGTGCCTTTTATGGTCAAACCAGATCGTCGTGGTCTCATTGAAATCTCTCCCCTTGTCCATCCAAAATAGAACTGACGTGACCCTTGTTTCTGCATTGCATTGCCTCTGTGAATCTGGCCGGGGACACTCACTTTCATTTCCTGCCCATTCATTTTGTTCCAATCTAACAACTTGGCCTCAATTCTTCTGTTAAAGAAAAAATTATTCAATGTTATTTGTTAAAGCATGGTTAAAAAAAAAATCCTTTATTCAGGACCATCATGATAAATATAGGGACCACTGTGACAGTCTTGCAGTGGGGGAGAGAGATTGAGCTCACCTCCTAATACAGCATGAGCAAGTGGGAATGTATAGCCAAGAAGCAGAGTGAGGGTCAGTGGAAGGAAAATTACCAACAGCAAACATCAGCGGTAAGGGAAATTCTGACTAAACTGAACTAATAGGATTCTGGCTTAAGATAGGGCAGGATGGGCTGGGTGTGGTGGCTCACACCTGTAATCCCAGCACTTTGGGAGGCTGAGGCCGGCGGCTCATGAGGTCAGGAGTTCAAGACCAGCCTGGCCAACATAGTGAAACCCTGTCTCTACTAAAAACACAAAAATTAGCCAGACATGGTGGCGTGTGCCTCTAGTCCCAGCTACTAGGGAGGCTGAGGCAGGAGAATCACTTGAACCCGGGAGGTGGAAGTTGCAGTGAGCCAAGATTGCACCACTGCACTCCAGCCTGGCGACAGAGCGAGACTCCACCTCAAAAAAACAATAACAAAAAAAAAAAATAGGGCAAGATGATCCGATATCACATGGGAGGCAGTGGAGGATGAGGAACCTAATCATATATTGAGGGTGATCAGATGTTGAGGGTGGAGGCTTTTTGCCAAACTGACTTAGCAGCTTCTTTGCTAAACCTGAATTTTACAAGGACATACACAGATGGACTTAGGACCCTGATGAAAGTTTGGCCAGGCAAAGAATCTTTGTCAGTTTCTAAAACCTTGAATCTGCTTACATTCTTTATCAACCTTCTAACTGGCCTGAAATGACTCAGGCTTCACCCACGGTTAAACAAATGTAAGTGTATTGGTAGGAAATCACCGAGTGTGCCAGACTCTGCAGAGACCATTTATTGAGCATTTTCTATGTGCCAGGAACAATGCCAAGCTCTTTGCTTACATTATTTTTATTTAATAATTGGAATCATCTTGTCAGATGGCTGTTCTTCCTATTTTACAGATAGGAAAGTGAGGTTTAGAAAGGTTAAACAACCTCTATGGTCTTGTAGATAATGAATGGCCAAGCTTATTTCAAACCAGGCTGAGCTGACTTCAGTGTCTGCTTCCTTAACCATAGCACTCAGCTGCATCTTCTTTGACTCTTGTGTTTCCTCTGCTTTGTTCAGAAAGTTTTGCAGGGAATAAATATTTCACAGAACAAAGTTTTTTTTTTTTTTTTTTGAGACAGAGTCTCATTCTGTTTCCCAGGCTGGAGTGCAGAGGCGCGATCTCGGCTCACTGCAAGCTCCGCCTCCTGGGTTCACACCATTCTCCTGCCTCAGCCTCCCGAGTAGCTGGGACTACAGGCGCCCGCCACCACGCCCGGCTAATTTTTTTGTATTTCTAGTAGAGACGGGGTTTCACCATGTTAGCCAGGATGGTCTCAATCTCCTGACCTCATGATCTGCCCACCTCGGCCTCCCAAAATGCTGGGATTACAGGCGTGAACCACAGCTCCTGGCCAGAACAAAGCTTTTTATGTGACAACATCTAACCTTGCTTTAACCTTTTGAAATTATAATGGTTTAGAGACATAAGGCTTAGTGATTTTTCTGTCCTCCCCTGCCCCACACCCAGGGTTTACTGATGACACCTAAGCATCTTCTTTTAGTTTTCAAAGGGCTGTCTCGAGCATCCTCTGATTTTATTCTCAAGAAGTGAGGAGGTGACCTAGGCAAGGCTGGGATTATGACTTTATAAATGAGAAAACAGTCATGAAAGGGCTAAATTCTTAGCCAAGGTCATGCATCTGTGACAAAAACTGATGTCAGCCAACTCTTAATTCAGGGACATCCTAACACTATGTGAGAGAGAAATTCCTCCCTCCCTTCCCTCTTTCCTGCCTTCTCTCCTCTTCCTTCCCTTCTCCCTTACACACCTTGCATGTAAAACTGTTTCTTCAGTAGTCTCAATTACATGTTACAATGTTAACTCTTAGCCACTTTTATTTTTGGTGAAAAACTTGGTAAGCAAGTGATTCTAATTATGTACCAGGTGTGGCACCTAGGACACCAGACAGAAGTGCAGATAAGGTCTGACACTTTCCAGCATTGCTAGGGGGAATGGCTAATTCCACATGTCCCCATACCGTATCTAGGATCTAATGGCTCTAAAGCAGGTAAGCTGAACAATTTTCAAAAGTCAGAGAAGCAGTTTATGACCTTAAAGCATTTAGCAAACCAAATATCTGACCTGCCTAATTTAGGTCAAATCTCCAAATTTTACCAATAATCTTATAATTGTCTTTATTTCCCAAAGATTATTTAAGTCATGTGAACTAAAAGGCATTAGTTTTTGTTTTTCTGACAATATTTGATTTAAGCACTTATTATTTTTCAGCCAGTTAATCAGAGCTCTTTCATATATAAACATCACACACACAACAAATATAAATACACAGACAGAAATAGTTTCAGTACGTGTAAGTTTTTTTCATTTGCCAGTTTTTAATGTTTCTCTTTAAAACACACAGTTTCTAGGACCTAATAATGTGGCACAGCTGGAAGACAAAACAGATCTCCCAAAATTAAGGATCCCATTTTTATATTACATCTTGAATCCCAAAAGGACACTACAGAACAAGACAATGCAAAGATTTTACCATGCATTTTATTGCAAGGCAACCCAAAACCAATCAACTCATTTTGTGATTAGCCCACCCTGATGGGAGCCTTATCTCTCAGTGGAGGGGTGGAGACTTTTCCATACCTTCCAGATGGCCAAGAGCATGCTTCTCCCAATCCAAATGTGCAAAGAGCCAAGTATCCTCTCATGACTGCCATTAGCCACCCCTAAAAGTATATTTCCTACCTAGTTATTATAAATCAAAATTCTCACATACTGCGAAGTAATTTCTGATACCCCTAAAAAGTCAAAAAACGTCAGATAAAGCAAAGCAAAACAGAACAGAGCCTTAGATTTTAAGAGGGATCTGTCTGCTTTTAATCCCTGGGGTTTCATGAGGAAAATAGACGTTTTTCCCAAAACGCAGTCTGTGGCCCCTCTTCTGTTTTTCCCAAGGAGTCCCAGGTTGTATTATCTTAGGTCCTCTCATGTGTGCATCAAGAGTAGCAAGAAGACAAAATGGAGAAAAACAATTAAGTCTACTGAGAAGAAAAGAAAAAAACCTTTTTTCCAGAAAAACACAATCCAAGAAGAGAATAAAACATAAAGGCCTTTAAAATATACCTATAGCTTGAATATCTGCTTTTAATTGAGCTGACTTTTAACCGTAGTACTCCTTAAAAAATAAAATCCTTTTAAATCTCTTATTACTATCCTATGAGATGTTTTGGCTCTATGTTGCCACCCAATTCTCATCTTGAATTTTAATCCCCATGTGTTGAGTGAGGGACCTAGTGGTGGGTGATTGGATCATGCTGTTCTCATGACGGTAAGTTCTCACAAGATCTGATGCTTTAAAAGTGTTTGGCAGTTCCTCCTGCATTCTCTCCTGCTGCCATGTGAAGAAGGTTCCTTGCTTCCCTTTTGCCTTCTGCCATGATTGTAAGTTTCCTGAGGCCTCTGAAGCCATGCCAAACTGTGAGTCAATTAAAGCTCTTTCCTTTATAAATTACCCAGTCTCAGGGAAGTTCTTTATATCAGTGTAAAACCAGACAAATACACCCTACTTTAGCTGGGCAAAACAGCCAATATTTCTGGCTTTTAAACTTTACCAAAAATAAACTCACAGGTGAAACCAATAAGGCTTAACTAAGGTTATGATTTGACCATGAATGGACAAGTTCTTTTCAAAGAGGTGGTTAGCAGTTTTTACAAGATTTAGAATCTCCACAGGTAGCTCAGAGAAAGGAAGATTCAAGAAATGAAGCCAGAAGTAGTTCATGGAGGAGAAGAGAATCAACAAATGGTAAAGGTCACACAGATATTAAGCCAGAAAGGACCCATTCCCTAAGCTGGGAATTGAACCCTGAACCCAGGCCGTCATTGTGAAAAGACAAAGCCTTAGCTACTAAGCCACAGCACTGGGCAATTTCCATTGCTCTTCCCAGAGGGAGTCTAGAGCAGCCAATTTTGAGCTTGCAAAGGCTTTTAACTGCTTGAGGTAATTTTTGGGGCTAACTACAACATGAACCCCTAAATTCCTGTCCTCTGGATAAGCAGAGACTAAAAGAAAGTACTGCCATATGGTCACAAGCTCAAGCTTCCAAGGACATAAAACAAGACGAGAAGGAAACTTCATTCAGTTGTTTTTGCTTGTTTGTTTCAGGGACCTGCAGCAAAGTTTGTTACTGACCAACTTGCCAGGCTGGCTTTAACAGTGGGCTTATGGGGTCCTAAGCCCATGTTCTATCCTAAGGTACTCCTCTTTATGGCAGTACAATACAGGAAGATAAATTTATAGCACAAAGTACACCAGATTTGCTACAGCTTCAGACGTACCTCACAAATTCTTTTCCCATTAATCAAAACTTTACAGAGGGGATGAACAGTTATTTTTGCCATTTATTCAACCAGTTATGCACACAGGGAGGCCCAAAGCCTGACTGGTAAGAAATTCCCACCCTTTTGCCAGCACGCCAGGCTTCTGTGTTCCCTTTCCTTGGGCAGCCCTAGTGACTTGGCTCGCCACACCACAGCCCTGGGGGCCAAACCGCAACACAAAGGAAAACCATCTTCTTCCATTCTGAGCAGAGCAAAATACGTGTGACAAAACATAGACATTAGCCACTCCAGTTAGCACCCAATATTGAACTGGCCAGGCTCAAACTTGCCCCTACTTGGGCCTTGTCATCTTTGATCCACTCAAAGTGGGGTGGAATGATCCTTCCGACCAAGTGTTTCAGCATGTGGTGTCTGGGCAAGATGGTCGCCCTGAGTAACAGAAAAGATATAAAAGGAGAGAAAAGGAGAAAAGCATTGTCTGTGGCAGGGTGGGGAAGGCAAGGAGCTAAGAGAGGCAGAGAAAGACCCACTTATTGCAGCAACACTGAATCAAAAGTTCAGGTCACCACTTGTCAATAGTGAAGGAATCTTCACTACTGTCCCATCAGCTCTCGAGTTTCTCCCTTTCCAGAGAAAAAAAGCTCCCCATGTCCAGTTATCGTGTACATGCCTAGTCCTGTCACCCATAGCTGTCAGCAAAGAGTGCAAGGCAGATTAATCCAAAGAGAATAGCAATTAACATCCCATTATGCCAAATCCATTTTTAACCAAGAGGGACTTCACTGAGAGAGGCCTTTAAACCTCTAAATCTTAGGAAGGACTCTAACCTTCCTAAGTTGGGGCTGGAACCCAAGTTTGGTCAAGCATCCTTGCCTTTTATTAAGAGGGGCCTTTAACCTTCTCTGTCTTAGGAGGTACTCTAACCCAATACCATCATTTAACTGGGTAAGGTTTACCCCACCACTTACCCAAAGTCAGCCAATTGGTTCTGCAGTCTATTTCCTTTGGGTCAGGGATCTCCTCAGGATAGTCCCTTCGTGGTTGCCAAGAACATGTTGCCAAAAAGGGGTAGGTCCCAGTGCAGATCCTAAGAGAGGGTTCTTGGACCTTGCACGAGAAAGAATTCGGGATGAGTCCACAGAGTAAAATGAAAGCAAGCTTATTAAGGAAGTAAAAGAATAAAGAATGGCCACTCCATGGGCGGAGTAGTGGTGTGGGCTGCTCACCTGTTTATACTTAAAATTACTTCTTTAATAATTACATGCTAAACAAGGGGTGGATTATTCATGAGTTTTCCAGGAAAGGGGTGGGCAGTTCCCGGAACCGAGAGTTTATCCCATTTTTGGACCATATAGGGTGACTTCTTGATGTTTCCATGACATTTGTGAACTATCATGGCACGGTGGGAGTGTCCCTTAGCATCCTAATACATTATAATTAATGTATAATGAGCAATGAGGACAACCAGAGGTCACTTTCATCACCATCTTGGTTTTGGTGGGTTTGGGCCAGCTTCTTTACCACAATCTGTTTTATCAGCAAGGTCTTTGTGACCTGTATCTTGTGCTGACCTCCTATTTCATCTGTTATTAAAATGCCTAACCTCCTGGGAATGCAGTCCAGTAGGTCTCAGCCTTATTTTACCCAGCTCCTATTCAAGATGGAGTTGTTCTGGTTTGAATGCCTCTGACACCTTCCTTCCTTCCTTGTTTTTTATCTATCTATGAAGACAGTGATTAAAAAGGAAAAGAAAACATCAATCTCCTGATCTAACTCTTTTAAAACCAGTTCAAACTTACCCAATTTAGGAAGACTTTGTGAAGGAAGATAGGGTGGGTACAGTAAGATCTTCCTTCTATATCACCATTGTATTTAATATACCTGAGTTTGAGTTTGAGTTTGAGTTTGAGCTGAGCCTCCTATTAGCCTGGTTAACTCAAGGGATTTAGTGAGTCACTTTGAACCAGAATTTCTTCTCATTACATTAAAATGATAATGGTTTTTATTTGATCAATTTTTAGAGGATTTTAGGGACAATACCTATAAGGCACTTAGACCAATGCTGGGTACAACAAGTACATAACACATTACAGTTTGTCTTTTTATTGTTATTATGTTATTGAAGAAGAGCAAGAAAGACGTAAGAAGATATTTCTATATAACACCTTGCCATATTCTATCAAGCTGCAGGTGGGATCAATTAATAAGAGCAAGACAACAAAAATAATGGTGGTAGAAAATGTATGTTTGGAATGTTTACAGAGGGCATCATTTGTAAGCATATGGCACCTTAGATGGTAGAAGAAAACTACCTTGCATTATAAGTACTCTAGAATAAAAACAAATTTAAGGTCTTGTGCCTTGTATCCACAGGACCTAACTCAGTGCTTGACAAATAGTAAATATTCAAAAATGTAGATTTATTAATAAAAGAATTATGTAATTTTCTTCTTATCTGTGTAGCCCTATCCTCTTTCAGTGGCACAAAATAAGTCCTCACTGAAGTGTCTGGTTAAGTGAATTACTCTTTATAATAAATAGCATCTTCTGAATATTGAATTTGATTGTATTAAAGCCCCTCTGGAGATGTGAGAATACTTTCCCACGGGCAGTGAAAAATTATTAGGTCATTTCACCACAGTATTTTCAGGTACGTTATACATCTCTCTTTGGGGGTTTTACACATTCATTATATTTTGTAAAGTGTTAATGTGTCTGGGGTTACTCTCCCTAGGCTACTGTAAAGAGACAGCCATGGCTGGTGGATAAGACAGAATGAGTACTTTTTAAGCCATGTGGCTTTCTTTCCTGTAATGTCTAATAATGGTTATACAGACTGCATAGTAAATGAGACAAAGGCAGAGCTGTAATTGCTAAAAATAACTATGTCGAAAGACACAGAAGAGTAAGAGAGTCATCTTGTGAATATTGAAGAGGAATATCAACTTTTTACTACATTTGACCAATGATAACCTGTTCTAAAAAATTGCCTTTGATTAGACACTCAGTTTTGAGAGAAAATAAGTGGTTTCTTTGAAAAGTAACCAATCTTCCCCTCATAGTATTGCACAAAATTCATGTTAATAGCCCAAACAAAAAATTGTAATAGAACATACCATCGAGAATGTACAAAGTCATTGTGTTAAACTTTCCCCCCATTCTCTTTGAAAAATGTCTTTAATCATACAAATGTTTCTTATTTTTGGAAGAGTTATTTGGCATGATCTTTACATGTTAGTTTGAAAAGTATTCCATTTAACATATGTGAGAGGGCTAAGATACCAAATGCCAGGTAAATCAACCTATTTACAAAAATATACGTATATCTAGATTTTTTTGTATCTGATAACGTAGGATATATGGTATTCTCTCTAATCTTATATTAAAATAAGATGAACAGGACATAAAGGCCAAGTAGCTTAGGAAAGCCAACCCTACTAGTGAAATGCAAAATATATACAGTATTCTAAATTTTCCACTATTTCCTTTAGTTGCAATACAGTGTTGATGATGCGTGGTTAAATTTTTTGAAATTCAAAATGTAATTAATAACATAATATTCTTATTTTTCATCCCCCAAAAATGCTTTGCTGATGTTGTGTAACTATACTAGTTTTATAAAAGCAATGTATTCTCTCCTGCAATAACCACATGAAATGGGGATGCAGAGGGATAAAAAAAAAGAGGATGGAATGGAAATGAACTTTCTTTTCTATCTCTAATTTTTTTAAGTTAGATAACTTTTTAAGAACATTAATTACCTTGGCATCAAGAGAACAGTAAATGATAGGTAGTCTTGTTTCATCGAACAAAACACCAAACTTGTCATCTTCAGTATCAGATGATTTAGTTTTTTCTTCATTTCATTTCTAATAATACCGAAATATTATCACCTTCCTTCTATGACTGACATTGTCCCATGCAACTCTTTCGTTAGCTACACTTGGCTGGGGCTAGTCATGTATTTTAAAACCACAGGTCAAATACTCTTCACTCAATGAGACAAAATATAAATAAATTATAGCCTGTGACATTTTGGAACTCATTGGTGCAAATCCTCCAAGATTTAGAGATTTGGGAAATCATGAAGAGGAATTTTTAGGAAAAAGCTGCTACTTACACAAGGTACCTCACACGTGCAAAGCAGGTAATCAGAAACAAAGAAGAAAAGAGTAGGGAAGGGGAGTTAAAAGGAGAAAAGACGGGGAGAGGAATAACTAAAAAGAGCAAGAGACAAACCTGAATCCTGTGATAGCAAGTTATAACAGCATCCTTAAATGATTGCACAGGTATTTATAAAATCATCAAGGTGAGAACTGCAACAAGAAGGAAAATACTAAGATTAGTCATTTGCAGCAAAATCAGGGAGAGATTACAAACAGCAATCGGTTGATTTTTTAAAATGTTATAGATATGGAGGAGCCTTTAGGAATCATTCTGTTCCTTGTCTTTAAAATGTCACACCATCAAATACTTTTGTATTGTAAATTATTTATGAAAACTCAGAGTAAATAGGAGGGACACCTTTCGACAGGAAGTAGGTATTTCATAATTATTTTGAAATACTCTAGGGAGACTGCTTCCTAAGAGGTCCCAGCCATGGGAAATCGCCAGGAAGGTGATACCCATATTTCCTCCCACACTTTAGTATGAAAGAAATATAATTTTAAGGGCCTGGAGGAGCCAAGATGGCCGAATAGGAACGGCTCCGGTCTACAGCTCCCAGCATGAGCGACGCAGAAGACGGTGATTTCTGCATTTCCATCTGAGGTACCGGGTTCATCTCACTAGGGAGTGCCAGACAGCAGGCGCAGGTCAGTGGGTGCGCGCACCGTGCGCGAGCCGAAGCAGGGAGAGGCATTGCCTCACTTGGGAAGCGCAAGGGGTCAGGGAGTTCCCTTTCCGAGTCAAAGAAAGGGGTGACTGACGGCACCTGGAAAATCGGGTCACTCCCACCCGAATACTGCGCTTTTCCGACGGGCTTAAAAAACGGCGCACCACGAGATTATACCCCGCACCTGGCTCGGAGGGTCCTACGCCCACGGAGTCTCGCTGATTGCTAGCACAGCAGTCTGAGATCAAACTGCAAGGTGGCAGCGAGGCTGGGGGAGGGGCGCCCGCCATTGCCCAGGCTTGCTGAGGTAAACAAAGCAGCCTCGAAGCTCCAACTGGGCGGAGCCCACCACAGCTCAAGGAGGCTTGCCTGCCTCTGTAGGCTCCACCTCTGGGGGCAGGGCACAGACAAACAAAAAGACAGCAGTAACCTCTGCAGACTTAAATGTCCCTGTCTGACAGCTTTGAAGAGAGCAGTGGTTCTCCCAGCACGCAGCTGGAGATCTGAGAACGGGCAGACTGCCTCCTCAAGTGGGTCCCTGACTCCTGACCCCCGAGCAGCCTAACTGGGAGGCACCCCCCAGCAGGGGCACACTGACACCTCACATGGCAGGGTACTCCAACAGACCTGCAGCTGAGGGTCCTGTCTGTTACAAGGAAAACTAACAAACAGAAAGGACATCCACACCAAAAACCCATCTGTACATCACCATCATCAAAGACCAAAAGTAGATAAAACCACAAGGATGGGGAAAAAACAGAACAGAAAAACTGGAAACTCTAAAAAGCAGAGCGCCTCTCCTCCTCCAAAGGAATGCAGTTCCTCACCAGCAATGGAACAAAGCTGGACGGAGAATGACTTTGACGAGCTGAGAGAAGAAGGCTTCAGATGATCAAATTACTCTGAGCTACGGGAGGACATTCAAACCAAAGGCAAAGAAGTTGAAAACTTTGAAAAAAATTTAGAAGAATGTATAACTAGAATAACCAATACAGAGAAGTGCTTAAAGGAGCTGATGGAGCTGAAAACCAAGGCTCGAGAACTACGTGAAGAATGCAGAAGCCTCAGGAGCCAATGCCATCAACTGGAAGAAAGGATATCAGCGATGGAAGATGAAATGAATGAAATGAAGTGAGAAGGGAAGTTTAGAGAAAAAAGAATAAAAAGAAATGAGCAAAGCCTCCAAGAAATATGGGACTATGTGAAAAGACCAAATCTACGTCTGATTGGTGTACCTGAAAGTGATGGGGAGAATGGAACCAAGTTGGAAAACACTCTGCAGGATATTATCCAGGAGAACTTCCCCAATCTAGCAAGGCAGGCCAACGTTCAGATTCAGGAAATACAGAGAACGCCACAAAGATACTCCTCGAGAAGAGCAACTCCAAGACACATAATTTTCAGATTCACCAAAGTTGAAATGAAGGAAAAAATGTTAAGGGCAGCCAGAGAGAAAGGTCGGGTTACCCTCAAAGGGAAGCCCATCAGACTAACAGCAGATTTATCGGCAGAAACCCTACAAGCCAGAAGAGAGTGGGGGCCAATATTCAACATTCTTAAAGACAAGAATTTTCAACCCAGAATTTCATATCCAGCCAAACTAAGCTTCATAAGCAAAGGAGAAATAAAATACTTTACAGACAAGCAAATGCTGAGAGAGTTTGTCACCACCAGGCCTGCCCTAAAAGAGCTCCTGAAGGAAGCGCTAAACATGGAAAGGAACAACCGGTACCAGCCGCTGCAAAATCATGCCAAAATGTAAAGACCATCAAGACTCAGAAGAAACTGCATCAACTAATGAGCAAAATCACCAGCTAACATCATCATGACAGGATCAAATTCACACATAACAATATTAACTTTAAATGTAAATGGACTAAATGCTCCAATTAAAAGACACAGACTGGCAAATTGGATAAAGAGTCAAGACCCATCAGTGTGCTGTGTTCAGGAAACCCATCTCACATGCAGAGACACACATAGGCTCAAAATAAAAGGATGGAGGAAGATCTACCAAGCAAATGGAAAACAAAAAAAGGCAGGGGTTGCAATCCTAGTCTCTGATAAAACAGACTTTAAACCAACAAAGATCAAAAGAGACAAAGACAGCCATTACATAATGGTAAAGGGATCAATTCAACAAGAAGAGCTAACTATCCTGAATATATATGCACCCAACACAGGAGCACCAAGATTCATAAAGCAAGTCCTGAGTGACCTACAAAGAGACTTAGACTCCCACACATTAATAATGGGAGACTTTAACACCCCACTGTCAACATTAGACAGATCAACGAGACAGAAAGTCAACAAGGATACCCAGGAATTGAACTCAGCTCTGCACCAAGCAGACCTAATAGACATCTACAGAACTCTCCACCCCAAATCAACAGAATATACATTTTTTTCAGCACCACACCACACCTATTCCAAAATTGACCACATAGTTGGAAGTAAAGCTCTCCTCAGCAAATGTAAAAGAACACAAATTATAACAAACTATATCTCAGACCACAGTGCAATCAAACTAGAACTCAGGATTAAGAATCTCACTCAAAACCACTCAACTACATGGAAACTGAACAACCTGCTCCTGAATGACTACTGGGTACATAACGAAATGAAGGCAGAAATAAAGATGTTCTTTGAAACCAATGAGAACAAAGACACAACATACCAGAATCTCTGGGACACATTCAAAGCAGTGTGTAGAGGGAAATTTATAGCACTAAATGCCCACAAGAGAAAGCAGGAAAGATCCAAAATTGACACCCTAACATCACAATTAAAAGAACTAGAAAAGCAAGAGCAAACACATTCAAAAGCTAGCAGAAGGCAAGAAATAACTAAAATCAGAGCAGAACTGAAGGAAATAGAGACACAAAAAACCCTTCAAAAAATAAATGAATCCAGGAGCTGGTTTTATGAAAGGATCAACAAAATTGATAGACTGCTAGCAAGACTAATAAAGAAAAAAAGAGAGAAGAATCTAATAGACGCAATAAAAAATGCTAAAGGGGATATCACGACCGATCCCACAGAAATACAAACTACCATCAGAGAATACTACAAACACCTCTATGCAAATAAACTAGAAAATCTAGAAGAAATGGATAAATTCCTCGACACATACACTCTCCCAAGACTAAACCAGGAAGAAGTTGAATCTCTGAATAGACCAATAACAGGATCTGAAATTGTGGCAATAATCAATAGCTTACCAACCAAAAAGAGTCCAGGAGCAGATGGATTCACAGCTGAATTCTACCAGAGGTACAAGGAGGAACTGGTACCATTCCTTCTGAAACTATTCTAATCAATAGAAAAAGAGGGAATCCTCCCTAACTCATTTTGTGAGGCCAGCATCATTCTGATACCAAAGCCAGGCAGAGACACAACCAAAAAAGAGAATTTTAGACCAATATCCTTGATGAACATTGATGCAAAAATCCTCAATAAAATACTGACAAACCGAATCCAGCAGCACATCAAAAAGCTTATCCACCATGATCAAGTGGGCTTCATCCCTGGGATGCAAGGCTGGTTCAATATATGCAAATCAATAAATGTAATCTAGCATATAAACAGAGCCAAAGACAAAAACCACATGATTATCTCAATAGATGCAGAAAAGGCCTTTGACAAAATTCAACAACCCTTCATGCTAAAAACTCTCAATAAATTAGGTATTGATGGGACGTATTTCAAAATAATAAGAGCTATCTATGACAAACCCACAGCCAATATCATACTGAATGGGCAAAAACTGGAAGCATTCCCTTTGAAAACTGGCACAAGACAGGGATGCCCTCTCTCACCACTCCTATTCAACATAGTGTTGGAAGTTCTGGCCAGGGCAATTAGGCAGGAGAAGGAAATAAAGGGTATTCAATTAGGAAAAGAGGAAGTCAAATTGTCCCTGTTTGCAGACGACATGATTGTATATCTAGAAAACCCCATTGTCTCAGCCCAAAATCTCCTTAAGCTGATCAGCAACTTCAGCAAAGTCTCAGGATACAAAATCAATGTACAAAAATCACAAGCATTCTTATACAACAGCAACAGACAAACAGAGAGCCAAATCATGAGTGAACTCCCATTCACAATTGCTTCAAAGAGAATAAAATACCTAGGAATCCAACTTACAAGGGATGTGAAGGACCTCTTCAAGGAGAACTACAAACCACTGCTCAATGAAATAAAAGAGGATACAAACAAATGGAAGAACATTCCATGCTCATGGGTAGGAAGAATCAATATCGTGAAAATGGCCATACTGCCCAAGGTAATTTACAGATTCAATGCCATCCCCATCAAGCTACCAATGCCTTTCTTCACAGAATTGGAAAAAACTACTTTAAAGTTCATCTGGAACCAAAAAAGAGCCCGCATTGCCAAGTCAATCCTAAGCCAAAAGAACAAAGCTGGAGGCATCACACTACCTGACTTCAAACTATACTACAAGGCTACAGTAACCAAAACAGCATGGTACTGGTACCAAAACAGAGATATAGATCAATGGAACAGAACAGAGCCCTCAGAAATAACGCCGCATATCTACAACTATCTGATCTTTGACAAACCTGAGAAAAACAAGCAATGGGGAAAGGATTCCCTATTTAATAAATGGTGCTGGGAAAACTGGCTAGCCATATGTAGAAAGCTGAAACTGGATCCCTTCCTTACACCTTATACAAAAATCAATTCAAGATGGATTAAAGACTTAAACGTTAGACCTAAAACCATAAAAACCCTAGAAGGAAACCTAGGCATTACCATTCAGGACATAGGCATGGGCAAGGACTTCATGTCTAAAACACCAAAAGCAATGGCAACAAAAGCCAAAATTGACAAATGGGATCTAATTAAACTAAAGAGCTTCTGCACAGCAAAAGAAACTACCATCAGAGTGAACAGGCAACCTACAAAATGGGAGAAAATTTTCCCAACCTACTCATCTGACAAAGGGCTAATATCCAGAATCTACAATGAACTCCAACAAATTTACAAGAAAAAAACAAACAACCCCATCAAAAAGTGGGCGAAGGACATGAACAGACACTTCTCAAAAGAAGACATTTATGCAGCCAAAAAACACATGAAAAAATGCTCATCATCGCTGGCCATCAGAGAAATGCAAATCAAAACCGCAATGAGATACCATCTCACACCAGTTAGAATGGCAATCATTAAAAAGTCAGGAAACAGCAGGTGCTGGAGAGGATGTGGAGAAATAGGAACACTTTTACACTGTTGGTGGGACTGTAAACTAGTTCAACCATTGTGGAAGTCAGTGTGGCAATTCCTCAGGGATCTAGAACTAGAAATACCATTTGACCCAGCCATCCCATTACTGGGTATATACCCAAAGGACTATAAATCATGCTGCTATAAAGACACATGCACACGTATGTTTATTGCGGCATTATTCACAATAGCAAAGACTTGGAACCAACCCAAATGTCCAACAATGATAGACTGGATTAAGAAAATGTGGCACATATACACCATGGAATACTATGCAGCCATAAAAAATGATGAGTTCATGTCCTTTGTAGGGACATGGATGAAATTGGAAAACATCATTCTCAGTAAACTATCACAAGAACAAAAAACCAAACACTGCATATTCTCACTCATACGTGGGAATTGAACAATGAGATCACATGGACACAGGAAGGGGAATATCACACTCTGGGGACTGTTGTGGGGTGGGGGGAGGGGGGAGGGATAGCATTGGGAGATATACCTAATGCTAGATGACGAGTTAGTGGGTGCAGTGCACCAGCATGGCACATGTATACATATGTAACTAACCTGCACATTGTGCACATGTACCCTAAAACTTAAAGTATAATTAAAAAAAAAAGAAAGTAAATTGGCCAAAAAAAAAAAAAGAAATATAATTTTAAAACAATATCATTGGAGATGATATGATGTATGTTATATCTTGCAGGGATATGTTTTACTCAGAGATGAATGTTTTAGGAAAAAACTCCTACTACGACTATGGTCTTGTCTATTTCCCTTTAAAATTTGGTCAATTTTTCCTTTAAGTTTTTTGAAGCTGTATTAATATATACATACAAATTTAGAATTGGCATGTCTTCCGAGGAGAAATGGAATTTTATCATTATGAATTATCCTATTTGTTCTAGTAAAATCTTTTTTTTCTAGTATTAATACAGCCGTCACAGGCTGCTTTAAATTTTGTTTTTATGTTATATATAATATAGTAACATGAATATGTAATACATATATATTTAATTATTTTATATGTGTATATTAATAGAAAGACTCTTTAGGGAACATAGAATTTTGGATTTCTGTTTGGTTATTTTTTCCTGGTATGCCAATTTCTATCTTTTAATTGGTATATTTCATTTATCTAAATTTAATACAATTACTGATATTTAGATTTAAATCTACTACCTCATTATGTTTTTTGTCTGCCCAAATGGCTCTACATTAATTTCTTCCTCGTTCCTTTATTGATTTATTTTGAATCGACAGGAAATTTTTTAATCATTCAATTTCTTCTATTAACTTAGAAGTTATAGACTAATCTTTGTGTTAATTCTAGTAATTGTAACATATTCTTCTCTTATCAAAGAATAATTGTAATACATACATTTATGTTTCTTCTAGCCCTTAAAACCATATCTGCTGTTCTTGAATTACAGAATTAGATGCTATCACTTTATGATTATAATTATGTATATTTTCATATTGTTAATAATCCATGTTCTTTTACATTTGCCCAGATATCACTTTTACTCACTCATTTTTTTCTGTATCATTTCCCTTTTGTATAAGTAACATCCTTTAGATTTTTCTTCAGTGTGCATCTAAAACATCTTTGTTTTACCTTCATTCTTGAAGGACATTTTCAGTGGGTATGGAATTCAAATTTGGGTAGTTACCTTCTTTCAACCTATGAAAAATATTCCACTGTCTCCTGCTTCTTGTGTTGCTGTTGAGAAGTCAGCTCTCAGTGTAACTGTTATCTTTTTATAGGCCAGTCATCTATTTTTCTTGGATAGCATTTAAGATTTCCTCGTTGTCTGTGATTCTTGCTGGTATTCACTGGGATTCTTGACTCCACGGATAGATATGTTTCATCAATTCTAAAAAAAATTTAGCCTTTAGCTCTTCCAACATTGCCTCAGCCCCATTCTGTCTCTTGGATTCTTTTAAGTCTCTATTGAATATATGACAGACTTCCATGCTGTGTTTTCTATGCCTTTTACTTTCTTTTGTTTCTTGCATCATTTCCGTCTTTTGGTCTCTCCATGCTTTCGACCTGTTTTTCATTCCCTGATTCTTCTGTTACACCTAAATTCCAATGAACTCATCAATTGATTTCTTAATTTTTGTTGTTATATTTTTCTGTTTTATAACTTCTATTTTGTTCTTTCCCAAATTTCCTATATAATATCACTTTTTATATTTTCAGGTTGCCTTTCAAATTTTTCATGCATGACTTTTATCCCCTGAAGTAGGCATGGCTGTTTTACAGAACCTTTGTAATGGCTACAGTATTTGAAGTCTTTGTGTGTTTCTGTTGTCTTTTGGTTCTGCTGGTTCTTACTCATGCTGTCTCATCTCCTCATGTGTTTGGTTACCTTTTATTGTGTGTGAAGTATGGTGTTTCAATTATTGCTAGTAGAAGTTATTTGAGTGTCCCAAGTCAGTTGTCTTTTGCTTTTTCCAGGCTTGTAGGCAAAATAGCAATCTGGAATTACTTTAATCTAAATAGAGGGTTTCAGATTGTCTAGGTCACCCAGATGACTTACAGTCGGGCTGCAGTCGTCATGAGTACTCATTTACTTTTGCTTTGCCTTTGCCGTTAGAATGTGGCACTCTGAAGTCCCAGCCCAAAAACAAGAATAATAATCAAGCTTACCTAGACACCAGCTATTTCCATCTAGCCCCCATTAGTCTGCCAAAACCTCCGTTCAGCCTCTTAGCCATTTCTCCTGGATCAGCAAATATCACCAGAGCAAAAGTCCCTGAGTGCTCTATGTTCTTGGCTGTGGTCTCCTATTTACCCTCAGATCTCAGCCTGGTAATTCTTTATAATCTCATGTGTTCTTTAATGCTTTTTAAAATTTGCAGTTTTTCTCCTAGCCTTTTAAATTGTCTTTATTGGTTGGCGATTGTCCAGAATTACCCAGTCTGCCATTAATTAAGTAGAATTTCATATGTACTTAAAATTGTATCATTTCCTACAGTTTTATTACTCATTGAAAAGGGGATTACCTGTTTCATTATGCTGTTTTAAGTAAACTGATCCATTTAAAGCCCCAAGTATAGTACCTGGTATATAGTGAATGTTCAATAAAGTTTAGCTTTTATTGTTTTTTCTAATATTGTCACTTTTTGTTAAAAAATGTCTCACGTAAAAAAATGGAACCTTGATGTTAGTGAAAGGCTCACACTTACAAAAAAGTCTTCCTGGTTCATAAACTGTCAAAGAAATTAAACAAATGTTAAGCAATTTTGTATTAATATAATTAAGGTATACTAATTCTGTGATCCTTGAAGTTAAAAAAAAATCTGGTCTAGCTCCATTGTATCATTGCTGGCTATAGATGTCTGAAACATAAAATGTATCTAATGAATTTTACACAATACGTTATTAATATTCAGGATGTGGCTTATTTATGGAGGTTGCTGGTTTTAACAGTTCCTTTTACTTTTGCTTCCCTCCCTTCCCTTAACATATTTTTAAATCGTTATCCATATTCCTTAAAGGAACCCTGACTTACTAGAATTACTTGGATTTATGAACTCAACAAAGAATTTATTTCAATTCTTAGCATTCTCTAAAAGGTTACTACTTAGGCTTTTACTTGAGAAAGAGGAAGAGAAACGTCTGTGTTTGCAGTAAAATGTATGCCCTTCCATTTTTGCTTTTAAGCATTCGTAGGCATAGCTATTCTTTCCATCAGAGTGGAAGGGGTGGGTGCTGGGTGCTGTGTGGTTACGATGTCAAAATTAAGATGGATGAGGGAGCAACCAAGTGAAACATCCAATTCCTAGTTTTAAAATATCCCCTCCCCCACCTCCACTAAGCAATATTGGCAAAGCAATTTTATAATGTGTGAAAGCCACACGAAGAGATGAGAATGCAGCCCTCCGTAATATTGTTAGTGGAAGGGCTCTAAAATTTGTTCCCTGGCCTATTTGCTCCTATTTTTTCAATGGGTTTCATATGATTTTAGAAGAGTCCTGTATGTAAAATGTCATCATTTTCACACCAAAATAAATTTTACAAAAATAGAAACAAGAATTTATAAAACAATGGATTTTAAAAAGGCACTATCACATTAAATCCTGTCATTTAGTGAATGCAGAAACTGAGATTTAGAGAGGGTAAACTGCTTCGTTACAAAAAAGAAAATTGGCTGAATCCTTTCCCTGGGCTGACGAACTCCCATGTGAACCTTGATCAGGTGGCCTGTGCAGTTATTTCCTGGAGTGGCTGGAAAACATGACTTCTGTGAGTGATTGTGGGTTGTAGACAAGAAGGGCAGGCCAGAACAGAAGACAGGCGGCAAAGCCAAGGTGAGAATGTGGGATATTTGGATCTGAAAACAAAGTTCAAAGTACAACATGGCATAAATATTCAGATTCTAAGACATGAATAAAGCAAGATTCCTTGTAGAATGTTCTAACATGGCATTAAGGCTATTTAACTGGTTTAAAGTTGTATAATTGATAAAGATATCTTTATCAACACCATGAAGTCTACATTTCTTGGAAATTTACTATGGGCTGGGCGCGGTGTCCGAGGCGGGTGGATCACCTGAGGTCAGGAATTCAAGACCAGCCTGGCCAGCATGGCAAAACCCTGTCTCTACCAAAAATAGAAAAATTAGCCAGGTGTGGTGGTGTGCGCCTATAATCCTTGCTACTGGAGAGGCTGAGGCCGGAGAATCGCTTCAACCCAGGAGGTGGAGGTTGCAGTGAGCCAAGATACCTCCACTGTACTCCAGCTGGGGCAACAAGAGCGAGATTCTGTCTCAAAAAACAACAACAACAATTACTATGGGTTACACACTATGATTTACACTCGTTGCTTCATTTAATCTCCTCAAAGACCCATGAGATCAGTGATGACACTATTCTGTTTTTATCGATGAGGAAACTGAGGCTTAATAAAATTAGGTTGCCCCCAAATCCATAAGTGCCTCTCTCTTTAGGCTGTCTATACTCTTAACCAATATGCCCCCTTTGCCTTCCTTTTCTTTAATATTTGTTTTCTCTGCCTGATTGAAAGGTCTGGCAAGAAAATAAACCTATCCCTGTAATTCACTACTGAGGTCTCACTTCCAAGCAAAGTACCCAATGCAAAATAAATACTTGTTGAATGAACTAATAAATGAGTAAATTAATAGAGTAAGGCATTTTACCATCACTCCCGTGGACTTGCCAACTACCTCATTATGACTCTAAGAAGCCACAACAACCTCATTATGACTTTAAGGCTCTGGGTTAGATGAATGTTTCCCCTTATACTAGACACAAGCATCTGTTTCTTGGCAGTAATGGTCATATTTGCTTTTGCCATTAAGTCCTTGTTCTCAAAGTTTTCATGAGAGTAAAAATTAAAAAGTTAATTTTTAAAGTAGATCTATTCATGTCTCTACTATTGCAGACTACTGCACTTAACATGTTACCTGTTCAACAATAGTAAATAATGTTTAGAAAGATTTAAAAGCCTAAGACTTTTGGTTTAAATAGGAAATAGTAGAAAGATTTTTATTCCTCTGTCTGTTGAGAAACATTCATTTGTTACCTAGACACTTTACTACTTGGAATGCATCCCTATAACCGATTCAGAAATCTGCATCAAGATATAAAATAATATTGCCTCACATTTGCATAATGTAATTAAGATTTCAGAACTGTTTCCCATCACATCTATCATTTTATGTTTTTCTTTAGCAGAGCCTTGGTGAATTTTGAATTCATTGTGCCATAACAATACATAGTTTAATGCCATTAAAACATTGGTATTGAGGGGTAAAACTACAACATTCCTTTATGCAGCACTATATAAACTGCTTTCACATATATTATCTTAATGGACCTCACAACAACCCTGAGAAGGAGATAAAGCAAGTATTATAATCTTTATTTTACAGACCAGGAAATGGAGCCTAAGGAGTTAATTGACTTATTTGTGAAGATCACTCAGCTAGTAAGTCGTAAAGCCCAGACTAGATTCTAGGACTACTGATTTTAAGCCTGTGCTCCTTAAATCTTTTTCTTCTCCCTGACATTTTGCTGTATATAAAATTTATACCTCCTGATTTTAGTCTTTTTAACTTTCTTTTTTTGATAGCTAATATATTTGATGGAAGCAGTGATAAAATTGTATGTTTCAGCAGAATCCATATATCACAATAATGTTATAAAGCATTTATAATATGAAAAAATTTTAATATGTGAAACAAAAAATCTGTATGATACCTTGAAGAATAACTAAATCCACCCTGTAATTGTAAGGATGAGTAAACTGGATTCCAAGTAAATTAATGGTTTGCCTGTGTTCAAGAAGGTAATTAATAAAAGAACTCATAGTGTTGTTCATATTTCCTGACTCATTTATTCATCAATACTCCTTCGGATTTTAAGCCCCTATTACAGGCTGATCACTCTATTAGGCATTGAAGAATTTCAAAGACAAGTAGAACATCATTGCCTTTGTATAATTTCCAGCCTAATAGAGACATGAGGCATGCACATTGATAAATAAAATGAAATACAGAGGACAATGGCACCTTAAAGAAAGACTACGATTAGGAGAACAAAAGAAGAAAGACTAGGACGATTGTTTTTTTGTTTGTTTTTTTTGAGATGGAATCTTGCGCTGTTGCCCAGGCTGGAGTGCCAGTGTCATGATCTTGGCTCACTTTAACCTCCGCCTCCCGGATTTAGGCAGTTCTCTGCCTCAGCCTCCTGAGTAGCTGGGATTACAGATGCATGCCACCACTCCTGTCTCAATTTTTGTATTTTTAGTAGAGACGGGGTTTCACCATCTTGGCCAAGCTGGTCTTGAACTCCTGACCTTATGATCCACCCGCCTCGGCCTTCCAAAGTGCTGGGATTACAGGCGTGAGCCACCCCACCCGGCCTAGAATGATATTTTTACCTCTTTCTTTCTTTATACTGACTTCACAGTAAGTCATCGATATACAAAATACTTAATTCCATTTTTTAAATATCTTAAAACATATACTGTATACATCAGTATATATACGTGTGCATATTTATATAGGTGTTTTTATAGATCTTTGTTATTATATATAGAAATATTTTTATATGTAATAGTTGGCATGTATGAATGTAAGTATAGATGTCCACATAAATATTTCTAAGTGTGTCTGGATTTACACACACAAATACATGCAAGTATGTATAAGAGTCTCATAATACAAATCCATAACATTCTCATTGGATACTGAGATCGTCTCAATTCTGCTAATGTAATTTAATTTTTCATAATACAGTTATAAAATATCACTTAAACACTGGACAGCTCCGTAAATCTATTTATGTCATTTATTTAGTAAACGTGAACAAAGCAAGTAAAATTTATTACCACAGTTCAATTCCTTGATTTATTCAAAATACTTGCTTTTAGATTAAACTATCATGCTTAAACATTTTCACTTCCATCACCAGCACTAACAACTGGATACATTGAGAGGATGATTTTAACAAGGAAACAAAATGTGCTGTTGAGGTGGTTGTTTACTTTAGGAGAGTCACTGCATCTCTAAAGAGTAAGGCCAACTTGCCATGGTGTGTAATGGCCTGCGTTCACACCCAGGAGGTAAACTCAGCTGCATACTGGCTTCAGAGTCCTCACAAATTGAACCCAGGAACCTACAATGTTACAAAGGGCTTCATGTTGTGAATCTTTGAGGTCTCTCATAACTGTCGAATTTCTTTGATTAAGACATAATTCATTGCATTTTGCAACATTGATTTACTACCGTCTTTTCAGGAAAAAAACATACATCAATTTTAAAAAGCATCTCGATTTCAGGAACATTGAAATGTGGTAGGGGGAGCAGAAAGTTAACATTAGAATTGAATAAACAGAAGTTAAAACTGTGAATGAAAAATAACAAGGTTACAGAACTATTTATTCTGTAGATTATTAAACTAATCATAATTAACATGTAAGTGTTGGTAATTATAATTCCAACCTGTTTCTCCTTCTACGTGACTAGCTGTTAATTAAGTCAGTGTTTTGGAATGTGGTGTGCATCAGAATGACCTGGGAGCCTCCTAAAAATGAAGATGCCTAGTCCTCATCTCAGAGCTTCCAGTTCAGATTTATATGGGTAGAACCTAATTGCTGTGTGGTTTACAAACTCCTCAGGTGATATGGGTTATCTTCAAGTTTTGAGAGTTAATGTCTGAGACTCAATGCTGAGGGAAGTATGAATCTTTCTTCGGTCCACATTTCTTTACATTTGATTTTGTTTTTCATTTTTTGTTAGCTTTATTGTTTTGAAGTCAACACTATTTTTCCATTGTCACTTAAATCTTAGTCTTCACCATATGTATTTAAATGTGTAAAATAATTTCATAATCTTTGACTCAATAGTTGCACATTTCCCAGAATGTCTCCTAAGGATATCTTTTAGAAAATAGGCAAATATTTATTGATAAATATAAAATACCAATTTAAATTGCCCTCTTCTCTCACAATCTTTGGGCAAAATGCTGAGACATCACATCCAGCTTAAGGTCTTTTCTAACTGACTTTGTTCAGACAAGTTGATGTAGCCTGCCTCAAAACACTTATATTCTGTCCTGTGGAAGCATTTGGTTCAAATCATGACTCCTCCCTAATCTCCTATTTCAACTCATTTTGCTAAGAAGACTCTGTACTTACTATTGCTGATCTCATTTGCATATCAGTCATTGACTCACCGTAAATTTAGTATCAAAACCCACTGTTGTGCATTACATCCACAGTCAGTCAAATGTTTAGGAAGGGTGGTGCATGATGGAAAATGAATATATCTATCAATTTTGGAGCAGGATATGTTACCAGGGAGAGTGTACCAATGCTAGGGAAACACTGGTAGCTACATATTTCAGTTCTGGGAGCAACAACATCATAAAAGTTATGAAAGAAAATCTCATGGGGCCTAGGAGGGGGCTGCGTCACTCTGAGATAATGTGGTATTAATCTAGTATTTCCCAGAGTGTGGTGTTGATGGCACATGAATGGATTTTTCCCCATAGTGATATACTTATTGTAGCATGTACTAGAAAATATTACTGACATACCGCAACTTTTAACAGATATGGTGCTTACGCTGAGGCTAAAATAGCTGGACTTTAAGGAAAAGAAATGAGTTAATTTACATAGAAATGAATTAAGTAACGTTAAGTTGGCATGTGGATATGGTGAAGATTGCGAGGATGCTACAAACATGCCTAAGGTTTCAGAAACACTGCACTTATTAATACTGGTTGCACATCTAACACAGACCCCAGGCATTACTAAGAGCACGTGTTCATTTCTGTCCCTTCTGGGACTCAACATGGTGGCTGCACTTGGTGAAGACTTAACACAGTACCTAGAATTATTTAATATATATTTACATCATAGTGCCTGTTTAACTGCCTGTATTAAAAAGTTTATGATTCATAACCCTCAAAAAAAGGCCTAGAAAGTATAACACACAGGTAAATACATTAGCTTTGACAGCAGAAAGAACTAAATACTAATTTCAATTCTTTACTGACTGTCATTCTCTGGGCAAATCATTAAGCTTCCCTGAGTCTGAGTTTTCTCATCTGACCAATGGAGATACAGGTTGAATATCCCTTACTTGAAATGCTTGGGACCTGAAGTGTTTCAGATTGTAGATTTTTTTCAGATTTTGGAACACTGTATTTGCAGTATATTGGTTGAGCATCCCTAATCCAAAAAATCCGAAATCCAAAATGCTCTGAAGAGCATGTCCTTTGAGCATCATTTCAGATTTTGGATTTTCAAATTAGAAATACTCCATCAGTAATATTTGGGTAGATCATAATTTTTAGGATAAATGGTAGAATATACAAAGATTTCTAGTGCTACTTCATAGTAGGTACTCAATATTACAGTATTATTGTTATTTTTTGCTTTCTTTTTTAAAGAGATATCTGTTAAGCCAGATGACCATAAAAAGTGTTAAGAAAATAATTTGTAGCTGGGCACAGTGGCACGTTCCTATAGTCTCAGCTGTTTGGGAGGCTGGGGCAGAAAGATTGCTTGAGTCCAGGAGTTTGAATATCTCAATATTTCAGCCAGAATCCCCATGCCTCTTCCTTGCCAGCCTTGACTGAAAAGCATTGCTGGTCAACACGTTGTTAGAATGCAGTTGCTGGTTCTCCAGTCTTGGGGAAGATGGAAAAAACCAGTATCCCTTCTGATCCTCTCTTGAATCAGTGAACCGAGGGAATTCACTTCTGTAAGAGTCTTTCCTTATTAATATATTTTAAGGTTTTCCTGTCAGATCTAAATTTTATTTTCCGATATCTGCATGATATTCCACTGTAGAGCTATTCCACTATAGATACTAATATTTAGGTTATTTCCAGCATTTCACTACCTGAAGCAATACTATAATTGCATAATGCCATATACAAAAATCATTTCACACATGTTCAAGTATACCTATAACATAAATTCCTAGCAGAGTGTCTAAATCAAAGGCTACTTACATTTTCAATTGTTAAATATGTTGCCAGATTACTCTGCAGAAAGCTTGTGCTACTTTATACTCCCACTACAACACAGGAGTGTTTCCCCACATCCACATCAAAACAGTCCATTTAAAACACATTATTCATCTTATACATAAAAAATAGAACTATAGTTTTAAATGGTAAGTCCTTAATTATGCATAATATGAAGGCTTTGCTTTCTTTCAATGTTTTATGACAAACTGCATAACCAGTCTCCCAGCCATACACTTTATCCTGTGGATAGAAGGTCAGAGCACTTCTGCCCTGGAAGTAACCTTATATTTCACTTGCTTTGCATATCGGAAAGGTGACGCCCAAGGTAGAGATGATGGGGTGTTGCCAAAAGTCACACAGGACCTCAGACTTTTTTTTTTTGAGACAGGTCTCACTCTGTCACCCAGGCTGGAGTGCAGTGGTGTAATGTTGGCTCACTGCAACCTCTGCCTCTCAGGCTCAAATGATTCTCATGGCTCAAATGATTCTCGGCTAATTTTTGTATTTTTAGTAGAGAAGGGGTTTCTCCATGTTGCACAGGCTGGTCTCAAACTCCTAGGCTCAAGCAATCCATCCACCTCGACCTCCCAAGGTGCTAGGATTATAGGCATAAGCCACCATACCCGGCCTTATTGTTTACTTAACAACTGACCATTCACTGTCTCTGAGTGAAGGGGTTCCTGGAATTCCCTTCCTGGCTCCAATAATCCACTGCTTATGATGCAGAAGACAAGTGACTTTGTTAGAATTTGAGGGTTCAAACTCAGCTTGATCAACACAAGTTTTTCACACACTTATAATGGGTTTAACTGATGTAAAAGGCATTTTAAGAAACCAGAGGAAAATTATTCTTAAAGCGAAGAACATTCTGTTTTGCAGCAACAACGAACATATTCCAAAGAGATTTCACTCATGTATCCTGAATGTGGCATCTGATGAGATAAAATTATCCTGGCTGATTTGTGTGCAGATGTTTGCTTGTACCTTGTAATTCATACTCTGCTACATTATTAGTGCTATTTTCTCTTCCTGTAAAATGCTGCATCCTTGAGAAAACAGCTCCAGTGGGCCTATGACTACCTACCTTCAAACACAGTCAAATAAAGTGCTTCTTTGGAGAAGCTTCTTCCTAACTCCACCATAGAGCCTTTCTGCAAAATCAGAATAACCACAGTATCAAGTAGAAATGATTATTGACAGCCAAAGATATTTACAAGTTAAGGAAGTGAAACCTCTGCTTGACTTGACTTTTGAGTAATGACTGGGGCAATTGATTACCAGAGGGAATCCAGTTGGCTTTCCATGAAGAAGCTAATAATGGCTAATTTAATCTTCTGGGAGAGTGAATCATTCCTCACTCCCTGGTTGTCTTTCCTCTTACCTTGCTCTGCCTCTAATGTTGGAGCCTCCTCCTCTCTTCCCTAACACCAAACTTCCCAGTAAAAGGAGGCCAGGAGAGAAATGGAACATACAGCCATGTCCCACAAAATGATGTTTCTGTATGATGTTTCTGTCAAAGATGGACCACATCTACCATGGTGGTCCATCCCATAAGATTATAATGGAGCTGAAAAGTTCGTTTTGCTTAGTGACGTTGTAGCAGTCGTAATGTTGTAGCACAATGCATCACTCACGTGTTTGTGGTATTACTGCTGTAAACAAATCTACAGCATTGCCAGTCTATAAAAGTATATCACATATAATGATGCACAGTATATATTTGATAATGATAATAAAAGACTATGTTGCTTATGTATTTGCTATACTATACTTCCTTGTTATTTTAGAGTATACTCCTTCCACTTAAATATAAAAGTTAACTGTAAGACAGCCTCAGGAGGTGTTCCAAAAGGCATTGTTAATATAGGAGATGACAGTTCCATGCATGTTATTGCCCCTGAAGACCTTCTAGTGGGACAGGCTGTGGAGATGGAAGACAGATACTAGTGATCCTGACCCCTGACCCTGTGCAGGCCTAAGGTAATGTGCGGTTGGTGTTTGTGTCTTAGTTTTTAACAAAACATTTAAGAAGTAAAAACAAACATTTAATAGAAAAAGTATACAGAATAAGATATAAAAAAGAAAATGTATTGTATAGCAGTACAAAAATATTAGTGTTTTAAGCTGTTATTACAAAAGAGTCAGAAGTTTAAAAATTAAAAAGTTTATGAAGTAAAAAAGTTGAAGTAAAAAAAAAGTTTATGAAGTAAACAAGTTAAAGTAAAGGCCAAGCACAGTGGCTCATGCTTGTAATCCCAGCACTTTGAGGCTGAGGTAGGAGGATTGTTTGAGTTCAGGAGCACGAGACCAGCCTGGGAAACATAGTGAGGTCTTGTCACTAAAAAAAAAAAAAAAAAGTTACAGTACGCTAAGGTTAACTTCTTATTGAAGAAATAAAACTTTTATGTAAATTTAGTGTAGCCTAAGTGTTTATAATGTCTACAGTGATATACAGTGATGACTAGGTCTTCACGTTCACTCACCACTCACTTATTCGCTCACCCAGAACAACTTCCAGTCCAGCAAGCTGCACTCCCTCCATACAGGTGTACCATTTATTTTCATCTTGTATTTTTATTGTACCTTTTCTATGTTTAAGTATGTTTAGATACATAAATACTTATGACTTAACAATTGCCTACAGTATGAAGTACAGTTGCATGCTGTACCCATTTGTAGCCTAGGATCAATAGGCTATAACATATAGCCTGGGTGTATAGTGGGCTTTACCATATAGGTTTGTATAAGTACATTCTATGATGTTCACAGGATGACAAAATCACCAAAAGATACATTCCTCAGAATATATCTCCCTTATTAAATTACACATGACTGTATATCATTATCTCTTCTTGAGAGAAGAAAAGTATAGGAGACCTGGATTTTAGCACTAGATCCACCACTCACTCACTATGGGACTTGGGGCAAGTCAAAACATTTCCCTGGGTATCTTCTTTATCTCTGAGATTCTTTACTTCTTTGAAATTATAGGATTTTTAATGTCTTGTTAAACTCCTATTGGAAACAAATCCCATTTATTGCAGAGTTTCCCAAGTATATTTATGAGGAGTCTTTCTTTTGCAGTTTGCCAAAACACAACTCAAATTGACATAAGCAGGAAAGATAATTTATCTCATATAAATGGAAAGTATAGAAATAGAGCCATACTCAACCATGTTTGGATCATCAGCTTCTGTCTTGCTGCCTGTCAGTCTCTTTCCCCCTTGGCTTCTGCTCTTTTTTTTTCTTTTCTTTTCTTTTCTTTCTTTCTCTTTCTTTCTCTCTCTTTCTTTCTTTCTTTCTTTCTTTCTTTCTTTCTTTCTTTCTTTCTTTCTTTCTTTCTTTCCTTCTTTCTTTCTTTCTTTCTTTCCTTCTTTCTTTCTTTCTTTCTTTCTTCTTTCTTTGTCTCTCTCTCTCTCCCTCCCTCCTTTCCTTCCTTCCTGTCTTCCTTTCCTTTCCTCTTTTCTCTTCCTTCCCTCCCTCCCTTCCTTCCTTCCTTCCTTCCTTCCTACCTTCCTTCCTTCCTCTTTCTTTCTTGGTACATAAGTTCTTTAGTGTTGATTTCTGAGATGTTGGTGCACCCATCACCCAAGCAATGTACATTGTACTCAATGTCTTTTATCCGTCACCCCCCCTTCCACCCTTTCCCCCTAGTCCTCAAAGTCCATTGTATCATTCTTATGCCCTTGCATCCTCATAGCTTAGCTGTTTCTTCTGTTTTGGTTCTTCCCTTGTGTTAGCAAGGTAGCCACTAGCAGGTTCAGATTAATATTCCATCAACCCCAGTAAAATAGTTCCATCAAAAGTTCTAGAATTGGGTTTCACTAGACAAAAGTGTGTTTGCTGTAAGCAGTTGCTCTGGATCATGTTTCGACTTTTGTGTCAGGCAATTAGAAAGAGGCAGAAGGAAAAATGCAGCTGACTCTACTAAAATCATATGGACTCAGAATGAGAAGGGATGTTTCCCCAAAGGCAGTTCTGTTATCAGAAGAATGGAGAGATAATGTGCAAGCAAAATGAGTGGTCACTAGTGGCTTAGTCCATTCTAGCTGCTATAAGAAAATACCTTACACTGGGTAATTTATAAATGATGGAATTTATTGCTCACAGTTTTGAGGCTGATAAGTCCAGGATCAAGGCACCAGCACATTTGGTGTCTTGTGAGGGCTCATTTCTCATAAATGGCACCTACTTGCTGCATCCTCACATGGCAGAAGGGGCAAACAAGCCTCCTTGGGCCTCTTTCATAATGGCACTTGTTGCATTGCCTATTCAAATTTGGTGCTGTGTGAAGGACAAAATTATTTTCTGGCATGGAGCCACAAGTCATCCTTCATGCTGGTGTGTGACCTAAATGTATGCCATCTATGTTAGTTGAAACATATTGGCTGAAAGGCCAGTGCTCCCAATGATCAAAGATTGATGAGGGTCAAGCCTTTGTGACCTACTCACCTCCCAAAGGCCCCTCCTCTTAATACTGTAACTGTAGGGGTTAGATTTCAACGTATGAATTTTAGGGGGATAAAAGCATTCAGACCATAACAAGTAACTTTTGCTCACAAGAAGATTCCTTCCTTCCTTTTCAAGTAGAGGCTGCTTTTCATCTTACTTGCACTAACTATGAGGGTAAGGAAAAGGAATCAGCACTCCTTTTATCTTTAAAATATTCTGTCTCCACTAATCAACCACAAACCAGTATCTGATCACAAAGTAATTTAACTTCTTTCACTGCCTCTGGATCCATCCTTCTTGAGTCTAATCCCAGGATACCCTCTTCCCTTTCCAGAATCATATTCCTTTTATTTATCTTGTTTCTCTCCTTTGAGACTTTTTCCTTTATGGCATTGGTCTTCAGCATATTTTGACCTTACAGCTTTTTTTACAAAACAAATTCTTACCATAGCCTACAGGACTCTACATAATCTCACTCCCAGCTCCCATACTTTTCTTTATTATTATACCTTCCTCCAACCACATACATATGCCAACCAAATGAATATGCTCAAATATCAAAGACACCACCCTTAGTTTCCACTTTCTGCTAGAATGAAGTAGCCCATGACAGGTCCATGCTTCCACTGAAAACAATTTAAAAAGCCAGATATGTTACAAAAATTCTATATTAAAGGCATCTGAGAGCTACAAAAGAAAGCAAGTTTAGGGGGACTAAAATTCCAGAAAGGCAATAAACTTCCAGAGGTGATCTGAAGATCAGCAGTTGCTTTTTCCCTCAGAGATTGCTAATTCCTGGCTATGGCTAGGGGCTGAGAATCTAGACTTGGTTCTGATCAAAGCTTTTAGTAGTGACAAAATGGGGAAACAAATACACAGCTGAATTTCTCCCATGAGACACTTAAAGACAGCTAAATTCTAAAGCTGCTGTTATATCTCCTCAAATATTAGTATACTTGTCCCAGGTTTGCCTATTTTCTTCTCCTAGAAACTGCATGAGACATATATTAGCCTTTCTCACTCTGATTTCCATTTATCTTAACCGTGTATATATATTTTAAATATCTGTCTTTTTGTTCCTACTATTGAATAATTTCTTTAGATCTATTTGCTAGTTCACTAAATGTCTCTTTATCTGTATCTAACCTAATGTTTACCATCCATTTAATTTTCAATTATAATTATTTTTCTCCATCCTAAAGGTTTGATTTATTTTTATAGCCACTAGTTCTTTGTTTATATCCCTTATTTTATTTTTAATATTTTTCATATTTTTAACTATTTTTAGTATAGTTTGTACTCTATGACTAATAATTTCAATATTTGAATCTCTAATGGTCTGATTTTATTTCTGTTTCCCTCCACTCCATGAACTTTTCTACTTGAGAACTTTATCTGGGGAAATGTTTTGAGGTCTGTGTTAAAAGGGTGTTTCTCCAAAGAGGTTTTGAATTTGCTTCTCTTTGATCATTGGGAGCACTGGCCTTTCAGCCAATATGCTTTCAACCAACATAGATAGCGTACATTTAGGTCACACACCACCATGAAGGATGACGTGAGGCTTCATGCCAGAGAATAATTTTCTGCTTCACACAGCACCAAGTTTGAATAGACAGTTTTCCTTGGTGTTCTTCAGGAAGGGCAGGTTGCTTTTAGTTCTCTTTGGAAACCCAATTTTATGCAAACTCCTTCATACAAAGAAAGTCCTACTCTTGAAACACTAGCATTTGTTGCCTATCCCCAGTGTACAATAGGCATCACATTTTAGCTGATGCTGTAAGGATAGAGCCATCTGTGGTGTTTGTATTTCTGGAATTCTATTTTTGTTCTGCGATTGGCTTTTGCTATTGTTGTTAATCCAGAAATTTTAGGGTTTTTTTTATGAGTAAGATGTTCAAGAAAACTAGTTCATTTATGGCTGGGGTAAAAAATGTTTCTTAATTCCTCTCTATTCCCCAAGCCACTCAGCCTTCATCCCACCTCACTTGCCTCTCTGCCTACCCTCTTTTCTTGAGGTCTTGCTGTTATTTAAAGAGTCCCTCTCTAATTGTTTTTTTTTCACCAATGTAAACAACTTCCCTAGATCTTTCAATTACTTTTTCTTGCCCTGGAATTCTCTCTACATCTGTTCTTCACCATTTCCACCCAGGCTAGAGCCTGATTCTGTCTTATTTAACAATTGTACACATTTTCTTACTGTAACCCATCTTGACTTACTTGAACACAACTGTGCTCATGTCAACACATACTCAAGCCAGCAGCAATTCTTTCAACCTACCAAATCAGAACTTTAACTGCCGTTATTTTCTTTAAATTTTCTTTACCCTACATTTCAAATGTGATATGCTTTAGTGTTTTTCCTACTGTATGTAATAATAGATGGGTGTATATTTTCTCTTTTATTGATTAGATCATAGCATGAGCAAAGGCCTGGGGGATAGAAGAGCATAGACAAATTACAGGAAAAGGTAGGCAGTGAATAGATCTTATATGGCCAAATCTTAGATAACGTAGATTGTGATAAATGAGGTTCAAGCCAGACTGTGAAGAGCCTTTCAGAGCTGAGGAGGTGGCATTTTTCTATGGCCCACAGAGTACCAGTGAAAATCCAGATTATTTTTGTACAACCACTTTCCACTTTGAGCAACTCTAGGAAGCTATATTAGTCCATTCTCATGCTGCTATGAAGAAATACCTGAGACTGGGTAGTTTATGAAAGAAAGAGGTTTAATTGACTCATGGTTCCACATGGCTAGGGAGGCCTCAGGAAACGTACAATCATGGCAGAAGGGGAAGCAAACACGTCCTTCCTCACAAGGCAGCAGGAGAGAGAAGTGTTGAGTGAAGGGGGAAGCCCTAATAAGACCATCAGATCTTGTGAGAACTCACTCACTATCATGAGAACAGCATGAGGAAAACCATCTTCATCATCCAATCACTTCCCACTGGGTCCGTCCCACAACACATGGGGATTATGGGAACTACAGTTCAAGATGAGATTTGGGTGGGGACACAGCCAAACCATATCATTCTACCCCCATCCCTCCAAATCTTGTGTCCTCACATTTCAAAACACAATCATGCCTTTCCAACAGTACCCCAAAGTCTTAACTCATTCCAGCATTAACCCAAAAGTCCAAGTCCAAAGTCTCATCTGAGACAAGGCAAGTCTCTTCTGCCTATGATCCTATAAAATCAAAAGTAAGTTAGTTCCTAGATACAATGGGGTGCAGGCATTGGGTAAATACACCTGTTCAAAATGGGACAAATTGGCCAGAACAAAGAGGCTATGGGGTCATGCAAGTCCAAAATCCAATAGAGCAGTCATTAAACCCTAAAGTTTCCAAATGATCTCTTTGGACTCCATATCTCACATTCAGGTCACACTAATGCAAGAGGTGGGCTCATGGCCTTGGGAAGCTCCGCTCCTGTGACTTTGCAGGATACAGCCCCCCTCCCAGCTGCTTTCACAGCTGCTGTTGAGTGTCTGCGGCTTTTCCAAGCACACAGTGCAAGCTGTTGGTGGCTCTACCATTCTGGGGTCTGGAGGACAGTGGTCCTCTTCTCACAGCTCCACTAGGCAGTGCCCCAGTGGTGACTCTGTGTCAAGTCTCCAACCCCACATTTCCCTTCTGCACTGCCCTAGCAAAGATTCTCCATGAGGACTCCGCCCCTGCAGCAAATTTCTGCCTGGACATCCAGGCATTTTTGTACATCCTCTGAAATCTAGGCAGAGGTTCCCAAACCTCAATTCTTGACTTTTATGCACCAGCAGGCTCATCATTATGTGGAAGCTGCCAAGGTTTAGGATCTGCATCCTTGGAAGGCATGGCCTGAGCTGTACCTTGGCCTCTTTTAGCCACAGCTGGAGCAGCTTGGATGCAGGGCTCCAAGTCCCCAGGCTGCACACAGCAGGGTGGCCCTAGACCCAACCTATGTAACCATTTTTTCCTTCTAGGCCTCCAGGCCTGTGATGGGAGAGGCTGCTGTGAAGGCCTCTGTCATGCCCTGGAGACATATTCTCCATTGTTTTGGTGATTAACATTTGGCTTTTATATGATTTGGCTGTGTCCCCATTCAAATCTCAACTTCAGTTTTATCTCCCAGAATTCCCACATGTTGTGGGAGGGACCCATGGGGAGATAATTGAATCATGGGGGCTGGTCTTTCCTGTGCTGTTCTCATGATAGTGAATAAGTCTCATGAGATCTGCTGAGTTTATCAGGGGTTTCCACTTTTGCTTCTTCCTCATTTTTCTCTTGCTGCCACCATGTAAGAAGTGCCTTTCACCTCCTGCCATGATTCTAAAGGCTCTTCAGTCATGTGAAACTGTAAGTCCAATTAAGCCTCTTTTTCTTCCCAGTCTCAGGTATGTTTTTATTAGCAGTGTGAAAACGAACTAATACAGGCTCCTTGTTACTTATGCAAATTTCTACAGCAGGCTTAGATTTCTCCCCGAGAAAATGGGTTTTTCTTTTCTATTGCATCATCAGCCTGCAAATTTTCCAAACTTTTATGCTCTGCTTCCTCTTGAACACTCTGCTGCTTAGAAATTTCTTCTGCCAGATACCCTAAATCATCTCTCCCAAGTTCAAAGTTCCTCAGATCTCTAGGGCAGGGGCAAAATGTTGCCAGTCTCTTTGCTAAAGCATAGCAAGAATCACCTTTATTCCAGTTCCCTACAAGTTCCTCATCTCCATCTGAGACCACCTCAGCCTGGATTTCATTGTCCACATCACTATCAGCATTTTGGTCAAAGCCATTCAGCAAGTCTCTAGGAAGGTCCAGACTTTCCCATATTTTCCTGTCTTGTCTGAGCCCTCCAAACTGTTCCAACTTCTGTCTGTTACACAGTTCCAAAGTTGCTTCCACATTTTCAGGTATCCTTATACCAGCATGGCACTCTCTGCAGTACCAATTTACTGTATTAGTCTGTTCTCACACTGCTGTAAAGAAATACCCAAGACTGGGTAATTTATAAAGGAAAGAGATTTAATTGACTCACAGTTCTGCATGACTGAGGAGGCCTCAGGAATCTTAAAATTATGGCAGAAGGAGAAGAAAACACATCCTTCTTTGCATGGCGGCACAGAGAGAAATGCCGAGCAAATGGGGAAGCCCCTTATAAAACCATCAGATCTTGTGAGAATGCACTCACTATCATGAGAACAGCATGAGGGAAACTGTCCCATGATCCAATCACTTTCCACTGGGCCTCTCCCATGACACATGGGGATTATGGGAACTACAATTCGAGTTTTGGCTGGGGACACAGCCAAACCATATCAGAAGTATACATGAATGGCATCTCCTGAAGTTTTGCAACATGTCGGTCTCAGTAAACCTTATATAGAGCAATATCTTAAATATGGTTGGCACTCAGTATATGTTTACTAAATTTTGTCCAACCTCCATAAGGGATATGATGTCCTAACCTTTATTGAGATAAGGAAAGTTAAGGCTGGTAGAAGCCTGTAATTGGAAAGATCTCCATAAAATATTGTTGTATTTTTGTCTCTCCTTTAAAGTGAAAGCAAATATTAGAATATTATGTTCAGACTTTAAACACTTCATCTTTGTGGGCTTTAAAATGTATAATATAATAGAACTATGTGTTATTCTATGTAATTTTGCCAGAAAAAAAGTTTCTATTATATATAACTTAGGTCTCAGTCTAAGTCAAGCAGTTACATCAAGAGTTAAATCTCAATTTCTATCAATCAGTACCTAAAAATTAGTATAAATGAGGGGGAAAAGTTTCTGAATTTGCTCACTTGTTCTCTCTCTCTTTCTCTGTCTCTGTCTCTGTCTCTCTCTCTCACACACACACACACACACACACACACAGACCTTTCACTTCCGTAACAATAGAGGAAGAAATGAGAAATGCAAACCTTACTTGCTGGTCAGAAGCTATGGAAGAACATATAATAAATATCTGGGCCTGATGCCCATGCTAGGGATGCTACTATTGGAGAAGTGCCATTGCCATTCAATAATGCCCTAAGGAGGAATCCTATTCATCTGGCTCTCTCGAGACAGGATATGTGGGAACTGATATAGCCAAGCTGCAGACTAACAGAAGCCATTAATCCAGTGTCCATCATAAACCTCATCTATCTGGAGTCTATGAAAAGGAAGTCTGGATCCTTGAGAGTCTTCTACCTTAGAGGTAGTTGTGGAAGGAAGCCGGGCAATTGGTGCCAATTTTCTTTTCTTTTTTAGCCTCTCAACTACTAAATAGGCTTTTCTTTATTTAAGCGTGTATTCAACAGCACTTTAATTTAGTTGGATCATTGGCAACTGTCCCTAAACTGCCAAACTTAGTACAAAAAAAATCATTCCATAAGAGTCCTGGGTGTTAATATTTAACGCATTGTTAGTTTGTTTTGAGTCTAGCTTGATCATAAATACTCATGCCTAGCAGAAATTTGAGAATGAAGGGAGAAAATCCTTCTGATCCTGCATCTGAAATGGTTACATATAAAACAAATTGGCTCGCTTGCATGTGCTTTTATTATCCTGTGCCTCCAAGTTACTCAGCCTCCAGTGTGGAACCTTAAACAAACACAAAATTTGTCACAATTTGATAAGCTCTGAGCCCATATGTGCATACTTTCATCAAAAGTACAACAGACTTAAAATTTAATTTCTATGCCTGACAAAACAGTTGAGTACTCTGTGTTTTATTTTCTTCATTTGACAGTTGTTTTTATTTTCACAGTAAATTTTTCAAAGATGAATTCTGGCTATTCAACAGCAAAGAAGAGTGAATCTGAAAAATACCAAGAGATAAGTTTAAGAAAGATGCAGTCTCAAAAGTAGAAGTGACATGAAGGCACATTCAGGGAGACATGAGAGGCCAAATTACACATCAAATTGTAAAAGCTGCAGATGGACATTGCCAGTCACCAGGAGGGAGGGAGAGACAGGAAGGGAGAATGCCAAACAGCAGCTTTGACAAGCATAGCCTATCAATTTCACTAGACAATTATAGGATCTGTAGGAATCTTGTTGCCTTGTTCATTTTCCTGTATACCCTCTTTATTTCTCAGGAAGTCCTGACCCGGGGTAATGACTGCTTGTGGTGTAGACAGCCCATCAAGGAGTCCTGTTCCTATTTTAGCTGCCCATGATATGACTGTGACTCCACAATTAACCACAAAGACAAGATGAGAGACACCCAAAAAGAGCGCAAGCTGCTGACATCTCCCTGGAAAATCAACTTTATCCTCTCTAGCCAAAATGGATCATTAAAGGGGTTTTTTCTAAAAAAACTTGGAATCTTCCCAGTGTAGGCAGTAGAGATTTCCAGCAGACAAGTCAACATTAAATCTGAGGTTGAATGAGAGTGATCACATTTGACACCAGGACAAGAGCTAGGTTCTAGCCTGGCTATTCTGATACCAATTTAAAAATATTAATTGGCTCTCTTAGGAGAGGAGATGTGGGAATTGATGTAGCCCAGCTGCAGACTAAGAGAAGCTATTAATCCAGTGTCCATCGTAAACTTCACCTATCTGGAACTTCAACAACCAAGTTCTTGAAAATGTTGTTAGTAGAAAGGATTTATTTGAGAAGGGGCCACCACAGCAGATATGCTTAATTACTTTGATTTTATGAAATTCTATTTATTTGATCAGAAGTATAACCCCCAAATTAATTGTAATTCTAAGGATTTAAACCATTCAGTTAACATAAGATTTTAACAGTCGTTTGAAATTTTGACTTGACAGGACTGAAACGAAAGTGCAAAAACTTGAACTTAAAAATCTACTATAAAATAAATTAATGCTTTCAAAAGAATGAAAGCAGGGAGTTTTAATTCCAATTTTTTTTTTATTGTAACATTTTATTTTGTGCCTCTTACTCTCTTGCCACAAATTAAAACATTTATGTTTTCAGCCCCTTTTTTTATTAAAAAATGTGTTTGTGATATCTCTTTGCCACCCGTAATCCCACACATCACTCACCTATTTTGTTCATTGCTGTCTGATTCTTAAAGATGAAAAGGGAAAGTGATTTGCAATGTGTAGTTCTGATGTAAGTAGGTGAGAAAAGCTGAATGACTACTCACCATGATCTCATCAAATGTCACATGTCTGATAATATTAATGGTGAAAATGTATGGAGGTTTACAATGTGCTTATTACTTTGGTATGTATTTACATGAACAGTATTAGTTTATTAGATGCATCCAAACAACTACTCTGTGAGGGAGAAATTAAAAGCTGGGCAGAGAGATGTTAAGTAACATGCCCAAGGTCACACAGTTAGTAAGAGATAAGAGCTGGCCTTTAAGCCTAGGGTCTGACTCCAGAGTTCTTGTCCTTAAGCATAAAGCAACATCATTCTTCCAGTAATTTTTATGATATGTGAATATCATATTATATTTATAAAGAGCTAACTTTAAAGATAGGAAAAAATGTATAATTTTACTGTTTCCCTCAAATAAAAATTGTTTACAATTTTAGGTCATATACAAAATTGGTGGCACACATAATTATGATTGTGCTGGTTGATAATAAGATATAAGATAAAAAGCATTCATTTTCTCTAACAGAAATGATTTGTTCTCATTTTTCACAGTTTTACAGTAATTATCATCAGTGTTAGTGTTGACAGTTTTCCCTGATATTAGGAACTGCTTTGTCAATCTTATTATTACCCATAGACTTTTAAAAAGACCATCGTTCAAATCTAGATGGAGAAAGAGAGAGCGAGCTTTATTATGCTTTCAAATGGACCGTTTCCGCATGTCCCCAGGTCAAAATTACAAGTGCTGCACTCTCTTCTTGTCATTCATCAATCCATTCATTCATTTACTCTCTTTCATTTAAAAAATGTTTATCATACTGTTTTTATATTAGTCATATGAGCAAACACCCTCCCTACTTTCACAAGTCTTTCATTTTAGTGGGAGAGATAAATATTGATTTAAAAAATCAAATTTATAACCACAAGCTGTGATACATGTTATTTAGAAAAATAGCTGATATTGTGAAAACATGCACTAGAAGAACCTGGCCTGATCTGAAAATCTCAGGAAGATCTGTATTTATTTTCTAGAGCTGCTGTAACAAATTACCACAAACTGGTGGCTTAAAACAACAGAAATGTATCCTCTCACAGTTCTGGAGGCCAGAAGTCTGAAACTGGGTGTCAGCAAGCTTGGTTCTTTCCGGAGCTCTAAGAAGACTATTCCGTCCTCTCTTCTAGCTTCTGGTAGTCACTGGCATTCCTTGATGTTTTTTGATTTGTAGACACAATGCCCCAATCTCTGCCTTCATTTTTACATGACATTCTCCCCTGGATATATCTGTATGTTTGTGTCTAAATTTTCCTTTTTAAAAGGACATCAGTCATCTTGATTACATTTGCAGAGACTCTATTTCCAAGTAAGGTGACATTCCTTGGTACTGGGAGTTAGGACTTAAACATATCTTTTGAGGGACGTGACTCAACCAACAACAGCTTCCTTGAGTCAATGACACTGGAGCTGAGATGATTAGAATCTATGGAAGACAGGACTTTGCAAAGGGAATGGGACAGGTAAAGTCTCCGAAACAGGAAGGACCATCCTGTTTAAAGACTTGAGAGAAGGACACAGAGACAAACACATGCACAGGGAAACACAGGAGCAAAAAGTCTCAAGGAGTCACCCACGGCGCTGCTTAACCGCTCCCATGCACAGACTCCCCTCCCATGAGGCGTGGACATCACATCGCCTTTGCTCCAGGTCTACCTCCACTGACCAGCCAGCACCCTCATGTGCCCTTGAGTCAAAAGAGAAGCAAACACTCCTCTCTTCTGGGCTAGACTTTAGGAGAGAAAGTCTATGTGGTAAAGAATCCTTCAGGGCCAAAGCTTGGGTTGTGCTATATGAACACAAGGTTCGGGAGAAGGCTTGGGTTAAATCCCAGCTTTGTGCAGCCTTGGGTAAGTGCATGATTCTGAGCCCCAGTTTTTTCATATAAAAGGTGAGGTGAGTATAGCGTCTGCATCGTATTCAAGTACTTTGTAAATTTCAACAATAAGGAGAAAGAATGCTACTTGGAATAGGGAAGATGAAAAATCCTTGGCCTTTTAAGCCTAGCATAGTTCATCCAAATTACTTCACAGTAACAGAAGGAGCTGGGTGGGGGATGGGGGGAAACTATTAATAGCATTCCCCAGTCTGTGTACCGTGGAGGAGGTGAGAAGGTTAATAGTAACAATAACATTTCATCTGTGCACAATGGAGAGGGTGGGAGAACAAATATTAATCATTTTAATAATGGAATATGTTTACAGTGGTTTATGGGTAACAGTGTTTTCTCATATACAATCTTATGCAATGCTTGTGTCTCCTATCCCACTTTTAAAATAAAACTCATGTATCTGGGGGATGAGAGAGTTTTAAAATACCAACCTCCCTATCTGCTAGCACTTTGACTGGAGTAGTCCGTCACATTAACCAATCTTGAGAAGGCTGAATGAGTGGGTGAGATAACCCATGAGGAAAAGGAGACCAGAATAGAGCTTCAGGCACCTACCCCCAGGAAGGTGTTGGAGACAAGGGAGAGAGGAGAAATCCCATTTTCTCCCAGGACCCATCCTGTGTACCCAAAGGGTCTCAGCATTTCCAGCAACAGATCCAGGTATATAATTTGTCAGAGTTGTGGTCAAGGTTAGGTTTATCCAGCAGAGGGCCACACAGTATGCGTCATGCAATAGCCACGAAGCACTGGAGAAGGAGCTACACACTCACCTGAGACACATTCCCCAGAGGGTTTGCAATGAACCATGTGAGGCATCCAGGAAGACTTTTTGATCCCTCAGTGAGATGGACCCTGTTACCTCATATATCTTTCCAAAATGTTTTTATGCATGTATGTACCTATAGGTCCACATAGATGTGTGTGCATATGTGCATATATATATATATATATATATATATATATATATATATATATATAATCTCTTTAGTTTTTTACATGAATGACATTATACTTTGGACTTCATTCGTCATCTTGCTCTTTAAATGTTTTGAGGTGCAACTAGCCTCATTGGTTCATGTAGATCTTCCTATGTGTTTTTAAACTATTGCATAGTAATTTATAGACTGGACATACCACTTTATTATGCTGGTCCCTTTTTTATTTTTGTTTTTTAAGCTTTTTTTAGGGACAGGGTCTCAATCTGTCACCCAGGCTGGAGTGCAGTGGTGCCATAATAGCTCACTGCACCCTCAACCTTCTGGGCTCAAGTGATTCTACCACCTTAGCCTCCCAAACACCATGCCTAACAATTTTTGTTTGTTTGTTTGTTTGTGGAAACAGGGTTTCACAATGTTGCCTAGGCTGGTCTCAAACCTGTGGTCTCAAGCGATCCCCTCGCCTCAGCCTCCAAAAATGCTGGGATTACTGGTGTGAGCCACTGTGTCCAGCCCAAGCTGTTCCCCTTTACATGGACAGTGCATTGTTTCTAATTTTTCACTATGACAGTGTTGCACAGGTGTGGGCTAGATCGTCATGAAGTCTCTCATTATTACCTTTTAACATACTATGTAACTTACATAGTTATCTTGCTGATTTTTGTTTCACTCTGCTAGAGTATAAACTCCAGGAAAGCAAGGATGTTTGTTTATTCTATCCTCAGCTCTATCTCCAGCCCCTAAAACTGTGTATGCAGTGAATATTCATTGAACAAATGTGCTATAGCCATATTCTGCAGCCACATATAGTTATGGTGTAACTATTATCCTCTTAATAGGAGGACAGCTCTCTGAGGGCATGGACACCCTCAGAGTGTTTTAGCTGCAGTGCCTGGCACAATGCCCTGCTTAGAGTGAGAGCTTTATACATTTTAGGAACAAACAGTAACGTGTACTGTTTAATACATCATCAGATCAACGTGGCTCTGCATCTCAGCTCAACTTACTGATCCCATGATTCTGATGAAACATCCACCCAAAAAGGATTACCATCAGCTTGCATCTAGTCCTATCACCACCTCCCTTGCTTCCACTCTCTAAGCCGCTACCATCTCCAAGCTGGATTTTTGCAGTGACCTCCAAACCAGTCCGCTTAATTCCACCCTTATGCTCAGTCTTCTCCTTTTACTAGAGCAGTCAGAGTAAAATGTTAAAAGCTAAGTCAGATCAGGGCACTGCCCCTCTCAACTCCTCCTGTGGCTTCCTACCCACTCTGAGTAAAAGCTTAAATCAATGCAAAATGGCCTAAAAAGCACAGCATGGTCTGCACACACTGCCCTCCCATTACTGTCTGCCCTCTCTTTGGCTGCTGTCCTAGCTCACTCATTCCTCCAGCCTCCCCGGCTCCCTGAAGTTCCTGGAACTTGGACGTCTGTGCTCACTGTGGAGCTCTTGTACTATTTCCTCACTACCCTGGCACGCTTTCCCCCCCAGGCATCAGCCTTTAATCAAATAGCAACTACTTAGGCTTTCTCAGATCTAAAATCACAACACCACCTGGATCCTTCCTGTCGACCTCTGTTCTGTATTATTTTTTCCCATAACACATTATTATTATAATCTAGCACAGTATATTTACTTAGCATGCTTATTATGTGGGTCTCCAACTAACATAGCAGCTCCATGAGCCAACGATGTATGTCTGTTTTATTTATTCACTGCTGTATCTTCCATACCAAGTACAGTGCTTGGCAGCTATGCAGCATTCAATACATATTTGTTGAAGAAGCTGATTTTAGAACAGAGCACTTATTTGACACATACCATGTGAAACGCTTTACCGGCCTTATTCCATGTATCTTTTGCCACCATCCTTTAAGGGTGGGACTATAGTGATGCGGTTGAGAGAATGGGCCCTAGAGTCTAACAGCTTAGATTAAATCCTATCTCCATTGCTTACCAACACTGAGCAGAAGGTCAATTATTTATCTTCACTAAGTCTCTGTTATGTGAATGATTAAAAGGGAAATATTAATGACTATTATTTATTATTATTAGTTGCATTTAATCAGACTCTATGAAGCAACCAGTGCAACATCATAAGAAGTTTTTCAACCACAACCCTAGATCTAGGCACCAAATCCCCTTTTATTTAATTATCTATCTCATGTGATCATTTTACAATGCAATAGCTATGTTGTGCATACGGTTTTGCAGGATTAAAGCACTCCCTTGCCTGAACCCTATTTCACATAGGAAAAATATTAACTGCTAGTTTATAACCACCCTAAAAAATGGGATTTCTAAGTGAAAAGCCCTAAGCGATTAATTCAATCAGTGCTCAGAACATTATGACAATGAATGATACATAGCCTTGTGTTAAATCTTCATAATGCTCTGGACAGCAAATGTGTTTAGTGGCCTTACACTTTGACTTCTATAGAACAGGACTTCTTTGTAAGTCATCTGAGAGTTCTAAAGGCAATAATAGATATGAAAAAGAGTGTTGTGTTTCTGGTCCTAAGAGAAAGACAAGGACCATGCAGCGGTTAAAACAAATGTTTTGGAATCAGGCTGAAGTGATTTTAAATTTTGTCAGACACATCAAAGGCTCTCAAAAAACATTAACTGAGTCAATGAATGGGTCCTACGCATACAAGTTGCATGACATTGGGCAAATTTAAAAGTCTTCATTTTGTGTTTTATGTAACTGCAAAATGATACCTACTTCATGAATTTGTTTTAATGAGTTAATACATGTACAGTGGTAAATACTGTGCTTGGCATGTAGAAAGATTGCAATAGAGTTATTATTAAATAGCTTATTTCCATTCTGCAGTTGAGAAAATAGAATTGTCTTCTCCCAAATTAAATGTTTTACCTGTCGTGTGAAGGGTAAGAATAGACCAGTTTTAATATCAGATATAAAAATGAGCCCTTTCTAAATTCTCTCCTCCTTCTGCATGTTACCTGCAACTCCAAGCTAATCAATAGTCTTGATACATCCATAATTCTTACCAAATTTTCTTACATAATATTTACTCAATTCTTCTTTATTGCCAGGACCACAGGGCAAATCCTCTCTCATCTTTCAAGACTCAGTTTAGCCATCCCTTCTGTTAGACACACTCTCTGTCTTTCCCAGGGAGTTGGAGCTCCTCCTCTGAGTACCAGTAGTGCCTCGTTTGCTTCTCTGTTTCAGCACTCATTACATCTTCAGGCCTGCAGTTCATTATTTACATGTTGGTCTCTCCCAGTGGGGAAGAGTTGTAGAGAGGATTCATAAATCATACGTTCAAGGCTGGAAGATGACTTTTAACACTCACCTCAGAGCATTAAAAAGATAATGCATGTAAATAGATTTGCACAGTGACCAGCAGTAGTAAATGGTCAATAATGACAATTATGATGATGATTAGCAGTAGTAGTAGTAGTATTCATCTGTCACAGTAGGAGGTGAGTAAGTGGATGAAGAACAGTAATTATCTTTACAAGTGCTATGATGATCTAGAATATTATAGGCCAGGACTCCAGGGCTTTGGAATATCAAAGATTGCTTACTATACAAAAAGAAAACAATGGCTCCCAGAATCTTCTGAGATTTTAAGATATATAAGAAAAAATTATGAGCCCTGGAGATTTGTTTTTCCTAATAAGTTGTCTATAGAAATAGCTTAAAACTTAAAATGAGAAATTATAATTCCTAGTTTCATGTGCCAGGTAATAAAGAAAATGCTGGGAGGAAAATGTGTTTCTCAAATATAAATTTCTTACATTTGGAAATATATTGCTCAATTTTTAAGTATATAAATACAATTAATATACTACAGAGTTTAATGTGGATAAAACATCATTAGGTTTACTCAATGGTAAGTGACACTTCATGCTGTAGTCATCTGTGCTTTGGAAGAACAACATTAAAATTTTGCGGGTTTAAGGAATTCTTTACTCTTGCCAATGATAAGTTCATTTTGGCTCCATTCAGGTACCCCTTCAGCAAACATTTTAGAGTTTCTACTATGAGGCACTGTGCTAAGCACTGCGGATACAGTGGTGAACAGGCCCAGGGAAATCCCTGCTTCTATAGAGCAAATATGTGATAGAGACATTGAAGGGAAAAAAGTGAACATTATAGGGTATCCAATTTATTTCCTTGAGTGATTTGTACCCGTGAGTTTGGTAAGATATGCGTGAGAGAGGCTGGCTTCCCCAAGAAAGGTAGATTTGATGGAAAACAGTGCCCCCCCACCAACACTGATTTCCAAAAAAACGATTTATTCAAGTTCCAATCTAACTGACTGCACAGTCCCTTCATGAAAAGAGACTGGCATACATTCAGAAGTTTGTTCTGGCCTTGTTGATTCCAATTAAGTCAGGTTTTGCAGCGTGGACAATTGTGCTGTGACTCGCTGTGACTAATGGCTGGTTCTCTGTTCAATGAAGAGGAGAGGCACTTTAGAGCCCAAAGCATTTCAGATTAGGAACAAGGTCCCTATGTTTGCATTAATTCCAGCTTTTCATGATGTTATGCCAAAAGCATGGCCATTGTGTTCCAGCCTCACTCCTAGCTTCAGCTGGTTGTCTACCTTATTTTCCCTTTGCTCCACTTGTCCTCACTGAATTCTGTGTTTTGCTTCCCACCATATCCGCCACCCTGCGCTATGCCAGAAACATTATTTTATTCTGATTATAGAAGCTATACAATTATAGAAACCTTAAGGAAAAGAAAAGCCTCAATTATTTTAAATTAAGATCTCTGATCATCTGCCATTCAAAAAAAATTACTGCTATTTGAACACCTATCTTTATATATATAAACATATATGCTATCTACTTCATTTTAAATGCCTTACATCACATTATGTTGAAGTTTATTTCTATAAAGTGCTTAGAAATTGCTTTCAAATAAGTTGTGGAATAAATTTTTTAAGTAGGTAAATCAATAAATAGTAAGAAGATGGTACTGCTTTCCCTCAAATATGATTTCTGTAAAAACAAACTGAAGTATTTCTAGTACAGTATTTCTGGTACAGTTGGGCTTATAGGCTCCGGAGTAAGGCTAGCCATGTTATTATGCACTGCCTTTGCTATTTACCACCTACAATTTTGCACAATCTATATTTCTTCTTTGAGCTTCTTTTTCCTTAATATAATAGTTAATATAGATCATTTACTGTAGTGCCTAGCTTATACTAAGCCCCCTGAAAATATTAGCTTTTCTTATTTTGAAACACATGGGTGACTTCTTTGATCTTACTGAGTTCATTGATGTTACCTACATTCTTCCAATGTCCCTTACTGAGAGTTGGGTATCATCTTCAACCTTTCCTTCTCTCTTTGACTATTGCCTAGTAATGAGCACATTATACAGACTTTTTCTGCATTACATACTAGCTTGAGAGAAGCACTAAGAAGCTTCAGGCTCAAACACATTCTAATTATGTCTTTTGCTAGCACTGTGACTTTGCGTAAGGGATTGACCTCCTATTAACTCAAGTTATAGGGAAATAATAACTCCATGTATCTCATAATCTTGTTTTAAGTATGAAATGGAAGGATGCACAAAAATTGCTGCATTGTACAGTGGTCAGCACACACTAAGTGCTCTCTAAAGAGAAGATGTGGAATGATGAAGAAAATGATAATGGTGAGATGAGTAAGTTCCTTTAGCTTAGGAAAGAGAAAAGCTCTTCTACCCCTCCATCATAATCCAAGCTTCATTTTTTATCTCTGATCATTTGCAATAGATTTCTATCAGGACCTACAGCCTCTAATTTCTTTCTCTTCCCTTCTGCTCTGCATATAACTTCAAGATTAGCCCTTCTTAGAAAAAAAATAGAGCGTGCCTCTTCTCTTAAAAATATTTATCACATTCCCAGTAATTATTAAACCAAGTAAAAATTCACTACCTAGGCAGGCAAGACATACATAGTTTGCCTCCAGTTTATTTTTCTAACTGCACACCTATTGGTTTCTCAGATTAAACTTTCCATACCAAACACAGTGATCTACAATTTATTCCTCACACTTATCTCCACTTGTCCTACCTTTTTAACTTTCCTCAATCCCTCCTATTCACCCTTCATTTCCCAGCCTTAATCATAAAATCTTCTGTTTTGGTGAAGTCATCTATTTATTCAGAAGTATTTTTTCAGAATTTACCTATGCCCAATATTATATTAGACACTGGGATTTAACAGGGAGCCAGATATAGTCTTGGCCTCATGATACAATTCCTCTTGTTCTCAGTGTGTGTGTGTGTGTGTGTGTGTGTGTGTGTGTGTGTTCTCTGGCACTTAGAATATGCAGGCTTTTTTGGTAGATACATATTGTATTATCTTTAACTCTACCACAATGCCTTGCACATAATTATGGTCTAAAAGTTAGTTGATGGTCTGATTCCTGAAGTGATTTTCCTGTGGAATTTGGCCTATGTGGATACGTTGACTACCTTCCATTAGTCAACCTAACGGTCTTGCTTTTAAGATCCCATCAACTGGACAGAAAATGTAGGTGAGCACTGACCCCTGGGACAAAACTCAAAAAAGAATCCTCAGTGTTAAAAACAGATCTGTATTGCTCTGTAATTTATTCCTATATTATAGATACCATAGTATAACATAGGGAAAATACTAATAGCCAGTTTCTCTTATGTAAAGTATGGAAAATTAAATGCAATTCTTTATAATAGAACTATGTAATATATCCGAAAGCTATTTTATCCAACCTTCATGTACTTTTACTTAAGTAATATTAATCTGTATACATCTTTATATTGAAATTGTTCTGCCTTTTTTAAGTAGCAGGCACACATTATTCTCCTATATATAGACATTTCTGCTCATGTCTGACACCTTGAAAAGGTGGCTTTATGATAGCTTTTTAAAAAAATTCAAGACCTTTGAAAACAGTCACCAAGGAAACAACAGAATAGGTTATATATGTTTCACTTATGCCTAAAATAGAAAATCTTGCTGTCAGTTATAAATATGTTCTATGAAAGCCACTCCCTCCAATAATTTGGGCATTTTTTTTAACTTTACATGCTAGGGATTTTTGTTGTTGTTGTTGTTTGGTTTTGTTTTGTTTTTAAGACAGAGTCTTGCTCTGTTTCCCAGGCTGGAGTGCAGTGGCATGATCTTGGCTCACTGCAGCATCCGCCTCCCGGGTTCAAGTGATTCTCGTGCCTCAACCTTCCGAATAGCTGAGATTACAGGCAGGTGCCACCACGCCCCGCTAATTTTTGTATTTTTAGTACAGATGGGGTTTCACTATGTTGGCCAGGCTGGTCTCAAAGTGATCTGACCTCAAGTGATCTGCCTGCCTTGGCCTCCCAAAGTGCTGGGATTACAGGCATGAGCCATCACACCTGGTCGCCAGATTGTTTTTAGTAACTGTGCACATATACAGCAATTACCTGCCTCAGGTGGGGGCTCTGATGCATGTTTCTTGCTCTGCCTGACCTTGAATACATAATTGCTTCCCGCTCTGTTTGAGATTTCTCCTTCATGTCCAATGAAGTTGACACTTCTTACTCTGCAACAGCTGTAAAACACTTTGAATCCAGAGAAAAAATACAATAAAATAAGACTATATGACACTTAAAGACTTACTTTGTTAAATTCATCCTAGCAAAAGCCTTCTAAATCCAGACAAAAGAGTACAATACAAGATGACTTACCCAGTGCTGAGGAGTGAAATTAAGCTTGTTACTATGATGGATGGAGGCAAGGATTAAGAAATGTCAGCAAGTGGCTTAAAGAAAAATACATTTAATTTTATTGTTTATTCTAGTGTTACATCAAGCTTTAACTTTTACCTGAAACAGCCATTCAAGGGCTCCTGCAAAATAAAAGAAATTTCCCATAATAAAGCTTATTATAAATGGTCTCTGTAGAAATTACAAAATATGTCATTCAATCTCAGTGTTTTCCTTGGATCTGGATCAATGTTAATTAGATTGAACTTCATGGTAGTCATTGTTGACAGGTACAATGAGCACAAAGATGAATAACACACAGTTTTACTCTTAACTGGGACTCAGTCACCTGAATAATAATTATTGAATAGTTATCATTCTGTATATATACTGGATTATGGCCACATTCTCCTAACTGTTCTTTGTATACCTGTGTTCACCTTCTTAGTTCATTCTACCTTCTACTGCCAGAGGAATATTACTAAAACCAACATTTCATCAAGTCACTCCCCTATGTGAAATCCTCCAGTGACTACACATTGATTTGTGGATGAAGTCCATAACTTTGACATGGTTTAGACTACCCTCTACCATCTGCCACTGCTTACCTCTCCAAGCTGACCTCTTGCCATTTTTCTATTCACTCACAAAACTTTTGCCAGTATGTCTCTCCAGAGCATCATTCTTATTCTCTTTTACCTCTAGGTCTTCATGCTTAGCATTCCTTCTGCCTAGAATATTCTTCTTTCCCACCATAACCCTTTGCTTACTGGTTCCTTCCTTCTTATTTTACAGATCTTAGTTACATATGTCACTTTTATTTTTCTTTCTTTTTTTTTTTTTTGAAACAGAGTTTCATTCTGTCACTCAGGCTGGAGTGCAGTGGCACGACCTCAGCTCACTGCAACCTTGACCTCCCAGGTTCAAGTGATCTCACCTCAGCCTCCCAAGTAGCTGGGACTACAGGCATTTGCCACTATGCCGGGCTAATTTTTTGTATTTTTTGTGGAGATGAGATTTCTCCATGTTGCCCAGGCTGGTCTGGAGCTCCTGGACTCAAGCGATCCACCTGCCTCGGCCTCCCAAAGTGCTGGGATTACCGGTGTGAGCCTCCACACCTGGCCAGTATGTCACTTTTCCTAAGGAATCTTTCCTGACTCACTGAGATTCCTATGATGCCCATCTCCTGTCCTCTGTATGATTATCACACTGTATTAAATTGCTGATTCCTCCCCTAGGGTGGGCAAGTATGCTGTCTCTCTTGCTTAGCACACACATGTCCTCCACCAGGCACTTCATGAATATTTGTATTTTAGTGAGTTAATAAATTGAAGAATCAGTGATGAATGCTGTAAGAAATATCTTCAAAGTGAAAATGAAAACCCGGATGAAGGAATAATTTATTCCACCCGGGGTATGGTGAAGAGGTATGAAGAAAAGTGGTATGACATGATATTTGATCTGGCCCTAAAAGATGAGTAGGATGGAGTTCACCAGGGAGTTGAGGGAGGAAAAGGGAAATCAAACAAAGAATTGCATGAGCAAAGTCAAGGGTTTGCTTAGTAGATCAGTTCTGGATGAATACTACTTGCTTTGGATCTCAACTTAGACATTACTTCTACCAAGCCTTCCTGGCAGTCCCCCTTAAAGAGGCTGGATGTCTCTTGTATGTGTGCTGAGTGCTTTCTCTCCATACTTTATGAAGCATATTTCAAATGTGAAGTTTTAAACCTGAGATCCAAATTATTTATTTATCATGAGTAATAACTTTTTGGTTATATTTATATAGCATTCTTTTCATGTGAAACAGTGTATTGACATTAAATAATTTGTAACAACTACTATTATGATGATGTGATAAAGACAGCGATTTCATACACTAGGAGAAAGAAAACAAACCAAAAGTCATACAAACCTGGAAATTTACAATCCAAAAGATGCAAAATTGCTACTATGCTGAATGTGAATATTTCACATTCATTTTTCTCTAACTGACATGTAATGGATTAAAACTTTTTGACTCTATAGCCATGCCACCACATTCCCTTTATTAAGAGAAGGTAGAACTTCAATGTTGGACTGGCTTAAATAGCAGCCCTCTCTCCTTTACATTAAATTTTTGGGTCAAATTTATGAATACACAGTGTGACATTTTTCCTGCATGGAGAAGGGTTTAACAAGTGACAGGATGTCACTGCAGGTGACCAGGAATAAAGTATGCAAGTTTACTTCATTCATTTTAAACACTAATAGCATCTCATTGAAAAGCATCATCTTTGGAAAAGAAGGGAGGCTTAGAAGAACTAAGAAGGCTTTGTTAGAATTGACATATCCAAATATTAATTATAGAGAAGGGTTGAAGCATTTAGCTTCATACATGTGAACGCAACTATTTTATATAACAGTTGCTTTCACATCACATTGCAGTGGCAACAGCCATATTGGAAACCTTGAGATTAATAATGACTTTATTCAGCTTATAGCTTGGGGCAGAACCAGCTACAAAGCCAAGACCCCTGGGAATACTGACCCTGTCAATGTAGGTCGTATTTCCCCAGAAGCAGAAGCATGGATTTCTTTAGTCTCTTCAGGGATCTCTGTGCTTTCTCTACCCTGTCCTTTTAACACAAATAGGTGATAAATCAGTTTCCTATTCCCTCTAAATTTAAGATGATGTTTAGTGGATAGTTAGGTCATAAAAAAGGAAATATAACAATGATAAAAATAATTTGCTAGTTATCTTATATACTTTAACTCATTTATTCCTTGAAACAGCTCAATGAGGTAAATACAGCACTTTTCCTATTTTACAGTGAGGAAACAGAAGCTTAGAGAGTTTAAGCAACTTCTCAAGAATATACAGCTAGGAAATTTTATTCAAAACCAGTTTCTGATTTCAAATTCCAAACTCTTAACTGTTACTAATCACCATTCTATTTTGTACCATTCTATTTCATACACTCTCCTAGTGTATGAAATCGCTCTCTTTATCACATCCCAGCTGACACCTTTGCCACCTCTGTAGCCTGTCGGCAACCAGAGCTGAATCCTGCCCTCTCTTTAGGAAAGTGTTATTATAGCTAAGCCGCTTTGGAGACTGACATGTGTATTTGAGTTGCAGCTCTGCCATTTCTTAACTGTGTAACTTTTTGCAAGTTAATTAACCTCTTTGAGCCTCAATTTCCCTATCTAAAAACTAATAAAAGTAAATGTCTGCAAAGTTTAATTGGAATAGTTCAATGAGTTAATGCCATTGCCTGGCACAGAGTAGGAGCTTCATTAAGGTAGGTAATATCATTCAGGCTCAGCTCAATGCCATCCTTTTTATGAAGTCTTCATGCTTTATCACTCCACTCTGAGCTACATTCATAGCATTTACTATTCCCTGCTTTCTAGAATTAGTTTTCTTTTTGCAGGTGTTTGTCTCCTCTCTAGGTTGGAAGCCACCTAAAGGTAGGAATGGTACACTTTTTAACATCTACCAAAAGCTAAGAAGAGTACTCAGTAAATAGTGGCCATATTTTCTTGACCACGTGGCTACATTTCTGACAAAGAATTGTGTGGTATTTTATGATGTGAGAGTCAGTAGAAAATGTAGTTGGAGGCTGGGGATGGTGGCTCACGCCTGTAATTCCAGGACTTTGGGAGGCCAAGGTGGGCAGATCTCTTGAGCACAGGAGTTCAAAACCAGCCTGGACAACATACAGAAACCCCATCTCTACTAAAAATACAAAAATTAGCCGGGCATGTTGGTGCATGCCTGTGATGCCAGCTACTCGGGAGGCTGAGGCGTGAGAATTATTTGAACCTGGGAGGCCGAGGTTGCAGTGATCCAAGATTGTGCCACTGCACTCCAGCCTGAGTGACAGAGGGAGACTCCATACTAAATAAATAAATAAATAAATAAATAAATAAATAAATAAAAATGTAGTTGGACATCAAAACAGTATTTCTAGGATATTTTTACTTTCCTGCACAGAGTATACAACCAGGATTATAACCTAAGATTGATAGCATGAATTCATCACATTTTTTTCTTCTGAAAAGTTTTTTTTTAATTTTCAATTTTTATGGGTATGTAGTAGGTATATACATAAATGAAGTACATAAGATGTTTTGATACAGGCATGCAATGTGAAATAAGTACATCATGGAGAATGGGATATCTATCCCCTCAAGCATTTCTCCTCTGAGTTGCAACTCAGTTACACTCCTAGAATCATTATTTGTAAATACTTATAAATTGATTTGATGTTTCCAATTTCTTGATTTTAATATTGCAGTGTTTGTCATTCAAAAAGAATAATGCTATTATTCAGAATAACCAAGATATGAAATCAACCTCAGTATCCATCACCAAATAAATGGATAAAGAGAATGTGGTATAAAGTACTATTCAGCTTTTAAAAACAAAGAAAATTTTCATTTGTGACATGGATGGACCCAGAGGACATTATATTAAGTAAAATAAGCCAAGTACAGAAAGACTAATAGTGCATGATTTCATTTATATGGAAAATCTGAAAAGGTCATACTCATACAGTAGCAGAGAGTGGAATGGTGATTAAGCGGGCCAGGGGGTAGCCAGGCGTGGTGGCTCACACCTGCAATCCCAGCACTTTGGGAGGCTGAGGTGGGCAGTTCATGAGGTTAGAAGTTCGAGACCAGCCTGAACAACATGGTGAAACCCCATCTTTACTAAAAATACAAAAATTAGCCGAGAGTGGTGGCGCATGCCTGTAATCCCAGCTACTCAGGAGGCTGAGGCAGGAGAATGCTTGAATCCGGGGGGCAAAGGTTGCAGTAAGCCAAGTTCGCACCACTGCACTCCAGCCTGGGCAACAGAGCAAGACTCCGTCTCAAACAAACGAACAAAAAAAAGGTGAGGAGCAGGTGGGGAGGGAAGAATAGAGAGATGTTGGTCAAAAGATACAAAATTTCAGTGAGTTAGGAGGAGTAAGTCTGGATGGAGATCTGTTGTATAACATGGTGAGTATAGTTAATAGAAATGTGTTGTATACTTAAAAGTTGCTAGGAAAGTAGATTTTAAGTGTTCTCACCACAAAAAAAGTATGTGAGTTAATGCATATGATAATTTGCTTGATTTAGACATTCCACAATTATACATATTTCAAAACATCATATTGTACACCATAAATACATACTTTTTGTCAATTAAAAAAGAAGAATGCTGAATGGGAATTTTTAGACCTGAAAATTTGTTTATCAAGAATGGATTTGGAAGCTGCCTAAACACTAAAAGATGTAAAAGGACTATATTGGGAGTAGATGATTCAAGATGATTTCAGATGGGGCATCCCACTCCTGGTCTCCAGAAGTACCCTGCCAGGAGGAACCTTGGTGAGAAGGGACAGAGGCTGCATTTGCCTCTGCTGATGTCACTCCTCTTCTCTCAGTGGCTTCTCTCCCTCAAGAGTTTTGTGCCAGTTCCTAAATAAAGGGCTCTTTTAATATATAAAGTCTTCTGTAAGTGTAGAACTTGAGTTATCAATAATTTTACACATCCCCTGTCATTCTTATTCAATTTAAGCATCTTGAAGACAGCGCTTATAGGGTATTTTATTTCCTCCACTGTGGCTAACAGTAGAGATAGAAAGCACTCAATAAATGGTTAGTTCTTGCGTCGTGAGCTGTGCAAGAGCATCACTTACATCCGTTTGTTTAATTGCCAAGCAATCCAGTGTCATAGGTACTACATATCCCCGTCCCTCCAAACCCCATTTGAAAGATGAGGAATATTGAGGCCTAGAGAATTAAGTGATTTAAGATCATACAGCTACTAAAGGCAGAGGTGGAATTTAAACAGGTTTGTCTAACTCCGTAGCCCATACTTTTAATCAAATGTTCTCAGAGATGCCTGTGTATCAGAATCATGTGCCAATTACTACATCAGAATCTCCAGAAGTGGAGCTTCTTATCACTAGAGCTCTCAAGTAGATTTTGATGTAACTAGACCAAAGATTCAGGAAGCCCTCCTCTAAAATACTACACTATATTTCCTTCTCAATAAATGTCTGATAAATGAAGGAATGATGCCTGTAATTCTTTCACTAATGATCCATTCCTCCACAAAGGTGTGCTCTTAAGCAATGATCTTCAAAATGCAAAACTTTCTAAGAGGCTGTCTCTAACTTCTCTAATATCTTTATCAGAGATAGAAACCATTACAGAGAAACTCAGCCTCAGAGGCTGTAGGAGGTGCCTGATTAGGGATAGTGGAAGGCCTGAAGAGTAAGCTAAAATTCACATATTTGATGCCTCACAATGTTGCCTGGGGCTACTGCTGCCTGACCATGCAGCTAGGAGCTAGAAATCTAGGGTTCACTTAAAGTTCCTTCAAGTTTTTTATGTTGTAAAGCTCCTGTAGAGATTGGCCCTTAGTGGATGGAACAAGGCTCCTATCCTTCCTCCGGATAATCTGCTGGGTCAGACATCATCAGTGGCAAGGACTCTCGGAGTGTCCGGAAACATTCCACCTGTGTGCAGTGATACCTTCAGGCACGCTCTTTTATTTTATTTTATTTTTTGAGACGGAGTCTCGCTCTGTCGCCCAGGCTGGAGCGCAGTGGCGTGATCTTGGCTCACTGCAAGCTCCGCCTCCCGGGTTCACGCCATTCTCCTGCCTCAGCCTCCCCAGCAGCTGGGACTACAGGCGCCGGCCGCCACGTCCGGCTAATTTTTTTGTATTTTTATAGTAGAGACGGGGTTTCACCGCGTTAGCCAGCATGGTCTTGATCTCCTGACCTCGTGATCCGCCCACCTCGGCCTCCCAAAGTGCTGGGATTGCAGGCGTGAGCCACCGCACCCGGTCCAGGCACTCTCTTTTTTGCACTCAAGAGTGATGTCCCTTGTGATGGCTGGCAGCTTCTGTAGAAGCCTGACCTTAAGCCACTTACACAAAGGCAGCAAGAGAATCCATCAGGCAATGAATGAATAAATAAGATGCAGTTTATCCCTACAATAGAATATTATTCAGCAATAGAAATGAAGTATCAATCCATGCTACAACATGGATGAACCTGGAAAACATTATGCTAAAGTGGAAGAAGCCAGTCACAAAAAAAAAAAAAAAAAAAAAATGTCATATGATTCCACTTATACAAAATGTCCAGAACAGACAAATCCAGAGACAAAACTAAGTAGAGACAAAACACTAAATAGACTTAGTGGTTGCCTAGGGCTGAGAGAGCTGCGTGGGGAATAGTGAATTATGGCTAACAGGTATAGAGTTTCTTTTGGGAGTGACGAAAATGTTCTAAAATTGATTGTGATGCTGTTTATGCAACCTTGTGAATATACTAAAAACCACTGAATTGTACATTTTAAAAATGTGAATGTTACGGTATGTGACTTATATCTCAAAGAAGCTGTGAAAATAAAAAAAAAAAAGCAGCACAAGGAGACAAAAGAGATGCAGTAAAATTAGAGTATGAGAATCATGAGATTGCCAGGCACCCATTACAACTGGAGAAGAGTTTGGAAAGTTCTCCTCCACCAGAGGGGTGTATAGGACCATGGATATGAAGTTGCTCACCTTAAGGCACCCATAGGCTGATGCTATCAATAACTTCCTGTGATGCTTTTTTCTCTTCTGAATGTGCATCTATTTTTTTTTCACCTTTTCCTTTTCCTCACCCTTTGTGGGACTAAGTTCACAATAATTCCCAGGCTAAAAATATATAAAGTCCGGCACATAATATTATATTTTGAAGTAGAATTATAAATTAAGATGTAAAATGTATCTATTGTATCTGTCCCTTTGCACATTTTTGCTACAAGCAATTCTGTAGAACTCATAGTCATTATTTACAATGGGAGAGAAGAATGTTCAAAACAATAGTAACGTTTAAAAATTGGGCACGATTCCATCAGTGACTCCATGTGTCAAAGTTGCCACTTTCTTTTTATCTGTTGAGGGCTGTATTACCCCTCACATGGACCATTAAATCAGCCTAACTGACTTTCTTCCACCATCTTCCATAATACTGACAGTTACCTTCCTAAAATGCAAATACAAGGCAGTGCAGTCCAGAGAAAAAGAGCTTGGTTCCCGGTCTCAGATTGCTTAGATTTGAATCTGAGCATTACCACCAATGACCTTGGTCAATTTAGTTAAGTTATCTAATCTTTCAGTTAATCATATTTCCCTAAACTTTGTGAGAATTAAGTAAGAACAGTATGTTAAGCCCTTCGTCCAATGATGGGCTCGTTGTGAGCAGTCAGTCTCTAGCAGCTGTTATTGTTATTACACATATGTTCAAATGCTGCCATGTTTCCTCATGCCTGTAAAATCCACTCCAAACTCCCTAGCCTATCATGCAACAACCTTCGAAATCTCACCTCGTCTCTCTTCTTCCATTTCACAACCTTTTCTAAATACACCAGGCAAATTTGTGGCTTCAGGTTTTTGCTTAAGCTCTTTCCTCTACCATTTCATATCTGCATTTAGAAAAGCCTATTCTTCATTCAAGAAGACAACAATGAAGGGACTATGAAGCTATTCCCAAGCTCCTTTTTTACTCTGTGTTCCAGCAGCACTTTAGGGATTTGAGGGAAATTGGCCAAAGCGGATCAGATTTTATATACAAAGCAAGCAGAACTTCTTAGTGAACTGAATAAGAGAAACAAGGAATAAAATAGAAGAAAATATAATTTCTAGGCTTATATCTGGGACAATTGGACATGTGGTTTTGCCATTTAATGATCTAGGAAAACCTGGGGGGAATAAGGTTTGGGGGGACTAATGTAACAAAGACATCTGCATTAGTTATGCTAGTTTTGAGATGCCAATCAGATCTATTCAAGTGGATTTGATAAGTAAAGTGTTGTATGTATATACAAGTCTGGTGTTTGCATAATGGGGTGTTGTATGTATATACAAGTCTAGTGTTTGCATAATGGTCGGGGCTGTGGATATAGAACTGTGGGTCATAACTACGTAGGAGGCTGGTGGAGGTCCTCTGGAAAAGCCCAGAACAACAACAACATTTAGAAATCAAATATATAGAGAGAAACCTGTTAGATAGATATATATATATATATGTGAATTTACTCACTCACTACCTACTTGAGTTTAAGTACTATCTTATTTATCCTTTTGCCTATTGGTGCTGGTCACACAAATGTTCAATATGTGCTTGCTGAATTCATTCCAAGACTAAAAGCAAAAAAAGATGGCCTCTCAGAGACCTCGCAGCCCTGCACTTTAATAATTTGGCCAGATTTGCAAAGGAAGCGTGAAGGACAACTCCAGCATCTAGCACAGGATGGAATGTGGTGGACAGTTCTATGACTGCTGCCGACAGTCTCATCCTTCCTGTCTCCTAACCTCTCCCTGCCCCCTTCCCCCAGGGACACACTCCAAAGAGCATAGCTTCAGTGCTCATGAGCAGATGGCACAAAGCCCAGGATCCCAGCATGCTTGTCAGTGCTAGATACAAGGGTCTTAAGAGAGCAGCAGCTGCCGGAACATATGGGTGGTCAGCAGGAGTTCCCCTTAGCTCTGGACTGAAGCTCCTCAACATACACAATGCCCAATTTTCTGAAAGGTTGCAAGAGAAGCTTTCTCTAGGATCTTGTCATGTTTTTCCCATTGACTTTAATGATTTAGTATTCCTATTTTTCTGGGCCCCTTGTTCCTATGAAGTATTCAAGAATTTGTAAATCAAGACACATCTGCCTTCCCCCACCCCTTTTCTCTCCTCTTGCCACAATTCTGATTAGGCTTTCATCATTCTTTACCTGGACAAATTCAGTTGCCTTCTATGTGGTCTTCTTGCATTCATTCTCTCTCCATTCTGCCACCAGAATAACCACACCAAAGTACTGCTCTGTTAGGGCACACACCTGCCAAGAACTTCAATAGCTTTCCCATTGCTTGCTGAAAAAAGATTCCAACATTCTAAGCTTGGAATTCTAGGCCTCCCCGCCATCTATCCTTTCCAGGAAACCTTTCCAATATTAGTGCCCATCAACCACATTTAGGGGTGTAATTAATCAGGCCCTATTTCTTCCCACAAATAGTCACTGTGATTTCTCTCTGTTGTGTCTCGGCACCTGCTTTTTTCTTTGCCCAGGATGCTTCACCTGTTTCTCCATCTGTTATCATCTTACCCACTCCTCAAGTTCCAAGCCAACGGTGTCTTCTTCAGCGAGCCTTTCTTATTCAACCCAGGTGGAAAGACAGTTTACTGTTTATACTTCTGAAACAATTCATGCCTATTTTTTAAAAAACTCTTATCAGATTATGGATGGTGACGTAGATAGATAGATCGTTGATAGATAGATAGATAGATAGATAAATTTTTTCCCATTGGAAGGCTGACTTATTTTTCTATTTCCAAATTCTATACCTAGCACAGCATATGGAAAGAGCTCTAACAATATTGACTGATTGAATGAATGAATGAATATATGAGTGACTCAGTTAATCCGGTGATTCATTTATAGTTATTCCCCACTTCTCACAGTTTAGCTATTACATGTAATCCTGTCTCTATACATTGGCTTTTCTTAAAGTTGGGTCTCTCTGCCTTTTGAGGTCATCACATAGGTGACTTCCTTTAACGACCATGTTCCTTATGTTTGGAGTATCAGTGAGTGACATGGAGGAGATGAGGATAGAAGAGCGAGCAGTTTCAGGTAAAAAGAACACTCCAAGACATGAAAGAGTGAAGGATGAAGGATTTATGCTTCAGGTGAAGGATTTTAAGCAAGATATTGATATAATTAAATTAGCTATTTGAAAAAAAAATCACTCTAAACTCACGTACAAGTGGACAGGAGATACTGAGGATAGGAGAGCCTCAGGAGGAGGCTCTTACAGGTAACTCAGGCTGAGAGTAGACTGACTGGCACTTAGACCAGGTCTTTGCCAAAACAATAACTACTATCTCTGCCTCTTCTCAGGGCTTCCAGGGCAGCGATTGAGGAGACCTTACCAAGGAGCACCACACAGTAGATGCTGAGACATCGTACTCCAGGATAAGAAACAGTAACATGGCAGCACCTGCTTGAAAGAAATTAAAAACCAACAGACTCCATTTAGAAAGGAACAATGTCCAAGAAAGGGCGAAATAAGGGCGAGAAGCCCGAGGCACTCATTGTTGCCCTTCAAGCTGCCAATGAAGACCTCAGGACCAAGCTCACAGACATTCAGATAGAGCTGCATCAAGAGAAGTCCAAGGTGAGCGAGGGCTACCTGAGGTCGTGGCATTAAGAGCAGCTCTGGCTGTGTCCACATGCAGCGAGCACAGCTCTGCCTGCTGGCCTACCCCAGTGGACTCCTGCCCTTTGCCAGAGAGGGCAACGTCCCCTGTAAACATGGAGAGCTTATTGCATGTGGCAGGAGGGAACTGAGCACAGGACACACAGAAAGTGAAAATAGCATACTCACTAGACAGATCTTAGCCTCCTCTGGAAGCCCGGTTCAGGAAGCCAGATATGAAAATTCAGACAGTGTCCCTTACCACCGCCAAACACTTAATAGTTGCATGACCTTGGGCAAGTTCCACTCTTGCCCTCTATAGGTTATTAACTCCCAGAGCATTCAGAGAAGTCCTTCTGAAATGTAGCACATCACGTTACTCCACTGCCCAATACCTTCCAAGGGCTTCCTATCTCTCTTAGACTCAAAGGACTTTCTCTACCACTACAGGATATTAGCTCCATCCCCCTCTTTGACTCATCTCCCACTTCTCTCTCTCGATCATTCTGTTTCCTATTTTTGCTGGATCAAGAGAGAGACCCCAATCACATTTAGGGCCTTTGCACTTGTTCTTCCTGGACAGCTCCATGCTCCTTCACTCACCTCTTTCAGATGTCTGCTCAACCATCAAGCATCTGACCACAGTCTCTAAAACAGAACACTTCCCCATTGTCAGGTACTCCCCATAGCCTATTCTTAGCTTATTTCATAGTAATTCATACATTTGCTTTTTACTTGTTTAGTGCTGTCACTCCTCAATCTCTACAAAAGCAGAAATTCAGTTTACTTAGTGTCCCTAGAGCCTAAATAATATCCAGAACTTAAAATCTCAATATGTATTTGTTGAATGAATAGAGGAATAATTTAAAGATGATGCATTCCTTATACCTCAGTTTCTTCATCACATCACAGCTGTACTGAGGTATGAATTAGATAAGTATATTATGTGCTTATGAGGATTGAACAAAAAAATTTACGTCAGGTGCTCAGAGAGCTGCCTGACACATAATAAACTTGCAAAACATTATAATATTAGTATTCTTTTTAATATTCATAGATTTAAGTCAGTTGCTAACTAGACTTAGAAGTCTCTTTACTTCTCTCAATCCCATCGCCTAAATGCACAAGCAAACACACATCTCACCAAGGTGGTATGAATATCAGAGAGGGTCATGTCTAGGAAAGCATTTTGAAATCTCCAGCATTCATAAGATGTTTTCGCTCCTTGCAAACCAGAGACCACCATGACAGCATAAAGTTGCCTTATTTAGATAATTATACAGTAAGAAAACATTCTTGATCAATAAGCAATAGTCACAAGCCAACAAATATATTTATTCCATTTTTGTCTACCTCTTCTTCCTTGACATCATTATTAAATTTTAATTTGTTATTTCTCCCAAAATCTATTTCTCTTCATTTTAACAATAATAAGTGGCCTTTGGATCTGCCAAAGCCTCTTGCTCCCTGCCTTAGCTAAGCCTTGACCTTAGATAAAGAGACTGTAATGTAAAGTTTGTGAAGAAAATTTTTTAGTTTCCTTGAAGCCAAAGGGAACATGATGTCATTTTAGAACAGCATTTGTTTGGGAGTCAGAAGACACGGGGCATTATTTGTCTTTATCTCTCCTTGGAGATGAATTTAAATGTCACAGTGTCTCTATCTGTAATTCAGATGACTGAATCTGCTTCTCCATATTTGTGCTTGTCAAGCATCACTGTGCAATGGTATAACCTGGGGGACCTGATTAAATATCGAGATTCCTGAGGCCACAATCCAAGAATTCTGATAAAGTAGTGAGGTGAGAACCAGGACTTGTAATTCGGTAAAGCAGCCCTGGCAATTCTGATGGACTACAGATGCAGATGACTTCCAGCCTTCGTGTTGACAAACACTCGCTGTAAGATTCCATCCAGGTCTGACAATCTCTGAACATTTCATTGGCCTTAACTCTCCCTGCAGCAACATCACACTTCAAGGGAGGCAGACTCCTTTAATTGCAGTTATGACAGGATGACAATCTACATTCCTAGGAAGAAGCTTGTCAATCTCGAGACTGGGAACCCTAAACTGCTACTGCTTTCCAGAGAACAAACTGATGAGATTCTCAGAAACAGAGGCTCTGAGGACTTCAACACTGCCAATACTCCACATATTCAAGCCTTTTAAAATGGGTAACTCTCAAGTTTGAACCAGGCTGCCTGTTTATCTTGGGCCTGGCACCGTTGTCTAAGCCCGCAGGCCAAGCATAATCTCCCCTTCCTCTAACAATTGACTGGCAGCCAGCCTCTTAAATGAGAGCACACAGCCTCGTCCTTTTCTCTGCTGGCTGCCCCTGCCTGGCTCCCTCTCCTTGGCAGTTAATTACGGTCCCAGCTCAGGAGCTAAAGGGAAGTCTCATTGCCTGTCAGCATCCTTCGCCAAAGAGCAAAGGGAATTTAGAGGGCAAACAAGTCATAAAGCACTTTTATTATAAATAAATAGGATTGTATTTTCAAAGGGCCAGGCTTTAAGAGAGAGAATATGAACAATGCCAAGGTGTGAATTTATACTCTCAGGTTGGCTCTGAGGCTCTGATGACAAAATGACAGTTCAGCTACTAGGGAATGGATAAGTTAAAAAGTGGAAACCTTTGGGGTAATGGGGCAGTATTCATTTATCCAGCAAGACAAATAATCCCACTGATATTTACAGAACAGCCATTGTGTATAGAGCCAAATTTTAAGACCTTTGGGCTGATAATATAAATAGCTACAACTTATTGAATGTTTACTATCTGTCATGGGCTGATAAGCACATTTCATCCTGCCAGAGTCCCAGCTGCTTCACTAGCACCTGACTGGCCTGGAGAAGGTTATAAAACCCCTCTGTGTTTTTCCTTCTTCATCTGTCAAATGGGACAATAATAGTATCTGCCTCACAAGGGTGTATGTGTGAGTGCTAATTTTTGAGCAATTAGTTTGTGTCAAGCATGTTAAGTGCTTTCATGCCATTATCTCATTCCATCCTCATTTCCACCTGCTGAGGTGGGCATTGTCATCCCTACTTTACAGATGAGGAAACTTCCTGGCCTGTAGGAGGTGCTCAAAATTACTTGTTGAATGAAATCACATGATTCTCTTTAACAGCTTTCCCCCAAACCCTGTGGCATAAGTACCGTTACAGTACTCACTTAGGTGAGAACTCCAGGCTTGGGTAGAGAAAGGATTTCCACCCAGATCTGTCTGCTTCTTGGAGCAGCACCCTGAGCCACTAAGTTGCGGTATTTGCCCCATTTGTCTCTTCTATGGACACCATGAGTGCATGATCCATTGGTTAGTGTGTATGAACATGCCACGGGCTGCCCCAGGGCTTTTTACTCTCCCTCAGAGATAAACTATGGTTTCGTGAACAGCATGGGCACAGTGACAGAGGGAATGAATGGACAGGAGCAGGGAACAGGGTTCTCAGGGCAGAGGCAGAAGGGCAACAGGCCTGGGTTGCAAGACTGAGAATAATCAGCTCCAGACAGGAGCTGTCCCATTGGCACAGCCCTTCAAACTGCAAAGCATTTTCACATCGAGCCTCACAACCATCAGAGCAAGCCCGTGACAAAGACAGGGTGCAATTACTATTCTGCCTTCACTGAGGAAGAAAATGAGGTTCAAACTGTTTAACTCATTTGCTCCAAGAGACACAGCTGGTGGAGGAGCCGCGATGGGAATTCCTGTCTTCTGTAAGATGGTGGTGATCAAGGTAATGCTCACTGTCTGATTCAAGGCATCTATTGCCTCTAGGGCATTCTCAGAAAATCAACCAACATTTTCTATCCTCGAGTGACTGTCCCCACAGCCTCCAGATACAGGTACCAAATTTGGGATGGGGTATATTTTCCTATCTACTCCTTTAGTTCTATTTTCAGGAAGCATAAGTAGCTGAAAACAAGAAATTTTAAAAATAGGATCCTTTGCACTGGATTGTGTAAGGTTGTATAGGACTTCCCTTGTAAGCAATCTTCCTAGAGCGACTCCTTCACACCTCTTCTCTGAGAGTTGCTTTGTGCCCATGAAAATCCCTGCCAGTTTACTGTGTTCCTCCAGGAACATCCAATGCAGATAATCCAGGCCAAAGTTTATGTTAGCTTAGCTTGCCTTGATAACCTCTCAACCTTTTCCTTACCTTTGACTGAGCTGTCCAATTTTTAATCCTACATTTCTAAGATCACTTTTGAAGCTCAAATCATCACTATCTTTCTCTTGGCAGAATTTACATTGGCATTTTGCAAAGGCTAGACCAGAAGTAGGACAGAATAGAAAAATACAACATGAGGTCTGTGCAAGATAGTCATAAATTCTTTTTTCCCTGTCATAGTGTAACCTTTCCTTGGTAGGATTAAACTTTTCTAATGATCTTTTTTCCCATAGAACCTCTAGGGTAGAAAGGATTTGGAAACCCATCATTCAAAGCCCTACCGAGTGCTCTCCCCTTCACCCTGCCCCACCCCGCACCACTCTTTAGGCCCATACGCACCCCAAGTGTCTTCCACGTCAAGATTAGATGCTGCCAATGCCAGAGAACACAATACGTACTGAAGAAACTCAGCTTTATCTTTGAACATCTCTTTCTGTTGGAAAAACAGTTACCATCTTAATAATGTAATATAGTAATGTTAGTCTTATCAGGATGATATGGGTACTTTTATATTTATGTTGTTGGTATTAATGTAATAGTGTATAATATTAATATATACACAGTATTTATTAAAATTATATTATAATATCCACCATGTATTAATAGTTATTAATCTCTAATGTGTTCCAGCTTTTCTAAAGAGCTTTTGATCCATTGCCTATATCAATCATCACAATAGCCGTAAGAGAATGATATCGACAATCCCAGTTTTCAGATGAGAAAACTGAGGCTGACAGAGGTGAAGCAAGGTTTCAGGTGCAAATACGAGGTGTCCAAGGTTTCAGAGCAAACAAGGAGGTGTAGGAACTTACCTGGAGCCAGCTCCTGGCCCACAATGTACTTTAGTGAGTCTTCTTTACATTGTTCTTATGTAAAGACTGTTTCTCACTTTTCTTATCACAACTTGTGATGAAACAAAGACTTCCTACATCATAGAGCCGCCCGGGAGGTTAAATGGACTGATGTGTGTAAAGCCTGTTTAGAAAGTTGCCTAACTCATATTAAACCCTCAATAAATGCTAGCTATTATATGGTTGAGCTGAAATTTTTCTCCGTAAAACATCTCCATGTATCAAAATTGGTTTCTTTCTTCTACTAAATAATTTTCTTCATTTCAAAGTATTATCATCTTTATATTTTCATTGTTACTCAGGAATAGTTTATAATTTTGTATATTCATTTTAAGATTTATATTAAGATTTAAATCTATATCCTTAGTGGTGCCATCTGCACTGCAAATAATTTTCAGAAAATTTTTATTGGCCTTTTTCCCCAAAAATTTCAGTCACATTGTTTGGCTTTTCTTCAGAATAAAACACTTCTTCCAGACTTAAAAAGAAGCCATAACTAGAAATCCTGCAAAAAAATGTCAGTTTTCATGACAACCAAAATAAGTAAACATAAAAACATGTCAAATGTTACTCAGTTCCTTTGAATTTTCTCTAGTTTTCATGGATTATTTTAAGGGATAGACAGTGTTTGTTTTTGTTTTTGTCTTCAGGCTGGAATACATGTTTCATGCACCTGTATTTTTACTTTTTTAAAAATAATTTCCTTCATCTCCTCTTCAGTTCTCAGGCAAAAGCTTTGAGTTGATAATTTGGGGTAAATGACAGAATCATAGGAAGATACAATTTGATGCACCTCCAGAGAATTTGACATAAATAATTTTAGATCAAGGAGTATCTCCTATTATATCCAGTAATAATATTACCTTACACTTCATAGTACTTTACAGTTCAAGGTACTTTTCCGTACACAATCTAGTTTAACCCTAAAAATAACCCAGTTACAGACATTTTTAAGTGTAATCAAAAATCCTCAGAAGGATAAAGCAACTTTCTTAGAGATAGCAAATAGTGAAACAGGAATAAAAACCCAGAATTTCTTACCCTTTGTCCACTTTTAGTACAGTTTTTCACTGTTCTCAGAAGAATGGCTAAAAGTTTCCCTTGTTACCCACCAGCCATTGCAGTCATGATACTGTTCCAGATGCCTAGTGTAAGTGCATCCTGCAGAAATTGAAGATGACTAAATTCCTATCACTTGAGCTGAAGTAACTTTCCCAAGGTCTTATATGGAAGGTAAATTGTCGTAGTTTCTAAATCAATAGAAAACAAGGCTTTTCCTTTCAAAAAATGCATTATCTAGAATAAGAATCAGCAAACTCTTTCTGTGAAGGGCAAGATAGTGAATATTTTAGGCTTTGTGGACTAGACAGTCTCTGTGAAACTACTCAACTCCATTGTAGCATGAAAGCAGCCTTAAGCAATATGTAAATGAATGGGCATGGCTGTGTCCCAATAAACTTTATTTATAAAAACAGGAGCAGGATGGATTTGGCTCATGGGTGGTAGTTTGCCCACCCCAATCTAGAAGATGCCCACTTCCATTCACTCTAGAAAGATGGAGAGTAAGATCTAGATTGTCCTTATTGAAGCACCAAGAGAAACACCTAGCAGAGGGAAGTGAATTCTTATATGTTAGGGTTTTGTTTTGTTGTCATTTTATACTGGGAAGGGGTTGAGGAGGGGCTGATCTGGTAACCCTGCAAGCCTGTATTCTCTAAACTGTATGACAGAAAATATTATTCTTGCCTCTGGCTAGGGGCCTAGCCAGAGAGATATAACAGCATACATCCTTAGTTCTACACATGCCACCTGGTTTCTTATATATTGTTCTGGGAGCCACTGGGTACACAGAGATGAGGATGGCTCATTGGCAACTTTCTAAAAGTTACCAGCCTGCGGTAGGGTAGAAGAGGAGGTGATGAGGACAGACAAGTGGGCAAAAAAATGCAAAGAAAACTGTGAAAACCGCTACTAAGGAGGTGTTTCAAAAGTATACTGAGAAGACAAAGGTAGGAGAAATGAGCTTTGTCCTGGGTGAGTAGGGTGGCATGACAGGAGAGGATGACCTCTAGCCAGGCCATGAGGAATGTGAGGATCCCAAAAGGAGCTGATGGAAGAATAAGTCAGGAAGAAGAAACTGTGGCATCTGGGTACGAGATGCAGGCATGTGCAGAAAATAGCATAATCCCCCCCACCTAGAGCACGGGACAGGTGAGGAGACAGAGAGGGAGAAGCAGGAGCTGGAAATCCAACCAAACCTTCCTGAGAGCCTGAAAGGTGAAGCTGGGCTGTTGAGATTTTATTCCACAACATAAAAGAGCCTGGGTGGTTTTGAGCAGATACGTAAGGAAAACCAGAACTGAGCTTTACTAAGAGAATATCACCAGGAGTGTGGGAAAAGCTAGGTTCACCAAATGAACCTTTAAGAACTCCAGAGCAACACTGTCCAAGAGAAATATAATGTGAATCCCAAATGCAAGCCATATCTGTGAATTTAAAATTTCTTGCTAGCTGCAATTTTAAACAGTAAAAAGAAACAGAATCAGTTGTAATAATATCGTTTAGAATAATTTATCCAAAACATTATAGTTTCAATATGTAAGCAATATAAAAACGATAAAGGAGATATTTTACATTCTTTACCTCGCACTAAGTCTTCGAAATCCAGAGTATATTTTACATGGAGAGAAAATCTCACTTCAAATTTGCAGTATGGTAACTAGCGGATGCCACATAGGACAAGCACAAGTCTAGAGCCTAAGAAAGAAGAGGCCTCCAGGAAGGGACCGTAGGTGTAAGCTGGAGGTGAGATCAGAGGATGGTTATTTGAGGATATCTGGCTGCTTATTTCACCAAATCCCCTTGTGCCCCAAGCTCTTTTAGAATAACCATCATGGGAATAATTGCTGCGCCTTTAAAAATAAACTGTTCACAAAATACTATGCAAACTTAGAAAATACTGTTCTAGCTAAAGGTAGGTTAACTATTAAGGTGAGTAAAATCTCAGACACTGTATATTAGGGTTCTCTAGAGGGACAGAACTAATAGGATAGATGTATCTATAAAAGGAGGTTTATTAACGAGTATTGACTCACACAATCATAAGGTCCCACAATAGGCTGTCTGCAAGCTGAGGAGCAAGGAAGCCAGTTCAAGTCCCAAAGCTGAAGAACTTGGAGTCTGATATCCAAGGGCAGGAGGCATCCAGCACAAGAGAAAGATGTAGGCTGAGAGGCTAAGTGAGTCTAGTCTTTTCACCTTCTTCTCCCTGCCTTTATTCTGGCTTCCCTGGCAGCTGATTAGAATGTGCCCACCTAGACTGATGGTGGGTCTGCCTTTCCCAGTCCACTGACTCAAATGTTAATCTCCTTTAGCAACACCCTCACAAACACACTCAGAAACAATACTTTTCATCTTTCAATCCAATCAAGTTGACACTCAGTATTAGCCATCACAGACACTTTATATTACAGTGGTTAAAATATGGAGTCTCAATCTTAAGATTTTTCAACTGGAAAGGTTCTTAACTATTATTTTGTAAAACCTTCCAATTTTACAGATGGTGGAGACTCGATATCACTCAACTAGCTATTACTCCTGGGACTCCCCAATTTTCTTCCTTTTCTCTTCTTTTTTTTTTCTTCTTTTTTGAGACAGAATCTCACTCTGTCTCCCAGGCTGGAGTGCAATGGTGCAATCTTGGCTCACTGCAACCTCTGCCTCCTGGGTTCAAGAGATTCTCCTGCCTCAGCCTTCCCAAGTATCTGGGACTACAGGTGCCTGCCACCACGCCCAGCCAATTTTTGTATTTTTAATAGAGACGGGGTTTCACCATGTTGGCCAGGCTAGTCTCGATCTCCTGACCTCAGGTGATCCATCCGCCTCGGCCTCCCAAAGTGCTGGGATTACAGACATGAGGCACTGCACCCGGCCCCCTTTTTCTAGGTTACTCTGTGTATGTGTGTGTGTGCATGCGGGGGTTGTGTGTATCACAGAGAGAGACAGAGAGAGAAGACAGAGACAGAGCCAAGCAGCAGAGATGAAGTGGGGGAGGAGGACAGCATAACAGGATCACGGAGAGGCTTTTTCGAGACACAAATGTCTGGGCCCCACCTGATCTACTGAATCAGAGACTCACAGCCAGATTAGATCAATAGGTAGTGCCATTGCTAATCTACAAGGAGGCCTATATTATCACAGGAAATTTAGCAAAACATAGAATAGTTTTAAACCGGAATTCCTGAGAGGTAAAAAGCTTATTCGAAATATTTTATCAAACTACTTGGAGTGTTGGCTTGTGGGGCAGGAAGGGAGAAGGAGGAGTGAGAGTGAAAAGGGACTCAAAGAGACATTCATGGCACATTCAGAAATAACAATGGTCACTAAAGTCCTTCATCAGAGAGAGGACCCAATGATCTGCAGTTTTGTTGTTGGTGGTGGTTTTTTGTTTGTGTGTGTGTGTGTGTGTGTGTGTAAAACTTGGGGATGAAACTAACCTGCCATACTAAGAAAGGTAAGGTTGAGGCTATTATCAACTGTCTTCATTTTTCACCTCCTTGGCAGCAGCAGCATCTCTTCAAAAAAAAAAAAAGAAAAGAAAAGAGGGAGACGGATGCTCAATAATATCACTTGAGGCACTAATTTATTAGCCTTATCACAATATCAAACTGTGAGCTATTCTAAGACACACATTTATCAGTTTGGATCTAGCTAGGGTTGTGTAGTCTAAAAAGCTCTCCAGGCGATCTGTTTTGCAGTCCTCCCCGTAAAGGGAAAAACCATGATAGCGATACTTTCTAATTTTAAGGCGTATACCAATCACATGGGGATTTGTTAAGATGCAAATTCTGAGTCATAGATCTGGGGCTAAGCCAGGGATTCTGTGCTTCTAACATGCTTCCTGGGTGATACCGAGGCTGCTTGTCTGCAGACCACACATTGCATAGTAAGGCCCCAGAACATCAAATATTCATCTGAACAAAGTAATATAAATATCCTCAGGTATTTCCTCCTCTTACACACTGTATTCCCAGCTTCAAGGCCTGTAGTTCTTTTTTCTCAGAGGGCCTGGAATTGGAAAAGAGATGAGGAATTAAGAGATCACAGCGGCCTGAGCTGCAAATCCTGCCTAGGAGCACACCCGTCCTTTGAGGCTCATTTCTCTTCATCATTTCGCCTCTCTGTTTTTAGGTATCAAAGCTTGAAAGAGAGAAGACTCAAGAAGCGAAGAGGATTCGTGAGCTGGAGCAGCGCAAGCACACGGTGCTGGTGACAGAACTCAAAGCCAAGCTCCATGAGGAGAAGATGAAGGAGCTGCAGGCTGTGAGGGAGAACCTTATCAAGCAGCACGAGCAGGAAATGTCAAGGACGGTGAAGGTACGTGATGGAGAGATCCAGAGGCTCAAGTCTGCTCTCTGTGCTCTCCGCGACGGCAGCAGTGACAAAGTAAGGACAGCGCTCACCATTGAGGCCCGGGAGGAGGCCCGGAAACTGTTTGACACAGAGCGCCTTAAGCTCTTACAGGAAATTGCGGACCTGAAAACGGCCAAGAAGCAGGTGGACGAGGCTCTGAGCAATATGATCCAAGCAGATAAAATCAAGGCTGGGGACCTTCGGAGTGAGCATCAGTCCCACCAAGAAGCCATCTCGAAGATCAAGTGGGAGTCGGAGCGGGATATTCGGAGGCTGGTTAGTACAGTAATCCCATCAGACCCATGTAGAACCCATCTCTTCCAGGTTTCAGAGCGCTGTGGGGTTTGCTTCTTCATGTGTTTTCTTGTCAGTGGATTGTAAACAGTGCCTACCTTTTGTCCAGTGCTCTATCCAAGATAGATCAGTATGTAGGTAGGTAGATCAATCGAGAGATATGCTCAGGCCAAAATTGAAATTGTAAAGTGTAAGAGATTTTGGAAATCACCTTTCTCATAAAAACTGGATTCTCCAAGGACCATATATATGGAAAGTATCTCCAAGGACCATATATATGGAAAGGACTCCTGTTTTCTTAGATATTTATAAAAATATTCTAAATCATGGATTCTTCTAAAGTCAGCATGTTTTTGTGGGCTTTTCCTTTGTAGAGTTTTATTGTTTGTTTTTATAGAGGGTAGGAGAAGACTTTCATGATGTCTGAAAACAGCAGCTACTGAGAACATCTTGAGTCTTTTCTTCCAGAAACCATGACTGAAAAAAGATACAAAATGATAAAATCCCTAGTCATTTTAAACATAGATATTTTTCCCAAAGTATACAGGAGTCATTTAAAACAGGAGCCATTATAATTTTTAAATTGGATGTCATCCCTAAGTAGGTTGTTTGCTATTTATAGTTTCCAAGACTTACCTCAGCCCCTACAGAGTTGGTCTTTCCTTCTAACATGTTTGACCAAAAACCAGGTAGGCCTCTCACTATGCTTAAATATAATACAAATATAATTATCATCTGAAAATTAGAATGTCCTAGGTTGACCTTGTTTAATTATTTTAGACCAAAAAATTTTATATTCATCTGCATTCGGATGTTTAGCATCTGTTACATCTTACTTTAATGTTATCACATCAACTATCGCCTGTTAGAATGTACTTTATGCTTCTCCGGAAATAAGGCTTTTTTTAGGAAAAACTACACTTTTCCTTTTTTGTCTTCTAGTTCTAAGCAATTACTTTCTGAGAATTCTAATTATGTTCCTCGGGTGATATCTCTAGGCTTTTAATTTTAAGTTCAAGGTGGTTACCATAGAGCATTTTTAAAAGTTAATGTTTATTTTTCTTTATACTGCAATAGAGTGTAACTGTAAAATATTGCCATTGCCACATTTTCTGAATTCTTTATGTCAACTCATTCTATTGCACTGTTTGACAATAAAGACCAAACACAGTGCAGAAATATCGGTCTCTGCCCTGCCTTTGGTTTTTGAAACGACAGTGACTGATGAAGAAAGAATCAGGACTTCGAACTCTGGAGCTGGCAGGTAAATATTCAATGAAAAGGCAGCTTTGCATTAAATATTTTCATTTGTTGATGGTTTTCAATATAAAATCTATAAGTATATCCACTTGATCTGCTAATTTTTGCACGACTTCCTTTCACCGGCATATTGCTGAAGTAGGCATGAAATCCCTTTTAATAACAACGTGAAGGGGAGGGGCCAAGATGGCCGAATGGAAACAGCTCAGGTCTGCAGCTCCCAGCGAGACCAACGCAGAAGGCAGGTGATTTCTGCTTTTCCAATCGAGGTATCCAGTTCATCTCACTGGGACTGGTTTGGCAGTGGGTGTGACCCACAGAGAACCAGCAGAAGCAGGGTGGGGCGTCGCTTCATGTGGGAAGTGCACGCAGCCAGGTGACCTCCTTCCTCCAGCAAAGGGAAGCAGTGACAGACTGTGCTACCTGCCCAAGGTACTACGCTTTTCCCATGGACACTTGCAATCCACGGATCAGCACATTCCCTCATGAGCCTACACCACCAGGGCCCTGGGTTTCAAGCACAAATCTGGGCAGCTGTTTGAGCAGGCACTGAGCTGCAGGATTTTTTTTTTTTTTCATACTCCAGCGATGCCTGGAACTCCAATGAGTCAGGACCACCGTCCAATCTCCTGGAAAGGGGGCTGAAGCCAGGGATCCAAGCAGTCTCACAAGCGGGTCCCAGTCCCACTCCCATGCTCCCATGGAACCCAGCAAGATAAGAAACACTTGCTTGAAATTCTCACTGCCAGCACAGCAGTCTAGAGTCAGCCTGAGATGATTGAGTTTGGTGGGGGGAGGAGTGACCGTCATTACTGTGGCTTTAGTTGGTGGTTTTCCCCTGACTGTGCTAAGGCGACTGGGAGATTTTTGGACTGGGCCGAATTCACCACAGCACAGCAAAGCGGCTGTGGTCAGACTGCTTCTCTAGAGTCCTCCTCACTAGGCAAGGTCTCTCTGCAGGAAATCCAGCAGCTCCATTCAGGGGCTTACAGACAGAACTCTCATCTCCCTGGGACACAGCACTTGAGGGGAGGGGCGGCTGTGGTAGCAGCTTCAGCGGATTTAATCTTTCCTGCCTGCTGGCTCTGAAGATACTGGCTGATCCTGACAAGGGAGATTCTCCCAGCACAGCGCACCAGCTCTGCTAAGGGACAGACTGCCTCCTCAAGTGGGTTCCTGACCGCTGTGCCTCCTGACTGGGAGAGACCTCCCAGCAGGGGCCAACAGACACCTCATACAGGAGAGCTCTGGCTGGCATCAGGCCAGTGCCCCTCTAAGATGAAGCTTCCAGAGGAAAGAGCAGGCAGCAATCTTTGCTGTTCTGCAGTCTCCACTGGTGATATCTAGGCAATAAGGGTCTGGAATAGACCTCCAGCAAACTCCAGCAGACCTGCAGAAGAAAGGCCTGACTGTTTGAAGAAAAACTAGCAAACAACAACAAACAAAACTAAAAAAGCAGCAACAACAACATCAACAAAAGACCCTCCCACAAAAACCCCATCCAAAGGTCATCAGCCTCAAAGATCAAAGGTAGAGAAATCCACAAAGATGAGGAAAAAACACCGAAAATCGCAAAAGCCAGAATGCCTCTTCTCCTCCAAACGTTCACAACAACTGTCCAGCAAGGGCACAGAACTGGATGGAGGATGAGATGGACAAGTTGACAGAAGTAGGCTTCAGAAGGTCAGTAAATAACAAACACCTGTGAGCTAAAGGAGCATGTTCTAACCCAATGCAAGGAAGCTAAGAACCTTGATAAAAGGTTACAGGAACCGCTAACTAGAATAACCAGTTTAGAGAGGAACATAAATGACCTGATAGAGGTGAAGAACACTGCACGAGAACTTCGTGAAGCATACACAAGTATCGATAGCCAAATCGACCAAGCAGAAGAAAGGAGATCAGAATTTGAAAACCATCTTGCTGAAATAAGGCATGCAGACAAGATTAGAGAAAAAAGAATGAAAAGGAATGAACAGAGCCTCCAAGAAATATGGGACTATGTTAAAACACCGAACCTACAATTGACTGGAATACCTGAAAGAGATGGGGAGAATGGAATCAAGTTGGAAAATACACTTGAGGATATTATGCAGGAGAACTTCTCCAACCTAGCAAGACAGGCCAACGTTCAAATCCAGGAAATACAGAGAACACCACTAAGATACTCCATTAGAAGATCAACCCCAAGACACATAATCATTAGATTTTCCAAGGTCAAAATGAAAGAAAAAATGTTAAGGGTAACCAGAGAGAAAGGCCAGGTCACCTAAAAAGGGAAGCCCATCAGACTACCAGCGGATCTCTCAACAGAAACCCTACAAGCCAGAAGAGAGTAGGGGCCAATAGTCAACATTCTTTTTGTTTGTTTGTTTTGTTTTGTTTTGTTTGAGACGGAGTCTCGCTCTGTCACCCAGGCTGGAGTGCAGTGGCGCGATCTCGGCTCACTGCAAGCTCCGCCTCCCGGGTTCATGCCATTCCCCTGCCTCAGCCTCCCGAATAGCCGGGACTACAGGCGCCCGCCACCATGCCCGGCCAATTTTTTTGTATTTTTAGTAGAGATGAGGTTTCACCATGTTAGCCAGGATGGTCTCGATCTCCTGACCTTGTGATCCACCCGCCTCGGCCTCCCAAAGTGCTGGGATTACAGGTGTGAGCCACAGTGCCCAGCCATCAACATTCTTAAAGAAAATAATTTTCAACCCAGAATTTCATATCCAGCCAAACTAAGCCTCATAAGTGAAGGAGAAATGAAATCCTTTCCAGACAAGCAAATATTTTATCACCACCAGGCCTGCTTTGCAAGAGCTCCTGAAGGAAGCACTAAATATAGAAAGAAAAAACCAGTACTTGCCACTGCAAAAACACACCAAAATATAAAGACCAATGACACTATGAAGAAACTGCATCAATTAGTGTGCAAAATAACCAGCTAGCATCATGATGACAGGATCAAATTCACATATAACAATATTAACCTTAAATGTAAATGGGCTAAATGTCCCAGTTAAAAGACACAGACTAGCAAATTGGATAAAAAGTGAAGACCCATCAGCGTGCTGTATTCAGGAGACCCATCTCACATGCAAAGACACATGTAAGCTCAAAATAAAGGGACAGAGGAAAATTTGCCAAGCAAATGGAAAGCAAAAAAAAGCAGAGGTTGCAATCCTAGTCTCTGATAAAACAGACTTTAAACCAACAAAGATCAAAAAGACAAAGAAGGGCATTACATAATGGTAAAGGGATCAATTCAACAAGAAGAGCTAACTAACCTAAAAATATATGCACCCAATATAGGAGCACCCAGATTCATAAAACAAGTTCTTAGAGACCTACAAAGAGACTTAGACTCCTACAGAGTAATAGTGGGAGGCTAACACCCCACTGTCAACATTAGACAGATCAATGTGATAGAAAAATAACAAGGGTATTCAGGACTTCAACTCAGCTCTGGATCAAGTGTACCTAATAGAACAGAACTCTCTATTCCAGATCAACATAATACACATTATTCTCATGCCACATGGCACTTATTCTAAAATCAACCACATAATTGGAAGTAAAACACTCCTCAGCAAATGCAAAAGAACTGAAATCACAACACACAGTCTCTCAGACCACAGTGCAATGAAATTAGAACTCAGGATTAAGAAACTTATTCAAAACCACACAACTACATGGAAATCAAACAACCTGCTCCTGAATGACTACTGGGTAAATAACAAAATTAAGGCAGAAATCAAGAAGTTCTTTGAAAACAATGAGAACAGAGAGACAATGTACCAGAATCTCTGGGATACAGATAAAGCAATGTTTAGAGGGAAATTTATAGCACTAAATGCCCACATCAGAAAGATGGAAAAATCTAAAATCAACACCCTAACATCACAATTAAAAGAACTAGAGAAGAAAGAGCAAACAAATCCAAAAGCTAGCAGAAGACAAGAAATAGCTAAGATCAGAGCAGAACTGAAGCAGATAAAAACACAAAACACCCTTCAAAAAATCAATGAATCCAGGAGCTGGATTTTTTAAAAAATTAACAAAACAGACCACTAACTAGACTAATAAAGAAAAAAAGAGCACACCAAATAGACACAATAAAAAATGATAAAAGAGCTATCACCACTAACTCCATAGCAGTACAAACTACCATCAGAGAATACTATAAATGCCTCTACACAAATAAACTAGAAAATCTAGAAGAAATGGATGAATTCCTGGACACTTACACCCTCCCAAGACTAAACCAGGAAGAAGTCAAATCCCTGAATAGACCAATGACAAGTTCTGAAATAGAGGCAGTAATTAATAGCCTACCAACAAAAAAAGCCCAGGACCAGACAGATTCATAGCTGAATTCTACCAGAGGTACGAAGAGGAGCTGGTACCATTCCTTCTGAAACTATTCCAAACAATTTAAAAGGAGGGACTCCTCCCTAACTCATTTTATGGGGCCAGCATCATCCTGATACCAAAACCTAGGAGAGACAACAAAAAAAGAAAACTTCAGGCCAATATCCCTGATGAACATCGATGTGAAAATTCTCAATAAAATACTGACAAACCAAATCCAGCAGCACATCAAAAAGCTTATCCACCATGATCAAGTCAGCTTCATCCCTGGGATGCAAGGATGGTTCAATGTATGCAAATCAATAAATGTAATCCATCACATAAACAGAACCAATGACCAAAACCACATGATTATCTCAATAGATGCAGAAAAGGCCTTCAATAAAATTCAACATCCCTTCAGGTTAAAAATTCTCAGTATTGGTGGAACAAACCTCAAAATAATAAGAGTTATTTATGACAAACCCATAGCCAATATCATACTGAATGGAAAAAACTGGAAGAATTCCCTTTGAAAACCAGCACAAGACAAGGATGCCCTCTCTCACCACTCCTAGTCAACATAGCATTGGAAGCTCTGGCCAGGGTAATCAGGCAAGAGAAAGAAATCAAGCGTATTCAGATAGGAAGAGAGGAAGTCAAATTATCTCTGTTTGCAGATGACGTGATTCTGTATTTAGAATTCCCCATGATCTCAGCCCAAAACTCCTTAAGCTGATAAGCAACTTCAGCAAAGTCTCAGGATACAAAAGCAATGTGCAAAAATCACAAACTTTCCTATACACCAACAATAGACAAGCAGAGAGCCAAATCATGAATAAACTCCCATTCACAATTGCTACAAAGAGAATAAAATACCTAGGAATACAGCTTACAAGGGACATTAGGGACCTCTTCAAGGGGAGCTACAAACCACTGCTCAAGGAAATAAGAGAGGACATAAACAAGTGGAAAAACATTCCATCCTCATGGATAGGAAGAATCATCATCATGAAAATGTCCATACTGACAAAAGTAATTTATAGATCAACACTATTCCCATCAAACTACCATTGACATTCTTCACAGAATTAAAAAAAAAAAACTACTTTAAATTTCATATGGAACCAAAAAGAGCCCATATAGCCAACACAGTCCTAAGCAAAAAGAGCAGAGCTGGAGGCATCACACTACCTGACTTCAAACTCTACTACAAGGCTACAGTAACCAAAACAGCATAGTACTGGTACCAAAACAGATATATAGACCAATGGAACAGAACAGAGGCCTCAGAAATAACACCACACATCTACAACCACCTGATCTTCGACAAACCTGACAAAAACAAGCAATGAGGAAAGGATTCCCTACTTAATACATGGTGCTGGGAAAACTGGCTAGGCATATGCAGAAAACTGAAACTGGATCCCTTCCTTACACCTTATACAAAAATTAACTCAAGATGGATTAAAGACTTAAATGTAAAACCCAAAACCATACAAACCTTAAAAGTAAACCTAGGCAGTACCATTCAGGACATAGGCATGGGCAAAGACTTCATGATGAAAACGCCAAAAGTAATTGCAACAATTGCCAAAATTGACAAATGGGATCCAATTAAACTAAAGGGCTTCTGCACAGCAAAAGAAACTCGCATCAGAGTGAACAGACAACCTACAGAATGGGAGAAAATTTTGCAATCTACCCTTCTGACAAAGGTGTAATATCCAGAATCTATAAGGAACTTAAACAAATTTACAAGAAAAAGCAAACAACTCCACCAAAAAGTGGGCAAGGTATATAAACAGACATTTCTCAAAAGAAGACATTTATGCGGCCAACAAACATGAAAAAAAAAAGCTCATCATCTCTGATTATTTGAGAAATGCAAATCAAAACCACAATTAGATACCATCCCACACTAGTCAGAATGGCAATTATTAAAAAGTCAAGCAACAGTAGGTGCTGGTGAGTCTGTGGAGAAATAGGAACACTTTTTGCACTGTTGGTGGGAATGTAGATTGGTCCAACCATTGTTGAGGACAGGGTGGTTATTCCTCAGGGATCTAGAACCAGAAATACGTTTTGACCTAGCAATCCCATTACTGGTTATACATCCAAAGGAATATAAATCATTCTACTAAAAGGCACATTCACACGTATGTTTATTGCAGCATTATTTACAATAGCAAAGACATGGAACCAACCCAAATGCCCATCAATTATATAGACTGAATAAGGAAAATGCAGTACATGTGCACCATGGAATACTATGCAGCCATAAAAAAAGAATGAGTTCATGTCCTTTGTAGGGACATGAATGAAGCTGGAAGCCATCATCCTCAGCAAACTAACACAGGAACAGAAAACCAAACACTGCATGTTCCCGCTCATAAGTGGGAGTTGAACAATGAGAACACATGGACAAGGGAGGGGAACATCACACACTGGGGCCTGTCAGGTGGTGGGGGCAAGGGGAGGGAGAGCATTAGGACAAACACCTAATGCATGCGGGGCTTAAAACCTAGAGGACCGGTTGATAGGTACAGCAAGCCACGATGGCACATGTATACCTATGTAACAAACCTGCACATTCTGTACATGTATCCCAGAACTTAAAGTAAAATAAACATTAAAATTTTAAAAAGTAAATCTGAGCCACCTTATGAGTAGTTCACAAACTGCATGAACACAGAATAACATAGGAAACTTTTTTGATAGCGCAGATATACTCATCTTCATTTTTTCCTTCTTTTTACTCTGTGCCTACCCCTACCCCAAGCTCCATTTTTGGAACTGAAAGGGAGAGAAATGGGAGTTGTTCTGTCTAGAAAATTTCCCCAGAGAATTCTGGTTTATACCCTTTCCCATCTAAGTAGGGCTTTGGTTGATTTTCAGTATTTTGAGATCAGAGTCCATGCTCATAACTGCTACGCAATAAAGCTTTCTCAATGCTAATTACTATATATCCCACAGGAAACCACTTTGGGAAATGCTTAAAGTATATGAATAATCTTAAAGCCAGTATAGCATAGTACCTAACAGAATGGGCTCTATAGTTAGAAGATTCCATTAAAAATACGGCTTCACAACTTACTAGACATATGACTATGACCAAGTTTTTAAGCTTTCAGGTCCTCAGTCATCACCTGTAAAATGATGACGACTGAACCTACTGAATAGGATTGTTATAAAATAAGGCATATTAAGCTCTGAGTATAGTACCCTGAATATAGTGAAAGATCAATAAATTTCAGCTGTGATGATGGTGATAATGAGGCTGAATGTGGGCAGTAATAGAATGATTTCTCGACAAGTTTAACAAGGTGAGTACATAAAAAACAACTAGAGCTATGTCAACTCATGAAAAGTAACTAGAGCTATGTTAACCTGCAAATAAAAGTAATGCTCCAGTTGACAAGTCTGACAAATGAACATGCTGCTCAGTTAAGAAAAACACAGGTCTCAAGTCTTCTACAAGGAGACGGAAACCAAAGACAATGCTATTATTCCCAATTAACGGGACAATATTGAATTCTTACCAAGTTATCAGATGATATTACAAGATCATGCAGAATTTAGCCCAAAGCTCTCTCAGAATTGACCTAAAATTTAAGCATGTGACTCACAGGCAGTAGCTCACAGATATTTATATGTGGAAAATACGTGACTATGTAACACCATTTCTGTTGCAGGTTTTTTTTTTCTGGTCTAAGAGCACACAGCAAAGAAAAATTTATACAAAAGTATTGTTTTGTATAAGGAGACACTTTTAGAAAAAGCAAAACAGCGTAATGTTGTTTGTATTAAATGTCTTTTCCTTATCTCCATTTTGAATGTACACATAGAATATAGTGAAACGATAAGAAAGGTTTCACCCAATGGCTATGCTCTCTTTAAAAATTGTTTATAGACATTCACTTCATTAGCCCTCATCCTAGGATGGCAAAAAGGTTTCATTCCAAGGGAACTCAAATCAACTGGTATTGAATGCCTGTGGCCTTTAGTTGAGAAATTCTTCTGAGGCCATGCCCAGGCTTAGCAGAAATGCATATTTGGATCAATAAATATATCTCACACATGTGGGAGGGAAAATAGTGGTTAATATTGCCAGATATTTTCTATTCCTGTTAATCCCAACCATGATTTTCTTATAGTAATGATAAAATGGTTGCTAAGAACTGGCTGCTCTGAAATACAAGTGAGAACAGAAAGAGATATAACACATGAACCGTGGAAGGACCTCCCTCCAAATCCATCACCTGAATGCAAGCATGTTAGTCTTGGAAAAATGACTAGGCCACTGGGAAGTCTGAAGTTTCTTCAGTTACAAATGACCAGCTACTAACAGGAGCAACAGCTATTTTGATTGAATCTGAATACCCATTTGCCCAAAGAAGAAGTGACATCAAAAAATGTCCTAGGAAACATTAGAGTGGAATATTTAATGTTCATCTTTATTAAAATTAATGGCTATTTTAAAGTTAGACTGTCCTTTGCATATCTAATCAACCCAGACTATTTCAAACAATATATTGAGTCAAAACATCTTCACAGGATATACTAGAGAGAAAAAAAATTACTCTCCTTGACACCTAATTAACCCAGGATACTTCTTCATTACACAATGTTGCCTCATCTTACTCATGAAACCAATACACTTATCAAATCCGTGATTTTTTTTCTGTATCAATCAGATAAAAGAAGTTAAACCTACACCATTGTAAAAATGTATTTCTTTACAGCATTGTTAAATAAAATGTCCTGGGTCTCATTTAATTCAGATGGATGAAATCAAAGCCAAGGACAGGATCATCTTTTCCCTGGAAAAGGAACTGGAGACCCAGACAGGCTATGTACAGAAACTCCAACTTCAGAAGGAGGCTTTGGACGAACAACTCTTTCTGGTCAAGGAGGCTGAGTGCAACATGAGCAGCCCAAAACGAGAAATTCCAGGAAGGGCAGGTGATGGTTCCGAACACTGCAGCAGTCCTGTAAGTCCATTCTAGTTGAAGTTAAGAATGCACAAGTCATCTTTTATTTAGCTCCCAAGTTTTACCTTTTACTTAAGCTCTTTTCTTGTTTACTACAAAGAAATCAATCTACCTTCTACTATAAAATCAGCTAGTATCTTGAGAACAGGGTTTTCTAAACTCATAGACAACTAAGTGGTCTGCACTACATTAGCAGATCACATGAGATAGATTTCTTTAAATCCTTCCTAGAATTTTTCTAGCCAGGCAATACCTATCCAAACTTAAGTCTATTATAAGAAACATAAATTAGATGAAAATATTTTGCCTCTTGCCTACACTGGTAATTTTCCCTTTTGTGAACAATTGGGTTGGAAATTGATAAAGATGGTTGTCATCTACAGGGGTCAAAATGTATAACTGCATAAAAGACAAAACCATTTTTAATCTTCATCTGAAGACTTATTGTCTGATTGAACTTACCACTTATTTCCATGAATTTTCATCATTTTATATGAGAAATTATTTTCGGAAGTGCGCAATAGAAATGGGCTTATATGCAGTTGGCTATAACTCTTATACCTTTCCAATTATTTTGCTGCTATAATAATGGAAATGTATTATTTAGGAACAGAGATGGGTTCCAAAGTACTACTTAGAACTAAGTAATGAATAATTTATGAATTGATATTCAGAATAAATATATATATATATGTATATAATCTTAGTAGGTGGTGGAAGGAGTACTTATCTAGGATTTAGCAGTTTCTGTAAGTTTTAGTTCTGACACTGACAGGTACCCGCAATATAGCATAGTTGTCAAGAGAATGGGCTCTAGAGTCAGACTCTTTGGTTCAAATCCCAAATCTGCCATTTACTGTGTGTCCTTAGGCAAACCACTTCACCATTCAGTTTCCTCATGTGTAAAATAGAAGCTATAGTAGTACCTCATATGGCTGGTCTAAAGATTAGAAGAGATAATATGTAAAATGTTGAGCATGGTGTCTGGCACATAGCATTTAATACATATTAGTTACTTATCTTTTGACATTAGCCACAAGACCTTAAAGGAGTTATTACCTATCTGAATTTTACCTGTTCTACTGAATCCTTTAGGATATTATGAATGCTGGGATATAATGTATTTGAAACTACTTTGTCAACAGTACAGCATTATCAAAATGTAAGATGATAATATAATTGTTAGCATATGATAATAACAGTCTTATATAACTCTACAACATGAAATTAAGCCATGAATGCCCTGTGTAAGGTGATTCACAGCCATTCTGCCAGTGGAGAAGCCAGTTGCATTGGGCAGAATATACTAGTCAGGCCTATCCTATAAACTACTGACCTTTATACATGAAGGTAATACATCAACATTTTCTCACCTTGACCTTTTTCTTCAGGAGTATGAAGGAATTGACAATATTAATCCCTACCTCCTACTCTCTCCCCTCTGTGGCTAATGGTAATACCAGGACAGCTGTCTAAGCTGTGGGAAGCAATGTGTGGCCATGACACAAGGGATGCCCTTTGAACCTTATGTAATCACATCATGACCTTGGTCCCACAGCACACAGCTCTGATAAGTTGATCCAACCCTCTGCACTCTCCCTGCCCTGAGTCCTGGATCCAGGGAGTATCTGCCACATGGAATTCATTTGCAATTACAACCTGGCGTGGTCTTCAACCCAAGTGGTGAATATTGAGAGTTATAAAAGGGTAAATATTTACTCTTTGGATAAAAGAATATTTTATTCTCACTTCAGGAGCCAGATAAGAGAACTGAGCCTATTACTTTTATGAATAATAAGTGATATTCCCAAACTTTGTGAAAAGTGTTGTTGAAGAAATACCCATTTTAATTTTTCTTTGTAGGATTTGCGAAGAAATCAAAAGAGAATAGCTGAATTGAATGCCACTATAAGAAAATTAGAAGACAGGAATACCTTGCTTGGAGATGAACGAAATGAACTGGTGAGATATACTAAAAATTTTTGTTGATGTTGTTGTTAAGCATTATGTTACAGAATTACATACTATGTTATAGATACGTACCATAATAGAGAAAAGTGTACAAATAATAAAGATACCATTCAATAGATATTCACAAAGTGGCACACTCAAAAAACCACCATCCAGATGAATAAATGGAAGATTACCAGCATCTCACACCCCCGCTTCTTGTGACCCCTCCCAATTAGCATCCTGTTAAACTTAACCACTATTCTGACTTCAATCGCCATAGATGTCTATCACCATTAAACATTTTTTTGTAAATGAAATCATACAATATTTTCTCTTTTTTGTCTGACTTCTTCTGCTTCTTTCACTCAGCTTTGTTTGTGAGATTTATCCATTGTGTTGCATGTAGAATTCATTCATTTTCATTTCTCTATAGTATTCAAATAATATATCACAATATACTGATCCATGTTATTGTTAATGGACATTTATGTTGTTTCTTAAAACTTCTGAGCTGTTTTGAGAAGAACAGTGCTTCTACATGTCGTTTCTGAAAAAATATGCCCATTTCTGGTGGAATATGCAGAGGAGTAGAATTACTGGATGTTAGAGTATGGATGTAGTCAGCATCAATAGTTATTACCAAACAGTGAGTTGTCACAATTCCCACCAATAATGAATGAAAGTGGTAGTTTCTCCATATCTTTTCCAACATACAAAAATAATTGTTAGTCATGTTGGTGGATGTAGGGCATACTCTTACACCTTACATTATGGTTTTAATTTTCCTCATTATTAAGAAGGTAGGGTAACTTTTCAAATATTTACTAGTCTTTCAGATATAATTTGTCCTTAGCCTTTTGCCCATTTTCTGTTATGCTGCCTTTACTGTTTCAGTTACTATTAGGATTTTTTTTATCATCACTTGTGGTACATTTGCATTTAAAATATCTTGCTCTATGGCTTACGTTTTTGTTTTTAATAGAGCTATTCATATAAGAGTTATTTTCAGCCTTTCCTTTTTTCAAATATATGCATTTTAGGCTGTAATTGACCCTCTAAGCCTTGCTTTAGTTTAATATATTGTTATTTCATTCAAAAATTTTTCTAATATCATGTAATTTTTCTTTGATATATGGGTCACTTAGAAGTAGATGGCTTAATTTCAAAACATTTAGAGATTTTTTTAGTTATCTTTCTGGTATCAATTTCTACCTTAATTCTACTATAGTCAGAGAATGTACTTTGTATATTTCATTCCTTCAAAATTTGTTGAGATTTGCTTTATGACCTCAGCATACAGTCAATTTTAGCAATGTTACATGTTTACATGAAAAGGAGGCATACTCTGTAATTATTAGTTGCAGTTTGATTGAAGTTTGTTAATAATCTTGTTTAAAATTTTTCAATTCTTACTGATATTTTTGTCTGCTTGTTCTCCCAAAAGATTTGTCTATATCCTTCTTAGTTCTTTAAATTTAACTTTATATGTAGAACAATAATATGTATTTATAATATATTAGAAATTATGTTACTAGATGAATATAAATTAATATTTGTTATATTTTTTGTGTGTATTGACCCTTTAATCATTATGCTTTTTTTTTCCTCTGGTAATACTTCTTGGCTTAAAGTCGTTGTTATTAGTTGAACTACATCAGATTTTTGTTTTAGTGTTAGTGTGCATATACATGTGTATGTGTATATATATATGTATTTATAACTATATAGACATACATATATACATACATATTTACACATACATATATACACACACAAACACACTTTTTTCCAACCTTTCTGTGTTTTATTTAAGGTGTATCTTAAAAGGAACATTTTGTTGGGTATTGTGGGACTATGGTTATTGATGTATGATGTGATAGAATTATAGATATTTTCTTTATGTATATCTGCATTTTCTGTGAATTGTATTAATAAGTAAATTTAAATATTTAAAACTCACATCATTGACCTTCAGAAGAGACAGATTAAAAAATAAGAATAACTTATTGTCCTTATATGTATGCAATATTTAATATTAATGCTTCAGGCACTAAGGACTAAGGCATTAATGCTTCAGGACTAAGTCAGATTATTTGTAAAAATAAACCCAGTTTTGGCCTTTAATATGAAATGGAGTTATTTCTTTAATACGAAATTGAGATTGAGATGGATTTGCAGAAGTGCTGTTTAAGAATCGTAAGATGAGATTTTACAAATATTCATAATTAGCTAAGTCTTCCACCTCAGCACTTCCCAAAATCTTAGAATCTCAAGAACAGTAGTGCGCACTTTAAAAAGTCTTCTCAAATATTTCGAATACAGCCCTCCTTTTTCCTTGCTCTTCTCCCAATACATACTCACATTCAGAATCATTAGTAAGAAAAGAATAAGCTAATCATGAGAAGCTGAAAATGAAAATCTATAATGTATAGGATGATCATGAAATATACAAAAAGGAGTGTTTTAAAAGTAAAGGGGAGGACTATTGACAATCCCCTCAAGACAATTTTCATAAACTTAGACCAGTGGTTCCCAACTACAGGCGATTTTGGCAATATCTGATGTTTTTGATGGTCGCAATTAGCAGAGTGTTACTGGCATCTAGCCAGCAGAGGCCAAGGATGCCGCTAAACATCCTCCACTGCACAGGACACCTTACATCAAAAAAACATCCGGCTCAAAATGTCACAGACGCCGAGACTGAGAAACCCTGCTTTAGACTAACCAAGCAAATGAGAGTATGCTCACTCTTAATTATGGGTGGATAACAATACAATCATACTTTACTAAGCTTGGGGAGAATTTGATATCCTTACACAAACATCCACAGAGTTTCAAACTTACGTGTGGTTTTTTTCCCCTCGATAAAATTTCTTTTAAAATAACAACTGTAGTGCGAGTCAGGAGATTTCCACAAGGTCTCTGAAAGAATGACCTTTGGACATAACCAGGCTTGGATTCAGCTCCTGGTCGCATTACTTAGTGGCCGTGTGGTCTGGGTGAGCTCCTTTATCTCTGAGCTAATGCAGGTCATTCCAGGTGCAGGGATTGCAGCTGAGCACGGTGGAGTAACAAGTCGGGGAAGCGAAAGAAAGCAAGGAGAGCGCGTCCTCCCGAGCATTTCCAAAACCAGTCTCTGGAGTACTTTCCTTAAGACAATGGATTGATATAAGGCTATGAAGGCTGTGATGAAAAACCGTTAGAGAAAACTGAAAAGAAAGCAAACAGTCTGTTAAATGAAGGATTGAAATGTCAGTGGTCAGTCCTCAGCCACATAGTGAAGCAGAGACAAGGCTGTCTCCAGAGGTGCTTTCACTCCCACCACTTTACTCCCCTGCCCCCACGTCCCCCAAACGCAAGACACAAATCTTCACTTATTTCTTCCCAGTTAAAACGTGTGCGGGAAACCGAAAAGCAATGTAAACCTCTCCTGGAAAGGAACAAGTGCCTCGCCAAGAGAAACGATGAACTGATGGTGTCCTTGCAGCGCATGGAAGAAAAACTAAAAGCCGTTACCAAGGAAAATTCAGAAATGGTGTGTATCACAGACTCTGCAAAACTGCAGCTTCCTTGATTATATTACCTTAATAACCTGACTTATTGCCATTTCTCAGCTTATTTTAAAAATACAGTGCTATTTGGATTTTTCCTTATGTAAGCAAGGAAGCCTTAATGAAGAAAGCAAGAGAAGGTTGCTGGCTCTGAATTTTATGAGGTTTCTATATTTGCAAAACTGTAGGAGTGCTTCCAGGAATTTGCACACTTTCCAAAGCTTGGAAATGGAGAAGGAAAGCTTTGACATAACTTAGCCACAGAAACCATCCATGACTTCACTAACATGCTATTTACAGACCTATACCCCAGGCACACCTTGTCTTCTAAGATCGTGCATGATATTTGGGAAATAGATACCATTACTTGTGTTATATGCGGACAAGTGAAATGATAATGTACTCCTTAATAGACTTTCAATACATCTATAGAGATCTTTGACAATCCCCAATGATAATGACTTATTATGGCAGATAAAATGTGCTTGAGGATTTAGTTGGTGTATGTGTATTCAGGCTGGGCAATTTCCAAATTTAGCTGGAGCCTCATAAACTTTCTACAGATATTTTATGTTAACAACCAAAGTTTGAGGTTTTTAAAGTCTCCACCTGTACTTTCTTCTTTTCCAATCCAGAGAGAAAAAATAACATCCCATCCACCCCTGAAGAAATTAAAATCTCTGAATGACCTCGACCAAGCTAATGAAGAACAAGAAACAGAGTTTCTAAAACTTCAGGTCATTGAGCAACAGAACATTATTGATGAGCTCACAAGGGTACGTGTCAATCAATCTGTAAACCCTAAGTTGTTCCCAAGGACAAGTAGCCAACAAAATATACACTGAAAGCAGTTAATTTTAGTTTAACCCCAGAGGCCCAAGTTCATATGTTAAATATGTAATTTTGTTCTAGAGACTGTATTCCAATATTTTATATTGTTCAACTGCTTTACACCTTTTAAATTATAACCCTTTGTTAACTAATTTGGTAGCACAAATAATAACAGCAAAGCACATTAAAAGAACTTTTAAATGCCTCGTTGTATAAGTTTGTAGGTAGGTTGGGTGTGTCTTGTAACTGCCTTCCAGTAGCAGGATCCCGAGGCTCAGAGATTTAATATGTTGTCTATGCTAACAACATCACATATATACCTTGTTTCCCAGGTCTCAATTCAGTGTCTAGCACATAGTTACAGTTCAACAAATATTTGTTGGATGAACAGCAACAATATAATTACATAACAGAGCTAAAATTTCAGCCCAGATTTTCTGATCATTACTTCAGTACCTACTGAGTGGGTAGAGCAGTTATTACTTCCATCAGAGTTTGGCTGAGGTTTGTGTTGCTAGTAAGGATGCACTAAGACCTCTAGGTGCCTTTGGGTTTTCTTCTTTGCCTCTCCATCTGTGTTCTGTGAATGACATCGTTGGTTGCTCTCACTTCAGGACCAAGTCAAGGCCTAAAGACTTGAATTGCAAGGAGGGAGTTAGGCAATAGTCTCCAGAGTGAGGTGAGAAAAGTGATTCACTGCCACTGAGACAGAGAAAGGTTATAGCTTCTGTTTATAATTACTTATGATTCATCCTTTTTAAAATTTCTATGTTGACTATATGTTACAATGAATACATTAGATTAGGAAGGTAATTTAAATATATAATTGTATTAGGGCTCTCTAGAGGGACAGAAGTAATAGGATAGATGTATATATAATGGGGAGTTTATTAAGGAGTATTGGCACACACGATCGCAAGGTGAGGTCCCACAATAGGTCATCTGCAAGCTGAAGAGCAAGGAAGCCAGTCCAAGTCCCAAAGCTGAAGAACTTGGAGTCTGATGTTCCAGGGCAGGAAGAATCAGGAGAAAGATGTAGGCTGGGAGACTCAACCAGTCTAGTCTCTTCACGTGCTTCTGCCTGTTTTTATTCTGGCTGTGATGGCAGCTGTTTAGATTGTGCTCACCCAGATTGAGGGTGAGTCTACCTTTCCCAGTCCACTGACTCAAACGTTAAACCTCCTTTGGCAACACCCACGTAGACACACCCAGGAACAATACTTTGTATCCTTCAATCCAATCAAATTGACACTCAATATTAACCATCACAATAATGTGTAAATTGTAAAAGTCTCATATATAGAGGCTGCATTTTTACTTATAAAGGTGAAAAAAAAAAAGCCCGAACACCACTGGCTTAAACAAGATTACTCATTACTCCCTGTTTTCCTCATTTCATTTTCACATCCTAATAACTCATACATTTTACAAATTCATGAGCCCAGGAATTTGCCTGGCTTTGAGTATCCTGAGATTAAGCTGTAAATTTTTTATAGAATTTTGGGCTATTTAGGCACACTCATCGGACTTTTCAAAAGACATTCTATCTAGTTTAAATTTTTACAGTAAATACATGGAGTGCTTAGTGAATAAACCCCAAATTCCCATGATATCTCTATTCACAGCAACAATAAATCATGAAATTGATCAATATTTCTAGGCATTCTTTGAGATTCCCAGAAAATTTTTTAAAAACTGAAGACAAAACAGAAACACTAAATGGCTCCAACCCGCTAGCTACTCTGTTCCCTGTCCTATTTTCAGGGACTGCAGGTGAGAACAAGGATGCAAAAATAGGCCAAAGACAGCTTTCTATGCATTTCAAATGACTAAATGAAAAGAATACGGTTTTACTTTATTGTGAAATTGTATTTTTAACACAAATTTAAAGTAATTTTGGATCTAGGAGAACTAAAGTACTGTGCTTTGGGGGAATATAAGTAACTATTTTCATAGCTACTTGATGTTCAAGTATAAAACAGGATTCTGATTAGGAACACAGTACACTTTCTGATCATGAGGCTCCTTGATCCACATAACTCATCAGGAATAGTTGTAGAAGATTCTTGTTTTGAATATATTTAAGTATCAATCCCAAAAGTTGCCAAAATTTAAAAAACAAAGTCTTATTCTATTCCAAATATAATGCCTTATGGGAAAGAACACTCTGTCTTTGCAAAAAACTATAAAGAAACATCTACCAATTCTGGATCTGAAAATCTTTCATCTGTTTTCCAGGACCGAGAAAAGCTCATCCGTAGAAGAAAGCATAGAAGAAGTTCCAAGCCAATTAAGGTAATAAGAAATCAAAGTTATCAGGCATTTGCCACAAACAGCCAGAGAGATGAGGCTTGGCATGGAATCTTCCTACAAAGATGTGATGAATCAGGTGTTCCAGAACTGTTGCAGCAAACCATGGGCATTATTTGCTAGAAGAAAATATTTTCTGTTGACATTTCTTCGAAGTCTAAAAATGATTATGTTGTAAATTTTAACCTGAAAGGGGTTTGCTTTAATATAACTTTCTCTAAATGGAGATGCCCCTAGGTTTGATGTAGAAAGGATTACCTGACAAGTTGGAGAGTCATATTCAAGAAATGCACATGATTTGATGTCTCCCACTTATGACAATTAATACATTTTCATTATTCATTCAGACAATCTTATTGATAGCAATGCTCCCAATCCATCAATATCTGTATAGCCTCTTATAATCCACAAAGTTTTGTTATTCAGTTTGTCTATTTGATTTTTATTTTGGTTTTTACCAAGTATACCATTGGTTTTTAATGTGGACTTGGATGACAAGGCTTAAGATTTGATCATCTCCATCACATAGATACCTGAGTTTTCAAAATCCTTTGGTCATAGTTTAAATACAGGAAAGAGTAAACCACACTAGCTCATCATGATATAAAATGTAATATGAAAGAGGTTTCAGTGTTTCTATGAAAAAAGCTACATATTATGAATTTTTCTTAAGATGTCAGAAGTGAAATAATATGAGAGAAACACTTATTGGAATTATGCTCATGCCTAATGTTTTTATTTCAACAAAGAAGCATAGAGGATCCATGTCTTCTATATTCACTTACACGTATGCCAGTTGACAGTATTTTAACGTTCAACTTTCCCTACTGTTAGCTATGTCAGTAAATAGGTACTTTCCCTCCATTTAGAGGCCTGTTTTGGACCCGTTTATTGGCTATGATGAGGACTCTATGGATTCAGAGACATCATCCATGGCCTCATTTAGAACAGACAGAACACCAGCTACTCCTGATGATGACTTGGATGAAGTAAGCTTTTCTACTTCTCTAGCCTAGGGTGATATTGTCACCAAATCTTTGATTTAAGGGGGAAGAAAAAGGATTTCACTTTTCATCTCCTTTATATAAACAGCACAAAGTGATCTCATAATAGTAAACAATTTTGAGGCTGCACTTTATTATCTCTTGAAAAATAGCTTCACTTATAGCAGGTAAACCTTTTAGAAATTTCTCTCCAGTTCAACTCTCTAATTTGAAGACTTCTTTCAAAATAAAAGTTACTTTCCAATATTCTTTATCTAGGGAAGGTAGGAACCCAAGAGGCCTTAGCAGGCTTTTGGATGTGGTCTGACACTGTTGAGTGAAGTGTGTTCTGTGGACCATCCTCATCAGAATGATCTAGAGGGCTCAGTTACAATGAAAAGTCCTGGACTCTACCATGCAACTCCTGACTCAGGATCTTAGGAGTGAAACACCCCAGTCTGCATTGTTTCCCAAAATTCCCTGCTGATTATGTTATGTCCTGAAGTTTAAGATGTAATGCAATAAAACAGATTTTATGATTTATCTGGGGGAAAAAACAAGTTGCTGGAGATGAACATACTGAAAAGAAATAAGAAAATTCTAGGGTATCATTTCCTCAAATTTAGGTCCAAAATCTGGATATGACTTTTTCTTATTTGGATCCAAAATTGACTACATTCTAAGCTCAAATGATTAACAATGAGAAATGTATCAAATGCTAAATGCTTCTTTTACTAAAATAAATATTTATGTATTTCTGCAGTGTCCATCTTGAAAGTATTACAGTATTTGTGCCCGTATATACACTTCAGAGCTAAAAATAAAATCAAATAGACTGTTAAACAACCTTTTACTTCTTGTAAAAAGTGGGCAAATGTTAATATTTCACATTGAAAACAGGACCTGAACATAACACAATTGTTTTGGGGCTTTTTTTCTTAACCTCAAGAGTTTAGCAGCTGAAGAATCTGAACTAAGATTTCGACAATTAACAAAAGAATATCAGGCCCTCCAAAGAGCATATGCCCTCCTACAGGAGCAGACGGGAGGCATCATCGACGCTGAACGAGAAGCCAAGGTTAGTGTGTATCTGTGAGAGTGCTCTGAATTAGCGTGCAGCAGTCACAGCATAAAAGCACTGTGGACATAAAAATATCAATAAGACAGCTTTCCCTGTATTCTTCTCTCCTCTGCAGCTTTTGAATTGTTATAGCTTTTATGTCAACAAACCTTGACTCTAGAAACATTAGAACCAGCTTAGATCAATGCTTTTGTTCTTTTAAAGATAGTTGAGTACATAGTTCTTGTTCTTGCTGTTTGAAAACATACATTTTCAAAGCTAGACAATATTGGATTTTGTTAAGCCATTTTTTAGTTTCTTGCTTAGAAAAAGAACTTTTTTATCTTTCAAAAGCAATAGTGAGCCAGTGTCTTCTCTTCGTTAATAAGTGCCCAGCGTTTACGTATGACAACTTACCAGAATTTTCACAGACACTATCTCATTTAACCCTTGAGACAGTCCCCTAAGGCAGATATTTTATAAAAGAGAAATTTGACACTCAGAGAGGTTAATTGAATTGCCCCAAATAGCACAAATAGTAAATGGCAAAGCTGATATTACAACTTAAGTCTTACTGGGTCAAATGTTCTTTCCTTTATATCATAACTGCCTCTCATGAGCCTATTTCAACAAAAAGAAAAGATAGACATGTACTATACTAATTCTTAATATTTATTGAGTGCTTGCTGTGTTCCAGGCATTGTGTTGAACATTTTACACACATTATCTATATAATCCTAAAACAACCCTAGGAGCTAGATATGATTATTATCTTCTTTCTATAGAAGAGGAAATAATAGCTTAGTAGAAGTTAAATGTAGTTTAGTGAAGTTAAATTATTTACCTAGGTTTACCTAGGTTTCCTAGCCTTGTGACTTCACAGTCATAATCACCAGGCTATAATTGCCTCCTAGGTAAATTTACATGAGCCAAAAGGCAGCATGACCACCGAGACCACCCAGTGATTTCATCCTACTTTCTTTCTGGAGGGTCTACAATGCACTGAGGAGTTTTGTAGAACTACTATTGTTCAGTGGGAAAGGGTAGATGTAACGCAGTTATACATTTTTCAACAGTAGCATGCACACACACATATATAAGTAAATAAGCAGGTTTTTAAAAAACACCAATTTAGAACAGGCAAGCAATCATTACAAAGGAATGTGCCTGTAGGCTGTCATATATATGCCCCAGTGCTATAATATTTGTGGTTAAGTGTTCTTACCAACATGGATTGGGGAATTAAAATAATAGCATATTATTTTATTTTTATTTTTTGGAGATTCCTCCAAAAAAAGGAGACTTCTTTTACTTTTTGGAGATTCCTCCCTGTGTCATTTAATTCTTCTACCTAAATAAAGGTTTAGCGTTCTCTCTGACCATTAAAGTCAGGAAAACTTACCATTCTTAGAAAAATAATCTACAAGAAATAAAGATGTTAGAAAAAGAACAACAGAGTAAATTTAAAGAGACTAGAAATTAAAAAATAATACAGATGAAAGCATCGTTGAAAACAAAAGATAAAATTAGGTACAAGAAAAAATAGGTTACAGTCAACATCAATTCACAGTTAAAATAAATCTTAGCAAAATTAATTATTTTTTGGACCTGATAGAGGTAAATGTAATATTTAACAATCAAAAGAATTATTCTCCTCACAATGAATAAGGATATCTTTCATCGCTGTTTTTATTCAACTTTGTACTAAAAAACCTATCCAGATTGTAAAACAACAACAAAAAAATGGGTTTACAGGCAGGAAACAAATTACTAAGCTAAATCACATAGGACAACAAAGTTGCTCCATACAAGATTAGTATTCAAAACTACTTACACACACAGACACACAAAATATGATATATAAAGAGAAAGACAGAGAGAAATTGATTTAGGGACTTAAATTTAGGCACAAAGTTTGCTCTGAAAGAATGGAAAGGCCGGGTGCACTTTGGGAGGCGGAGACGGGTGGATCATCTGAGGTCAGGAGTTCGAGACCAGCCAGGCCAACACGGTGAAACCCCATCTCTACTAAAAATACAAAAATTAGCTGGGCGTGGTGGCCGGTGCCTGTAATCCAAGCTATTTGGGAGGCTGAAGCGGGAGAATTGCTTGAACCCAGGAGGCGGAGGTTGCAGTAAGCTGAGATTGTGCCACTGCATTCCAGCCTGGGCAACAGAGTGAGACTCTGTCTCAAAAAAAAAAAAAAAAAAAATCAAAAGAATTTGGGGAGGCAAAATGGAACAAGGCTTTCATGAAAGAGAAATCATTCAAATAAAGAGAAGAGTGGAGAGTTACAAGGCATATTTAGGAAACAAGAATTATGCCAGCAGGTGAGGGTTTGGCTCTAGGCTGATGAGTAGTAGGAAAAGATTGGAAATATAATGGGAGTTCTCGAATGCCAAGCTAACGAGTTTGAATACTAACCTGAAAATAAAGAATGCTACAGGGAGTTTTAAACAAGAATTTAGATCAGAAAGATTCTTTTGTCATAGAAAATTCTTCTTTTTTTCCTCTCTCTCTCTCTTACTTGTTGAGTTCTAGTCAAGAAAGGTATTGAATAACCATTTTACTTGCTGAGTTCTGGAATTTTGGTTTCACCAGGCTCAAGAACAGCTCCAAGCAGAGGTGCTAAGGTATAAAGCCAAAATTGAAGACCTGGAAGCGACTCTGGCTCAGAAAGGGCAGGTAGGCATTTGGTTGCTAGCTCTTCTGCAGATGCAGACAATTCAATCTGACCTTCCTGTAGCTCACCTGTGCATGGGCCGCACCCAGGACACAGCTTGGCTCTCCACAGTGATCTTTCTCGAACTGCGTTAGAATGTTCAACTCTGTACTTCTGTCTCTGGTGTTTTTCTGGCCAGAGTATGAACCCAGCCACAACAGTGAATGAGCTTGGGCAAGAGAGAGAATGCCAGAGGAAGAGGAACCCTGTACAAATAGCCTAGAGTTGTCATAAGCTGCTAAGACCAAGACCCACCCCTCCAGCTGCGTTCTTTGCCTCTATGCTACATTTATGGTTCTGCATTTTAATGTTTTCCATCCATATGTATCTAGCCTGTGTGCATTCTGACCCTTTTCACTTTTTGCCTGTGTGGTCACTTCTGAGTCCCCAGAAGGCTGGTCCTGGATTATTCAAACTGGAAAAGGTAGAAATAGGGAGTGATGATGAAAAGGGGGTTAAATTTTCCCGGCAACTTTGGCCCCAATTTCTTTGAAGGAGCTGGCAGGGGTGGGTGCTACTTACCAGTCTTTGGCAGGCAAACAAACAGGGTGGGGAGAAGGCAGCTCTGGCAAAGTGGTTTGACAACACAGGCTCTTTCGTGCCACTCTGAAATGCTGACTGCGCGATATTCTTTGTCAAACAGGATTCACACTGGGTAGAAGATAAACAACTTTTCATTAAGAGAAACCAGGAGCTTTTAGAAAAGGTATGTTGGGCACAACACCCTAGCGGGGCAGAGGAGAAAATCATGAGAGATCCAGGAGCAGCAGGGGGTGCTCTCAGGAGTGGCACAGGGGCCAGGGGAAGGGGAGGCTTTTCCGGCACTGCTCTGTCCTCGGCTGCGTGCTCAACCGCATCCCTGTCACCGCCATCACCATCAGTGAAGTGGCACGTGTGCATGGCTCTGCGCTGGGCATTGTGCAGACTTGAAAGGATGTGATCCCTGAAACCTCCTGATTTGCTAACCATATACACTGTATATATACTGTACATATATATATACATACACGCACACACACACGTGCACATCCTGTGTAGTTGTTTATCTACAACAAAACCTCTATGAGGGCCAGGCACAGTGGCTCAAGCCTGTAATCCCAGTAATTTGGGAGGCCGAGGTGGGTGGATCACCTGAGGTCAGGAGTTTGAGACCAGCCTGGCCAACATGGTGAAACCCTGTCTCTGCTAAATACAAAAAATTAGGCAGATGTGGTGGCACATGCCTGTAATCCCAGATACTTAGGAGGCTGAGACAGGAGAATCATCTGAACCCAAGAGGCGGAGGTTGCAGTGAGCTGAGATTGCGCAATTGCACTCCAGCCCGGGCAACAAGAGCAAAACCCCATCTCCAAAAAACAAAACAAAACAAAACAAAGAAACCTCTATGAATAGAACTTGTTATTTTGTGAGAAGAAGTGACAGAGTATGACTCCAAGACCATGCCGAAACCTAGCATAGGCTTAGATTCCCACTTTTAGTCTTTTTATTAAGCTTGAGTCTTTCTTTTTTTTTTAATGAAAGATTTTTTTTAGATGAATACTGTTTTTAAAACATAAAACAGTATTCCTGGAAATTACTCAACAAATTAAGAAACAAAAACATGGCTTAGGCTTGAATAGATATAATTAATTTTGGTTATCTGAACATAGAGTCAATTAAACATAACACATTTTCAGTTCAAAGGTGGCTTTTCCTTTGATATTTACCTTCTACAAATCTAGTGAAAGATTTCAAAATAATTTTTTTTTTTGAGACGGAGTTTTACTCTTGTTGCCCAGGGTGGAGTGCAATGGCACAGTCTCAGCTCACGGCAACCTCTGCCTCCCAGGTTGAAGCGATTCTCCTGCCTCAGCCTCCCAAGTAGCTGGGATTACAGGCATGTGCCACCACATCTGACTAATTTAAATTACAAAATAATCTCATATTATGTTTGACAAAAACAGAATTTGAAAGCCCAATTGTGTAAGGGAAACAATTGTGTAGGTCAATCCAAAGTTATGCAGAAATTATTTTAGAATTGTTTTTATGAATATTTCTTATCCCTGACAAGTAATAAAAATTAACCACAACATCCTGGCTGGTAAGCATGAGAAGGAGGAAAAAGATGCTTGTCCTACCTCCCCTCTAGTCTGGCAAAGTGAAGACATTCTATCTCATGCTTTGCATGCTGTGAGACAGAGCTGATGTGTTCATCACATAGATGTATAGATGATGTATATGTTATATACAGAGTGGGCAGGTATTCAAAAATCGAGAACTGGTGCTTTCAGGAAGGTTAAGCGACCCTATAAAGAAACTTTGTTGGCATTGAATGAATTACAGTCTGTGAACCACTGATCTAATTGTTTCGTTAACCACTAGAACCAGCAATCTCTCGAAATATTCCACCATTGATTCAGTAGAAGATTCTAGGAAGTAGAATCTCCTTTATAATGTTAAGTTAACTTCTACAAACTTTTGAAAGTTTACTAGGCCACAAATATCTAGGGTAGAAAACTCGACTACATTTATTAATGTCACATAATTTCTCACTATTTCCCTATCTTTCTTTTCCTATTAGTTTCAGAGATGCCCAGTAATAAGTGTTATTATATTTCTTTATCATAAAAAAAATCCCATTACGTCTTCTATCTGATTTCCGTTAGTCTTAATCTTTTTGGGCTAAAGGAGGAATTTTTATGCTCAGGCTTCTAAGAATAAATAAACAAAATAAAGGGATGGCAGAACTGACAATGAACCTAAATAGGTAACTTCAAATGTAAATACTTGGGAAAGTAAGATTCGTGCTATGGTAAAAAGGCCCTGGTTTGTATTTCTAAATTCAAGATTTTAAATAGTTACTGTATGTAATGCCCACCTATACAGCTAATATCAAGGGAAGCTCAACATCCATTGTACTTCATAAAGATTTTCTGATCCCTTAAAAGCCAAAGATGACAGCCGGGCACAATGGCTCACGCCTGTAATCCTAGCACATTGGGAGGCCGAGGCGGGTGGATCACCTGAAGTCAGGAGTTCAAGACCAGCCTGGCCAACGTGGTGAAACCCTGTCTCTACTAAAAATACAAAAATTAGCCAGGCCTGGTGGCAGGCACCTGTAGTCCCAGCTACTAGAGAGGCTGAGGCAAGGGAATTGCTTGAACCCAGGAGACAGAGGTTGCAGTGAACTGAGATCATGCACTCCAGCCTCGGGGACAAGAGCAAGACTTCATCTCAAAAAAAAAAAAAAAAAATCCAAAGATAACTCAGACATGAACCCTGTCTACAGGGGAAGGTGCATTTGTACACAGCTAACTGAAATCCATGCTTCCTCAAGTTATACTAGAGGTCCTATAAGAAAGTCTAGAGGAAAACAAAAGGAGAGGTGTCACTTCTGAATGGATTGACTAGGGAAGGCTCTTATGGACATTAGAGCTTATTTAAGTGCTAATGCTTAAGAGCTTAGCTTTAAGGTGTTTAAAGAAGTGTAGAATTTGCTCACATAGCAAAGGAGATAAAGTGAGCCATTTTCAGGCAGAGCTGAGTAGCTACAGAGTTCCTGGAGTAGTCAGTTCATTGGGTAGGCCACAGTTCCTAGATTCTAGTGTTTGCATGATCATGTGTGGGTGTGTTTGTGCAGAGATGACAGTGATAATATTTAAAACTGGAAAGCTAGGTGGTAATCAGATTATTAAGGTTTTTGAATTCAGTGTTAAAGAGCTGGTTTCTTCTGTAGTAATTGAAATTCAGCAAAGTTTTGTGTATGATGATAGCTGTTAAAAAAAATTTCTGTAACAAATATAACTCGAGAAATGAGAAGTATCAGTCCCTCTTATGTATACCATTAAATTTGGTTCTAGTAGACTGTCTCTGACCCATCACAAGGGCAAAGTGAGTATTCTCAGATTCACTATTCACAGAATTCCTAGATTTTAATTCCAAGGAACAGAGATGTCTTCTGGCATTTTTCTCTGTGACTCAAAAAACTCAACCGAAGGATAACTAGAAGGAAAGCCAAAGCCAAATACTTATTTTATTCACATCTATTTGGGGATTTTTTTTCATGGTCTGGAAGACTTATTCACTGAGTAAACTGAACACTATTCATGCTTTGCAAAGTTGTAGGTGCTTTTCTCAATGCTTACCTAACTTCAGGATTTACTTTATTAGATAGAAAAACAGGAGGCAGAAAATCACCGGTTACAACAAGAACTACAGGACGCCAGAGACCAGAATGAGCTGCTGGAGTTTCGAAACCTAGAGCTAGAAGTAAGGAAATGATGATGATAATAATAAAAATAATCGTAATGATTAACATGCACAGAGCACATTGAGGAGCTAGGCGCTGTATTAAGCATTTCAGATTCATACTCTCATTTGGACCTCACAATCACCCTCAAAATTATATAGTGGAGGCAACTGAGATTAACTAACTTGCCTAAGTCCTGTGACTAGTAAGTGGTAAAGCTCTGATGCAACTCAAAACTGTCTACTTAGATACTGTGCTTTTCAACATTACTATCTTTTATGAGCAAGACTAATAAATAATTTTTAAATAAGTTAAATAATAGATTTCAACCATCCTCAACATTCGTTGTTTTTAAATACTCATGTCCATCCTTAATTAAATTTTGACTCATTAAAACATGTTACTTCAATACTTATATTTCAAAATGTGCTATATAAAAAATATTTTTTAGGTAAATGTGAATTTATAAGTAAACGTTTTAGTCCCTAATGCATTTATGAAAAAAAAGACTAAGAAGCAAGGTAACTTGTCTTAGAAAATACCTTGATTAATCTGACCAAATTTCAGGTGTTTGTTTTTTATTTTGCAAGTAAAACATGGAAACATCAGATTTTGATTGTATCCTGCAGAATCTGACTTAGGATCTGGTTCAGTGTATGTTGATATATAAAGTATAAGAAAAATTCCCATTTGATTTCTGTTATTTTGCCAGTTAGTTCTTCTTTAGGCTATTTTGAATTAGGTCTGGATAAAAAGTTAGGTGTTAGTAGGCTTCAGTGAAGAAGAGTCATTCTTTTGTAGCCCACATATCTTTCTCATAATGCTTGAATAGATTGAATATGCAAAAGGCTGTTAGCGGCCATAAAACTTCATGGCAAGACCACGCTGAGATATTTGAAAGCTCTAAATATTCATACAGTTTAAACTGGAGCTCCACTTCCTGCATTTCCCTGATCAAAAAATTTGGAAGAATGGATGACACCATCTATAAATTCTTCTTCTCAATCTCTTAGTTGACTAGTCAGCTTTTTCCGTCACATTTAATCATGAACATCTTGAGATTGAATTTTTTTCTTTTTGCCAAATGACAGTAATAAACTGCTGAAATAGCATAAAGAGACCACTGGTTTAGTGTTTAATTAATCAGTTTTGTTTTTAATTTCCATATATTCTTCACTGTGTTTCAAGGAGAGAGAGAGACGATCCCCTCCATTTAATCTCCAAATTCACCCATTCTCAGATGGTGTGAGTGCTCTACAGATCTACTGTATGAAAGAAGGTGTTAAGGTAGGCAGATATTTCATTTTTTATGTTTGTAGAAATTAGAAAAACTGGGAATTGGAAAAGGGGAGGTTACTTACGACTATTTTGTCTTTCAGTCACTGGATGTCATCATTTTGATACAAACTATGTAGGAATTGAAAATAGTCACTTCTACTAGAAAATTAACAGAATGTTTTTTAATGTGTGACAGATATACAAATGATAACAGAAGAAACAGAGGCATCCATGATTATTTAGAACAGAGTCATATGAAGAAAGACGCTGCATCAAAATTAGCCTTAATTACCTGGGAGAAATGTGAATTCGATTTAATACTTCAAGAAATATATTTCAAGTCTGCCAGATAGAAAAGTTTGAGTCCCTTTGTTGAGCCATTCTAGGTGCTATGGAATTCATAATTATGGAATTGCAGAGTTAGAAAAGGTTTGAAGTCATCTAGTCCAACATCTCTTTTGATGTGTTTAATTTAGGGAGGATTCCTCTTTTGGAAGGGCTTAGGGTTTATAACAGGTTGCATATTAAATAGAATATAATTATCTTTTTAGTGCTACTGGATATATTTTAAGTATTAGAGTTGAATTGAGGTAGCTCTTCCCCCGGGGAAATATATTGTCCTTCAGTGAAATCACATTGTGAATATCTGTTCCTGGGGTAAAGCTGGGATGCTGCCTGCTATTCCTGGTCTCTCCTTACCTTCTGCATGGCCCTTCCTGCTCCCACTCTGAGCTGCCAAATATACTTGCTTCAGTTGCCTTCTCTGTACTTATGAGATTGAGCTAGACTTTCCCTTTCCTGGTGGTAGGGCTCTACTATACTGCTGTTTGAACATGAGAAAGAGGAGAACATAGTACTAATACGGTAAAAAGTGGAGAAAACTTTGGTGGTAATATTGTGTTTCCTTGCCTTCCATCTTAAACCATTGTCCTGGTGTTTAAACTTCTGGCCTTCCTGGGTGGCATGGTAATTTGTCAACCAAAGCAATTTTTGGATTTCACTGTAATTAAATGAAAAGAATTTACTTTGCCTTTTCCTTCGATGCATTTTTTCTCAGATAAATCACAAACAACCTAATCCAATGAACTCTTTCGAATGGAGTTCAGCTGCTTCAAACTGACTCAAGGAACAGGGTAAAAATAAGATAGATGAAATTAATGCTAACCACCTTTAAAAAAATGGTACTGCACTATAGTTTTCTACATGGCAGTCAAAATTCAATCAGGTCAGAATTTTGCTAATTAGAATAAAATTGGTTGATTCTTTATATTTATTACCTATTACTTTTTTATACCTGAAAGCCTATCACAATTGAAAAAAAAAAGATTTGGCAGTCATGAGAAGAAAGTTAATGAGAATATTCCAAGTCTTTTACTACATGCTAGACTCTTTCATACACAGTCTGTTTATCCTGAAGATCAGCTCAGCCTATGAAGTAGGAATTTATTATCTCCATTTTGCAACTAGCAAAATTAAGAATGATCTGTTAAGTACCTGACCCAAGTTCACACAGCATGTAAGAAGCAAAATTGAAACTTAAAACTAGGTGTGCCAGATTGAAAACATCCCAAGGAAGTTCAGGCCCTAAAATGTCTTCCTCTAACTTCATGTTCAGGCACTGATGGAATAGGAGGCCACATTTGTCTTTGACATGAGTTTCTGCTTGATTTTGCAGGATGTGAACATCCCTGATCTCATAAAGCAGCTTGATATCTTGGGTGATAATGGGGTAAGTAAAGAATTGATTTAGTATAGATATGAATTTGCCTAAACAGAGGCAAGAGATACTTAACAATGCATCATGTGTAAAGTAAGAGCAAGTGAGATGCCATTTCACTTAAGGATGTTGCTCCTTGGGAAGAATATACAATTTATCAAACAACTTGGCTAAGGGGTTGTAAGGATCTCTGGAAGGTAGTAGCAGAAATGAGACCTGGTAAAGTGCTTTTTGCGGGCAGGTTTCAGGTTTGAATGTCGACCACATCTCCAATAAGTAAAGCTAATTATTGTCTGACTCTAGCTCAAAGGCATCCAGTGTGAAATTAATCAGTCACGCATTTGCAAAGGCTGCTAAATACTAGGGTTGTTGGCAGTGCCATAAAAATGGACCAGGAGGCTATAATGCATTTTCTTTCCGAAAACATCTTCCAGACAGGGTCAAGGCACATTAATTCAGTGGGAGGACCATTTATTGTGATACTATGTGATTGGTGCTTGTAGGTTGAAAGAATCACCGTTTTTCCCTTGAAAAATTATCAAAGGAGAGAACAGAATTAGTAAAATTACATCAAAACTTCTATGAAGAGACTGTTTTTTATTCCATTTTGGTTTCTGTTTTTCTCATAACATGACTATTAATAAAGTATGCCTCCAGTGACACAAAATCAAATCGGTGTTAAGGAGATATTTAAAAAATCACGTTTAATATACTTCTTCCGGGTTTTGATTAACTCTTTGTTCAGAATTATTACTAAACAGAATAGGAATTTGTTAAGTTTCTATACAGGCTTATACAGAATGCTCTGTAGCAGTCAGTCAGACAGTATTTTCTTTGGGGTAAATAATGTCAGTATGTTCAGCTGACGGCCTTTCTTATTTTTTACAGAATTTAAGAAATGAAGAACAAGTGGCCATAATTCAGGCCAGCACTGTGCTGTCCCTGGCAGAGAAGGTAATGAGCCGTACAAACATTTCAAATCATCTCGGTGTCTGGCTTAATACTGAACGAGCAGACTAGGGTGTGAAGGACATTCCCTCTGCACATGACTGTGTGTGAATACCTAATACACATTTTATTTTTAAGGGTAGTACAACCCAGATAGAATGAGAACACCCAAACGAAAAGTCTATACACTGATTTGGGATGGGTGGCTAATTTTTGCTTTGAAGTTCCTTAAAAATATATATAATTTTTTAAAAACAGAAAACCTTCTAGATTACATTATTTACACAATCCCTACCAAGCTGGGAAACCACAAAGAAGAATTCTGCGGGGCGATGATAAACTGGAGCATTGCTCTTATCATAGACTTATCCTGGGGTGTGTACCTACCATTGCTCCCAACTGATCCTGTGGCTTAGTAGGGGCTCATTGCCTTCTCATTCAGAAAGTCCGACATAGAGACTGTCAGGAGAAAATCAACACTGACTGAGCTCTGGCTCCACCTTGTGTCTAAACCTGGTAAATGGCCAGATAAATTGGTGTATTCAGAGTACCTCATGAATCAATGCATAAAGCCTGGCTGGATGGTATGTACCTATAGTCCTAGCTACTTTGGAGGCTGAGGGAGGAGGCTCACTTGAGCCCAAGAATTTGGGGCTATAGTGTACTATGATCATGCCTGTGAGTAACCACTGTACTTCAGCCTAGGCAACATAGTGAGACTCCATCTCCTTTAAAAAAAAAAAAAAAGTACCAGTAAATACTTGAGAGTCATGTGCACATGGTTGGATAAAATGAGAGCAAGCAATCAGCTCTCTCCAATCTGAAATGAGGGAATTCTACGGGCCAAATAACAGTTAAGTTACTCAAACAAAAGAATGAAATAAAAAACAGGGAGAACAAAGAACTATAGCTATGAAATAAAAAGACACTTAACCAGGTGTTTTTTAAAAAGGACATTTTGTTGACAACTGGAGAAATTTAATGTGGACTGGGTATCAGATGACAAAAGTAATTAATGTTAATTTTGTAAAGTGTACCAATAACCTTGTGGGTTTTTTTTTTTTTTTTTTTTTTTTTTACAGAAAGGCTTTATCTGTTAGAGATACACATTGAAGTATTTACATGTGAAATAAAATGAAAGCTGGAATTTTTTCTTTTAAAAAAACTTACTTCCTACACAGTTTAATTACAGACCTAATCACTTTCTCTGATCCCTCCCCAGCAAATGCCTCATTATCTCTAACAGAAGGTCCAAATTTAGAATTTGGCATACAGACCCTCTGGGATTTGAGTCTTATCTACCTATTTCTCTAGTGTCTCCTCTCCCTTCTCTCCCTCCATTCTCTCTCTCTTTCTCTCTCCATTCTCCACTCTTGGTCCTTTACACTGATCTTTTTACCTGGAAGATAGTCCCATCTTGCCTTTCTACCTCTGCCTGGCTAAATCTTGAGCATCAGACTTCCCCATAATGAGGAGGCCTGCCTGTTCATCCAAGCCCCCTTAGGTGTTCCTGCTCTATGTTCCCACAGTGGCCTGTGCTACTGCTCCCATGGCTTTTGACAATTGCATTACACTGTCCATTTGCATTTGTCATATGGCCCCATCTAACTACCACTAGACTCTAAGGCCCATGAGGACAAATAGTTGTGTCTCTCCACTCCCCACCCCCTGTTTTTTGCCCTAGCTTTTCACACTAGTCCAGCACATGTAGTAAGTCATGAATAAATGTTAACTGAAGGAGCAAAGGTGTGAATTTGTGAATGCTCATAAGACACCATTTCAGTGACAACACAAAGATGAAAAAAACACAGTCTGTGCCTCCAGTGCTGCTATCATCTGGCAATGATAGCAAGAGAGCCTTATTCAGCTGGAATCATGAAGGGCTGCAATTCTTTACTGCAAGAAAAAATCGCCTGGGTTTAGGGCTACAAACAAAACATGGGCTGATTCTATGGAAGATGAGGATTGAGGAGGTGAAAGAAAGGAAATACAGCCTTGTGTGTCTCACATTTACTGAGACTGATGGGAGAAATATCTTCTGCTCCCTGCCCTGTGTGGGTGCAGTACAACTGTACTTATCAGAACCAACAACTGTGCTTATCAGAACCAAGACTTGCGCAGTGCTCCTTTTGAGATAGGCACTTTCTAACTGCTGGAGACTAGGTACTAGTGTGACCTTTATTTCACACAAGGAATCTGAAGCACAAAAAAGGTAGATAACTGCCTAAGGTCACACAGCCTGAAGTTGATGGAGTCAGGATTCACACCCAAGGAGTCTGGTTCTAAAGCCCATGATCTTACGTCTTGCACCAAACTCCTCCTCCTGTGGGAAATAGGCTTTGCAGACCCCATGGGAGCTGGGCTGTCGGAGCTGAGGCAAATTAGCCCATGCCTCTGCTTACTTTTTTTGCAAGAAAGGTATAGGGACCAGTTGAACAAATACAGGGTGATGACTCTGTGCTTAGCACTGTGGTAGAAAGCTAGGAACCAGATGAACAAGACACAAGCCTTCCCTAAAGTGCTCATGGTCTGTTCAGCTGCCTTTTGTGCAGACTTTTGCAAAGCACAGATTAAATTTATCTCTTGTCTGTGGGATTCACAGATAAAAGTTTCTACATCCAAGTAATTCTAAACAACAACAATGAATGTCTTGAGACTACCAATTTGAATAGCACTCTGTTATATGGGAGTATGATCTTTAGCCAGAATTTGAGCCTAGACAAAATTCCAACAAGCAAACCCAGTTGTCACTTTGTATTAAAAATAATGGCAGTGACCTTGAGTGAGAACATATTAGGGGCTGGATACTGCACTCAATGCCATAAGTACATTATGTACTTATGTACTGTTCCTTACAACCATTCTACAGCTGTCACTATTTTTTAATTTGTATAAATTTACGGAGTACAGGTATACTTTTATTACATGGATACATGGTGTAGTGGTGAAGTCTTGGCTGTTAGTGTATCCACCGCCCAAATAATGTACATTGGGGTACCATTGTTTTTATTTTATACATGAGGAAACTGAGGCTTGGGATATTCAGTAACTTGTCCTGGATTACACAAGTAGGAAGGAACAGCAACCAACACACAAATCTATATCTAATGCTCATGATATAATGACTTTAGTTCACAGTACTCTTAAAAACATGATTTTAAAAAATATGTTTCTTGATAACAAATGGACAGCAAGCAAGATGAAGGATTTTAGGTTTTGGATGGGTACAATTGCAATATGAGTCTATTTACACAAAACCCATGATTGACAGAAATTTGTTTCAAGGGGAAACCATGTGTATGTGCAAAGAACTTAGCACCTCTCCAGTCTCGGCATGCCTCTTTTCTTTCACCATGTTCCCCACAGCCAAGGAGTGGTTGAACATGGTATCCCCTTGTAAGTATCAAGGCTGTTGTGTATAAAAGTCTCGCTGTGCTGCATAATTTATCACAGGTAACCTAGAAAGAACTATCTGGGGCTGGGCGCAGTGGCTCACGCCTGTAATCCTAGCACTTTGGGAGGTCGAGGTGGCTGGATTGCCTGAGCTCAGGAGTTCAAGACCAGCCTGGGGAACACGGTGAAACCCCGTCTCTACTAAAAATACAAAAACTTAGCCAGGCATGGAGGCGTGCACCTATAATCCCAGCTACTTGGGAGGCTGAGGCTGGAGAATCGCTTGAACCTGGAGGCGGAGGTTGCAGTGAGCCAAGATCGTGCCATTGCACTCCAGCCTGGGTGACAGAGTGAAACTTTGTCTCAAAAAATAATAATAAATAAATAAATAAATAAATAGTACCTTGTAGTGAGATACCACTAGTACATCCAATACACAATGGATACTGCCTCATGTTTTTTACTTCCTTAATCTTTACTTATTGTTAATCCCATTTGACAGACAAGAAACTTGAGACTTAGAGAAATCAGGTAACCTTTCCATGCCACCCACCCATGAAAAGCTGGAATTGAAATTACGGCCAAGGTAGTCTGTCTTCAGAACCCACTTAATTATTATGCCCAATTGCTTCCCTAAAATATAAGCTGACATTTAACTTGCTAGAGATTCATTATAATAATTTGTTCTATAAAAACCTGTATATGGTAGGGTCACATTATTCAAAGTCTGCATTCAGAGTGTTTATCAATGCTAACATAAATATCATATATTCTGAGTACTGGGAAAGATAAGTTTTTATGTGATTTAGAACACCTCCACTTCACAAAAATAATTCTTCCCCACTTTGCTGTAATCAGTTTTATATACTGAAAAATTACCGTTGTCCCAATTCTCCAGTGTACCTGGCCTTCTTTCTCTCATCCTGCTTCCTCCAACAATAGAGCTATTGGACATGTTGTCCCTTCCACTTGGAACTTCCTCTTCATTTTTTCCCAGTCATCTCTCACCCATTCTTTGGACCCCAGTGCAATTATCACTCACAAGAAAGCCTCCTATGGTGTTCTCCAATAAGGGCAGGAGTCTTGTTGATCTGGTTCACCACTGCAGCCCTAGGACCTGGTACAGCACCTGACACTTGCTAGTCATCCATAAATGCATTTGCTGAATGGGTGAATGAATGAATACAAGGAAGACTGTAGTCTTGTTTCTGAACTATGAGATAAAAATGTGGGTCAGGCACGGTGGCTCGCACCTATAATCACAGCACTTTGGGAGGCTGAGGCAGGTGGATCATGAGGTCAAGAGTTCAAGACCAGCCTGGCCAAGATGGTGAAACCCCGTCTCTACTAAAAATACAAAAATTAGCCAGGCGTGGTGGCAGGCGCCTGTAATCCCAGCTACTCGGGAGGCTGAGGCAGAGAATTGCTTGAAAGCAGGAGGCGGAGGTTGCAGGAGCCGAGATAACGTCACTGCACTCCAGCCTGGGCAACGGAGCGAGATTCCGTTTCAAAAACAAAACAAACAAACAAGCAAAAAAAGGTGTTGTTTTTGCTTCAGTTCTCAGTCTTCTTCCTGAGATATAAGGGGAGGAGACGGAGCACCTCATGGGGGCACACAGATATACACCATATCAAGCAGCCATGTCAAACACTTTTGTCTTGTTAACCCCTTAGTGGATCCAGCAGATTGAAGGAGCTGAGGCTGCCCTACACCAGAAAATGATGGAATTGGAAAGTGACATGGTAAGTACAAGATGAGATATTGTAAAAATTAAGAAAAACTTACAAGGCAAATGGAAAATTAAAGTTGCCTCTACCAGTTTTATCTGGCACTGATGAAAGTTTGTCATCTTTCCATTATTATTTTATGTACAGAAGATGGAAAAAAAATTACCAGAAGTACCAAACAATTTCAGGCTATATTCTCCCCCCAAAAAATGTTAGTTTTTGGAAAATATCCAAAACTAATGCCGAAGAAAATTGAGTTTTCTTATGTTTTCTTTCTTAGGCTAAATAATTTTTCCACTTTATTTAATTAGCAAGGAAAAATTACAGAAATGGAGGGTGTAACTCTGATTTTAAAAATCCCTAAGCCACCTTACATCCATTAGAATAACTCTTATCAAAAAAAAAAAAAAAGAGTAGAACAAAAGACCTAGTGCAGTGGCTCACACCTGTCCTAGCAATTTGGGAAGTTAAGGCAGGAAGTGTGCTTGAGCGCAAGAGTTGGAGACCAGCCTGGACAACATAGTGAGAACCCATCTCTACAAAAAATAATTAGTGGGCATAGTGGTACGTGCCTGTGGTCCCAGCTACTCAGGGGGCTGAGGCAAGAGGATCATTTGAGCCCAGGAGGTGGAGGCTACAGTGAGCTATTTTTGTACCACTGCATTCCAGCCTGGGCAACAGAGCAAGACCCTGTGTTCCCACAACCAAAAAGATAAAACAAGTGTTGGCAAAGATAAGGGGAAATTGAAACCCTTCTTTACTATTGATGGGAATGTAAAACTGGTACAGCCACTATGAAAAAAAGTATGGTGGTTGCTCAAAAAAATCAAAATAGAATTACTATGTGATTCAGCAATACCACTTCTGGGTGTGTATCCAAAAGAATTGAAACCAGAGTCTGGAAGAGATATTTATACACCCATGTTCATAGCAGCATTATTCACAATAGCCAAAAGGTAGAAGTAACCCAAATGTCCATCAATGGATGAACAGATAAACAAAAGGTGGTGTATACATATCATGGAATATTATTTAGCCTTCAAAAGGAAGGAAGTTCTGATACAAGTTACAATATGGATGTACTTTCAGGACACTACGTTAAGTGAAATAAGCTATTCACAGAATTGTAAATACTATATGAATCCACTCATGTGAGGTGCTAGAGTAATCCAACTTAGAAACAGACAGTAGACTGTGGTTGCCAGAAGGTGAGAAGGGGAAACATAGAGCTGTTGTATAATGGGTATAGTTTCAGTTTTGCAGCATGAAAAATTCTGTACATTGGTTGATAACAATGTGAATATACTTTGTACTACTGAACTATACACTCAAAAATGAATTAAAAATGAGTAAGGTTGTAAATGTTATGTGCATTTTACCACAATTTTAAAAGTTTCTTTTTACTCACCAAGTCTAAAAATTGGTTATTATTAACTTACAGCAATGCATAGAAATTTATAACAAGATTCGTCTGGGCACAGTGGCTCATGCCTATAATCCCAGAACTTTGGGAGGCCGAGGCAGGCAGATTACCTGAGGTCAGGAGTTCGAGACCAGCCTGACCAACATGGAGAAACCCCATCTCTACTAAAACTACAAAATTAGCCGGGCGCGGTGGCACATGCCTGTAATCCCAGCTACTCGGGAAGCTGAGGCAGCAGAATCGCTTGAACCCAGGAGGCGGAGTTTGCAGTGAGCCGAGATCGCGCCATTGCACTCCAGCCTGGGCAACAAGAGCGAAGCTCTGTCTCAAAAAAAAAACAGAAATTTATAACAAGATTATGATTAATGTTATCATTATAACTAGAAAACGTCGTGGATTCCTATTGGATGAGGGAATCCTATAAAAACAACTTGCATTTGTGTGGCACATTATAGCTTATAATTTGCTTATATTTTATACAGTGCTCACATTTTACTAAGAGGTTAGGCTCCAATGTCAAAGCATGTAAAAAGAACAGTTTGTTATTTTATTTTATTTTTATATTTGGCCAAGAAAGCTTTCCAAATGAACAATTTCTCTTCAAAATTACCCTTGAAAGCTCTTTAAAAACACAAATATTAATTAAGCAATTAGTCTGTATCAGGCACTGTTCTAGGTACTGGAATTCAGCAGTCACCAGCAAAGTCAACAGCAAAATTACTCCATACAGATACACGATCTCTCAAAAGTCAACACCATTGAGTTTTTCTTCAGAGTTGGAAGAAGTCTTTGTTCCTTCAGTTAAACACCCAAAGAAACAATTGACTTGTGCTTGGGACTATGTTGTACCCAAAATATAGTTTTAAGTGCTAATGGCAAGATGCTGATAATATGAGAAGCACACAGAAACTGAGAACAAGAGAGGGAACATCAGATTGACTTTTCCCAGCTCACACTGGCTTTGTGGCAAAAGCAGACACCCACTCATTAAGCAGCAGTGTGGGTGGAATCACTCCCACTCTTTAAGTTGCTATTTTTGTCCTTATGTTTGCTAGTTGTACACAGATGAATTTGAATCAGTTAAACTTGTTGATTATGCAACCCAGCTATGTTACATTTTATCACATTCTTACAAAAATATATTATCATAATACTTTTACATAGATAGGCTTATTATTATTAAACACTAGTCAAAATCTATACTTAATCACGTGCTCTCAGATTAAAAATCTTTTAGAGCATTCTATGTGGATTTTTCATTATATCTTTTATGCTGCTTTCCATTGATTTTCACATTCCTGTGTGAGACTATGAGAGTTGAACTATTTCCCTAACAGACAAAATTTATGACTCTACAAATACTAGTGATTTGTCTTATGGTAGAATTAGAGGAAACATTAATCAATACCATTTGTACGTCACTTTCTAGTTAACTAAGCTGACTCTATCAATATGGCCCTTTGTTATAGGAACAGTTCTGCAAAATAAAAGGCTATCTGGAGGAAGAACTAGACTACAGAAAACAAGCTCTTGACCAAGCATATATGGTAGGTACAACAAGTGATAGAGACACCCGCAGTATTTACAGTTATGCACTGTGGAATTAAGTATCCTTTTTAATTTTCCATGCTATGTACTTGAATAGATCACGACATGCAGTTCATTCATTTACTGGTTTTCAGATCTAATTTTATAACAAATACATTCCTAGCTCTTTACTTATTCTAAGATTCTTATAAGATATTCTTATAATACCTAATAAATATTTAATTATACTTCATTTTTTAACAATTAAAAGGCCAGACGTGGTGCCTCATGCATGTAATCCCAGCACTTTTGGGAAACCAAGGTGGGCAGATCCCTTGAGCCCAGGAATTCAAGACCAGCGTGAGCAACATGGTGAAACCTTGTATCTCCAAAAAATAAAAATAAAAATACAAAATACAAAAATTAGCCAATCATGGTGACATGCACTTTGTAGTACTAGCCACTAAGGAGGCTGAGGAGGGAGGATTCATTGAGCCTGGGAGGTCAAGGCTTCAGTGAGTTGTGATCGTGCCACTGTACTCCAGCCTGGGCAGCAGAGCAAGATCCTGTCTCAAAACAAAATAAAACAAAAACAATTAAATATATGTTGTTGGATAATATTAAATGAAGAACAGTTTGGATGGCAGTGTAGATTAAAGAGAAATTTTATTAAACCAAATCCAGTCATTTGGGAGTCTGATCTAGTGGTGGAATAATGTGTTTAATGTTTGTTATGCATATTTTTAATTCATTTATCTCTTACAACAACTCTGTGAGGTATAGGTAAGATTATTATTCATATCTTACATACGAGGATAGTAAGATTTAGAGAATATAAGAACTTTGCCCAAGTTGATAAATAGGTAGTGTGTAGATCTGACTCCAGATCCTGTGGCCTACTATAATCCAGCCACAGTAACTGAGGCTTCCATGGTAAATGGGCTGTGCCTTTTTGTCTCCCACAGAAGATTATGCTGATTAAGGAGCACATGTGATCCATTCCCCTCTACCAAATTCCTATTGCATGCTTCTTCATAATGAACTACAGCTCACATTTCTTCTCTCCTTATGCTCCACCCTCCATTAATTCACAATTATGAATCAAAAGAAAAAGAGCAAGTTAAAGGAACATTTCAAAGAATTCCTAGCAGAGGTTTTTATAATGCTTTCCTGGAAGCAGCTTGAGTCACTTTTGGGGAAAGAGTGAAGCACTTAGTCCCTGCTTGTAACAAAGATGAACTTGTCTTTGCATTCCAAAATGAGTAAGAGATTCTGAGCTTGTTTGATGGGGAAAGAAGAGAATGGGTATTTGATGCTAATTAGAGACAGAGAAGGAAGTGAGTTTTGCTTCACTTCTACCTTTCACCCTTGCCTCTTCTACCTATACGAAATTAAGTTGTGTGTTTATGTGGGTCCCGAGACTACTGAGTACTCATTCAGAAAACCATATTTATCCTTAAAAAGATGAGACCTGCTTAGCCCAGGACAAGAGCTAGGAAAATATTTCTCACCAAAGCATGTCTGGTCACTTCTGTCAAACTTAGAAGGGATAAGATTGTAGATTTTAGCAACTGTTATCTGAAGCATATCAAAAAAAGAAAGAAAAAGATGAAGGCAGTGCATCCTTCATCTACAAAAGAAAGACTCAGAGAAATATTATAATGAGAGCAGCCATAAATCTCAGAGAACTTAAAAACAGACCAATTCCAAAACTTTAGGTCATTTTTTGGATTTTATTTCTCAATTTTATTTCAAGAAAAAATATGGCGACCATAAAGCCATCTTCAAGTACCAGAGGTTTGTCATGTATTAATAAAACGGGGGCAGTATTTTGTTCTAACTTAGACTATTTATTTCCAGAAGTATGGCCACCGTGGTAGATGTCTTTAAATGTATGAAGAGCTGTCTTGTTGTTTTTTGTTTGTTTGTTTTTTGTTGCTGTTGTTTTGAGATGGAGTTTCACTCTTGTTGCACAGACCAGAGTGCAATGCGTGATCTCGGCTCACTGCAACTTCCGCCTCTCGGGTTCCAGTGATTCTTCTGTCTCAGCCTCCAGAGTAGCTGGGATTACAGGTGCGCACCACCACGCCCACCTAATTTTTTATATTTTTAGTAGAAATGGGGTTTCACCACATTGGCCAGGCTGGTCTCGAACTCCTGACCTCAGATGATCCGCCTGCCTCGGGCTCCCAAAGTGCTGGGATTACAGGTGTGAGCCACCGTGCCTGGCCAGAGCTGTCAAGTAGAAGTGAGAACACACTTATTCTCAGCTACACTTTAGGATAGGAACTACAGTTAGGAAAAGTATATAAAATGGACAGGGTCCCAAGAAAGAACAAATGTTCCCTCACTAGAGAAGTTCATGAATTGGCTAGATGACCCTTATGGAATCTCATAAAAGGAGATTTTCAGAAGTGTAATTAGGCTAGAGAAGTTTTAAAATTATTTTCTTGCTAAGATCCTATAAGCCTAAAGTTGGCAGCCATATACATATACATACATAGCATACACTCCCACACCAGATATCAATGCCAAGTTCCAAAGTTAGACTTTTCTAATTCTATTTGCCAGAGAATCCAGGAACTAGAAGCTACTTTGTACAATGCTCTACAGCAAGAAACTGTTATCAAGTTTGGTGAATTATTAAGTGAAAAACAGCAAGAGGAGCTGAGGACGGCAGTAGAAAAGTTACGGCGGCAAATGCTGAGGAAGAGCAGAGAGTATGACTGTCAGATTCTTCAGGAGAGAATGGAGCTCTTACAGCAAGCCCATCAGGTGAGGACTGAGTCACTGCCTCTGCGTAGGGTTAGTACTAGCAAATGGAACTTAGTACTAGGTACACGGTATTGAGTATGGGTACGGAGAAGCCCAGGAGATACAAGTTATTTTCAGAGAGTAAAATAAATAACCATTGTTTTCTACCTTCATGCACATACAAAAATGACAGTTTTATAATAATTCAATCTTGAGAAAATTGGCATTTCAGAAGGACTGAATACTGCTACTATTTTTAGAACTACGTTTTCATGAAATACCCTTTGAATTTCATGGTGTCTGATTATCTGCCTTATGCAGGGAAGCAGGACACTCTCCAGGGCAAAAATAGTGCTTCCCATGTATTGCTCACTCCAGTCCGTAAACAAGCCTGATAATAATCCGAATAGTGTAAAAGAGAGCAAGGACCGTTCACATTACAAACATCACCACCAACAAAGCCTGGCAGCTGCTGTTTACTTACTGACATTTGCTTTATGTCAGTAACTAAACTAAGGACTCTACTTACATCATTTCATTTAATCTTCATAATAGCCCTATGAGGTAAGTATTTTTATTATCTCAATTTTGGAGATAACAATACTGTAGATAAGAATGCTTAAGTGATTTGCCCAAGATAACACAGATGGTAAGCAACAGTCAGGATGACAGCCTAGGTCTGCTGAACTCCAAGGTCAGTGTGTCTAACCACTGTATTGTACCGTCATCCATGACTTATGTGATTCATCAGCAAGGTCCAAAATAGGCACCCACTACTAATTTCCAGCAAAAATTTTTAATTGTAACTCTTTATTCATGCCATAGCCTGACAGTTGAGGGCTGAGGTCCTGGTCAAAATACAGATTCAATAAGGATTCCAGCATTGAAAGTGTCAGGTTATAGTATTCAATCCTCAGAAGCTATAAGAAACAACTGGTACAAAATTCAGATGGTATGAATAGGCGGTAAGAATCGTGTGGTCATCAGCAATCAAGGTAAGTGGAAAAGAGGCAGGGGTTCTTTTATGAGGCAAATAAAAACAATTCATGGGGGACATGACACTTAGCACACTTCAGATGCAGGCAGGAGCTTTGTGGATTTTATAGGCTAATAGATTACCCAAGTAGGTGGAGAATTCTGAAGCCACGTGTCCCAGAAATGATAAATACCTACATGTTCCTATTAATGCCCCTTCAGATTCCATCACAAAAGTTTGAGTTTTGACCCATGGAAAGACTTCTTAAAGTCTTTAATAATAGACTCTATGCCATCATTGCATTGCTTCATGCATTCTTTTCTTCTAGCAGGGGATAAAAATGTACTCTGCACAAATTTCTTGTGCTGCAATAGCATGTAATTACTTTCAACAAATTGGGAGTTATGTCATGGAAACACTGAAGTGTTTACTTTTAAGATGGACTCATAGTTATCTAAATTTATTTATGATAAAAACTGTATTCCATTTGAGTATTTCTTTAACCATTTAGCTAAGATACTTCACCTCTGAAAGAGTTGGTTTTGTTTAAGTTATCCAGTAGTGCTGATAGTACATTTCTGAACCTCAGGGAGTTTCATTGACATTTTCCATCCATCTTCTAAACAAATGTTCATTAGAATATGCCTTTCCCAGTTATTTCTTACTCTTCTTCTTCCCTTTTAATTAATAGCTGAGTTTCATAGAATTATTCCAGAAGATATTGGCCAGGATTTTTTATATATAACTATGTAATACACTCTAACTTCTAAAGTATATCACTAACCATGTATTACACCGTTCTGCTTGAATGTTTAAGAGTGAACTGATGCGTTCTTATCCTTACTTCTCTTCTCTCTCCCCATCTGCCTGTCTTAGTCAGTAGAATTACCATATCTCAAATCACTCCGGCTAGAAACACTGGAGTCTTCTCTGTTCTTTCCCTGTAAGCATTAATACAGCACCACATCCAACTGGCATTTCCCCTGAAATGTTTTTGATACTGGTCCATTTTGTTCATTTTTGTCACCCCAGGCACGTGCAGGACCTTTCATTATTCCACCAGCTTCCAGGTACTGCCAAATGTTCTCTGTGTGAATCTGACTCCATCATCTATGCATTTATTCAGTCAAACTTTTAAATGTTTTTCCTAGGTGCTAAGTACTGTGCTAGACAGAGAATTCACCGTGGACCCTGCCTTCACAAAACGAAGGACCCATAGATGGTTATAAAATGATCAACACAAAGAAAAATAATTATGATATATCATAATAAATAGCATTTTTAAAAGTACATGCAGGTGCCATGAGGACCTAGTTCTAGCTCTCCCCTTTTCAATCCAACACACATCTCATCACAGATTCTTCTCATTTTTCCTCATGGTACATTCTTGCCTCAAAGCCTCCATGATCCAATTTCCAGTTGAGTAGAGTCTTACGCAGGTCTCTTCAGGTCCTTCAGTAGCTGACTACCCCGCCCTCCAAAACCAGATTTGACCCAACCCCAGAGCATACTTCCCTCTCCACTCATGCAAAACATCCTGGTCCCACTTGTGCTGTGATTTTCCACCTCTAAGCCCTTGTTGCATAATTGCTCATCCTAAAGTGTCCATTAGTTTCCATTGCATTGATCCAAGTGTTCTCATTTTTCCAGTCCCAGTTTAAGATCCAACCCATTCAGGATCCTCTCCCTGATGAAAATTTTAAAAATGAACCACATACTGCTCAAGATATCTACATTCTATATTCTGTTATGCACTCATTCACAACCATTTATTGAGGGCCTGCTGTGTACCAGGTGCTGGGAGTATAATGGTAAGCAAAGACATACAGATCACTACTCTCATCTATCTCACAGAGGGACAGGGGCAGAGCCACAGAACAAATGAACAATGACTGAGGCAATTTCTGAGAGTGGCAATAAGTGCTATGCAGAAACGTATACAATGTGTATGTGAGTTTGGGAGTAGGATTGGCCACTTTAGGTTGGCTGGTCAGAGGAGGCCTCTCTGAAGATACCTACGATCCAAGAAATGAGCCACACAAAGATCTTGGCCAAGTGTCCCAGAAGACAGGGACAGCAAGGGCTAAGTCCCTATCATGGGAATAAGTTTGGAATAGTCAAGGAACAGAGCAAAGGCTAGAATGTCAGGAGCACGCAGAGCCAGAGTGAGGTTGATAGGAGGAGACGTTGCAGAGCTAAGAAAGGGCCACATCACACAGGGCTTTGCAGGAGTTTGAGTTTTATTCTGAGTACAACTCAACTAACTCTTCCTTCTTTTCTTCCCCACCCGCTTAAACTCAGGGGACCATGGAGATCATTTTTACATTCTGAGAGTTCACAATGGCTGCTATTGATGGAGTAAGATGGTCAAAATAAAAGGCAGGAAGAGCAGGTAGAAGCTGCCACACCAGCCCTGACAAGGGAAGACAATGACTTGGTGAACTTGGTATCAGTAGAGATAAAAAGAAGTAGGTAGAAAAGGAATGTTTTAGATCCAGCAAGGTTTTCTGTTGGGTGGATGGCAAAGGGATGGGAAGCAAAAAGAAATCAAGTATACGTCATATGATGTAGCATAACACATTTATTTGACAAAAAAATATGTGTGGACACCTTCTCCATGCTTAACACTGCACTAGGAATTGGAGATGGGTGACAAAGTTATTCAGTTTTTTTCCATTGTTTACCTTTTCTATTTAGTTTTGCTATTCCATCTGGATCTGATAGTTCTTTGAAACTGGGAACTAACTGGTGCCTTATCTGTATTGTCCATTACATTCAGCAGAGTCATGAGCATGTAAGGAGGTGCCCAACAAGCATAGATGTGATGGCTGAATGGATACTGCAGTAATTTTACATATTCATGATTTTGTCCATATAGTACTTGCCTCCATATCCAGCAGACATGCCAAGGAATTACGTGAACACTCAAGGTGGAAATATCTAGCAAATTTATTCTTTTACTGTGTAGCTATGGAGCACTGACAGCACTATGGAAATATACACCAGCACACAAATCATACACGTATAAACACACCATCAACATTCCAGTTCCATCCCTTTCTCCGGCATTCATTATGGTATAATTTCAAGGTTAACCTTTATGGTCTCACTCTGACCAAAACACACCATCTCTTGTTGCACAAACCTTAGCCCCCTTACTTTAAAGAAGAGTTTCTCAATTTCAGCACTACTGAAATTTTGAAGCAGATAATTCTTTATTCTTTTTTAGGGGGAGGGGTGGCTGTTCTGTGCCTTATCGAATGTTTAGTAGCATTCCTGGCTTCTACTCAGTAGATGCTAGATGCACATACTCCCAGTTGTGACAGTACAAAAATGTCAAGACATTTAGATAGTGGTGATGGTTGCACAATTTTATGAATATACTAAAACCACTGAATTACACAACTTAAAATAAATAAACATATTAACTAACTTTAAAAAAATGTGCAGAACTGCCAAATGTCCCTGGCTGGGGCAGGGAGAGACAAACAGTTGAGATCTACTCTTTTAAAGAGAAGGAGATATGCTTTCCAAGTTCAAGTACCCCTTGTTCTAGCTTCCCTTTTTTTCTCCTACCATTGCATTATAAAAACCTCTCTTTCTATATTATCATCCCATTTGGCTTCTAGTGTTTTCTCCATAGACTCCATTTCTCTATTTTCTAATTATTCCCTACAGAGGTATTAAATAAGAAGCCTGCATTATATAACCATGTACATGAACACAAAAAAACCTTCAGATTGCCAGATATAAATGTGAAGACTTTATTTTACTTGTAAATAGTTGTTATGTAATGTTGATTTCAAATATTCGGTGTTTAAATTAGTGGAATTTTGTTACATAATTGAGAGGTAAGTTCAAAGACAGTCTTGGAACTTTTCATCTTTAGGATTACTTGTGTTATGTTTGTTATATTCTGGTGTTTTCCTAATTTACCAGTTCCCTCCTGGGAATGTTTGTTGATGTGTAATCTCTACTTTGTTTTGTGAATTTACCAATTCTATTTTGTGAGAAAATTCTATCCTGAAACAGGGTTGAAATGGGGTTAAGATAAAAAGGTTAAGAAAGAACAATTGGATTGTTTACATCTATATGAGTCAGCCTCAACCATCTTTAATGTGGTAACAAACAATCAAAATCTCAATCCAAATGGTTCATAACAAAGCTTGTTTCTTGCTGTCTACTTCTGAGATATACTACACCCTCTACAAGGATTTGATATTCCCAAATCTTATTCCAACTTGCATTCCACAGGCCAAAACAAGTCTCTTTGCCAAACTCAATGTCAGTGGTGTGGAATCTACACCTCACTAGGAAGGGGTCTACAGGGATAGGCTCAGTAGAAAAGGTGGCAAATATTTTTTGAAAAGTTAATCAGTAGCAATGATTTTCTACCACAAACATAGATAATTTCTGAAACATGCAACATGTTTTTGGGTGGGGAAAACATACATGCGATGTTTCCAGCTGCTTGTACAAATATTCAGGTTTGTATAGGAAGTTTCGTGTTTTCATTTGGTAAATTATTTTTCCGCACAACTTACCACCTACTGATGCTTTCTTTCTTTTCTTTTCTTTCTTCAGAGAATTCGTGACTTAGAAGATAAAACAGACATCCAGAAAAGACAAATAAAAGACTTAGAAGAAAAGGTAGGTGTCAAATTCAATAACTATCTTATTATTTGTTTAATCAGAAAGCAATATTGATTTTGCTCACTGTATTTTCTTCCTGGCTTCTCAGTTATTGTGTGTCTTGCAGAGGCAGGTATAGTTACAGTAAACCTAGCTTTCACCTTCAGTCAAACAGAATGCCAGCAAAGCGTCTGCCATCAGTAACCCAGCCTTCACATATTTGTCTTTTGTGTTGCTTTCCTATTTTTTCTGTGTTTTCTTTCCTTAGTTTCCCCTTCCTTATCTTCATTTCCTTTCCAAAAGTTTCTTCAAGTTTTGTTACCCTACTTTGCTCTTTTTTTAAAAAAATCTTTTAGCACCTTTGTTTTACCTTTCCCATTATCATTCATAAAAAGACCTTTCATCCTTGTGCTGCAGTTTCACCTTAACAGTAAATTCAGAAACTTGGGTTGATATATGATAATCATGTTGTCCTGTCACTTCCCCAGTGATCTCAAAGAGTGGCTGCTTCTTCCAAGTCAGCCAGTGTTTTTGAGGGATATAACAACATGGCTCTTACAGAGGGCACTTGGAAATGCGTGTGGGGTGGGAGAACAGACAGAGCTCAGGCTGGGATGCTGAACAAGCAGCAGCGAGCTACACAGGCTTGCACAACAAAAAAAGCCAAAGCCTGGAATTCCCGAGCAAGATGGCTGAATAGGAACAGCTCCCATCTGCAGCTCCCAGCCAGACCAACACAGAAGGCAGGTGATTTCTGCATTTCTAACTGAGGTACCTGGTTCATCTCATTGGGACTGGTTAGACAATGGGTGCAGCCCACGGAGGGCAAGCCAAAGCAGGGTGGGGTGTTGCCTCACCCAAGAAGCGCAAGGGGTCGGGGAAATCCCTCCCCTAGCCAAGGGAAGCCATGAGGGACTGCACCATGAGGGATGGTGCACTCCGGCCCAGATACTACACTTTTCTCATGGTCTTCACAACCCACAGACCAGAAGATTCCCTCAGGTGCCTACACCACAAGGGCCCTGGGTTTCAAGCACAAAACTAGGAGGCTGTTTGGGCAGACACTGAGCTAGCTGCATGAGTTTTTATTTCATACCCCAGTGGCACCTGGAATGCCATCAAGACACAACCGTTCACTCCCCTGGAAAGGGGCCTGAAGCCAGGGAGCCAAGTGGTCTTGCTCAGCGGATCCCACCCCCATGGATCCCAGCAAGCTAAGACCCACTGGGTTGAAATTCTACCTGCCAGCACAGCAGTCTGAAGTCAACCTGGGGTGCCCGATCTTGGTGGGGGGAGGGGCATTCTCTATTACTGAAGCTTGAGTAGGCTGCTTTCCCCTCACAGTGTAAACAAAGCCATGGGAAAGTTCAGACTAGGTGGAGCCCACCACAGGGCCACAAAGCTGCTGTAGCCAGACTGCCTGTCTAGATTCCTCCTCTCTGGGCAGAGCATCTCTGAAGGAAAGGCAGCAGCCCCATTCAGGGGCTTATGGATAAAACTCCCATCTTCCTGGGACACAGCACCTAGGGGAAGGGGCAGCTGTGGGTGCAGCTTCAGCAGACTTAAACATTCCTGCCTGCTGGCTCTGAAGAGAGCAGTGGATCTCCCAGCATAGCGCTCAAGCTCTGTGAAGGGACAGACTGCCTCCTCAAGTGGGTCCCTGACCCCCGTGCCTCCTGACTGGGAGATACCTCCCAGGAGGGTTCGACAGACACCTCCTACTGGAGAACTCTGGCTGGCATCTGACGTGTGCCCTTCAGGGACGAAGCTTCCATAGGAAGGAGCAGGCAGCAATCTTTGCTATTCTGCAGCCTCTGCTGGTGATAACCGGCAAACAGAGTCTGGAGTGGACCCCCAGCAAACTCCAGCAGACTTGCAGCAGAGGGGCCTGACTGTTAGAAGGAAAACTAACAGAAAGCAATAGCATCAACATCAATGAAAAGGACAACCATGCAAAAACTGTATCCGAAGGTCACCAACAGCAAAGGCCAAAGGTGGATAAATCCATGAAGATGAGGAAAAACCAGCACAAAAAGGCTGAAAATTCCAAAAACCAGAATGCCTCTTCTCCTCCAAAGGATCAAAACTCCTTGCAAACAAGGGAACAAAACTGGATGGATGGAGAATTAGTTTGACGAATTGACAGAAGTAGGCTTCAGAAGGTGGGTAATAACAAATTCCTCTGAGCTAAAGGAGCATGTTATAACCCAATGTAAGGAAGCTAAGAACCTTAATAAAAGGTTAGAGGAATTGCTAACTAGAATAACCAGTTTAGAAAAGAACATAAAGGACCTGATGGAGCTGAAAAACACAGCACAAGAACTTCGTGAAGCATGCAGTATCCATAGCTGGATCAATCAAGTGGAAGAAAGGATAACAGAGATTGATCAACTTAATGAAATAAAGTGTGAAGACAAGATTAGAGAAAAAAGAATGAAAAGAAATGAACAAAGCTTCTAAGAAATATGAGACTATGAGACTATGTGTAAAGACCAAACCTATGTTTGATTGGTGTACCTGAAAGTGATGGAGAGAATGGAACTAAGTTTGAAAACACACTTCAGGAAATTATCCGGGAGAACTTCCCCAATCTAGCAAGACAGGCCAACATTCAAATTCAGGAAATACAGAGAACACCACAAAGATACTCCTCGAGAAGAGCAGCCCTAAGACACATAATCATCAGATTAAGCAAGGTTGAAATGAAGGAAAAAAATGTTAAGCACAGCCAGAGAGAAAGGGCGGGTTACCCACAAAGGGAAGCCCATCAGACTAACAGTGGATCTCTCAGCAGAAACCCTACAAGCCAGAAGAGAGTAGGGGCCAATATTCAACATTCTTAAAGAAAAGAATTTTCAACCCAGAATTTCATATCCAGCCAAACTAAGCTTCATAAGTGAAGGAGAAATAAAATCCTTTACAGACAAGCAAATGCTAAGGGATTTTGTCACCATCAGGCCTGCCTTACAAGAGTTCCTGAAGGAAGCACTAAATATGGAAAGGAAATCTGGTACCAGCCACTGCAAAAACAACCCAAAATGCAAAGACCGTCAACGCTATGAAGAAACTGCATCAACTAATGGGCAAAACAACCAGCTAGCATCACAATGACAGGATCAAATTCACACATAACAATATTAGCCTTAAATGTAAATGGGCTAAATGCCCCAATTAAAAGGCACAGACTGGCAAATTGGATAAAAAGTCAAAACCCATTAGTGTACTGTATTCAGGAGACCCATCTCATGTGCAAAGACACACATAGACTCAAAATAAAGGAATGGAGAAAGATTTACCAAGCAAATGGAAAGCAAAAAAAAAGCTGGGGTTGCAATTCTAGTCTCTGATAAAACCGACTTTAAACCAACAAAAATCAAAAAAGACAAAGCAGGGCATTACATAATGGTAAAGAGATCGATGCAACAAGAAGAGCGAACTATCCTAAATATATATGCATCCAATATAGGAACACCCAGATTCATAAAGCAAGTTCTTAGAGACCTACAAAGAGACTTAGACTCACACACGTTAATAGTGGGAAACTTTAACACCCCACTGTCAATATTAGACTAATCAACAAGGCAGAAAACTAACAAGGAAATTCAGGACTTGAACTCAGCTCTGGACCAAGCAGACCTAATAGACATCTACAGAACTCTCCACCCCAAATCAACAGAACATACATTCTGCTCAGCACCACATAGCTCTTATTCTAAAATCGACCATATAATTGAAAGTAAAACACTCCTCAGCAAATGCAAAAGAACAGAAATCATAACAAACAGTCTCTCAGACCACAGTGCAATCAAATTAGAACTCAGGATTAAGAAACTCACTTAAAACCACACAACTACATGGAAACCGAACAATCTGTTCCTGAATGACTAATGGGTAAATAACGAAATTAAGGCAGAAACAAATAAGCTATTTGAAACCAATGAGAACAAAGACACAACATAACAGAATCTCTGGGACACAGCTAAAACAGTGTTTAGAGGGAAATTTATAGCACTAAATCCCCACAGGAGAAAGTGGGAAAGATCTAAAATCACCACCCTAACATCACAATGAAAAGAACTAGAGAATCAAGAGCAAACAAATTCAAAAGTTAGCAGAATACAAGAAATAACTAAGATCAGAGCAAAACTGAAGGAGATAGAGACACGAAAAACCCTTCAAAAAATCAATGAATCCAGGAGCTGGTTTTTTGAAAAAATCAACAAAATACATAGACCGCTAGCCAGACTAATAAACAAGAAAAGAGAGAAGAATCAAATAGACACAATAAAAAATGATAAAGGGGGGATCACCACTGATCCCACAGAAATACAAACTACGATCAGAGAATACTATAAACACCTCTATGCAAATAAATAGAAAATCTAGAAGAAATTGATAAATTCCTGGACACATACACCCTCCCAAGGCTAAACCAAGAAGAAGTCAAATCCCTGAATAGACCAATAAGAAGTTCTGAAATAGAGGCAGTAATTAATTGCCTACCAACCAAAAAAAGCCCAGGACCAGGCGGATTCACAGCTGAATTCTACCAGAGGTACAAAGAGGAGTTGGTACCATTCATTCTGAAACTATTCCAAACAATAGAAAAAAAGGGACTTCTCCCTAACTCATTTTATGAGGCCAGCATCATTCTGATATAAAACCTGGCAGAGACACAACAACAACAACAAAATTTCAGGCCAGTATCCCTGATGAGCATCGTTGTGACAATCCTCAATAAAATACTGGCAAACCAAATCCAGCAGCACATTAAAAACCTTATCCACCACGATCGCATTGGCTTCATCCCTGGGATGCAAGCCTGGTTCAACATACATAAATCAATAAACGTAATCCATCACATAAACAGAACCAATGACAAAAACCACATGATTATCTCAATAGATGCAGAAAAGGCCTTTGATAAAATTCAACACCCATTCATGCTAAAAACACTCAATAAACTAGGTATTGATGGAACATATCTCAAAATAATAAGAGCTGTTTATGACAGACCCACAGCCAATATCATACTGAATGGGCAAAAGCTGGAAGCATTCCCTTTGAAAACCGGCACAAAACAAGGATGCTGTCTCTTACCACTCCTATTCAACATAGTATTGGAAGTTTTGGCCAGTATAATCAGACAAGAGAAAGAAATAAAGTGTATTCAGATAGGAAGAGAGGAAGTCAAATTGTCTCTGTTTGCAGATGACATGATTGTATATTTAGAAAACCCCATTGTCTCAGCCCAAAAACTCCTTAAGCTGATAAGCAACTTCAGCAAACTCTCAAGATACAAAATCAATGTGCAAAAATCACAAGCATTCCTATACACCAATAATAGACAGAGAGCCAAATCATGAGTGAACTCCCATTCACAATTGCTACAAGGAGAATAAAATACCTAGGAATACAACTTACGTGGGAAGGACCACTTCAAGAAGAACTAAAATCCACTACTCAAGGCAATAAGAGAGAACACAAACAAATGGAAAAACATTCCATGCTCATGGATAGAAAGAATCAGTATCATGAAAATGGCCATACTGCCCAAAGTAATTTATAGATTCAATGCTATTCCCATCAAGCTACCATTTACTTTCTTCACAGAATTAGAAAAAACTGTTTTAAATTTCATATGGAACCAAAGATGAGCCCATATAGCCAAGACAATCCTAGCAAAAAGAACAAAGCTGGAGGCATCATGCTACCTGACTTCAGACCATACTACAAGTCTACAGTAAACAAAACAGCATAGTACTGGTAACAAAACAGATATATAGACCAATGGAACAGAACAGAGGCCTCAGAAATAACACCACACATCTACAACCATCGGATCTTTGACAAACCTGCCAAAAACAAGCAATGGGGAAAGGATTCCCTATTTAATAAAAGGTGTTCAGAAAACCAGCTAGCCACATTCAGAAAACTCAAACTGGACCCCTTCCTTACACCTTATACGAAAATTAACTCAAGATGGATTAAAGATTTAAACGTAAGACCTAAAACCATAAAAACCTTAGAAGAAAATCTAGGCAATACCATTCAGGACATAAGCATGGGCAAAGACTTCATGACTAAAACACCAAAAGCAATGGCAACAAAATCCAAAATTGACAAATAGGATCTAATTAAGCTAAAGAGCATCTGCACAGCAAAAAAAACTATCATCAGAGTGAACAGATAACCTACAGAATGGGAGGGAATTTTTGCAATCTATCCATCTGAAAAAGGGCTGTTATCCAGAATCTACAGGGAACTTAAACAAATTTACAAGGAAAAAAGCAAACAACCCCATCAAAAAGTGGGCAAAGGATGTGAACAGACGCTTTTCAAAATAAGACATAATGCAGCCAACAAACATGAAAAAAAGCTCATCATCACTGGTCATTAGAGAAATGCAAATTAAAACCACAATGAGATACCATCTCACACCAGTTAGAATGGCTATCATTAAAAAGTCAGGAAACAATAGATGCTGGAGAGGATGTGGAGAAATAGGAATGATTTTACATGATTGGCGGGAGTGTAAATTAGTTCAACCATTGTGGAAGACAGTGTGGTGATTCCTCAAGGATCTAGAACTAGAAATACCATTTGACCCAGCAATCTCATTACTGGATTTATAACCCAAAGGATTATAAATTATAAACCCATTACTGGATATATAACCCAAAGGATTATGAATCATTCTACTATAAAGACCTATGCACACGTATGTTTATTGCAGCACTATTCACAATAACAAAGACTTGGAACCAACCCAAATGCCCATGATTGTTAGATTGGAAAAAGAAAATGTGGCACAGGCCCAGGCCCGGTGGCTCACACCTGTAATCCCAGCACTTTGGGAGGCCGAGGTGGGCGGATCACCAGGTCAGGAGATCGAGACCATCCTAGTTAACACGGTGAAACCCTGTCTCTACTAAAAATACAAAAAATTAGCCGGGTGAGGTGGTGGGAGCCTGTAGTCCCAGCTACTGGAGAGGCTGAGGCAGGAGAATGGCATGAACCTGGGAGGCGGAGCTTGCAGTGAGCCAAGATCATGCCACTGCACTCCAGCCTGGGCGACAGAGCAAGACTCCGTCTCAAAAAAAAAAAAAAAAAAAAAAAATGTGGCACATATACACCATGGAATACTATGCAACCATAAAAAACGATGAGTTTGTATCCTTTGCAGGGACATGGATGAAGTTGGAAACAGTCATTCTCAGCAAACTAACAGAGGAATAGAAAACCAAACACTGCATGTTCTCACTCATAAGTGGGAGTTGAACAATGAGAACATACGGGCACAGGTTGGGGAACATCACACACCAGGGCCTGTCGGGGGGTGGGGAGCAAGGGGAGGGATAGCATTAGGAGAAATACCTAATGTAGATGACGGGTTGATGGGTGCAGCAAACCACCATGGCACATGTATACTTATGTAACAAACCTGCACGTTCTGCGCATATATCCCAGAACTTAAAGTATAATAATAATAATAATAATAATAATAATAATAATAATAATAAAATGTCTGGCCCAAGACACCAGGAATATTCTGCTGAGGGAAATAGCAAGGATGCCAAAGAGGTTTTTCTCTGGAATTCCAATCAGATTGACTGAAAGTAGCTACCTGAATCCCTGTATGGTAAAATGTTATGGCTGTTTTATAATAGCTTCCATAGGCACACAAGAAGAAAGTAGCAAACTATCTGCCCTTCCTGCAATAATGGTTAAAATTTGGTTAATCCCAGATTGCTTCTATAATTATCCATATATGTGAGGTTAAAGGGAGTTGGTGGGCTCAAGTAGCTAGACCACCAGGCATCCAGATTTTTATATAGGGTGGGTCTTCAGGTACTCATTTGACCTTAAGTAAATAACTTCACCTCCTCTGTCTAAGCCATATCTCTAAAACAGGGATGATAACACTTGTCCCTTCTTCTTCCCATGGGTTCCATGAGGAACAAATGAGGTCACTTATGTGAAAAAGGAAACACTAAAAATGTGTAAGTCAAATTCTAAAAGTGTAATTTTTAAAATTTCTGACCCAAAGTATACATTCTCTGCAAAATTTTAAATTTGAATTTCTCACATTTCAGAAGGGGCTATTTAGTTTTGCAGGATTGAGTGAGGCAACAATAACATACAATAAATTTCCCAGTGATTGGCAGGAAGCCCCACAGAAGGCAGGGATTGCTTTCAGCTTCCCTGTTTGTCAAAGACCACACTTAATATCTTCCATTTTCCACACTTGTGAATGGCCAGCTCTTAGCTCTCTCTCTCTGCTAATTCATAAGCTACCCTAGGGCTGGCTCAAGGAAGAAGTCAAAGTTAAGGCTATTCTTCCCCCAAAACTCGATGATACCCATTCAGTCCCCATCCAGCTGAGGTTTAAAAAAAACAAAAAGGGGAGAAAACAAAATCTATCAACGTCATCACCCTAGCCATTCTCTAAATAAAACCCTCAAAAATTTTGGAAGAAGGGAGATTAAGATCATGTTCATTGTTGGAATTCAATGTAAACTTTTTCACAATTCTTTTGCTCAGTACACTTTACGGGTCTGAACTTCCTGAACTTTTATGATAATGGGGTAATAATCTTACTTCAAAGAAAATAAGGATCTAATTATCAACCTTGCATATTTCACATATGGTAGCAAATTCAACCACTTCAAAAACAATCCAGTTGACTTCTGATTAGATATTTGACTAGAGATGAGGTTTATGATTCACCTTCTACTCATTGGACTTCAGTTCTCCTCACCCTTAAGTCTAGTAAAAAGGCTAAAGATCCTGTATGCCAGAGATACTCTTCATTCTTCCCTTGTGGTACGTGAACACCCACTCAGGGTACATGTAATATCCCCTCTTTATTGTTTATTTCAGTGAATCAGTTGGTAACAACAAACCTAGCAAAATTGCTTCAGCTGTGTGCAGCACTTATCTAGAGCATAATATCTGTATGCACCATATCTAGAGCACTTCCACTGCCATCATTTCATCTGATTCTCATAATTACTCTATGAGACAGACACTACAGATGTTATGATCCCCTTTTATACAAATAATAAAACAATGGCTCAAAGAAATTAAACAACTTGCCCAAAATTATATAACCAATTTATGGCAAGTCAAAACCAGAGGTCAGGGTGTCTGACTCCAAATGGCATGATCTGCCCACCACACGGCAGGGATTAAGACTCTCATTACAGATTAAGTGATGGGCATCTCCTCATGCCCAAAGAGGTAGCTCTGATATCTGATCTTCTCATAGAAATAGCAGGAATGGGAATTCGTCCATTACTCTCATTCTCGAACTTCTCCTGCTATAAGTCTACCTTCAAGGAATGAAGAAAAGCAACAGTTTTTGCTTTTCAGAATAATAGACTAGCCACCAATACATGCCTCTTAGAGCCATACTCATAACTTGTTTATAGAATTTAGCCATAGTGAAGCAAGAACCTTATAAGCAGTAGCATTAAAGGAAATATGCTAATAACATTCACAATATGAGAATGCCAGACATAACCCTTATTCACAGATGTGTCCAACGGTATGTTCCTGGAGTGTGATAATCAAGTAAAAGACTTACTCTGTAAAATAAAACCACCAAGGAAATCAATTATTTTTTTTAAAACTGACCTGACCCATGACTTTTTATAGTTAGTATACGGTTAGTTATATACCTGTGCTACTCAAGCACTGTTTGTCCATCCAATTATCTGTTTCTCAAGTGAAAAATTTGGTGAAGAGAAACAAATCAGACTCCATTTAACTTCCATGACTCAAATAAGAAGAAGTCTATCTTGGAGGTGGAACAACATCACGCATTTATTATGTGAAATGCCCATTGATGCAGAAGCAGGTTTTATACCAATAGCATGACCAGATGTCCCCACTTGCCTAGGACAGACCCAGTTTTTACCCATCAACCCAATGTAATTATTAACAGTGTCCATTTCTCTCTCTGAAATGTTCCACTGTGAGTAATTAAGTATATATTTAGCCTACAGATTAATATTCTCCCAGCTGTGCCTTAATCCTAAAACCTATCATAGTAACCAAAAAAGATAGTACTGCATGATTAAGTGTATGTTCTGATCGTATTTTGTGTTTTTGAAATACCCTCTTGTGCATGAAAGAGACAGTGATATATAATAAAGTAGGATTCAGGCTAGCTAAGCTTTAGCCCTCACTGTGCCATAAAATTGTATGAAATTAAACTATTGATTTACTGCTCTGTGCTTATTTTTCTTATCTGTAAAATTAGGAGCTTAGACCAATTGTTCGTAAGACCACCTCATGATTCTAAAATGTATGAATCAATGTTAGTTGAACACTGATACTCTGTCAGTAGCTACATAAAAGGTGTGGATTTTTTTAAACAAAAAGGTGCTTGATGTTCATGTGTGAAGTGATTAGACTTGAGCAATATGGAAAAGCTGAGGTTTTGTACTACCTGAATGGCACTACAGAAATTCAGATTTACATAATCTTCTTCTTTTTCTTCTGCAGTTTCTGTTTCTATTCTTGTTCTTCTCTCTTGCCTTTATTCTATGGCCTTGATGTCAAGGTGCCTCTTAAAGGTAAGATTCCATTTAATTCTCAAAATGTGGTTCTAAGAGGTATTTGATAAAAAGGATGTTACCTATAGTTACTATGCCTTTCTTTAGTTTTTTGTTTTGTTTTGTTTTGTTTTGTTTTGTTTTGTTTTGTTTTGTTTTGAGACAGAGTCTTGTTCTGTCACCCAGGCTGGAATACAGTGGCACAATCAGATCATTCACTGGCAGCCTCAATCTCCCAGGCTCAAAGCGATCCTCCAACCTCAGCCTCCTGAGTAGCTGGGACTACAGGCATGTGTCACCATGCTCAGCTAATTTTTTTTTATTATTATTTTTAGTAGAGACAAGGTCTCACTTTGTTGCCCAGGGTAGTCTTGAACTTCAGAGCTCAAGCAATCCTCCTGCCTTAGCCTCCCAAAGTGTTGACCAAGCCATCAGGCCTGGTCTATATATTTTAACTATGCTATATTTTTAAAATACAAACACACTTGCTTTGGTTAGCATAAATGCCATAAATTGAGAAATAGATCCAGTCTATTTGGGTGATTATTAGAAAAGTGAAGAAACCAAATATTCTGGGAATCAAGAATCTGTTCCAGTTAACTGTATTACTTTGGGAAGTCACAATGTCTGTGGTTGTTAGCATTCTCATCATAGTCTCCCATTATGCAGAAAGTTGCATCTGTATCTGCAAAGTGAATAAATAATGACGTTATCTTTAGTGTTGCGTTCAGCTTGAAAATTCTGATTCTGCTAATCTAACAAGCTAGTAATGACTGCTGTTTTTTTCACCCCTTTTCCCCAGTAGAGACTAGGGAGTTCATTAAAACTCAAGAAAGCAGGCTAAGTGGATCTTGTTTTCAAATAAGTTACTTTTCAATGTCAATATAGAAAACAAAAAGGAGAGTCTTATAATTACTATTATTAAGTCCATGTCTCATGAATACATGCATAAATAATCTTAGTGATTCCCAGTGCTTAAAAATATAGATTTTTAAGCCCCACCTCAGACTTGCTGAGTCAGATCACTGGAGATAGAGGGAGATAGAGAGAGGGTGGGAGAGATGAGAGCAAGGACTGGTCTGTATTTAACAAGCACGCTATGTGATTCTGATGGCCGGCCAAATAGGGAAACCACAAATCTCAATACCACTGTTCAAAAAGAAGAAGGGCCAGCGGCTATTCTAAATCCATTTATCATGGTTCATGTCAACTCTGATTATCCTATTAAATTATATTAGCCTGAGATCTTTCCTGGACCTCAGGTGATTTAACATTTTCTACAGCAAGTTGGAAAACAGAAGAGAGGCACTTTCTCCCTCCATAGGTATGAGATCTGTTACCTGGATATGGAACAGACAAGTAAAAGTGCTTTAGAATAACCTGATACAAGCAAAGAGTTAAGTAGATATGCTCAGAAAATATATGAACTCATAACTCACTCTCTGGCTATATTCTTTCTTCCAAAATATTTTCTTTTCAGATTGACCACTATCCTTTGTCTGTCAAGAAAGATGACAGCCTTGTAGGATGGAAAGAAGAGGACTAAGTCTCTTAAATTGAATGGGAATATCCAAATTGAAGTGGAGGGAGATTCACTAGTAAAGGATCAAAATGACCAGAGTATCAGGAAACAAACAGCCTCCCCCCACCAAAAAAAAAAAAAAAAAAAAAAAACAGTAAATAAATTTTAAAAGTAGGGAAAATAAATTTCAGTAAGAGACAAGTAATACATGGTGGTTTACAGAAGAAATATCAAACCTTGTAAGTACTAGGTAGAAAATGGATAGGCTTCAGCATTAACATCAATGCTGGCCAAAGCTGATTATGTCCTGGGAGCTGTTCTAAGTAATAGATACATTTAATCCTCATGAAATCCCCTGTGGGATAGGTATTGCTTTTATCCCTAATTTGTAGTTGGAGAAACTACAGCATGTGACTTTCCCAAGACCATCCAGCTACCAATTTGTACCCAGGCAGCCTCAGCCCAGAATCCACTTCTAACCACCAAACTGCCTCACAAGTAAAAAAGGGCCTTTCTCCCATGTTTCAAGCAACATTGGCGTTCATATGTATCCTCATCAGAAGCGTCATCTATTTGTATAGTACTACTTAGCTACTGGCTTTTGAAATTACAGTGTGCTCGTCTCTGTACCTTTTCCCATTTTGTGTAACTCCTTGAGGGATGTACAAGATTTGATGTTTTTCCTCCAAAGTAGCACATAAATGACACTTAGTAATTGTCTGTTAAGTGAATGACTATAATGATAATTAATAATATAGCCGATGAATGTGACAGTGAATCTGGGCAATAAATATATTGCATATGCAGTAAAATGGCTGAGAGGTTAGAGTGCACAGCTTACAAGTCAGATATAATTTAAAGCTTGAGTCCTGCCATTTACTAGTTGTGTGATGATAGGCAGTTTATTTAATCCACCCAAGATTAGGTTTCCTATTCCACAAAATGGTTATAATCATGTTACCTACAGCAGGGTGTTGTGTTGAGAGAATGAGACGAGGTTATGCATGTCAAAGGCATAACAGTGCCTGGAAAATCATTAATCAGTAACTCTTAGCTATTATTAGATTTAAAAATTAGCTACCACATTTACTGAATTCAAAATTACACTAAATTATACTAGTATTCTAGTATACAAAATTATACTAAATTCAAAATTATAACCTCTAGTACTGCCAAGTAGTTTTCAGCCTAAACCCAAACAAATAGTTGCTTTTTCATCTCCTCTTCTCAGGGAATAATCTGGCTTTAAATAATATTAGGGAATAAAACATCACTGAAAACTGATCAATGCTACTTATGTCTCCAAAGTTGGCAAGATAGAAATAGGAAGAAGTAAGGGAAAAAGTGCTTCTTTATTGGTAGGTAGTGAAAGCTTACTGCAAATTACGATAAATTTTTTTCCATACTAAATTAATGATTTGTATTGTGTTCATAAACCCAAGACTAGCTTAAATGACAAAGTCCTCCTTAAAATGGAGAGACTCCTACTTTTTTTCTTTTAGTAATTGCCTAAGTCATTATTGTCAGTAATGATATAGAAGCCATCGAACGCTCCCTAGAAGGCACCCTTACTGGACTCAGTGCTGGCATTGACTAAATAACTGCATGGATTATATCAGGACTTTTACTTTAAACAAGGGGACTCCAAGTAGTTCCAGAAGATATTATCTGGCTATGCATTCTGGTTTTCCAAACGAATGGCATATCAATGTATTAGTCAGGTTCTCCAGAGAGGTAACCAATAGCATAGATAGATAGATAGATGATACATAGATAGATGATAGATAGATAGATAGATAGATAGATAGATAGATGAAAATGAGAGCGGCTTTATTAAGAGAATTCGCTCACCTGGTTATGGGGGTGGAGAAGTCCCATGGTAAGCCATCTGCACGCTGGAGAACCAGAGAAGCAACATGGCTCTGTTCAAATCAGAAACCCAAGAACCGCTGATGGCTCACGCCTGTAATCCCAGCACTTTGGGAGGCTGAGGCTGGCAGATCACAAGGTCAGGAGTTCAAAACCAGCCTGGCCAATATGGTGAAACCGCGTCTCTAATAAAAATACAAAAATTAGCCAGGCGTGGTGGCGGGCGCCTGTAGTCCCAGCTACTTTTGGGAGGCTGAGGGAGGAGAATTGCTTGAACCTGGGAGGTGGAGGTTGCAGTGAGCTGAGATCGCACCATTGCATTCCAGCCTGGGCGACAAAATGAGACCCCATCTCAAAAAATAAAGAAAAAAAAAAAAGGAATAAGAAGACCCAAGAACCAAGGAAGCCAGAGGTGTAACTCTCAGTCAAAGGCCAAAGGCTTGAGAGCCCCAGGAGGCTGCTGGTGCAAGTCCCAGAGTCCAAAGGCTGAAGGACCTGGAGTTACTAGGCATTCACTCCACCTTCATGGCCTCTCATCAGGTTCCAACTCCCAACACTGTTGCACTAGGGATTAAGTTTCTAACACACGCTTTGTGGGAGACACATTTAAGCCATAGCAACGACTCATTGTGTCACATTACATGGTTACACAGGGAGACAAAGGAAAGAAAAAAATTAGAGGAATACAAAAATAGCTATCACCAGATTAGCTGCTATACCCAGGTTGCAATGACCCATTGAAAATCCTCCTTTTCTGAGCAAGGATGAAATAATGAAGAACATGACAGCACCAGTTTTGCTCATTATGAAGTTGGGAGGACCACAGAACAGGTGATCATGATTATTTATCCACATACACTGGCCTAGCTCATTTTTACTGTCCCCCACTGGACAAATTTTACATGCATTTGGAGATATATGTATATAAATTTTAATGATATTTCTCCAGTGTTAACCATAAATTTTTGAACTTGACAGCCCAATATTTTTACTTCCTGTCTAATAACATGAAAAATTTTAAAAGGCACATAATACTATGTTATTGTTCTAATGGAAAAAAACTTAAGAAAAATTAAGTACTGTATTATTTGTTAAAACGTGCAAATATTTACTCAGGTAGCCTGGGGAAAACAAATGGCCACATGACCAGTCTCTATTATATTCGTCATTTAGAGTATTAGTACGATCGGCCAGGCGCGGTGGCTCACTCCTGTAATCCCAGCACTTTGGGAGGCTGAGGCAGGCGGATCACCTGAGGTCAGGAGTTCGAGACCAGCCTGGCCAACATGATGAAACCCCATTCTACTAAAAAAAAAAAAAAAATACAAAAATTAGCCAGGCATGGTGGTCCGTGCCTATAATCCCAGCTACTTGGGAGGCTAAGGCAGGAGAATCACTTAGAACCCAGGAGGCAGAGGCTGCAGTGAGCCAAGATTGTACCACTACACTCCAGCCTGGGTGACAGAGTAAGACTCCATCCCCCCACCAAAAAAATAAAGTATTAGTAGGAAAATTTTACTCCTTAGTTTTTACATGGATAAGGAAAGTCTAAGATGAATCAGTTTATGCCAGTTAGTAATTCCTTTTTGTGTAAATATATCCATTAGCTTTATCCAGTCATATATAAATTGTTTCCCTATTTGTCTCACAAATTGTACTAATAAAGCATAGGGTAGGAGTTATGTTTTATTCATCTTTGTATCTTTAGTGTCTATAACAGTGCCTTATCTATCCTAGGTGCAGAATAAATTTCAGATTGACAGATGAACTGAGAGGCAGATGGATGAATGAATAGCTGGGAAAATGAATATGAAAGCAGATTTGGGATATGTTAGATCAGAACCATGAATAGAGTTGTCGTATCTTTCAAAGATAACTCATATTCAATTTGTTTTTTTATATACCATTTGAAGACTACCTTAAAGAATGCATTGACAAAGGAAAGAGGACATAAACAAATATATTATCCCCTCCTCCACAGCTGAAGTAGCCCACTAACTGGGCTCAGTGCTTCCACTATAGACATTCTTATAACTCATTCTCCACACAGCAGTTAGAGTGAGTTTTAGAAAGGCAAACCTTACCTTGACCCCCATCCTAGGAAAATATCACTGTGTTAGGATCAAGTTCCTTCAACCAATCTATTGATAACAAGTTAAAAAAAAAAAAAGATCAAATTTGAATTTTTTAACTTGGCCAACAAAGCCCTGCATGGTCTAACCACACGGGCAATCTCTCAGGCTTCCTGTTGCTCCAGTTTCCCTTAATGAACCATGTGCCTTCCTGCCTTCCACAGGGTTTGCCCAAGCTGACTTGGTGCACAGAATGCTTCCCTTCTGCTTTAACTAGTAAACACCTACTACTCACCTATCCTTCGGATCTCAGTTCAGTTGTGATTCCCACAAGGGCATCTTTCTTGACTTCCTTTCTGAACAAATTTTACATACATTGGGGAAATATATATATAAATACACATTTTTTTAATTAATGTCACTCTTTCTCATTGTAAATAAGCTTGATGCAGATAATGACCATATAATTTTGTTCAACCTTGTATACCAAATACCTAGCACATAACCAACAGTGTCTAGCACATAGTCAACAATCAATAAATACTTTTAAAATAATATTAATGATATTTCAATAAGGAAGGAGAGTACAACTTGCTTTACAGTTCAAAAGGTACATTTATATTTATTATTTTATGTAATACTTACAACAATTCTGCATAATGGAGACCATTATAACTCTCTGTCTTAGTCCATTTGTGCTATTATAACAAAATACCTGAGACTAGGTAATTTATGAGTAATAGTAATGTATTGCTCACCACTCTGGAGGCTGGAAATTGAAGATCGAGGCACCAGCAGGTTTGGTGTCTGGTGAGGGCCTGGTGTCTACTTCCAAGATGGCGCCTTGTTGTTGCATCCCCTGGAGGGGGCAAAGCTGTGTCACAGGACAGAAGGAACAGAGGGGCAAAAGAGCCTAAGTTAGTTCTCTCCAGCTCTTTCATAAGGCACTAATCCCTCATCCATTCTGCACTCATGGCCTAATAACCTCCTAAAAGCCTCACCTGTTAATACTCTTGCACTGGGGATTAACTTTCAGCATGAATTTTGGAGGGGACAAAAACATTCAAAATATAGCACTCTCCAAACGTTAATTTTCTAATATAAAAAATTAGCAAGTAATAGCACCCATTATTTTTCTGAGGATTGAGTAATATTATACAGGTAAAGCAACTAGTTTAGTAGTTGGCACATAGAAAGGCTCATTAAAGGTCAAGTCTGTAGACATACCAAGCATTCTGTCTTGAATCATGCCTTTCAAGATGTGCTTCCATCTTCTGGGACCACATTTCCCACATCACCATTAAATGGTTGATACCCATTCATCCTTCCCGTCTCAGTGGAAAATCAGGGAAGCTTTCCCTGATCCTCCAGCTTCAGTTACATTTCATACAATATTATTATGTCTTCCCTACCAGGATTTTTATGGACCAATTATTTAATAATCTTCAGTCTCAGTGTACTCATCTGTATTGTGGAGGTAATATTAATAGCTACCATTTATTGAATACTTTATGACAAATTGCATATAAAGGGTGAGGAGTGGAAGGTGTCAGAGATGGCCCTTGTGTTCCTAGATGGTGTAACTGGTTAAACGGTGGTGCCCTTACAGATGCTACAACCACAAGTCAGAAGCCACATCACCGTACTCAAGACTTGGAGTTTGTGGCATTAGCTGGGCACAGTGGCTCTGTAATCACAGCATTTTGAGAGGCTGAGGCAGGTGGATCACTTGAGCCCAGGAGTTTAAGACCAGCCTGGGAAACATGGTGAAATCCCATCTCTACAAAAGTACAAAAACTAGCTGGGTATGGGGGCACATACCTGTAGTACCAGCTACTTGGGAGGCTGAAGTGCAAGGATGGCTTAAGCCCCAGAGGTCGATGCTGCAGTGAGACAAGATTGCACCACTGTACTCCATCCTGAGCAACAAAGCAAGACCCTGTATCAAAAAGAAAAAAAAAGAATTTGTAGCATGCAGTAAAGTCTCAAAAATGATAGTGGCAATTGCTGTTTTCCACAGATGAGGAAACTAAATTGTAGCACTGTTATGCAACCTGTTAAAAAGAACTCCTGTTACCCACTGGGTAACTGCAATAACTCAGAATGCTAATTTGAATAAATCTGGCTTCACTATAGAAATAATAGTTCCTTTTACAAGTACTTCTCAATTCATAGAAACTTAACATTCCAGGAGACTGCCTGGACTGCCTGTAAGTCCATTGGTTTTTAAAACCAACATGTGTTTACTCAAATGAGGGGTTTTACCTCGGTTGTGATAGGTGGAAATGATGCATACATGCTTTGACACAATATATAGGATTTAATCTTTGATATGCTATACATTGAAAGTTTGCAAGTAAAAGACTTTTTGTGTTTGTATATTTATTCTATATTTAAAAACACACAAACAAAAATACATCCCTGAAGAATTTTTTATATACATTCAGATCAACTCTCTTATTTACCATGGAATAGGAGAATGTTGTGTTTGTAACTAGTTATTTGGGGCTCTCATCCCAGTGGAATGTAAATATGTACTCAATCTATTTTCTCAAATCATAGCTTTCTTCACTCAGGCTCTGTCTTATTTCCCTCTCTCATCTTTTAATTAAATATTAGGTTGGTCCCCCAACTTCTCAGTCACTTTCAATCCTCAAAAGTCTTAAGCCAGTTTAAAAGTTCAATTTCAGACTCTGTTTTATTCTCATTTCTTCCCTTATCCTCCCTTAGGCATGAGCCAAGTACCCCCATGGAGCTGTAGTTCAGGGTCTGACTCTACGAGAACTCTTCCTCTTCTCTTCCTCTTCAAGGCTCAGCCGTTCTGGAGAGCAGGGAGGAAGAAGAGGGAAAAGGATTCTCCCTCTCAGCTCCTTTGACAGTGATTGCAGATGTTTCTTTGGCTACTGTTGACCAACACTTGATATCTTTTCTATGAGAGGTGACCAAAGGCTGGCCATTCTGGGCAACATATGTGTGAATTCTTCAGAAGGGTGTGCAGGGGATGCCCACTGCCCTATTCCCAGTCTGGCCAAGGCCCAGACTCTTCCACTGCCTCACTGGCTCCCTTCGTTGGTGGTGCAACCCACAGCTTTTTGCTAAGGAGGTAGCTTTTTGATGGAGTGTGGAGCAAGGAGACAACTACGCTGTAGCGCCTGTCTCTGCCCTGTCATCACTCTTCAGTTCTCTGCTCACATATAAGCAAGGGAAGATGAGAAAGTCTATGTCTGAGCAATAGGAGGCAAGTATGCCTCTGTGAATCCACCATCAATATCTTTACGCCTCTTCGTACCTCCTCCTCATTCCCTCAGTGTGATCTCTCCCCGACCACTGTACTTCCTTCCCACAGGTTCTCCTCTGTGACTCTGTCACTCTTCCATCCCAGTCTAACCTTGTCTTGGGAGCAAAATGGCTCTGCAAATATGCCTTTGGATCTTTAAGTTGCCCCTGGTTGGTAGACTAGAAGTATCCTTGGGGTACTAAGTGCCTCCTTTTCCTCCACTTTAGATTGTGGTTTTAACATTTAACTTTGGATTTAACATTTCTGGAATAATAGTAAAGTCTTTCTACAGAATCAGTATCCTTATTTTATAGATGAGGAGATTGAGGCTTAGAGAAGTTAAATAAATTAGCTTTGGGCATACAGCAAGAAAATAGAAATCCCATTTTCTCTATCCATGTTGTTCAGACCCTAAAGGCCATTCCCTTAAGTAGGACATGATAGCACAACCTCATAGCACATCTTCTGTGCTATTTCTGGCTTTCATTGGAAGACAGCATTACGACCTAGACTTCTACACAAGTGAAAACTCAGACATATGGACTTACAGAGGAACAGGGCTAGGAGTCCTGACTGGCACATCCCCAGGGTAGCACCTTTTCAGGGACATCTCTGGGCCAACCAAGAAACCTGTGTGGCAGAATTCCCAGGGAGTTCTTCAATCAGGACTTTAGGTGGAGACAATTTGCCAATGGTTACAATTTTGTTGGGGAGGAAATGTGACATAGAATTAAGTCACTGAAGGGAATAGACAGGTCTGCTATTAAAATAACATCTTGCAGAAACAGTAGATACTGGAGACTTCAAAAGTGGGGAGGTAGAGAAGTGGCAGTGTTTGAAAAACTACCTATTGGGTACTATTTTCACTTTTGTGTGATGGGTTCAATAGAAGCCCAGACTTCTGCATCATGAAATATATCCATGTAACCAACCTGCACATTTACCTTCTGAATCTAAAATAAGTTTCAAAAATAAAATAACATCTTAAATGGATATGTTGGGGCATGATTATTCAATTTAACTTCTTAGCTATCACCTTGGAAGGCCTCAGAGGAAAAAGCAGTAATGATAATAATATTTCAGGCAACTTACTTTGAGACAAGAACCATTAATTGTTTTATATGCATTGTGTTGCAACAACCTTTGACATAGAGACTTCTATTTTCTCCCTTAAAATTAAAGTAACTAAGCTTAGAGATGTAACTTGCATAAGATCATACACATCAAAGCAGTGGTAAAGAATAAAAAATTTGTGTCTTTTTTTAAAGTTTGTTTTTTATGATTCAGCTATTAACAAAATTGATATATAAATAATTTTTTTCCTCTGTTTTGCAGAGTAACCGAAAACATGGATAAGATCCCAGGAAGACAAGTGCTTCTAAACCTTCAAAGATGGCAAAATTGTTTACACCAGTGAGAGGGAGATCAAAAGCTAAGAACTACCCTGTAGCCAGGACTACAACTGTGTATTTTAAAGCCATTATTCAAGGTTTCTTACTTGACAGTTCCTACACAACCCTGTTGAAAATCTACAATATATGCTGCATTTAATGAAACATGTATATGTCAAATCAGAAGAGAAGAACTATAAACATATATTGTGTAAAGAAAAAGTTCAGCAATGGAACTAGTTTCTGCAGATCAAGCAAAGATGTGTCTTGGGCATGGAACCAAAGTTACAATGAAATATTCAACCCCTGCTGTGCAGGGGGGTCATTTTAATGTAACACCACACCCCATGGAAACACTAGTCCTGATAATAAACATCATTTTAAAAGATCAAAACAAACAAACAAAAAAAACAAGGGTGGGTGGGGAGTGAAGCACGAGGAATACCTATGAAGAGCTATTTACAATAAAATGTTTCATTTGAAAAGTCTGGTTTCTTACTACAGGGATTTGCTTTTCTGTCTTTATGATTGTTTTAAACTCAGGAACAGAGACATCCGCATCGTAAATGGGAAGAAAAACACTCTCTGTTTTGTTTTTCTGCAAAAGGTGGAGCTTGTGGAATTCATTCCACAGACGACAGATGAGAAGTGGATCACAGTGACCACAACAAAACTGGTAACGAAGTCAAAGGACCCGAGCGAATGTGACATGTGAAATAAAAGCAGATTCGATGCTTCCTTGTCCTACTCTCACATCTGCATTCCTCTATCAACAATGGACTGATCTCATTCATATTGAAAACTAAGAAGATGATACTGTAAATCACATGCTCCCTGACTTAGTTCTGTTTAGAACGCCAACATCTATAGGGAACATGGGCCAGAGAGCATCTCTGAATCTTTCATTTCCAAAATACTGTTTTTCAAATGGCTGCTTAAAATTGCCTGCAAATGAATATGCTATATGATTTGGGCAAAAACACAGCAGAATCAATGAGTAAATTTCTACCAAGAGTCGGGTTTGCCACAGAGATGTGAATATTAAACTAAACTATTATTTTTTAAAGAATCCTCACATGCCTAGAGCATTCTGACCTCTTCTTGTTTAGAGTGATAACATTTTTTCCCAGACAGATGACAGCAACAAGATAGCTCTACTTTTTTATATGGAAATAACATTATGTTACTGACAAGGTCATTTTCTACCAGAGACAATTAGAGGACTGGTACTTTTCCTAAGTTGTGTATTACTGAGTCTTGGAGTCATCTCTGAGAGCAAATGTATGTTCCTGAAAAGCTAATTTTACACCTCATTTACTGTAGATAACAGAACAACCTCAATTTTTCAAATTTTTGAAGTTTTATTTATGGGGCTAGAATTCCCATGCATAGAGAATATGTGTAGGGAGCCAGAAACTCTTTCTATGAAATGCTATACAAATCTTTCCATATGTGGGTTCACTATCATCCTTCAGTTTTAGCACTGGCATTTGCAAAGCCAGAACAATAACTGAAGAATGTACAATAAAAACTAGAATGCTGGGGTCCCACTTTTTGTTCTTACATTTACTGCTGACCCAGGTATCTTTGGCCCAGTCACTTAACCTCTCTGTGCCTCAGTTTCCTCATCTGCAAAATGGGGTTAAAATGCTTTTTCATAAAGTTTTATTTGCAATTTTAGAACAAGAGGTGCTTAAAGTAGCACAATGTGCTTTGTAATTATTACAAGTGCTGTATTATTTGACTTTCTTGTGTTGTTGACAAAAAGATTCCCTCATGTAATAAAATAGTGCTTCAGTTTGGTTAAATTTAAGCACTATAGCACTGAAGCTTGCTTATCAAGCTACTTGGGACATTATTAGCAATAAAAATTGAGAGATTCAAAACCAGGATCTTTAATAATCTATAGGAAATAGATCATCTCATGCTATTGAACAAGATAGAAGAGTGTGTCATTTCTATGATAAGCATCTCCCAGCTCTCTTGATTGCATATGCATGCCATCATACAGAACCCCACTTTTACCACAGGAGAGCCAGTCATTAAACAAAGGCTTGGAGCAAACTGACAGTATCACATAATTAGCTTGATTATCTTTTATTCTGGAGGAAAGCCAGGTGGTATGCCCTACTGGGAAGATACAAAACAGACTATCCTGCTGTATTCTTTTTTTTTTTTTTTTTTGAGATGGAGTCTTGCTCTGTTGCCCATGCTGGAGTGCATTGGCACAATCTCGGCTCATGGCAAGCTCCACCTCCTGGATTCAAGTGATTCTCCTGCCTCAACCTCCCTAGTAGCTGGGATTACAGGTGCACACCACCACACCTGGCTAATTTTTGTATTTTTAGTAGAGACAGGGTTTCACTATGCTGGTCAGGCTGGTCTCGAACTCCTGACCTCAAGTGATCTGCCTGCCTCAGCCTCCCAAAGTGCTAGGATTACAGGTGTAAGCCACTGTGCCCGGCCTCCTGCTGGATTCTTTATTCAACTAGGTAGGTTCCAGATTAAATATGAGCCATATGCTCATTAGGCAAGAAATGTGAAAGAGGGTGCCTCTACAGTGTTGGTGACCCAACACTAGCCAACTTGAGTCAGAAAATATGGAAGAGGATAAATTACTCTCACATATCTAAGACTTTTCCATTTTTCTTCACTTTCTGTTGCAGGGCCCATATGAGTAAATCTATATTCCGTCTGCTCCAACACACACCTTCCTTCTCTTAATTTTGCTTTCCCACCCACCAAGAAATTTGTAAGTCAAAATTTATTTCCATGAGTAACTATTTCTAAATGATTGAAAATTTTTGAAAAAGTGGTATGGTTTATATACCTAATCTGCTTATCTGCTATAAGTCATATGAGAACAACAGCTAGGATGATTGTCCAAGCAGCTTTAGATGTGTTTAGGGCCAGGCAAAAGGTTTGCTTGTTTTTTCTTTTTGCTTAAGATCTGGGAGATTAGCAAATTTCTCAAGACTATAGACTGAACTGTAATTTTTACCAACTCTTGCTCATGAGCCTCAAAATGAATATATCCTTGAATAAAGTATAAATATTTCAATAGATACATCTCTCTATTATCCATTTTCACAATTATAAAAGCATCAGCAAAATTGTGGATATGTGTTCCAGTCACTCATGGATCCATGGAAATGGACCGTGTTTAAATGAATGCTTCCCTTGGATGGGATGTTCAGCAATAGCAAAAAAAAAAAAAAAAAAGTTATCAATAACTGAGATTTCCTGTGGCCCCACTTCTGCATCTGTACTACCGAGATGCATTTGGCTACTGAGTTTGTAGCAGTCAGAACAGCATTCTTCCGGGTTCATTAACTTAATTTTTCTCAATAAAATATTCATACCCTGGAAAATAAACATAACTGACTACTAAAGATAATTTGAGATAAATAAAAGACCCAATTTAAATAGTTATTCAGGATAGAAAAATTTCATGAAAGAGGGGAAAAACATAGAGAGACTATCTTTGACTATCATACTTAAAAAGCATCTATTACTAAATTGAATGTCAAACTTTTCTTTAATGCCACCCTACTTTTAGGAAATAGAATTTGCTGAAAAAAATTACAACCCTTCTGACTTATGCTATATAAATTAAATTATTACCAACAGTTAGGTTTTAGGGGTGGAAGAATAGATCTTGATTTAATTTTTTTTTTTTTTTTTGGCCCACAAATAACTGCTCATACAGGTTGTATGTGTCTTCCCAAGTCCATAAGGTAGAGCTGATATAGAAGGCCTGGGTTATCACTTAGGTAGAGAGCAAATGTGTTCTCCACTAGTAATAGGAGAAATAAAGTTTGCCAAATAAATTTTGCTGCAGTATTTTGTTTCAACTTTGCTTTCAATTTTAAATAAATCTCTGGCAAACTTGTTCCTTTTTGCCCATTGACTGTCAAATTTTCCTGTAAACCCATTGTGTAATTCTTATGTTTGCTTTAACATAATTCACAAGTTCATTGTTTCAAAATGAAGCACGTCTTTTTAACCTGCCTAGGTTTTTGTAGAAACTGTAAAAAGAATATTCATTGGTTTTGTGTTGATGTTTAAATAATTGGATCATCTGTGTTATATTACATCAAGATAGATGGACAGCATAGAAATTTTATTTTTAAAATATTTAATTGCATTATTTCAATCTGTCAAAGAGTGGCACAGAATACACACACAAACACACACACACACACACACACACACAGAGCAATAGAAATTTGCTCTGTAATTTGGGAGTTGCATTGCTTGTTGCCTTTTGTGAAATTTTCATAACAGTGTTTTGGTAATTAATGACAGCTTTTGGCAGTTTAATTCTATCATTTTACTAATTTAGATTTATCTATTACATTGAAAAAATTCAATATAACTTTTGAATGATAAACATTCAAAGCAAATCTTAGATGACTGTTTATGTCATGAGTTTATGCTTCCAATATGGACCCAAGCCCCTCTTTAAGCAGACTTCTAGGTCTTAAGTGAGGAAAGATGTCATTGTGTTCTACTGCCTTGTCATTTCTATATAATGTAGTATCTTGAGATCTAATTTCAGGCATATTGGCAAGAAGATACAGACATAATGGAAAGTTGGAGCTAATCCCTGTAAGGCCTCTTCAAGTGCCAAATTCTATTATTCCATTTCAGAATGGGGCAGGGCAGATTCACAATCCTTTGCTGTCATTAGTTTGGCGGTTTAGTTCTTCCTAAATAAATCTCTTGCTGGGAGTCCAAGTCCAATGCTTAATCAAAATTCCTAAAGATAGCTACTCAGAAGGCTAAGGTGGCAGGATAGCTTGGGCCCAGGAGTTTCATAACGGCCTGGGCAACATGGTGAGACCTCATCTCAAAAAAAAAAAAAAAAAAGAAAGAAAGAAAAGAGGGAGAGAGGAAAAAAACTACTAAAGATATACTTATAGGGGCAATGTAGCAAAAATAGGATTATAATTTCCTATATTCAAATTAATGTGGCAGAGATACACGTGGTTGATTTGGTGAGGGTTCCTGTTTTTGTTTTTTTCTGCATTACGGTCTTTGTACCCATGCTTATATTTTCATCCTTGTTATATGCAAAGTTCTGTAGGGTGAGAATGGTAAAGTTAAACAACTTTGAGCCCAATTTTGCCCACAATCAAGATCCCACGAACTTACTAAAGAGTGGATGATGCAATTTTCCAACTAAAACAGATCCCCAGCATCTGTTAGTAACAACACTTCTATTTGACTGACATCTCACAGACTGTGCCTATACCAGCCATTAACCATAGCAACTTCCCACAATGAGGCAGATCAAAATCCAAACATTTTTATAAATATGTGATGTAAATATATGCACAGATATATTCTGTACATAGTATGATGGTGTGAGCGCTTACTAAACGTGTACTTCTGTTCTAGGATGCAGGACTTCAAGAAAGGTTTTTTCTGCGCTGCTGCTGCTTCTGCTGGGAACTCATGTTTTTGTCGAGCATTTAGTGTTTGAACTCTTCCCATCCTTGACTACCTCTTCTCTCCCTTACCCCACCTTCTGTTCACTACTATTATTTCCAATTGTTGACTGAGGCAGAGACCACTCGGTTTTTCAATTATCCAGGCCCATAAACCAGCAAATAGGTTTTTTTTATTTGTTTGGTTGGTTGGTTGATGTTTCTTTTTTTTGAAAGAGCAACAGAAAGTTCAGCACAATCTACAGTATTAAAATTAGCCAAAAGTCCCATATCTTTATTAGCTAAAAATTCCATCTCAACAGGGTTCATGCATGTTTTAGCCTTCAAGATCCAATACTTTGGGGACTCAAGTATAGAGCTAATGTGTTTGAATACATAATTCCCCAGGTGTTTACTGTGTTAATGTAGCCAAGGGTCCAATTTCACAGAGCTTTCATTCAATCAACTGCCTCAATTGGGGTTCTTTCTTTCCATCTCATTAGCATGACTCCATATATCACTTCAGTGCTTGTTTATTAATGAAAGAAAAATAAAAATTGACTGAGTTTCACCAGAATGATCCTCTGAAGTACACCGAATATGTACATGTACTGTATGTATTACCGTAGAGATTGGAATCAACTTACTGTATGTAAAGTTTTATGAATGGTTATTTTATAATTTATGTATTTAATATAGGAATCGATGAACTCTGGTGTTTTAGTTTATATAAAAATAAAACAAGCTGCATTTTTTAAAAACTTTATCTTTCATTGTTTATAGCTGTTTGTTTAATGAACTCTTCCACTTGTTTTTTTCTAAGACAGTCTTGGTCTGTTGCACAGGCTGGAGTGCAGTGGTGCGATCTCGGCTCACTGGCTCACTGCAACCTCCGCCTCCCAGGTTGAAGTGATTCTTCTGCCTCAGCCTCCCAAGTAGCTGAGACTACAGGCGTGCACTACCACACCTGGTAATTTCTTTGTATTTTTAGTAGAGATGGGGTTTCGTCATGTTGGTCGGACTGGTCTCGAACTCCTGGGCTCAAGCAATCCACCAGCCTTGGCTTCCCAAAGTGCTGGGAATTACAGGCATGAGCGACAGCGCCCTTCCTCTAATCTACTTTTGAAAAACAGGGTGAGGCAAATCAGGGCTATCAGTGTAATGTAGGGAAATAAACTCTATATCCAGGACAGTAAATAGATTTATTCTTGTCTTCCCATTCTGCATTTGTTACTGTGTGTGCTATGGGCACTATGATAAGGAGGCCAAAGCAGAATTTACACCCCTGAGGAAAAAACTATCATCATTAGCATCTCTGTTCTGAACATAGTTTGGGAGAGAATCTTGCCTGCTATTTTCCATCCTTATTCTGAATATTACTTCTTCTACTCTATCCATCTACCTTTTTTTCTACCTTGTAGACCCACTAGATATAGCAAATTAACAGGTGTGTGTTATGTGAGCATTGATCATGTGCACATTCCTATGTCTTATGTACATGTGGATCTACCCTCAAAGAGCTTACAGTCTCATGTGGGAAACAATCCCTGTATCCATGAACCAAATAAGAAACCAATATGACACAATAGAGGTACAACTTTGTAAGTCACCATGAAGAACTGTTAAAAATAGGCCAGGTGCAGTGGCTTACACCTGTAATCCCAGCAGTTTGGGAGGCTAAGGCAGGAGTATCCTTGAGGCCAGGAGTTCAAGATCAGCCTGAGCAACGTGACAAGAACCCATGTCTACAAAAATTTTTTACATGCCATTACCTGGCATGGTGGAACATGCTTATAGTCAGAGCTACTGGGAGACTAAGGAAGGAGGATCACTTGAGGCCAAGAGTTTAAGGTTACAGTGATCCCATCACTTCACTTTAGTCTAGACAACAGAGCAAGACCCCCAACTTTCAAAACAAAAAAGATAAAGAACTATCAAAAGTAATATTAAGCAGGATACTGTAGCTCACACTTGTAATACAGTGCTTTGGAAGGCTGAGGCGGGAGGATCACTTGAGGCCAGGAGTTTGAGACCAGCCTGGGCAACATAGCAAGACCCTTGTCTCTACTAAAAAATAATAATAAAAATTAGCCGGGCATGGTGGTGAGTGCCAATAGTCCCAGATACTTGAGAGGCTGAGGGGTGAGGATCACTTGAGCCCAGTAGTTCAAGGTTACAGTGAACTATGATCATGCCACTCCACTCCAGCCTGGGCAACAGAGCAAGACCCTGTCTCAAAGAAACAAAGAAAAATTAGTATTTTGGAATGGGCTCAATAAGATCCATGTCAAGAAGGTTTCCTCTTTTAATTGTAACCTCTTCATCTTTATTAGCAAAAAAAAAAAAAAAAAGTCACTCATCAGTTTGTATTCTGTCACTCATTCATAGGAAGCACTTATATGCCAGGAGCTATATCAAATTCTAAACACAGAGAAGAATAACACATAGGCCCACCTCTCAAGACATCACAATTTACATTATTTGATGATGGTTTACAACAATTGAGTCTCTATGAGAAAGGTACCTTACGTATCAGCATGCCATAAAACAGGCAGTTATTATGGGGTCCTGTATAACTTTATAAAAGAAAAGCTCTGTTTTGATTAACTCCAGTTTTGGTATATAATTCAAATGTGTTATGTCAACAACTCAACTGGCCTCTTCTAGATCCAGAGAAAATTACCCCAGTGTTTTTTGGAGATGCTAAAGTGGGCGGCAGGCACTTCCTTCCACAGTGCTAGTGAGACAAGGAAACATTTACTAGGCCCATACAAAACCCACACAAAGGAATTCCTCCCACCAGCTCATGACATAGCCCTGCCTCTGATCTACAGGTACAGTCGCAGAAGTGCAGAGATATAGTCAAATTCCTACCTACCCCATGGGTTAAGATTTGTGCCAAATGGCTGATAAAGAATGCTCATTTTATTTAAGCAAATTTGTAGCTACATATGAAATACAAAAGTAAATAGTGAAGGCTTTTTTTCCTCATTGAAAATCCTCTAGAGAAAAAAAATTCTGTTTTTAACCCAAAACATGTTTGTGCATACACATATTTATAAATATGAAGTAAATTTTTGGTCAAAAAGTTCTATAACAAATAGTCATTGGTAATTTGTGCCTGTAATTACCATAAAAATATTGAAAAAAAGGGCTATGACATCTGTGTCATTTATATGAAGCCCCACATGACACTTTCTTTTAGAATTTAGAAGAAGAAAAACACAAAAAAAATAACAACCACCTCAGGAGCCAGATTTTTCTTCCCTTGTGATAAGAGAAAATTTACTATGTTCCCATTTTGCCCTGACTGCCAACAAATGCAAAAACATATCTATATTTAATCGTGACATCTAATCAATTTTTTCTATTTTCTTTGTTATTTTATTGTTATTTATGTATTTATTTGTTTGAGATGGAGTTTCGCTCTTGTTGCCCAGGCTGGAGCGCAATGGCATGATCTCGGCTCACTGCAACCTCCACCTCCTGGGTTCAAGTGATTCTCTTGCCTCAGCCCATTGCAGGCATGTGCCACCATGCCCAGCTAATTTTGTATTTTTAGTAGAGATGGGGTTTCTCCATGTTGGTCAGGCTGGTCTCGAACTCCCAACCTCATGTGATCTGCCTACCTCGGCCTCTCAAAGTGCTGGGATTACAGGCATGAGCCACTGCACCCGGCCTATTTATTTTTTTTACAGTGAGGACTTGCTGTCGCCCAGGCTGGAGTGCAGTGATGCAATCATAGCTCACTGCAACCTTGAGCTCCTGGGCCCAAGCAATCCTCCCACCTCAGATTCCCGAAGTGCAAGGATTACAGGTGTGAGCCACTGCACCCAGCCTTTTTTATTTTATCGACCTTATTGTTTTGCCTTTCATTTGCTTTGATTTTGCCTTTAATTTACATTACCTCAAATCTTTTTTGTACAGTCATAAGATATGTATTCAATATAAAAAATGCACATTAAATATTCTTAGAGCCACCACAGAAATGTGTGTAGAAAAAAATATTCAAAACTTAGACATAAGGCAAATAAGAAGTATATGTCTCTATAGTTTCTCTGTAGTTTATAATATTCCAATTGGGGAAATACAATGATTCAAGAGAGCTCAGAAGTTTTACAATTCTATCAAGGTAGAGGCTAATTCATAGAAAAATGATAAGGTATGATGCGTTTTTCAACTTGATAGAAAAAATAAAACCATGCAAATAAAGATTGAGTTTTTGTCCTATAAGCACATTAACTACTTTTGTTTCTAACATACAGCTTTCATTTCAGCAGGTCTTACCCCATCCTTCAATTTCTTCTCAAACCAGCTCAGTCATTCTACTGGTTCCTTTAATTAACAAGGTATATGACATTTGGATACATGTTTGTTTGAGAATGATATTTTTAATAACTTAATGAGTTATTTTTCAAAATGTATTTTAAGGAATATTGAGATAGAGAAGACTTAGTCCTTGCTCTCAGTGACCTTACAGTAAAGTCAGACAGATAAAGCTGTAACAATAAAGTAGAACTCAGCACAGGATGGTTAAAGCCATAAGGATACCACAAGCTACTAAGTATCCTGAATGAATCTTTCATTCCAGACCTGCACCTTCTGCTACCTTCCCCAACTCACTGAGAGATGTTAGATGGAAATATGGTGGGTTCGTGAACTTAATTGTCATCTCCTTTTTTTCCCTCACCCTCTACAACTAATTCTTCCGAAGTCCTATTTATTTTAGTTCTGCAATCTATCCTCTATTCTTCATCACTTCCAAGAGTTTTTCACCTCAACTCTTGCAGCAACTTCCTAAATTAGCTAACTCAAGTTTTGCCACCTTAAAATACACCTTACTCATTGTTTTCAGCTTGATTTCATGTGCAAATCATACCAGGTTGTTCTCCTCTTTAAAATTCCTTCTTTGTTTCCCATTCCCATTAGCACCTGTGGTTGACTCTCAGATACTTATGGGAACTAAGCATTTAATATAAATATGGGATTTAGGAGTGGAGTAAGAGACTTTAGCCAAATGAAACACAAGCATACTGTTTTATCTAATCCAGCACTAGAAAATAAAGTCAAACTCTCTCCTCAGCATGACCATTTATGTCCTGGGACACTTACCTTACACAGGTATGGAGGGATATTTCAATATTTCAATGTAGGTTCTTTCTATTTTCCCTAAGTGTCGGCCGGTCTGAGAAACAGAGAGAGTGTAAAGAGAGAAATTTTACAGCTGGGCCTCCGGGGGTGTCATCACATATTGGTAGGACCGTGATGGTGACCTCGAGCCGCAAAACCAGCAAGTTTTTGTTTGAGATTTTAGAAGGGGAGGTGGTGTATGAACAGGGAGTAAGTCACAAAGATTACATGCTTCAAAGGGCAATAAAGATCACAAGGCAAGGCAAAATTAGAATTACTGATGAGGTTCTATGTCCTGCTGTGCATGCATTGTCTTGATAAACATCTTATCAGGAAACAGGGTTCGAGAGCAGACAACCGATCTGACTAGAATTTACCAGACTGGAATTTCCCAATCCTAGTAAGCCTGAGGGTACTGCAGGAGACCAGGGCGTATTTCAGTCTTTATCTCAACCGCATAAGACAGACACTCCCAGAGCGGCCATCTATAGACCTACCCCCAGGAATGCATTCCTTCCCCAGGATTCCTTGCTGGGAAAAGAATTCAGCGATATTCCTCCTACATGCACATCCATCTATAGGCTTTCCGCAAGAAGAAAAATATGGCTCTATTCTGCCCAACCCCAAAGGCAGTCAGACCTTATGGTTATCTTTCCTTGTTCCCTGAAAATTGCTGTTATTCTGTTCTTTTTCAGGGTGCACTGATTTCATATTGTTCAAACACACGTTTTACAAATAATTTGTACAGTTAATGCAATCATCACAGGGTCCTGAGGTGACATTCATACTCAGCTTACGAAGATGACAGGATTAAGAGATTAAAGTAAAGACAGGCATAGGAATATAAGAGTATTGATTGGGGAAGTGATAAATGTCCATGAAATCTTCACAATTTATGTTCAGAGACTGCAGTAAAGACGGGTGTAAGAAATTATAAATGTATTAATTTTGGGAACTGGTACATGTCCATGAAATCTTCACAAATTATGCTCTTCTGCTGCGACTTGAGCCGATCCCTCTGTTTGGGGTCCCTGACTTCCCGCAACACACAGGTGACACTGTCCCATCTTCTCCAACACAAACAGACACACACATACACTTAGACCTTGGCAGGTCAAAAGAGCTGGTATTTATGCAGGCTTTGAGGCAAATTCATGCTGTGGATTTTTTGCTATATGCTGCTCTTTATGTCTAGAAATGTTTTTCCTATTTTTTTGTCTAGATAAATCTTTTTATCTTTTCTTTTTTTTTTTTTTTTTTTTTGAGACAGAGTCTCGTTCTGTCACCCAGGCTGGAGTACAGTGGCACGATCTCAGCTCACCGCAACCTCCACCTCCTGGGTTCAAGTGATTCTGCTGCCTCAGCCTCCCAAGTAGCAGGGATTACAGGAGTGTGCCACCACCATGCCCGGCTAACTCCTGTATTTTTAGTAGAGATGGGGGTTTCACCATGTTGGTCAGTCTGGTCTCGAACTCTGGACCTCATGATCCACCCGCCTCAGTCTCCCAAAGTGTTAGGATTACAGGCGTGAGCCACCGTGCCCAGCTACCTGTTTAAATCTTATTGCTACTGGAAGACTCAGCCATCATCTTCTTTAAGAGCAGAACAAAATATTCTTTGATCTCGCACTCTATGTGTACCTATCATGCTATTTACCATGTATATTAAAGTTACAGGCCGGGCACCGTGGCTCACACCTGTAATCCCAACATTTTGGGAGGCCGAGGCAGGTGGATCACCTGAGGTCGGGAGTTCGAGACCAGCCTGACCAACATGGAGAAAACCCATCTCTACTAAAAATACAAAATTAGCTGGGCATGGTGGCGCATGCCTGTAATACCAGCTACTGGGGAGGCTGAGGCAGGAGAATTGCTTGAACCTGGGAGGTGGAGGTTGCAGTGAGCCAAGATCGTGCCATTGCACTCCAGCCTGGGCAACAAGAGCGAAACTTTGTCTCAAAAATAAATAAATAAATAAATAAATAAAGTTACTTGTTCTGTCCCTTTCCACTTAATGCCCCATGAAATCTGAGTTATTTGAGGGAAGAGATATTCCTTTGTCAGCTTTTCATTCCCAGCACCTAGCACAGGTCCTAGCACACAGCAGAGTCTTGGTGTATTATTTTAATTCTAGTATTTATGTATTGAATTGTGGAGGGAGCAATTGCTTCTTGTTTGAATGCTCAGAGAAGTCCCCATGAAGGTGGAAATAGGTTAACTGGGCCATTTTATTGGAAAGTAATTTTGTTGTTATTCTTAGCTTTTTGTTTGTTTTGTTATTCTTTCCTTTCTTTCTGTTGTTCTTTTTTTTTTTTTCTTTTCTGAAGGTGTCTTTTTGATAAGCCATAAGCTCTTCAGAAAACACTTACGAATAGATCACCACATTCCCTGTTCAATTTCACCTTATTTT